>NC_000012.12:26459650-27084650 GCF_000001405.40 Homo sapiens | reverse complement strand
TATCATGTCATCAGAATTCCTTAAACATCTTATTTAACAGAATATACAAATTTAAGCCAGTTCTACAGTGAAAAACCTGAGAGTGAGTCACGACAAACTTTAACTGTAATCTTGTATAATGGAAATGGAGAGAGACAAATATTGGGGAAAGATCTTAAGAAAACTGATGAATCCAATAGGTAGGTCAGATAAGTGTTTCTTGGCTTTCTGCTTTCCATTTGTAAGCATGTCTCTGTGTGTGTATGTATGTGTATGTTTATACCCATGCCCCTTATTTAGAGCTCTAAATCTCCTAAGGACGGGAACCATCTGCCACCTGACAAGAGAGAAGTAAACTCCATGCATTCGTTCTTCTACACTCAAGAGGGATCCTCTTCAGCCTAGGATGGTATGGGCATAGAATATTTTGGAAACAAAGGGATAGATTCTGTGGCTTTCTGTCCCCTTTTTTCCTTTTCTCTTTCCACATTCCTGGCTCTAACTTGGTTCTTTCTGTTGCCATGGTAACCAACAGTCTCAGAACACAGACTTCTGACAGCTGGACTTTTAGCCACGGAGACTCGGGATGTGAAGGATTTCTCGTGTCTCCTTTTTTTGCCTCAGGAGTTAGCAGCACTTCTTCCACGTGGGCAGCCACCAGAGCAGGGTGTGACAGTCTTTTGTTTGTGTGTGTGTGTCTGTGTGTGCGCGCGTGCACGCGTGCATGCACGTGCACATTCTTCCAGCCCTACTTACTCTGGGGCTTCACAGAAAAAGCTGGACTAAACAGTGTCATCAGACGGTGGGAGGATGGGCATCTAAATACCAAAACCTTCTGGAAAGTAATTTGGTATCAACTACCACAAGACTTTAATATATTTATGGGGTTTGGTCCATTAATCCTACATATAGAAAAATAAGAGACATAGTCAAAGATTTATGGAAAAGCGGGTTTATTACAGATTTATTTAGCATTAATAAGAAGTGGTTAAAAATTGCAGAGTAACCATATATATGTTTGTTGTAGGCTATGGGATAAAATAATTTCAGTTTCAACTATATGTCATATCCACATTTACATATATGTATATGTGTATGTGGACATATTGTATAAATGTACAGATATGTATATGTGTGTTTATATAAATAGAAAAGATAAGGAAGTCCATCAAAATGTTTTGATAGTTATCATTATCTTTAGAAGGTAGGACTACAGCATATTTATTTCATCTTCATACTTTCCTATATTTTTCCAATTTTATACAATGATCATCCTTTTCTTTTATGATACAAGATCTTACAACCACAGTAGGACAAATGATGAGAAGTGGAGATGCTTAGTAGAGAGGATTATAATACAATGAAATAAGTTTTAAAAGGGAGAGGGCTGCCTCTTCTGCCCTTCACTGAGAGATTGTAAAAACTGGATAACACTGGCCAGGCCTGGTGGCTCATGCCAGTAATCCCAGCACTTTGGGAGGCCGAGGCAGGTAGATCACGAGGTCAGGTCAAGACCTTTCTGGCTAACATGGTGAAACCCCTTCTCTACTAAAAATACAAAAAATTAGCTGGGCATGGTGGCATGTGCCTGTAGTCCTAGCTACCCGGGAGGCTGAGGCAAGACAATCTCTTGAATCCAGGAGACGGAGGTTGCGGTGAGCTGACATCACACCACTGAACTCCAGCCTGGACAACAGAGCGAGGCTCCATCTCAAAAAAAAAAACAAAAACAAACAAAAACTATTGGATAATACTTCTATCTAAATGGGGTAGTTCTGAATAGAAAAGGGAATGGGGCCGGGTGTGGTGGCTCACACCTATAATCCCAGCACTTTGGAGGCAAAGGTGAGTGGATCACCTGAGGTCAGGAGTTCGAGACCAGCCTGGTCAACATGGTGAAACCCCATCTCTACTAAAAATACAAAAATTAGCCAGGTGTGGTGGCGTGTGCTTGTAGTCCCAGCTACTCGGGAGGCTGAGGTTGCAGTGAGCCAAGATCACACCACTGCATTCCAGCCTGGGAGACAGAGTGAGACTTCGTCTCAAAAAAAAAAAAAGAAAAAAGAGAAGGGAATGGATAATGTTTTTGCTTAAGTACTATGACTCTCTTCTCCTTAGTCCCACCTATTTTTTCTTTTTTCTTTTTTGAAGCTTCTCAAGTTGAGAGAAATTTGTGCCTTTGAACTCCATGGCATATTCATCCTCTAACAGCGACATAGAGGACGACAGCTCCAAATCCAATTCCAACCTGAGCCTCTCTGTGGGCTATTTCCCCTGTGAGGACACCCCCTGTGAGGACACAACCTCCTGGGAAGATGCACCTTCCAAGGGTCCTTCCATCCACTTTCTGCCTCCCGTCCAAGGGGCATGGGGGACTGAAAGGATAGGGAGACGCATGAAGAGACAAGACCAAATTCAGGATGAACCAGAGCAGTTTTGCAAACTAAGCATCTTCCTGGCCTGGGACGTGGACATTGGCTCCGATAACACAGACTCAAGAGCTAATAGGCTTCTAAATGGAGACAACCTGTGGATAGACAAGTTACCAAAAGAGAGAACAAAACTGTCTGTTGGCAAACTGAATAATCTTGTGCAAGAGTTTCAGATATTTCTAGAAAATCTGAAAGATGATGACGCTGTATTTCCTGAAACTGCTCAGCAAGATTTCCAGCTATCCAGCGGCTCCCCTCCGGAAATGGTTCAGGTCAGTCATCAGGAATATGATGCTTGTCAAGACCTGCCCAAGTGCAAGCCACCAGAAAATAAAGATGTTATGTAGTCTCCACAGACTCCTCTAAGGCTTAAGGGACATGAGCTGGCTGAGGAGAGCAGAGATGCCTCACAGGACAGGAAGGGATAGGCCTGGGTTGAACCACAGAATCTTATGACCACTAGGAGGAGGCAGGTCCCAGGGGGACTGACGTGATACCAGTGGGAGACAACAAGGAAAGGAGTCAGGGTGAAGCTGTAGGGAAAAGACTGGGAATGCTGAGGGAAACAAGAGGGTAGCAAGCAAGGAGAAGGGCTAACTATATCTCCCTCCCCACCAAAAACGTATATGTTTAGTATTGATGAGCATTGAAACTCTGCATTGACACTTGGGCTATTTTTGGTAAAAGGATGTGAGTTCCACAAATGAGTAAACGTTGATTTGGCTGTTGTCATGGTTATTCCTACCTAACACATCCTTCATTTTCATGGCAGATGATAAGCCAGGCAACCGCCAGCCAAAGGACAAGCGCTCCAGAGATCTCCTCAATCCTGTCAGAGCAGCCAGAGAAGGATGACACTCCTTCACACACACAGGCCCAGTGCTGCCTGAACTTTGGGTGGGCCTTCAGCTGGCTGAGGCAGCGTATCCTCCCCTCTCTGCTGAGGAGGGATCACCCTGTGAATGCCACCAAAAGTCCCCATCGGTCAGCACCAACGAAAAGACTCTTTCACAGAGGCAAGAGAATTCAACCTCAAGAAACCCTTGAATTAGGACATCCCATATAGACAGATTTTTAAACTTTTTGGAAAGTTTAAAATAATCCATAATAAGGATTCCATTAATAATCCCCATCAGTTTGTTTTTTCCTCAATAAACAAAATAAATGCTCTTGTTACCCCACATCTTCCTCTCCCAGCACACCATCTTGACTCACATTTCAAGCATATGTGGGCCAGGCGCAGTGGCTCACACCTGTAATCCCAGCGCTTTGGGAGGCTGCGGCAGGCAGGTGGATCACCTGAGATCAGGAGTTTGAGACCAGCCAGGCCAACATGGCAAAACCCCATCTCTACTAAAAATACAAAAATTAGCTTGGTGTGGTGGGGGGCGCCTATAATCCCAGCTACCCAGGAGGCTGAGGCAGGAGAATCGCTTGAACCTGGGGGCAGAAGTTGCAGTGAGCTGAGATCACACCACTTCACTCCAGCCTAGGCAAAAGAGCAAAACTCTATCTCAAATAAATAAATAAATAAATAAATAAATAAATAAATAAAAATTAAAGAAAAATTTAAAAAAAGAAAAGAAAGTATATGTGTTGTCTAGAAGACAAATTTATTCTCAGGAAATTTTAAGTAGTATTATGCTTCCTAAACTGAAGTATTCTTTTTCTCTCCTCTCACCCATTCTTACTGTATTTTACCCTAGTTTACCTATTTTATGTGTTTTAACCTATTTTATCACTAACCCAAATCCCCATTTTCAGTAGGCAGCAGCGTGACCCATCAGATTCCTGTGGTGGCAGGATGATTTGGCTTGAACTTGCAGGGCTTGAGTGAGTGGCAGTGGGTATTGAGTCACTGAGGAAATTAATTTCAATTTCAGGAGATCGGACAGCAGTTCTGATATTCTCTGGGTACTTGACAGGTTCCAGCATGTGTTGCCTTGGCTGTAGTAGTGGCCCACTTAGGAGCAATGTGACGACTGTGAACACTTCTTAACCACTCTAAGTCTAGCTGTCTTCATTCAAAAGAAGTGGAAGATAATAATACATACCTCACAGGGTTAGTGTGAGAGTTTATGAGGTAACACAAGCACTTGATAAATATTATTACTGTTGTTGCAAGTAGACATTATCCTGAGGAACTCTCCAGACAACTTGTTCAAGGGATATCCAAGAGTGAGAGTTAATTAAGAGTCAATTCTCATTGAAACATTTCCCACACAGAGCAGTATTTACCAAAAGTTCAGGGTTTTCAGCAAATCTTAACCAAATCCTCTCCCAACCCATTCCATTCTGCCCTCTGAAACTCCTTTGCAATTGTCATTGAACGTTCCACTAAATGTCAACTTCTTTGAGGAAGGCTGCCCTCAGCCTTCTTGTCCTGACTCTCACCTCCCCAGCATCTCTACCATCCTCCTCATTCAACCACAGGTTCACTCAACGTCCTTCTTCTTCTGCTGGCACTACCATCCTGTGTGACCTTCAGAGTTTACGTGGCAAAGCATATGACTCTTCAGTTTCAAATTCCTTCCTTTCCTCAATTTCAATTCTGTATCCCTCTCCTTCCTCTCTTCTTCCTTCCTTCTACAAATATTTAACAAATAGGAGTGCCAGATACTTTTCAAGCTTGCCAAAAAAACAAAAACAAAAACAAAAAAACCTCCAATCTTTAGGCTCAAGCAACTTATTTAAGACATAAGGTCAGGCAAACATATGATTATAAAGGGTATGAGTGATAATACTCTATAGTGAGTAAACGCTGAGTTCTAATGAAAAAAATAACCCATTCAGCATGGGGGGGTTGGTTGTAAAAGGTTTCCTGTATGAGATTCTTTGGGTTACAAATGAGATTATTTAAGGTGGAGGACTTTAACTGACTTTAATTAGTATGGAATGGAGGTATGAGATCTTGACTGGTTAAAAATGCAGGTGAAAGACAGTGTGGTGAATATGGCCCAGGAAAGACAGTACAGTAGGAGGGAGGAGATAAAAAATAGGGCCCTTTTAGGAATATATGCTCAAGGTCACACCCCAAGGCCTCTCACTTCGTCAGCCTCCCTGAGGACACCTGCCCAACCCACAACTCAGTTGAACACACTCTCCCACCTTTGCCTGCTCTTTGACTTCACCAAGATTTGGAGTCCTATCACCACACCTGTTCCCCGACTTATATCCGCTTCTGTCTAGATCCAACCCATACACCTCCTTCCCAAACTTGGCATTTCTACCACATCTAGTGACATCTGCCATGTTGCCCTTCTCCCAAACCTTTCTAAAATCTATACTCACCAAGTTCCCCAAGGGGACCCTCTTGCTCCTCACTGCAGCCAACACACAAAACCATAGGGAATTCCCTCTGCATTCCCTGACTGCCTGGGAAACTCATCCTTAAAGATCCTGCTCTAGGGTTTCTATGGGACTATATTGATCCCTCAGGTAAAGGATCATGACCCTCCTTTAGCTGTCCCCTAGTCCCTGCCCTGCCACCTTCTTGCCATGACCTGTACTTTTCAGCTCTCTTTATAGATCTATTTTATCTGTAGACTGTGAGCTCTCAAGGACAAGCACCAGGTCTTAGTTCCTTTTTATTTCAAATCCTAACACAGTGGGCCAGTTGCGGTGGCTCACACCTGTAATCCCAGCACTTTGGGAGGCCGAGGTGGGTAGATCACTTGAGGTCAGGAGTTTGAGACCAGCCTGGGCAACATGGTGAAATGTTGTCTCC
This sequence comes from Homo sapiens, assembly GCF_000001405.40. Taxonomy (NCBI): domain Eukaryota; kingdom Metazoa; phylum Chordata; class Mammalia; order Primates; family Hominidae; genus Homo; species Homo sapiens. The sequence continues at coordinate 27,078,512 of NC_000012.12, read as the reverse complement.
ACTAAAAATACGAAATTAGCCATGTGTGGTGGCAGGTGCCTGTAATCCCAGATACTCAGGAGGCTGAGGTAGGAGGATCATTTGAACCCAGGAGACAGAGGTTGCAGGGAGCTGAGATAGCACCATTGCATTCCAGCCTAGGCGATGGAGCGAGACTCCATCTCAAAAAAAACAATGAAAAACCAAATCCTAACACAGTGTTTAGTACTGAGTAATCTAGCTCTCTTTATGTAATTCTTTAAATGTTTTTAATACATCCTGTCTATATAATTTTTAAAAAGTCAAATACAACAGCTTAAAGAGTTGCTATTCTTTAAGTCAAAAGTGACTGGTCAGTAGGATCAAGAATAGGAATGAAAAGGGAGGCAGACAAGAAGAGAACATGGCCATCAAGTAGACATCAAGTGAGATGGCAACCTATCGATTGAGAAATCTAATAAGACTAAAGGAATTTAGAAACTAAATTGAAAATGTAATCAAACAAATATACCTGGAGCCTTACTGTTGCTTTAGACTAGACACTATGATAAGCCTGAAAGATGACATATCTTACTCTCAAGAGACTTGAAACTAGTTTTATTATTTTAATCCTTAGTCTAGTTATTAAGCTCTAAGAAAAACTCAACCAAAATACTTTAGAAGACTGTCTACACTGAATAAGATGCACTGTTCTTTAGTAAGATTTCTGGCAAACTTGTGTTTATTCATCAGTGTTTTATAAACCTGCTTGGCAGGTATGAACCTGTCCCTAAAATTTAAGCAGTGCGCTTTGCAAGTCTTTACAATAAAGTAAGCTTTCCATACCCTTTGAGGTTGACTGTCATGCTATATATTAGAAAGCAGGACAAAGTATTTTAAAATAGGAAACAATCTCAGTATCTCTTCATTATAGTTTCAAATATGTTATCAGCCAGGCACGGTGGCTCATGCCTATAATCTCAGCACTTTGGGAGGCCAAGGCTCAAGGATCACTTGAGCCCAGGAGATTGAGACTAGCAAATTCACGGCTCAAGAGGATGCATGGGTCCAAGTCTAACTGGCCACAAGAATACTGTCTAAAATCCTCTTATGAAACAAAAGAAAAATGAAGCAAATTATAAACGATTTCCTGCAGAGTGCTAAAGTCCTTACTCCAATAATAAAGAACAATTTTGTTGACTTAAAGGGAACAGTTAATTGCTTCAAAAATATGTCTCCTCATTATAAATTGCAAGTGGGAGAACTTATATAGCATGTAGGACACCACCAATTTCAAGATGGACGGGTGGGTTTTATATTGCAATGCCTGGAGTCAATCTTTTCCTGCTACCTACTAATACCTCAAACAAACAGAATAACGCTGTACTTTCAGAAGTGAAATAAGATCTTCATCAGATAACACTCACTAAGTGAGCCAGTCATGAGCAGAATGAGTAAAAAGCCTCAGGACAAATTCCTCCAAAGCATTATTAGCCTAGATCAAGAAGTACCAAGACAAAACAATTTCTGCTTTATCCCACCTTTCAAAGGAATTCCATGGTTTTAATGCCCATTTGATTTCAATATAATATGCTTTATAAGGAACTACTTCTAAGACATTTTCAAATGGTATGGTATACATCATAGCTTTTCAGATTGTGGCACTGAAAGAAAATTCATCTCATTAGTACTGAATTCTCTCAGTCCAAAAGAAAATCAGAATGGCAATTTATTTAGTTTTCCCTCATCTGCATCAATAAAGATAATTTTAAGTACAAATCTCTAAAATAAAGGGCTCTCATTCTAAGATACAGGTTTCCTGCATACCTACTTAGAAAGGAAAAGAAAACCCTTCAAACATCTTCATAGTTAATGTGTGTTTGGATAGTTGTTTTTAAGTTTCACTTTCATCAGTCCTTCTGTCATCCATCTTTGGGGCCAAGATTTTCCCCAAGCAGAACATGGGGATGGAAAGGAGAATTTTTCTTCAGTAAAATGACTTTAGAAATCAAGTTAGTACCATATTGCAACCAGCAACTTAATAATTGATTCATATAAGGATCAAAAATAGATGCTAAAACCATTGGGTGAATCACTGTCAGGGAAAAAAACATGCACATGCTCTCTAAGATTACCCCACAGGTGCCTTCTTAGTTATCAAGAGGATTAGGCACCTTTACAATGGAAAGGTCTGGTCAACACCAACTTAGCCAAGTGATTAAACTTAGCCTAGCTAATATCATGCACCTTCTGAAAAGAAGCAATGTATACTTGCTAGCAATGTTTAATTTGAATCTAATTATGAGGACACCAACAGTTAGATGAATCTAGACAACAGGACATTTTACCAGACAACTGTCTTTGTCTTTTAAAACATGTTAACATCATAAAACTCAAAATAAAACACAAAAAAGACAGGGAGACAAAAGAGTTCATAAAAGAGATGAAAGAAACATGACAACCAATTGCTCTTTGTAATTTTTTTTTTTTTTTTTTGAGATAGAGTCTTGCTCTGTTGCCCAGGCTGGAGTGCAGCGGCACAATCTCGGCTCACTGCAAGCTCCGCCTCCCAGGTTCACGCCATTCTCCTGCCTCAGCCTCCCGAGTAGCTGGGACTACAGGCACCCGCCACAACACCCCGCTATTTTTTTGTATTTTCAGTAGAGACGGGGTTTCACCTTGTTAGCCAGGATGGTCTCGATCTCCTGACCTTGTGATCCACCCGCCTCGGCCTCCCAAAGTGCTGGGATTACAGGCATGTGCCATCACACCCGGCTAATTTTGTATTTTTAGTAGAGATGGGGTTTCTCCATGTTGGTCAGGCTGGTCTCGAACTCCTGACCTCAGGTGATCCGCCCACCTTGGCCTCCTAAAGTGCTGGGATTACAGGCGTGAGCCATTTTTGATGGAATCTTTGATCAAAACCAAAAGCAAAACAAAAACTATGGTAAAGGGCATTTTTTTTTCTGAATGTGGAGTGTACCTTAGATAATATGATTGAATATTTGCTGGGTATAATGAGAATATACGGCTATGTAGGAGAATGTCCTGGGTTCTTAGGAAATTTAGGCTGAAATATTTAAGGATAGAAGTGTCATGATATCTGCAACTTACTTTCAATTAGTCCAGGAAAAAAGAGAGAAAGAGAAAATGAGAAAGCAAAGATGGGGAAAATATAAAAAAAAGTTCTAGTAAGTAGGTAGTATAGATCTCTATTAAAGTATTATATCTGCTATATTTGTATGACAGTAATAGCTTATGAGGTATATATATATATATTTAAAACATCAAACATTTACTCTAAACAAAACTTAGATAATAATTTGATTTCTCAAGCAATATAAACTGGGCAATTCTTTAATCTAGATTCATTCATTCATCCTGGCACCTGCCTTTGGGTTCACAGCTGGCTGCAAAGAATTTTCAGTCTCACAGATTGGTAACTATTCATCCTTCAAGTCCTAACTATAAAAAGCCAAATTGGTTCAGTTGAAAGCAGACTAGCATCGAGGTATTTTTCCAGAACATGTAAGATTTCAGGAGTTTATCTAGCTTTTGCTGAGATTAAAAAGAATAATTTTTGCCAAATGGGGAGGTAGGTCCTCTGTCCTTTGAAATTTTTGCAAGTTTCAAAGCCTGAATATCTCATGTCTACCTTCAAAACACAGTAAATTTCTGTTTCTCACAAATCAAGAACAGCCTGACACTTACAATGCTAATAATTTCTTCAAATTGTTTTGACGTTTTCTTTTATTTTGAGCAGTGACAGATTGTTCTGCTTCTTCCAAACTAACAAGAACAGGCATAGTCCACTATATGCAGTATTGTGCATTCTAGGGGACTTCTGAGAGTGAGAGTGTGCTCTATATAGTCTTTTGTTGTTGCTGAGACAGAGTCTCACTCTGTAGCCTAGGCTGGGGTGCAGTGGCATGATCTCTGCTCACTGCAACCTCCACCTCCTGGGTTCAAGCGATTCTCATGCCTCAGTGTCCCAAATAGCTGGGACTACAGGCATGCGCAACCACACAGGCTAATTTTTACATTTTTAGTAGAGACAGGGTTTCACCATGTTGGCCAGGCTGGTCTCAAAATCGTAGCCTCAAGGAGTTGGTTTTTTGAAAAGATTAACAAAATAGATAGACCGTTAGCCAGACTAATAATGAAGAAAAGAGAGAACAATCAAATAGATATAACAAAAAATGATAAAGGGTATATCGCCACTGATCCCACAAAAATACAAACTACCATCAGAGAATACCATAAACACCTCTACACAAATAAACTAGAAGATCTAGAAGAAATGGATAAATTCCTGGACACTTACACCCTCCCAAGACTAAACCAGGAAAAAGTCGATCCCTGAATAGACCAATAACAAGTTCTGAAATTGAGGCAGTAATTAATAGCCTACCAACCAAAAAAGCCCAGGACCAGATGGATTCACAGCCAAATTCTACCAGAGGTACAAAGAGGAGGTGGTACCATTCCTTCTGAAACTATTCCAAACAGCAGAAAATTAGGGACTCCTCCCTAACTCATTTTATGAGGCCAGCATCATCCTGATACCAAAACCTGGCAGACACACACACACACACACACACACACACACACACACACCAATTCAGGCCAATATCCCTGATGAACATCAATGCAAAAATCCTAATAAAATACTGGCAAACCAAATCCAACAGCAAATCAAAAGCTTATCCATGATGAAGTCGGCTTCATCCCTGGGATGCAAGGCTCATTCAACACATGCAAATCAATAAACATAATCCATCACTTAAACAGAACCAACGACAAAAGCCACATGATTATCTCAATAGTTGCAGAAAAGGCCTTCGATAAAATTCAACATCCCTTCATGCTAAAAACTCTCAACGAAGTAGGTATTATTGGAACATATCTCAAAATAATAGGAGCTATTTATGACAAACCCATAGCCAGTATCATACTGAATGGGCAAAAGCTGGAAGTATTCCCTTTGAAAACTGGCACAAGACAAGGATGCCCTCTCTCACCACTCCTATTCAACATAGTACTGGAAGTTCTGGCCAGAGCAATCAGGCAAGAGAAAGAAATAAAGGGTATTCAAACAGGAAAAGAGGAAGTCAAAATGTCTGTTTGCAGACGACGTGACTGCATATTTAGAAAACCCCATTGTCTCAGCCCAAAAACTCCTTAAGCTGATAAACAATTTCAGCAAAGTCTCAGGATACAAAATCAATGTACAAAAACCACAAGCATTCCTATACAACAAAAAATAGACAAGCAGAGAACCAAATCATGAGTGAACTCTCTCTCATTCACAATTGCTACAAAGAAAACAAAATACCTAGGAATACAACTTACAAGGGACATGAAGGACCTCTTCAAGGAGAATTACAAACCACTGATCAAGGAAATAAGAGAGGACATAAACAAATGGAAAAAAAATCCATGCTCATGGATAGGAAGAATCAATATCATGAAAATGGCCATATTGCCCAAAGTAATTTATAGATTCAATGCTATCCCCATCAAGCTACCATTGACTTTCTTCACAGAACTAGATTAAAAAAAAACTACTTTAAATTTCATATGGAACCAAAATAGAGTCTGTATAGCCAAGACAATTCTAAGCAAAAAGAACAAAGCTGGAGGCATCACACTACCTGACTTCAAACTATACTACAAGGTTACAGTAACCAAAACAGCATGGTACTGGTACCAAAACAGATACACAGACCAACGGAACAGAACAGAGGCCTCAGAAATAACACCACACATCTACAATCACCTGATCTTTGACAAATCTGACAAAAACAAGCAATGGGGAAAGGATTCCCTATTTAATACATAGTGCTGGGAAAACTGGCTACCCATATGCAGAAAACAGAAACTGGACCCCTTCCTTACACCTTATACAAAAATTAACTCAAGATGGATTAAAGACTTAAACGTAAGACCTAAAAATATAAAAACCCTAGAAGAAAACCTAGGCAGTACCATTCAGGACATAGGCATGGGCAAAGACTTAATGAATAAAACACCAAAAGCAATTACAACAAAAGCCAAAATTGACAAATGGGATCTAATTAAACTAAAGAGCTTCTGCTCAGCAAAAGAAACTATCATCAGAGTGTACAGGCAACCTACAGAATGGGAGAAAATTTTTGCAATCTATCCATCTGACAAAGGGCTAATATCCACATTCTACAAGAAACTTAAACAAATTTACAAGAAAAAAACAAACAACCCCATCAAAAAGTGGACGAAGGATATGAACAGACACTTCTCAAAAGAAGACATTTATGTGGCCAACAAATATATGAAAAAAAGCTCATCATCACTGGTCATTAGAGAAATGCAAATCAAAACCACAATAAGATACCATCGCACGCCAGTTAGAATGGCGATCATTAAAAAGTCTGGAAATGACAGATGCTGGAGAGGATGTGGAGAAATAGGAACATTTTTACACTGTTGGTGGGAGTGTAAATTAGTTCAACCATTGTGGAAGACAGTGTGGTGATTCCTCAAGGATCTAGAACCAGAAATACCATTTGACCCAGCAATCCCATTACTGGGTATATACCCAAAGGATTATAAATCATTCTACTATAAAGACACATGCATACATTATGTTTATTGCAGCACTGTTTACAACAGCAAAGACTTGGAACCTAACCAAATGCCCATCAATGATAGACTGGATAAAGAAAATGTGGCACATATACACCATGGAATACTATGCAGCCATAAAAAAAGAATGAGTTTATGTTCTTTGCAGGGACATGGATGAAGCTGGAAACCATCATCCTCAGCAAACTAACACAGAAACAGAAAAACAAACACTGCATGTTCACACTCATAATTTGGAGTTGAACAGTGAGAATACATAGACACAGGGATGGGAACATCACACACCGGGGCCTTTCATGGAGTGGGGGGGAAAAGGGAGGGAGAGCATTAGGACAAATACCTAATACATGTGGGGCTTAAAACCTAGATGACGGGTTGATAGGTGCAGCAAACCAATATGGCACATTCATACCTATGTAACAAACCTGCATGTTCTACACATGTATCCAAGAACTTCAAGTAAAATAAAAAAAAAAGAAGAGTTAGATATAAAAAGAGTACAAAATGCCCAGAATAGTCCAGAAAGACAGCTGATGACCTTTTCCTCTAAAATATCTTAATATCACAGTACCAAATAGCCTAACTATGTCAAGCCAAGCATATAACTACTATTAAACAGGAAAGGAATCAGGTAAAAAACAAACGACGAACAAGAAAAGCTGATGGAACAGTAACAATTTGTGTTCTGAACCACAAATGAGAACACAGAAGACAATTAACTGTTGTATTGTAGTTAGGATTATACCACTGGTAAGGGATTACACCTTAGCCCAAGGTAATAGTCACAAGAAACTCTCAGGGCTATTTCAATCGCAAAGCTGCTATAATTTCTACAGTGATCGCACATGTTATCTTCTGCCTAGGGACTAAATGGATCCTGCTACAATGGCTGTAAATTGCACATCCCTAATTTAAGTCTCCTCTTGGCTGAAGCAGCTCTGGGCTGTGATTTGACCAGGAGACTAGAACAGCGCTACAGTACAGAAGGAATGCAGACCACACCCAGGGAACCCAATCTCATTTCTTTGATTACTATGCACACAGACTTGAGCTACTGCTAAATAATAGATTTAAGAACTATTGAAATGCCTTCCCCCATTTCTCTACTCCTGAAGCAATGGGAAACCATGGCTCACTGAAACGATGGAGTCAGAACCCAAGTTTCCCCAAAATACCATAACATTCAACCACACATCCACTAAATAAGAGTAAAAATTATCTTGGACACTCTTCCCCCTTCTTAAAAAACTGTTGAGGTTACATATCTAAAAGCCATCATAGATACTTAGGCCTCCTAATTAAATGTATAAATGTATGGAAACTTAAGAGAAAAAAGACTACTTGCTCAGTTATAGAGCCAGCATGTATGCACACACACACATACACACCACTTATTTGATCATTTGCTAAATGTGCAAACTCTTCCTCTGTCTACAGTTACACACTAGCATATCTGTCTCATAGAGGAAAAAAAAAAAATCAAAGTCATTGGCTGCCAATTTCCTAAGAGGTGAGGAGAAAGCGAAGCAACTGAGAATGAAAAGACTGCTATGGCTTTGACAAGATGAGCAAATGGCTTCTAACAGCCCACAAACTACAGACACACACACACACACACACACACACACACACACACACACAAAAAGCATCTGCTTGATGAGAGAGTTCTAAAAGCCCAACTAAATCTCTATCTGATGGTAAAAGTGAGCCTAGATATTTGGTAGGAAAAGGAGAAAGCACTAAAGAAAAAAAATGTAAAAGAAAACATTTTGTGAGTTACATGATGAAACCAAGATCATTTATATATTGTCCAAGTTATCATGAACCAATTAAGCACAAAACAAACAACATGTGACACAATCCCAAATAAGACTGCCATCCCCAAGCAGTGCTTTCAGAATTTTAGTACGAATTCCCTAAAATAATGTTTAGTTCACAAAAGACGGTCAGGAGATAGGAAGCCCCAATCCCCACATAATAATCAAAGTGACAAAGACTGCAAAAAGGATACAGAGAAAAAGGCGCAAAGGATAAATCCATAGTAGATGCGTTTCTTTGGGGATGACATTATCTCAGTGGCTACAAATTGCCTACTTACAAACCACTACACTACAGGGTGGAGTGATGATACAGGCAAGCCTGAGTGAATAGCTAACCATACAGTCCCACAGCCTTCCTTGGCCTAATGAAGGGAAGACAGAGATGAAGCTGAACAAGGGGCTCCCACCTCATTCTTGTGCCTGGGTCCATTCAGCCTCAAAAGTGGTATAACCAGACAGCATTCACCACTATCATCCATGAACTCAAGGACCACTGGCACAGAGGAGAGACTAGGGTGTTGCCTGCACTCTTAGGCAAATGAAATTTCATATATTTGCCAGTTGCCAGAACACCTAAGACTGAAAGTATTGCCGTGAGCAGTGGCTCACGCTTGTAATCTCAGCACTGTGGGAGGCCATGGTGGGAAGATCACTTGAAGACAGGAGTTCAAGACCAGCCTTGGCAATGCAACAAGACTCTGTCTCTACAAAAAATTTTAAAACCAGCCGGGCATGGTGGCACACGCCTGTAGTCCCAGCTACTCAGGAGACTGAGGTGGGAGGATCACTTGAGCCCAGAAGCTCAAGGCTGCAGTGAGCAAGGATCGCACCATTGTACCCCAGCCTGGGCAATGAACTGAGACTGTCTTTTTTTTTTAAAAAAAAAAAAAAGGAAAAAAAGTATAATGTATAAAATTACAAATTTCCTTTGTGCAAAATGACCCTATTTTTCCACAAATCTCAGCTCCACTGGTCTCTTGTGAACTAAGTAAACCAGTTCAGACAACCAAGAGTGTCTTCACTGACTCACCCTAGGGAGGGACATGCCAAGGACACAGTGACAAATGTCTCCCTTCATCCTTCCTCTGAGTTTCAGTCTAAGATGAGGCAAGTAGAAAAAATCTTTTCTTGTTAGTATTCACTACACTTAAATTAAAAACCGAAGTCTCGGCCGGGCGCGGCGGCTCATGCCTATAATCCCAGCACCTTGGGAGGCCAAGGCGGGTGGATCATCTGAGGTCAGAATTTCGTAGACCAACCTGACCAACATGGAGAAACCCCATCTCTACTAAAAATACAAAATTATCTGGGCATGGTGGCTCATGCCTGTAATCCCAGCTACTTGGGAGGCTGAGGAAGGAGAATCTCTCGAACCAGGAGGCGGAGGTTGCCGTGAGCCAAGATGGCGTCATTGCACTCCAGCCTGGGCAACAAGAGTGAAACTCTGTCTCAAAAAAAAAAAAAAAAAAAAAGTCTCATATTTTTAAAAAGTGATCTGAAAACTCTCATAAAGTATCAGATACAAATGGGTAACCTTAGTAACAAGAATGAGAAATAAAATGACTATCATTTTTAGTGCTAGGTCTATGTGCCCTGAAGCATAATACTAACACTATTGTAGTCAATTGTTACAGCAGATTTTGGGGGCATCTTAGAGGTGGAGATTTTACCACCCCATTTTACAGATGTGGAAGCTGACCCAGAAAGGTCATGAGACAAGAAAGTGGTGGAATTGTGATCTGAATGCAGAAAGGTCTTAAGGCAAAGCCCACATGCTCACATCCCATATTTGTTTGGGAAAATACATTTTTTCCTAGTTCTATACTTTAAGTTCATTCTTGGCTCAAGATTCATACTTTTAGGGACTGGTTTTTCAAAGCTTCCTTAAAACAAGTTAGGCTTAATGAATTTGTTCAGAAAATTCTTTGAGAGCTCCTTCTGAGTTCAGGCCTGCCTCAATTTTTCTTTCTCTATTCGTCTCCCTAGACACATCGGGTCTCACAAGCTGAGTCTTCCCTGGGGCTCTTACTTTTCCAGGTTCTTGATCTGATTGGTAAGATATCCTGACAGTTTCTATGGGAATCCAGACACATCTCTCTTCTGGATCTATTTCCCCTTCCCCTACATAGTCCCTTCCTGTACCATGCAATCAAAACCCTTCTCTGCCAGGACAATAAGCCTCACCACACCACTCACATATCAGAGAGGGCTTCCACCTGGCCACACCCCACAAGAGTAATCTACAAAAACATCTTCATCTGATCCTGTTGAGTAAGCACCTTGGAACATCACATTGAAGCAGACAAATCACTTGGCTACCTAAAGTTCAACATCAATCCAAAGTGCCACCGAATCAAAATGACTTTAGTCCCTGAACAAACAAAATACGATCATAATGAAAAGATATGCACAACACATTCATAGGAGCACTATTAGTAATATGCCCAAGCAAGAGACTACGTAAATGTCCAGCAACTGTAAAATCGCTATACAATTGAATAGCATTAGAGCAAAGAGAATGCAAAAAAAGTATTGTATACAATATTGTAGATCTCACAAACATAATAAGTAAAACAAGCTAGACACAAAAGAATATTCACTGTATGATTCTATTCATAAAAACAAACTAAACAAAGGCATCACAAGGCAGCATACCGGTTGCTCCTGGAGCATGAGGGGAGGAGGGCTCTGGGGTGCTGGTAATTTTCTACTAATCAAGGTGCTGATTGCAGAAGTGTGTCCATTTTGTAACAACTATTCCATCAAGCTATCCACTTAGCGATGTGTGCACTTTCCTCCATGCATAAGGTCCCTCAGCAAAGAGCTGACTGAGAGACTCTTGAGAGCATCTGGTCCATGCCCCTTGGTTGGCATAAGATCAACTGTTTCCCATGGATGTTAGATAGCTCATGGACACAGAGGAAATTCATTAAAGGACTGGAAGGAACTGGACATCAGATCTCTTAGCTCCCCACACAGGTACCAAAGCTGTGTGACAGGATGTTTCTCTAACTTCCTTGCTTTCTGTGACTCCAGACAAAGTTTAGAAGGATGAGGATCACATTCCTCTTATGAACACAATCCAGGAGGTTCCAATCTCTTATTTACATCCATGCCAGGAAGAGCATCTAAACACGTTTAAGGATATGGCAAATCAGAGAAAGTCAGACAGTTCACATTCACTGGCTAGGTGACCGTCAGCACGCTCCTTACCTCTCTCGTATCCTCATCCAGACCACGGAAGTGTTAACTGTTACCCTGCAAGGGTGCCTTGAAGATAAGGTAATAAGTAGTGTCAGGGCCATGCCTGGTACACGGCAAGCATTCAGAAACACTATTTGTAGAATGAACATGGAATCAAATTAATCAAATGCCTGTCACTTGGTAGAAGCTCAATAAATAGTAGTTATTATTACTGAGCAAGAGAAATAGGGAGAAAGTGGGTAAATATGCCTGTGAGAAACCAACACCTCATATTCTAAGCCTACTGGGTCATTAATGGGTCAACTAGCAATTCTCGCTGGTGTAGATAAGGCAGTGAAATGGTCTGTGAGGTGAAGAGTGATGAAGGACTTGAGAATAGGGCTGTGCTTTTTATTTTATGTTCTACCAAGTCTGTGTTTTCCTTCTCAGTGCCAAATGAAGATTTGCTCACTGTCTGCCACACCACGTCTAAATCCTACAGCCACCTATGTTATTCATACTACTCTTAGAATTTACAGGTTTTAAAAGGGCGAGCAGATACAAACACTCCTAGACTTAATGAGTAGACTCACTAGAGTCAAGTAACTTTACTCCTGGAAAAAAATTCACATACACTGAGAGGTAATTGCAGGCTTTAGAGAGGTCTGAAATGAACCATGGCCAGAAGTTACTTCACTTACATTTTTAAAAAGCAGGTTTAATACTGATTTTGTTTTCAGTTCTTCAAATCTTGGATGTATTTAGCAAGCTAATCCACACAAGTTCTTTTATACTAAAAAGAAACAAATACAAAAACAAGTTAAAACTGATTTCAAATTATAGCACACCAGAAAAAATAAAAGCACCAAATGGCTAATTATTATATTAACAAAGAACATCAAACTAGGTAACATGAGTGTAATTAAAAACAACAAAACATGTGTTAAGGACTGACTTCCATCCATCCTTTCTCTCCTATCCTCCTTCTTCCATTCTTCCCCATCTAGCACTCCACCCTTCTCTGCCTTCCTTCCTCAGTTACTGGACAACCTCAAATATTCCCTGATGACTGATTTTTTCTGCTGAAACCAAGTAGCGCATGGTAGGTACGCTATGAATGTTTGCTGAGTAAATGAATGAACCGTGGTTTTGCAATATTTTGTTGTTAAGATTTAAAAAATAAGAAATGCCCACAATTTATTATTTTGTTATCCAACAGGAACAAGTTGTAGACAATATGTAGAAATACATATATTGTTTCTGAATTGAGTTTCTGATTCTCTTATCTCTTTTAAATAAGTCATGCTTATGGGAAAATCCCCATTAGTATATATGGGCACATACATCTTCACCATGATACAGTAATAAAATATATTTTGGTACTAAAAGAATATTTAAGAAGAGTAAAATTTCCTTTTGAGATGCTCTCTCTTCAAATACCTCAGAACTACCTGCACCCAAAGGAGAAAGCAAGGTGTCTCCAAGTTAAATACAAGAGATATTGCCACATGTGTTTTACAAATGCATACAGAGTCAGGGCCAGTCCTAGACAAAATTATGACGTACGGATGTGGCTGTTTCCTTCCATTTGTCCTTTTGAGGATTCATTAACCCCGGATGTTTAATCAAGTAAGGAAGCAAAAGGATCAACTCCAAGGTTACAACAACTTAATGGATATCCTTCATGAGGATATTTTTATTTAAAAAAAAAAGCTTCACAAAAGGCAGTTGCTTAACAGTGAAATAAAATGCATTACTGACTATGGAACTTCAGGAATGAATGGGGGTGTGGATTTTCATCATGGAATTTCTCAACACCCCATTAAATCACATCAGGTAAGTATCTGTCCATTCTGCTTTCTCCTACCACTGGCTTCATATATGGCCCATATATACACACCAATCCCAGCAAGTTTTAAGCAATTTATTATATACAAACAGGCAAGCTCAATTTTAAGACTAGGGTGTGCTCTGAAAGTAAACAGTCATGTTAATGAGCAGTTTTCAAAGTGAGCTCCTAGGACTCCCACCCTAAGATGCTTCAGAGAGCAGAGGCAGAAGTGAGTGGATGTGCAGCCATGGGCACAGCGATTTCACTTTCATCTGTTTCAGACTTAGACCCAAGATTATTTGGGGAAGTGGTTCCTTAAGCTGCTTATGAAAGAGCTGAAACAATCGATGTAACCAAGTAACAATTAGATTAAAAGCTAGTGCAGAAAATCCCAGTCAGTCCACAACACAGCTGACTAACACCAAAATCCAACCACCACTTGTTATAGGGCCTTTATGGTAAAATACAAGTCCCAGCCTGAGCCCCAGGGCAGAGGTCAGCCCAGGTCTGAGCAGACAGGAGCTGGGCCTTCTCTTCTTCCCTACTCAGCCCCCTCATCTCCTGCCCTGGAACATCATGAACAGAAGGAAGGGCACTTACACTTCCATGAGGACTGAGTCAACAGTAAGAGGGCAAGATTACGGTGCAGGGGGCCTGTGGATGTTCACAAGATGGAGAAGCAGAGGTCTCCAGCAGAGAACAAGACATGGTGGGTTTCTGTAAGTCAGACACTTCCCAGGCCCTATCCCGATCCCTACAGCTTCTTTGCTGGGAATTCCACGTGCAAGGTTTACACACTTCACCTGGATCAGGGCTCTTGGCTAGGAATAAGAAAGGAGAAAATAGAACAGTTTAAAAGGAAGAAAAAAATACCTATGTTCTATGAAATCCAATTCAAAACAATATGTAAAATGAAAAAAAGGGGGAAGATTGGGGGAGCATTATGAGAAAATAAGCATTGCCTAAATGTGCTCCAGAGAAATTCACATTGACTAAGAAGCACTGAGTATATTCAATCCCTCCCTCAGCACAGAGCTCTAATTATTTGGCCCTGCCAGGACTGAATACAAAAAATATTTATAAACATGAACCATTATATTTTTTGAGTTTTCATCATACTAAAAAGTAAGTATAAGTAAAAGTAGCTGTACGTGATGGCCCACTAAGAACAAACGAAAGACTACTGTTGGAGTACAACCTTGGCAGGCTGAGGTGGGAGAATCACTTGAGCCTAGAGTTTGAGTCCAGCCCAGGCAACATAGCAAGAGCACACTTTGAAAGAAAAGATAGAAAGAAAAGAAAAGAAAAGAAAGAGGGAAGGAAGGATGGAAGGAAAAAGAAAGAAACATAAAGAATGAAAGAAAGAAAGAAAGAGGAGGGAAGGGAGGGAGAGAAGAAAAAGAAGAAGGAAGAAGTAGAAGGAGGAAGAAGAAGAAGGAAGAAGAAGAGGAAGAAGAAGAAAAAGAAGAAGCAGCAGAAGCAGCAGCAGGAGGAGGAGGAGGAAGAAGGAAGCAGAAGAAAAAGAAGGAAGAAGGAGAAGGAGAAGAGGAAGAAGAAAGAAGAATAAGAAGAGGAAGAAGAAGGAGGAGGAGGAAGGAAGAAGAGGAAGAAGGAAGAAGAAGAGGAGAAGGAAGAAGAAGAGGAAGAGGAAGAAGGAGGAGAAGGAGGAAGAGGAAGAAGAAGAGAAGGAGAAGAAAGAAGGGGGAAGAAGAAGGAGGAGGAGGAGGAAGAAGAAAGAAGAAGGAGAAAGAAGAAGAGAGAAGGAGAAGAAAGAAGAAGGAAGAGAAAGAAGAAAAGGAGAAAGAAGAAAGAAGGAGGAGAGGAGGAAGAGGAGGAGGAACACAGGAGGAAGAAGGAGAAGAAGAAGAAGAAAGAGGAGGAGGAGGAGAAGGGAAGAAGATTTACAAGTTTACATTTATTTTGGACTTCAATCTTTGTATCTTTGTCTTAAAAAGTTTCTGAGGCCGGGCGCGGTGGCTCACGCCTGTAATCCCAGCACTTTGGGAGGCCGAGGCGGGCGGATCACGAGGTCAGGAGATCGAGACCATCCCGGCTAAAACGGTGAAACCCCGTCTCTACTAAAAATACAAAAAATTAGCCGGGCGTAGCGGCGGGCGCCTGTAGTCCCAGCTACTTGGGAGGCTGAGGCAGGAGAATGGCGTGAACCCGGGAGGCGGAGCTTGCAGTGAGCCGAGATCCCGCCACTGCACTCCAGCCTGGGCGACAGAGCGAGACTCCGTCTCAAAAAAAAAAAAAAAAAAAAAAAAAAAAGTTTCTTAGATGAGCAGTTTCATGCAAAAGGTTCATTGGAGAGTGATCTGGGAAGAGACACCTGTAAGGCAGAAAACAAGGGAGGATGAGGCAGATGGAGAAGTGGGAGGAGTGGTTTTAACTGAGGCCTAGCTGATCCTACAGGTTGCCCTGGGGCTAGAGTGGTTCTTTAGAGTTATCCCAAATTGGGGAAAGGAGCCAGGATATACACACACACACACACACACACACATATATATATATGTGTGTGTATATATATATGTGTATATATATATATGTGTGTGTGTGTGTGATATATATATAATATATATATATAATATAATATATATATATAATATAATATATATATATAATATTATATATATATAATATAATATATATATAATATTATATATATAATATATATATATATAATATTATATATATATATATAATATAATATAATATATATATATATATATATATATATATATTTTTTTTTTTTTTTTTTTTTTTTTTTTTGAGATGAGTCTCGCTCTGTTGCCCAGGCTGGAGTGCAGTGGTGCGATCTCGGCTCACTGCAAGCTCCGCCTCCCAGGTTCATTACATTCTCCTGCCTCAGCCTCCCGAGTAGCTGGGACTACAGGCACCTGCCACCACACCTGGCTAATTTTTTTGTATTTTTAGTAGAGACGGGGTTTCACCGTGTTAGCCAGGATGGTGTCGATCTCCTGACCTCATGATCTGCCCACCTCAGCCTCCCAAAATGCTGGGATTACAGGCGTGAGCCACCACCCCAGCCGGGGCCAGGATTTTTTTATCCTTGCATGAGCCACACCTGGGAGGCATTGTAATCTTGGATCAAGGTGGTCCCCTGCAGCCAAGGGCAGTTTCAAATGAAGGATGAACCTATGAGCCAGCACTTCCAGCAGCTTGGGAATGAGTACATCATCCCTGAAGATGAGATCAAGATGGAGACCATAATACCTACCTTCTCCTTACAGACACATTTAAATTGGGACACATTCTCTTTTCATTCTTCTACTCATTGTATATCAGGGCAGTTTACAGAGCACCTTATTGCAGCCATCCCAGTCTCTTTACATATCTCCCCTACTTCCTTTTCTTTGGGACTATTCACATTTATACAGTCAGATATCATTTTATAATTTTTCCCTTTTTTCTGTTACATACGCTGTATTCATCTGTTCTCACGCTGCTAATAAAGGCATACCCAAGGCTGGGTAATTTATAAAGGAAAGAGGTTTAATGGACTCACAGTTCCACATGGTTGAGGAGGCCTCATGATCATGGTGGAAGGCAAATGAGAAGCAAAGGCACGTCTTACATGGCAGCAGGCAAGAAAGAATGAGAGAGCCAAGAGAAAGGGGAAACCCCTTATAAAGCCATCAGATCTCATGAGACTTATTCACTACCACAAGAACAGTGTGGGGGAAGCTGCCCCCATGATTCAATTATCTCCCACCAGGCCCTTCCCACAACATGTGGGAATTATGCAAGCTACAATTCAAGATGAGATTTGGGTGGGACACAGCCAAACCATATCATATAGTGTTTTTCTGAATCTTTATAAATCTGCTTTTTTAAACCTATACATTCTGTTAGAATGCTATTATTTCATAGTAACTTTCTCCCATATAACCAATCTTTTCTTTCTTGTTGGTTAGAAAAAAATTTTTGAATATTATTTGCCATTTTGGTTTTCTCTACTTTCTAAGAATGTTTTAGTTAGAGTTATTGGTTGCAAACAACAGAAAATAAATCTGGCTCCGTTAAGGAGAAAAATAATTTGGGGAAGGGTTAAAGGTTGCACAATAAGCAAGAAAACTTACCAAACTTAGGCATGAAGCTAGACAGACAAAGCACAGCCAAGATCCTGCCCAAAGAGCCATTGGTGTAGGATGTTCTGCTGGCAATGATCCTGCGGGAGAAACAGCTGTGCTGCTGGTGTCTGCTGCCTCTGGATGCTAACTCTCAGGCCTCTGAACTTACAATGTCTCTGTAGATAAAGTAACTGTACTCATGTTACAGTCCATGCTCTAGCTACCAGAATTAAGGAGAAAGGCTGGGCCAGGCAGGGTGGCTCGTGCCTGTAATCCCAGCACTTTGGGAGGCCAACGCAGGTGGACTGCATAAGATCAGGAGTTCAAGACCTGCCCGACCAACATGGTGAAACCCCATCTCTACTAAAAATACAAAAATTTGCCAGGTGTGGTGTCAGTTGCCTATAATCCCAGCTACTCAGGAGGCTGAGGCAGGAGAATGGCTTGAAGCCAGGAGGCGGAGGTTGCAGTGAGCCAAAGTCGTGCCACTGCACTCTAGAAGACAGAGCAAGACTCTGTCTAAAAAAAAAAAAGGAGAAAGACTATCATTCCCCTGCAGCTTCCATGTAGTAAACAGAGACTGGCATTCCTTATATTTCCCCTTGTGACTCTCCCAAAGAGGAAGGTGGTCATATAATGAGCTACCAAAATAATAAATGACCATTAACACAAGACTCAAAAAATGCAAGAATTTTAGCTGCACAAGGTGGCTCACGCCTGTAATCCCAGCACTTTGGGAGCCCAAGACTGGCAGATCACCTGAGGTCAGGAGTTTGAGACCAGCCTGGCCAACATGGCGAAACCCCGTCTCTATTAAAAATACAAAAATTAGCCGGGTGTGGTGGCAGGCGCCTGTAGTCCCAGCTACTCGAGAGGCTGAGGCAGGAGGGTCTCTGGAACCCAGGAGGTGGAGGCTGCAGTGAGCTGCGATCATGCCACTGCACTCCAGCCTGGGAAAAGAGTAAGAATCTGTCTCCAAAAAAAAAGAAAGAAAGAAAAAAATGTAAGAATTTGTCAATAGTATCCCTTTAAGATAATTAGTTTTCAGAATGTTGGTATATTTGGATTCTTACATGCCACTTTTACTTGCCCCTCTGAAATGTTTATAATTTATGTTAGGAGAGCATCTTTTTAAAAATAATTAATTAATTTGAAAAGTTTTTGTAGACAAGGTCTTGCTGCATTGCCCAGACTGGTCCTGAACAGGGTTCAAGTGATCCTCTCACCTCGGCCTCCCAAAGTGCTCCAATTACAGGTGTGAGCCACTCAGATAAGGAAGCATTTTTTTATATAATCTGCTGTTCTATGTCCTTATTATACTCCAACAACAATAGCATTTTTGTTTGTTTCTGTTTTTATTCTAGTCTGAGGTCTTATCAGATGTTACAAATGTGTTCTGTGGGGGAAAATAATACGTCTTCAATCATATAAAATGAGAAGTGCCATCAACTATAACTCTCTTTTGAACACAGTAGCATATGAAAGGTTTTGAGAAATCCAGAAGTAAAGAGGTAGATGTAGGCTGGGCACACTGGCTCATACCCGTAATCCTGGCACTTTGGGAGGCCGAGGCAGGAGGATCTCTTGAGGCCAGGAGTTCAGCAAAAATGGGACTGTGGCTCCCAGAATCCTGTGCGATCACTGGAATTCCTAGCTTCCTGCAAAACAGCAGTGGCAGTGTGGTGTTAGAAGTCTCAGCAGCACAGCACTCATGGGATCTGAGCAATGTTCCTTTCCCTTTTGCTCCTCCAGCCTTGGGAGTTGGCAGCTTCCAGTACTTACTGATATCTGGGTAGCATCCATTCACCTTTTTGTCTCTTCAGCTCCACTAACACTTTTGCAAACTACCCGCTGTGTTAATGGCTCAGTGTTAGAAATACCTAGAGTGGTTTCTGTTGTTCTGATAGATCACTTAAATATACAAACATGGTATTTTCCCCCAAGAAAACATATTAACATGTTGTATGACTACAGTATTTTGTACACCATATTTTGGGAAATACCTAGAGTTATTTATATTGTTCTGACTAGACACTGAAATATACAAACATGGTACTTTCTCCCCAGAAAACCTATTGACTTTTATGATGATGATATTCTGTATGACATAATTTATTTAGGAAATGCAAATAGCCCAAATCTCCTTCACTTTTGTTTTCTAGTTGTTTTTTCTGCAAATAGGCACTTTGACTACTATACTACTATTATTATTCACATTATATTACCTTTTTTTTTTTTTGAGACAAGTCTCACTCTGTTGCCCAGGCTGGAGTACCGCGATCATGGCTCACTGCAGCCTCAACCTCCTGGGCTCAAGCAGTCCTCCCACATCAGCCTCCTGAGTAGCTGGGAGGATCACTTGAGACCAGGAGTTCAGGACCAGCCTGGGCAATGCAGCAAGACCTTTTTAATTAATTAATTAATTAATTAATTAATTACTTTTTAAAAGATGCTTCCCTAATATAAAAATACAAATACCATTGTATTTTTAGTAGAGACAGGGTTTTGTCATGTTGCCCAGGCTGGTTTCAAACTTCTGAGCTCAAACAATCTGCCTGTCTTGGCCTCCAAAAGTGCTGGGATTACAGGTGTGAGCCACCACACCCAGCATATTACATATTTTTAACCAAAGTTTCACTTAAATTCTATATTCCATATACATGTTCCACCCAAGAATTCTTATTGATACCTATAAAATCAAATATCAAGCTTATTTTATTCACCATCATTCTGTCTACTGATATATGGATATAACTCTCAACCAACCCATTTATTTATTCTTGAGATAACTTATATGCAGAGTAAGGTGCATAAATCTTACATATACAGTTTAATGAATTTTTACATAAGCATCAACTAAAGATACAGACATTTCCAGCATTCCACAAAGCTTCCTCCTGCCATTCCATCAATACTTCATTAAAAATGATGACTATCTGAATTTTACCACAGATTAGTTCTACTTGTTTTTGAACTACATACAAATGAAATCATACAATATATTATTTTTATGTCTATCTTCTTTCAATATTTTGTGTGTGAGTTCATCTATGTTGTTGAATGTGGTTTGTTCATTTTTATTTCTGTATCATTATTATATCACTATCATTCATTCACAATTTATTTATTCATTTGACTCACGATGAACATTTGAATTTTTATCAGGTTAGGGCCATTACTGTAATTGCTATGAACACATTCATCCATGTCTTTTGGTGGATATAAGCACTCACTTCTGTAGTGTTCATACTCAAGAGTGGAATTGCTGGTTCAACGAGTTTGTGTATGTTTGGCTTTGTAGATACTGCCAAAAATTTTTCCAAAGTGGTGTACAAATTTGCATTCCCATGAGCAACGTATGAGAGTTCCATTTGCTCTGTATCCTCACCAAAACTTGGTGTTGACATTCTGGTGGAGGTATAGTGGTATTTCATTATGGCTTATATTTGGCTTCTTGATACCTAAGCATGATGAACAAACATGTTTTACATTTAGTGGCCGTATGGATATTCTCTTTCTTTGAGGTACACACTTCTACTCGTTTAAGAATATTGAGTTGTCTGTCTTTTTATCATTAATTTGCAGGAGTTTCTTACAGGAGGAGCCTTTGAAAAGTTCATGGAAAATGTGTATTATGAAAAAAAACTATGCATGGATTTATTTGTTTTTGCACCAAAATAAACTCATACTAAACTTAATATAGCATGTCTGAACAGGATCTAGTTTAAAGTCCTAAGAAGGATAAGACATCAATTTGAAAAGAGCCCTTATCAGAGCAACATGAATTCAGCTAAAATTGAAGAAATAACAAGACATGAAATTTATGGTGAAGCTTAAGTGGAAGAACAGTGAAACTATTGATGTTTTACAAAAAGTTTATGGGTACAATGCTTCAAAGACATTAGCAGCCTACAAATGGATAACTCATTTTAGGAGGGATGAGGTGATATTGAAGATGAAGCCTGCGACAACACACCATTCACATCAATTTGCAAGAAAAAATGTAATTTTCTTCACGCCCTAATTGAAGAGGACTGACAATTAACAGCAGAAACAATAGCCAACACTACAGATATCTCAATTGGTTCAGCTAACACAATTCTGACTAAAAAATTAAAGTTGAACAAACTTTCCACTGGATGGGTGCCAGAACCATTGTGCCCAGATCAGCTGCAGACAAGAGCAGAGCTTTCAATGGAAATTTTAAACAAGTAGGATCAAGATCCTAAAACATTTAATCGAAGAATTGTAATAGGAGATGAAACATCGTTTACCAGTACAATCCTGAAGACAAAGCACAATCAAAGCAATAGCTACCAAGAGGTGAAAGTGGTCCAGTCAAAGCAAAAGTGGACTGGTCAAGAGTAAAGGAGGGCTGAGCACAGTGGCTCATATCTGTAATCCTAGCACTTTGGGAGACCAAGGCAGGAGGATCACTTCTCAGAAATTCCAGACAAGCCTGACAACATAGTAAGACCTTGTCTCTATAAAAAAACTTAAAAATTAGCCAGCCATGGTGGTATGTGGCTATAGTCCCAGCTACTTGGGTGGCTGAGGTGAGAGGATCGCTTGAGCCCAGGAGGTTGAGGCTGCAGTGAGCCGTGATCGCGCCACTGCACTCCAGCCTGGGTGACAGAGCAAAACCCTGTCTCAGAAAAAAAAACAAAAAACAAAAAAAAACGAGCAAAGGTGATGGCAACATTTTTGGGGGATGCTCAATGCACTTTGCTTATTGACTTTCTGAAGGACCAAAGAATGACAATATTGCCAGGCATGGTGGCTCAATGCCTGTAATCCCAGCTACTTGAGAGGCTGAGGCAGGATAATCGCTTCAATCTGAGAGGCGGACGTTGCAGTGAGATGAGATCACGCCACTGCACATTAGCCTGGGCGACAGAGTGAGACTTTGTCTCAAAAAAAAAATGACAATATTATGACAATGCTTATTATCAGGGTTTTGAGAAAGTTAGCCAGTTAGCAGAAAAATGCCTGGAAAGCTTCACCAGAGAGTTCTTCTCCACCACGACAATGCTCCTGCTCATTCCTCTCATCAGTCAAGGGACATTTGTGAGCATTTTGATGAGAACTCATTATACGTCTACCTTACAATCCTGATTTAGCTCCTTCTTACTTCTTTTTGCCTCAAAAAAATCTTTAAAGGGCACCAATTTTTCTTCAGTTGATAATGTAAAAAAGACTGCATTGACATGGTTAAATTCCCAGGATCCTCAGTTCTTTAGGGGTGGACTGAATGGCTGGTATCACTGCTTACAAAAGTATCTTGAGCCTGATAAAGTATGTTGAGAAACGAAGTTTATGTTTTATCTTTTAATTCCATTTTTCATGAAGTTTTGGAGTCCCCTTGCATAGTCTATGTATGAGTTTTTTATTGGATATATGTATTAAAGATATTTTCTCTCAAGGCCAGGCACAGTGGCTCACACCTGTAATCCCAGCAGTTTGGAAAGCCGAGGTGGGCAGACCACTTGAGGCCAGGAGTTCGAGACCAGCCTGGCCAACATGGCAAAACTGCATCTCAAATGAAAATACAAAAATTAGTGGGTGTGGTGGTGCGACTGCAATCCCAGCTATTCAGGAGGCTGAGGCACAAGAATTGCTTGAACCCAGGAGGCAGAGGTTGCAGTGAGCTGAGACTGCCACTGCACTCCAGCCTGGGCAATAGAGCAAGACTCTATCTCAAAAATATATATCTATGTCTATAACTATCTTCGCTCAGTCCATTGCTTTTCCACTCAATTAATTCTGTCTTTTGATAAATAGAAGTTCTTTATTTTTTCCTTGAGACAGGGTCTCACTCTGTCACCCAGGCTGAAGTGCAGTGGCCCAATCATGGCTCACTGTAGCCTCGACCTCCTGGGCTCAAGCTAATCTCCCACCTCAGCCTCCTGAATAGCTAGGACTACAGGCATGTGCCACCACACCTGGCTAATTTTTTTTAAATGTTTTGTACAGATGGAGTCTTGCCATGTTGCCCAGGCTGGGTCTTGACCTCCTGGGCTCAAGCTATCCGCCCACCTTGGCCTCCTAAAGTGTTGGGATTTCAGGTTTGAGCCAACACACCCAGCCTGAAGTTCTTAATTTTACTGAAGTATAATTTATCAGTCTTTTCTATTACAGATAGTACATTTCTGTCCTGCTTATGATATTTTTCTGTACACTAAGGTCATGAAGATATTTTCTTATATTTTCTTCCAGAGCTTTATTTGGACTGGTCTAAACCTACATCTAGGTATTTGACCATCTCGAATTAATTTTTTATAGTATGCAGTAGGAATGAGGGTTAATTTTTTTCCATATTGAAACCCAGTGGACCTGGCACCATTTATTGAAAAGACCATCCTTTCCCCTGCTGAATTGTAGTGGTGTCTTTCTTATAAATCATGTGACTCTTTTCATGCAGATCTGTCCCAGGATCAGCATTCTGTTCCACTAATCTGTGTGTCTATTCTTGAACCAATATTATACAGTCTTAGTTATTATAGTTTCAAAGTCAATCTTGTTATTTCTTGGCCCTTTGCATTTCAATGTATATATTTTCAAGGAGAATCTTCAGTCTAGTTAAATGTAATTATCAAAAATGCTTGGGTTTAAGTGTACCATCTTTCTACTCGTTTGTCCCATCTGTTTTTTATTCCTTTATTTCACCCTTTGTGCCTTGTTTTGTATCAAACTATTGTTATTTCATTTTTCTCCTCCATCAGCTATTAGAACTACAGGTGTGTGCCACAGTGCCTGGCTTCATTTTTTTTTCTTTTTTTGAGACAGAATCTTGCTCTGACACCTAGGCTGGAATGCAGCGGCATGATCTTGGCTCACTGCAACCTCTGCCTGCCAGGTTCAAGCAATTCTCATGCCTCAGCCTCCCAAGCAGCTGGGATTATAGGCAAGTGCCACCATGCCCTGCTAATTTTTGTATTTTTAGTAGAGATGGGGTTTCACCATGTTGGCCAGGCTGGTCTTGAACTCCTGGCATCTGCCCACCTTGGCCTCCCAAAAGGCTAGGATTACAAGTATGAGCCATGGCGCCTGGGCTGTGCCTGGCTTTCTATTAGCTTTTTCAACAACTTTATTGAAATATAATACGTATATCATGTAATTCACCCATTTACAGTATACAATTCAATGGCTTTTAGTCTATTCAAAAAGTTGTGCATCCATCACCTCAATTGCTTTCACATTTTCATTGCCACAAAAAGAAATCCTGCAGCCCTTAGCTATCATATTCAATTCCCCCATACCCCCAGTCCTAGGTAACCACTAAACTAATTTTCTAACTCTATAGGGTTGCCTATTCTGGACATTTTATATAAACATTTAGAAAAATGTACACAATGGGTATTCGTGTGGTATTATCTGAGTGTGTGTGTATATATAAGAGAGTAAGAAGGAAAAAAGAGAAACTTCTGAATAACACATGGAGTGAGGAAAGAATGGGAAGGGAGAAAAAGTGGGCATAAATTTCTATATTTTCATGGGTGTGGACAATTGTGCACTTAAAGATCAGATTTATGTTTATAAGAAAAAAACAACTCCATTAAAAAGTGGGTAAAGGACATGGGCAGACACTTTTCAAAAGAAGACATATGTGCAGCCAATAAGCATATGAAAAAAAGCTCAACGTCACTAATCAATAGAAAAATGCAAATCAAACCCACAAGGAGATACCATCTCACACCAGTCTGAATGGCTTTTACTAAAAAGTCAAAAAAACAACAGGTGCTGGTGAGGTTGCAGAGAAAAAGGAGCACTTACTCACTGTTGGTAGGAGTGTAAATTAGTTCAACCATTGTGGAAAGCAGTGTGGCGATTCCTCAAAAAACCTAAAACCAAACTGCCATTTGACCCAGCAATCCCATTGATGGGTATATACCCAGAGGACAAATTGTCCTATCATAAAGACATATGCATGCGTACATTCAAGGCAGCACTATTAATAACAGCAAAGACATGAAATCAACCAAAATGCCCATGGATGGTAGACTGGACAAAGAAAATGTGGTACATATACACCATGGAATACTATGCAACCATTAAAAAGAACAAGATCATGCCCTTTGTAGGAATGTGAATGGAGCTGAAGGTCATTATCCTTAGCAAACTAACACAGGAACAAAATGTCAAATACCACATTCTCACTTATACGTGGGAACTAAGTGATGTGAACACATGGACACAGAGAGGGCGACAATAGATACTAGGGCCTGCAGGAGGGTGAAGGGTGGAGGGTGGGAGGAGGGAGAGGATCAGAAAAAATAACTAATGGGTACAAGGCTTAATACCTAGGTGACAAAATAATCTGTACAACAAACTCCCATGACACAAGTTTACCCATGTAACAAACCTGTACATATACCCCATACTTAAAAGTTAAAAAAAAGAAATCAGATTTATAAATTAGGATACTGAATTCCAGGTTCTTGGTAAAGTGTCTTAAAAGAAACTAATGTTGCACAGATGTACCGACAATCCTAAGCATAAAAATTTTGGTTCTCAAATATCCACTGAAGAAAGACTAGCACATATTTTGGCACTGCAATAAGAATCAACAAGCTGAAACCAGTTTTTTCCTTCAAAATACTTCAAAGGAAATGTACACCTCAGCCACTCCTATCCTTTTTTCTAGAAGGTAAATAAAGATGACTGATGCATTTGGTGATTAAAAGCCTGTATTGTTTTTAAATGGACAAAAAAGGCCTTGTAAGGATTTTTAGTTTCATTATTTATAATTAGTTTTTCTTCTTATTTCAAGGAAGTGCCAAGCTTGTTCCTTAGAGTCTTTGCACTTGCTGTTCCCACTGAATGAGTCCTGGTTCTTTGCTCAGTGGTTTCCTCTAATGATCAAAGTATTGAGGGCCAGGTGCAGTGGCTCATGCCTGTAATCCCAGCACTTTGGGAGGCTGAGGTGGGCTGATCATTTGCGGTCAGGAGTTCGAGACCAGGCTGGTCAACACGGCGAAACCCTGTCTCTACAAAAAAATACAAAAATTACCTGGGCATGGTGGCACACGCCTGTAATCCCAGCTGAGGCATGAGAATCGCTTGAACCCAGGAGGCAGAGGTTGCAGAGAGCCAAGATCGTGCCACTGCACTCCAGCCTGGGCAACAGAGGGAGACTCTGACTCAAAAAAAAGAAGTACTGAGCTCATATGCCACCTCCAAAGACAAGCCTTTCCATTTAACTATATCTAAGCCTTCCCCACTTCTCACCATCTCTTCCCATCTCCTGTATCCAATCATCCTGTTTTATTGTTTTCTTAGCTGTTACTTACACTATCTGAAATTGTCTTTTTTATGTATTTATTGATGGAATAAATGTTCTTCTCCTCTCTCTATAATGTCATTTCTATAAGAGCAAGAACCTTGTCTGATGTATCCATTGCTGTATCACAGCAGTGCCTGCATACAATAGGGGCTGCAATAAATATCTGCTGGATAGATTAATATATAAAAGAACTTTTCTAGTATCCTCAATTTTTCAGGCCACTGTGCTGAACTCTCTACAATACTGTCTCTGTCCTATTATCATATTAAGGCAACAAAACAAAATATAGTCAACAGAAAATTAAATAAACTCAACAATTAAATAATGCAGGCTTTGTTCAAGAAGAGTCAAAGTTCAATATCACACACTTTTTAATTAATTTATTTTTTTTTTTTGAGACAGAGTCTCGTTCTGTTGCCCAGACTGGAGTGCAGTGGTGGGATCTTGGCTCACTGCAACCTCCGCTTCCCGGGTTCAAGCAATTCTCCTGCCTCAGCCTCCTGAGTAGCTGGGACTACAGGCATGCACCACCACTACTGGCTAATTTTTGTATTTTTAGTGGAGACAGGGTTTTGCCATGTTGGCCAGGCTGGTCTCAAACTCCTGACCTCAGGTGATCCACCCACCTCGGCCTCCCAAAGTGCTGGGATTACAGGCATGAGCCATTGCGCCCAGCCTCATACACTTATTTATTAATTCTATAAATCTTCTTAATTTGGCGAAGTCTAAGACCACGTAAGAGACTGAGCTTGTATGATGTTTCTGATTTCTACACTTACAAGACATAAATGAAATTTGTAGATTTAGAATGACATATTGGGAAGTGCCTTGTTTGGAATCACAGGAACTGCCACACACAGGCTCTGGGTCAATGGACAATTAACTTCTGAGCCTCAGTTTACTCTCAGAAATAAACTCAATTTACCCTTAGGGATACTGTCTTAGTCTGATTTGTGCTGCTATAACAGAATACTACAGACTGGGTAATTTTAAGGGAATAGAAATTTATGTCCTCATACTTCTGCAGGTGGGAAAGTTCAAGATCAAGGTACCAGCATCTGATGAAGGTCTTCTTGTTATGACATCCCATAGCAGAAGGTGGAAAAGCAAGAGACCTTGAGAGTCAGAGAGAAACAAATGGGGTGCCAAACTCGTCCTTTTATGAGGAACCCTGTCCTGCAATAATGAACCCACTCCCACAATAATGTCGTTAATACATTTATGAGAGCTCTCATGGCCTAATCACCTCTTAAAGGTTCCACCTCTTAGTACTGTTACAATGGCAATTAAATTTCAACATGACTTTTGGAGTGGACATTCAAACCATAGCAGATACCTACCCCACAATAACTACAGGGATGTTGTGAGGCTTAAGAAATAAAGCAAACTGGTCTGGCATGGTGACTCACACCTGTAATCTCCGCACTTTGGGAGGCCAAGGCAGGCAGATCACTTGAGCTCAGGAGTTCAAGAGCAGCCTGGGCAACATGGTGAAACCGTGTGTCTACAAAAAATATTAAAAATTAGCAGGCCAGGTGTGGTGGCTCACGCCTATTATCCCAGCACTTTGGGAGGCCAAGGTGGGCAGATCACAAGATCAAGAGATTGAGACCATCCTGGACAATATGGTGAAACCCCGTCTCTACTAAAAATACAAAAATTAGCTGAACATGGTGGCGCACGCCTGTAGTCCCAGCTACTTGGGAGGCTGAGGCAGGAGAATTGCTTGAACCCAGGAGGTGGAGGTTGCAGTGAGCCGAGATCATGCCACTGCACTCCAGCCTGGTGACAGAGTGAGACTCCATCTCAAAAAAAAAAAAAAAAAATTAGCTGGGCATGGTGGTGTACCTGTGGTCCCTGCTACTTGGGAGGCTGAGGCAGGAGAATCACCTGAGTGCCACTGCACTCCAGCCTAGGCAATGGGAGTGAAACTCTGTCTAAATAAATAAATAATAAAATAAACCAATTATAAATAACATTTACTGGTCATTTAGTACCAGACTAAATCCTTTATATTTATTATTAATATAAGCCACATAGGATCATGTGGTTTATATTCATAATAAATGTAAAGGATTTAGTAAGTATTTAGCAGTATGTTATTGTTATTTTGTATATATGGTAACTGAGACACAGAGTGATGATGGGACTTAACCACGGTCACATGATGTGTAAGTGGTGGTATAGCCAAGGTTCAAACCCAGAGCCTGTGCTCTCACCCATTGTTCTTTACGTTTTCCATATAGTAAAGAGTTTTTCAAGGATGATTTGTCAAGAATGCTTTGACCAAGAAGTTCTTGCAGCAATAATCAGGAGTTTGCTTAGTAAGATTCTGCCTTTCCTAAACTCAACTCATGGCTACTAAACCTAAAGCCAATGCTACTGGTATTCTCGATAGCTGCATCTGATTCCCAGCAAAGTCATGAGACTAAAATGCAATGCTGAGTCATCCTATATGTCCCAGGTTCTGCATAGTGTGCTCTACTTGGCAACAATTCCCTTGCTTTGCTTTAGCCAAACTGAAAAAAGAAAAAAAAACAAAAAAAGCTGACATTGCACTTAAATCTCAAGTCTGAAAAAGCCTTTCTGAATTCCTATGGATCAACTGTTATTAGAATAAGTACAAATCAAGGGAATTAAGTTTAATCCATCTAATAAATAAAGAGAGCCTTAGCCAGGGTTAGGGGGAAATCTGTTCCAGCAGTGTTCTAAGGAAGAATAGGCATTTACTGTACTCTTTGATTACTTGCTGACGCATTTAGAATAAGCCAGTGTCTGAGAGAGCATTCTATGTGAGGATGCAACTTAACTGTCTTCTAAAATTACAATACATATTTAATCTCTTATTGGATTTTTTTTTCTTTGGAAGGGACTTGTTCTCAATAATTTCTTCATTGTGCTGAGAACAATAATTTTAAGATTATGGATATAACCATGGTATCTAGGAGTTTTCTTACATTTTTGGCTCTGGCAGAAGAAAATTGTAATTTAAGAAAAATTCTCCAACTTTTGCCAATTTGGGATCTGAAAAATATAAATATAATTAATGTAAAAAGTCTGGATAACTCTAACAAAAAATGCACCTCTTTTACTCTCAGAAGAGTTATGTGATTTATGAGGGTCACCTATATTGCAAGAATTCTGTTTTTTTGTTTAAGTAGAGATGGAGGTTTCACCATGTTGGCCAGGGTGGTCTTGAACTTCTGGCCTCAAGTAATCTGCCTGCCTCGGCCTCCCAAAGTGCTGGGATTATAGGCATGAGCCACCATGCCCTCCCAAGAAATGTTTTTAAATATGCTTTGTTTTTATAAAATTTGGGTTGGTATTGATGGGTTTCATTAAGCAATATTTCAAAAATAACAATTGTTAATATTATCACTGGTCTCACCATAAATATATCATAAAAGTCTCTAAATATTGGGAAGCTGTCAAGCTCATAGGGAGGATACAAGTTTTCCAAAATTCCAATTTTCACTTGAAAACTCAATTTTTTTTCACTAGTAAACAATACTGTTCAGTTGTGTTCCCAGAAGTGACAGGAATACTTGCTTCATTTTATGAGATAAAATGATATGATGGTCTGGTTATAAGTTTAGTTTACTTCAATATTTGGTGTTAATGGCTCTCAAAGCTAAAAAAGATCCTGCAGAGAAGTATGGATTCAAATGGAAGAGTTAGCTTCACTTACTAAATCAGAGTATTAATTTTTCACTCCATTCACCAATTAAAAAGATATGTTAATTACCCTGATCTAATCACTACAGTATATGTATTGAAACATCGCTATGTACCCCATGAATATGTACAATTATTATCTGTCCAGTTATAAAAACAAAACAAAAAAGAGGAGCTAAAAAGGAAGATTTTTGTTTAAGTAATAAATTTATATTTTCTTCGATGTCAATAAATTACTCTTGGAAGCAATAAAAGGTTTTGCATTTTCATATTTTAAACAAATAGGTTTAAAACTAACTTTTTGAAAATATTTAAAAATAGAGCAGATAAATTTGTTTTAGCAACAGATAGGAGAGTTTTATAGATGGACATACATCATTTTTGACAATAAACTCTTGTAACGATGGAAATATTTCCAAATATCTGTTGTCAAAATGCCTTTTATCTTGGAGTTTTTTTCAAAATGTGGATATATATTTTCTCACTCATTGTAAAGTGCTCCCTTTTCTTGAAGGTGAAACATTAAACATGTTTTGGTATACATTTGTTTTATTTTGTTTCTCATTTTTATTTCCATACAACCACTATGAAACAGTTTTACAGTGTTATAAAAAAAAGTTAAATACTATATACACCTATTATATGATCCAGCCATTCTACTCCTTAGGTATTTACCTAAGAGAAATTAAAGCTTAAGTCCATACAAATACTTGTATGTAAATGTTCATAGCCACTTTATTTGTGTTTGGCAAAAATTAGAAACAACCCAAATGTCTGTCAACAGGTAAACTAATAATGGTTTAGCCATACAGTGAAATATGTCACAGTAACAAAGATGTAAGTAACAAAAAGGTATGACCTATTGATACATATAAAGTACATACTGTAGATTCCACTTGTATAAAACTCTAGAAAATGCAAACTAATGACAGAAGGAAGATTAGTGGTTATCTGGGGTAGGGAATCAGGAGCAAGGAGGGGAGAGAAGATAGAATTTCATAGGGGTATGAGAAAACTTTTGAGGGTGATGAATATATTTATCATCTTGATTGTGTTGGTTTCATTGGTATATACATATGTCAAACTCATCAAATTGTACAGTTTAAATAGGTGCAGTTCATTGCATGTCAATTGTACCTCAATTTAAAAATGAAATGAAAAAACTACAATGAGTTACCATTATACACCCACTAGAATGGCTAAAGTTAAAAGACTTTGCCCACTGCTGGTGAAGGTGTGGGGCAGCTGGAACTCTCCTACACTGCTGATGAGAATGCAAAAGAGTACAATGACTGGAAAATAGATGGGCACTTTCTTGAAAACTTAAAACACTTTTGCCAAATATCCCAGCCATTCCACTTCTACATATTTATTCAAGAAATATGGGAACATGTCCACACAAAGACTTGTATATGAATATTCATAGCAGCTTTATTCATAATAGCCCAAACCTGGAAATAGCCCAAATGTCCATCAACAGATCAATGGATAAACACATTTGATAGATCTATTAAATGGGATACACTATTCAACAATAAAAAGATTGATACACCAACGAGATACATAAATCTCAAAATCATTATACTTAATGAAAGTAGCCAGACCAAAAAAAAAAAAGAATACATGCTGTATTATTCCATTTATATAAAATTCTAGAAAATGCAAACTAACCTATCAGAAAGCAAATCAGGAGTTACCTGGGGATAGAAGGAAGGATAAAACTAAAAGGAGCAGGAGGAAACTTTTGGGGTTGATGAAATGTTTGTTGTCTTGATTTTGATAATGGTTTCATAGATACATGTCAAAACTTACCAAATGTGGAAGGCTGAGGTTGCAGTGAGCTATGACTGTGCCATTGCACTCCAGCCTGTGTGGCAAAGCGAGACCCTGTCTCAAAAACAAAAACAAACAAAAACTTAGCAAATTGTGCACTGCACACACATACATACAAACACATATGTAGTTTATTGTCATCAATTAAACTTCAATAAATCTGTAAACAAAAAAAGTGGAATATGATCATTGCTAAATGCTATCAATGAATACTTTGGGGGGGAAATGAAAGGCTAAGGGTATTAATCATCGACTGAAGGCAAAGTGTGAAAGCTAGAAGGCCTCTTTGGCAGCAGATGCTCATCTCTTGTAGTCTGGAGGCAGAAAAAACTGAGGATCAGATTCAGCCTTTAATTCCAAGAGTAGTGAACAAGCTCTAGAAATATATGATTCTCAACTCAGGCAAGTTGGCTTCATCAAGGTCAGGGAGGGTATTGATGGGAAGGACTGTGATCTTAAGACTTGGAATGGGTCCTCTTGGTTAATATGCTGAAAATCTTGAATCGCACTTCCCCTGATTCCTCCGGGCTGGCACAAGCAGCCTTCTCCTCTCCCTCTCTTAAAGGTTAGCTCTACCCATTTCCTGGAAGATGATGCCAAGTCCTCTACTTTGCAAGATAAATGCCACCCCCCACCCACCCACCTCTGCCCAGGATACACACCTGATATACTTTGGATGTGTGTCCCCACCCAAATCTCATATAAAAAATCCCCAATGTTGGAGGTAGGCCATGGTCAGAGGTGATTGGATCATGGTGGCAGATTTCTCATGAATGGCTTAGCACCATCGTCTTGGTACTGTCATCACAACAGTGAGTGAGCTCTTGTAAGATCTGGTCATTTAAAAGCATCTCCCCCTCATTTTCTTGCTCCTGCTCTGGCCATGTGATATGCCTGCTCCCCCTTCACCTTCTGCCATGGTTGTAAGTTTCCTGAGGCCTCCCCAGAAGCCAAGCACTTGTTAGCACTGTGCTTCCTGTACAGCCTGCAGAAACGTGAGCCAATTAAACCTCTTTTATCAATTACCTAATCGCAGGTATTTCTTTATAGCAATGTGAGAACAGAGTAATGCAACCCCCACCTCACATTCTGGCTACCCAATAAAAAATTAGGATCAATCATGATATAACACAGCTTGGGGGTGCTGGGTCTGTTATGGAGGAAAAGGCGCTGCAGGTCCTAGTTAAGATGTACTGGCAAGAGCTGAGAAAATACACATGAGACTGGAACATGAAAATGCAGTCAAGGAGAATAATGTTGGATAAGGGAGAGTATATCGACATAAGGATGGATCATTCTCCTGTCATATTACATTCAACATCTTGGGTAACAACTGGTTCATAAAACTTCAAAAAATGTAACAATCTTGTGAGAGTTGATGAGAATAAATCCATCTTGTGAGAGCTGGTTCTAGACACCAGTGGCTAAGTCTGATGGTTGATGTTGGTACCAAACTACGCTACATGATGGCAATGGGAATAACAGGATCCCCAAACAAAAGGTGCCTGGTGGCAAATCTAAACCATCAGAACCAAAATAGGCTTAATTACTGTAATAACAGCAAAGTCTGAGTAGCAAGTAATGGAGTTTCCGACCCTCGGAGAGCTATGAAGATTAAGAGAACATGAGTCCCTAAGGGCAAGAGAGACAGGCAGCATTGCAATCAATGGAATCAATTAAATGGGATGCTATTCAAAAATAAAAAGATCGATGCACTAACAATCTGTGTAAATCTCAAAATCATTGTACTTAATGAAAGAAGCCAGACACAAAGAGTACATGCCATATGATACACAACAAAGATAGATGACTAAAATCCTGAGAGCACTTCCCAACAAAAAGTCATGATGTCTTCCCTGTTTCAGAACTTGAGACCTTTTTCAGATTCAGAACCCAATGACTGAACAACAATGAGGATCTTGCGTGAGAAAAACCCTATAATGCAAGTGTTTACAATGATTCTCTCATACCTATCCCAAAGAGACCTGTGGCCATTTACTCAGGTTACTGTATACAAGGGAAAGAGACAAGCCAAGGCATTTTGAGGAGTTTGTTGGTGGCAGAGTCTGTTTTGACATTAATACCTAAGAATTAATGCAGAATTAATTCAAAGGGGCATTATCATGGCCACCTTGTTGGGGAAAAGGGTTATGGTTGCCAGATGATACATGGGGTCCTTGCAAAGATCCCACTCACAGTAGGTTCACTGGTTTCATGACCCATCAGTGATTATTTCCCTGGTCACTGACTTTGTAGTTAGCACAACCCCCACACTGGTTTCTTAACCAATGGTGTAAGAGCTACGGAAGTGGGGAAAGCCAAGTGGAGACTCTGAAACTGTCCCTCTCATCCTGTCTCAGCCAATATAGTAAATTTTAAAAGAATACGGCATTGACAATATTGTACATAAAAGACAAATATTATAAATAATTGTAAAAATGTAAAAAAATTATATTGTAAATTAAAAACAATATTGCCTGGGACTATGGTAGACGTTAAAGTCATCCTTAAAGACCCAAAAGTTGCAGGCACTGTGATCCCCATCAAGTGCCTACTTAATTCACCGGTCTGACCCTATAAAAACCAGATATGTCTTAAAGGATGATACTAGACTCCTGCTCATCTATAAACTGATTTACATTCCATAAAAATACCATGAGGTCTTTTTTTGATTGGTAGGCTATTAATTATTGCCTCAATTTCAGAGCCTGTTATTGGTCTATTCAGGGATTCAACTTCTTCCTGATTTAGTCTTGGGAGGGTGTATGTGTGCAGGAATTTATCCATTTCTTCTAGATTTTCTAGTTTATTTGCACAGAGGTATTTACAGTATTCTCTGATGGTAGTTTGTATTTCTGTGGGATCGGTGGTGATATCCCCTTTATCATTTTTTATTGCATCTGTTTGATTCTTCTCTCTTTTCTTCTTTATTAGACTTGCTAGTGGTCTATCAATTTTGTTGATCTTTTCAAAAAACCAGCTCCTGGATTCATTGATTTTTTGAAGGGTTTTTTGTGTTTCTATTTCCTTCAGTTCTGCTCTGATCTTAGTTATTTCTTGCCTTCTGCTAGCTTTTGAATGTGTTTGCTCTTGCTTCTCTAGTTCTTTTAATTGTGATGTTAGGGTGTCAATTTTAGATCTTTCCTGCTTTCTCTTGTGGGCATTTAGTGCTATAAATTTCCCTCTACACACTGCTTGAAATGTGTCCCAGAGATTCTGGTACGTTGTGTCTTTGTTCTCATTGGTTTCAAAAAACACCTTTATTTCTGCCTTCATTTCGTTATGTACCCAGTAGTCATTCAGGAGCAGGTTGTTCAGTTTCCATGTAGTTGAGTGGTTTTGAGTGAGTTTCTTAATCCTGAGTTCTAATTTGATTGCACTGTGGTCTGAGAGACAGTTTGTTATTTCTGTTCTTCTGCATTTGCTGAGGAGTGCTTTACTTCCAACTATGTGCTCAATTTTGGAATAAGTGCAATGTGGTGCTGAGAAGAATGTATATTCTGTTGATTTGTGGTGGAGAGTTCTGTAGATGTCTATTAGGTCCCCTTGGTGCAGAGGTGAAGTCCTGGATATCCTTGTTAACCTTCTGTCTCCTTGATCTGTCTAATGTTGACAGTGGGGTGTTAAAGTCTCCCATTATTATTGTGTGGGAGTCTAAGTCTCTTTGTAAGTCTCCAAGGACTTGCTTTATGAATCTGGGTGCTCCTGTATTGGGTGCATATATATTTAGGATAGTTAGCTCTTCTTGTTGAATTGATCCATTTACCATTATATAATGGCCTTGTCTCTTTTCATCTTTGTTGGTTTATATTCTGTTTTATCAGAGATAGGATTGCAACCCCTACCTTTTTTTGTTTTCCATTTGCTTGGTAGATCTTCCTCCCTCCCTTTATTTTGAGCCTATGTGTGCCTCTGCACATGAGATGGGTCTCCTGAATACAGCACACTGATGGGTCTTGACTCTTTATCCAATTTGCCAGTCTGTGTCTTTTAATTGGAGCATTTAGCCCATTTACATTTAAGGTTAATACTGTTATGTGGGAATTTGATCCTGTCATTATGATGTTAGCTGGTTACTTTGCTCGTTAGTTAATGCAGTTTCTTTCTAGCATTGATGGTCTTTACATTTTGGCATGTTTTTGCAGTGGCTGGTACTGGTTGTTCCTTTCTATGTTTAGTGCTTCCTTCAGGAGCTCTTGTAGGGCAGGCCTGGTGGTGACAAAGTCTCTCAGATTTGCTTGTCAGTAAAGGATTTTATTTTTCCTTCACTTATGAAGCTTAGTTTGGCTGGATGTAAAATTCTGGGTTGAAAATTCTTTTGTTTAAGAATGTTGAATATTGGCCCCCACTCTCTTCTGGCTTGTAGAGTTTCTGCCGAGAGATCTGCTGTTAGTTTGACGGGCTTCCCTTTGTGGGTAACCCGACCTTTCTCTCTGGCTGCCCTTAACATTTTTTCCTTCATTTCAACTTTGGTGAATCTCACAATTATGTGTCTTGGAGTTGCTCTTCTTGAGGAGTATTTTTGTGGTGTTCTCTGTATTTCCTGAATTTGAATGTTGGCCTGCCTTGCTAGGTTGGGGAAATTCTCTTGGATAATATCCTGCAGAGTGTTTTCCAACTTGGTTCCATTCCTCCCATCACTTTCAGGTACACTAATCAGACATAGATTTGGTCTTTTCACATACTCCCATATTTCTTGGAGGCTTTATTCATTTCTTTTTACTCTTTTTTCTCTAAACTTCTCTTCTCACTTCATTTCATTCGTTTGATCTTCAATCACTGATACCCTTTCTTCCAGTTGATCAAATCGGCTACTGAAGCTTGTGCATTTGTCACGTAGTTCTCGTGCCATCATTTTCAGCTCCATCAGATCATTTAAGGACTTCTCTACACTGGTTATTCCAGTTAGCCATTCATCTAATCTTTTTTCAAGGTTTTTAGCTTCTTTCTGATGGGTTCGAACTTCCTCTTTTAGCTCGGAGAAGTTTATCTCACACCCGTTAGAATGGCAATCATTAAAAAGTCAGGAAACAACAGGTGCTGGAGAGGAAGTGGAGAAACAGGAATACTTTTACACTGTTGGTGGGACTGTAAACTAGTTCAACCATTGTGGAAGACAGTGTGGTGATTCCTCAGGGATCTAGAACTAGAAATACCATTTGACCCAGCCATTCCATTACTGGGTATATACCCAAAGGATTATAAATCATGCTGCTATAAAGACACATGCACACGTATGTTTATTGCGGCACTATTCACAATAGCAAAGACTTGGAACCAACCCAAATGTCCATCAGTGATAGACTGGATTAAGAAAATGTGGCACATATACACCATGGAATACTATGCAGCCATAAAAAAGGATGAGTTCATGTCCTTTGTAGGGACATGGATGAAGCTGGAAACCAACATTCTGAGCAAATTATCGCAAGGACAGAAAACCAAACACTGCATGTTCTCACTCATAGGTGGGAATTGAACAAGGAGAACACTTGGACACAGGAAGGGAAACATCACACACTGGGGCCTGTCGTGGGGTGGGGGGATGGGGGAGGGATAGCATTAAGAGATATACCTAATGTAAATGACGAGTTAATGGGTGCAGAACACCAACATGGCATATGTATACATATGTAACAAACCTGCACGTTGTGCACATGTACCCTAGAACTTAAAGTATAATTAAAAAAAAGAAGAAAAAAAATACCATGAGGTAATTACTAATATTATCCTCATTTTACAGTTGCACTGAAACATAGGTAACTTGCCCAAAGTCACACAATTCAGTGGCAATGCCGGGGCCAGGAGGCACAAAAGCCTATATTATTAATCACACTTTCATATTGCGTTTCCATATAGGACTATCCTTCGGCTATGAAGTGGCAGTTTCTGATGTGTGACCTGTCAACATACACAACACATGCACATGCACATAGAAGATAATTTATCATCCAGAGAAAGTGCTCACATAACTTTCTTTGTGGTTGATGCCAGTGCTTCACTTCTTTACGGTGGGCCTAAATGGACACATACCACGAAGTTGTGTCCATAATCTTTTGTTTTCAGACGAAATAAACATTTGGTCATCATATTCATGTTACTGGCTCCAGGAAGATACTAGCTCAAACTAGAATCATAACACCAGCTTTGACTGGATTCCAGGGTAATCTTAACTTGTGGCCACTGCTATCAAGCTAGTTAATCCCCAGTAGTCTTTTGAGTCACGAAACATCCTTTCCAACCATTTCCTCCAACCACTTCCTGTATAAAATCAAAGTTCACGCCTGTAATCCCAGCACTTTGGGAAGCTGAGGTGGGCAGATCACAAGGTCAGGAGATCAAGGCCATCCTGGCTAACACGGTGAAACCCCGTCTCTACTAAAAACACAAAAAATTAGTCGTTCATGGTGGCACGTGCCTGTAGTCCCAGCTACTCGGGAGGCTGAGGCAGGGTAATCACTTGAATCCGGGAGGTGGAGGGTTGCAGTGAGCCAAGATCACGCCACTGCACTCCAGCCTGGGCAACAGAGCAAGACTCCATCTCAAAACAAACACACACCAAAGTTCAGGGTCAAACTGCCCTCTTGTGGTGAAATATTGCTATCTGTTTGGTCTTCAATACTTGCCCTTTGCATGTTAAGTTTTCAGTCTGTCTGGCATTGATTTTTTTTTTTTTTTTTTTGAGATGGAATTTCGCTCTTGTTGCCCAGGCTGGAGGGCAATGGCGCGTTCTTGGCTCACCACAACCGCCGCCTCCCGGGTTCAAGTGATTATCCTGCTTCAGCCTCGCCA
Organism: Homo sapiens; assembly: GCF_000001405.40. Taxonomy (NCBI): domain Eukaryota; kingdom Metazoa; phylum Chordata; class Mammalia; order Primates; family Hominidae; genus Homo; species Homo sapiens. The sequence goes on along the minus strand of NC_000012.12, from coordinate 27,039,419 downwards.
GTAGCTGGGATTACAGGCATGCACCACCACACCCGGCTAATTTTGTACTTTTAGTAGAGACGGGGTTTCTCCATGTTGGTCAGGCTGGTCTCGAACTCCTGACCTCAGGTGATCTGCCACCTCGGCTTCCCAAAGTGCTGGGATTACAGGTGTGAGCCACTGCGCCTGGCCGTCATTGATTTTTTACTTTTTTTTTTTTTTTGAGATGGAATCTCGCTCTGTTGCCCAGGCTGGATGGAGTGCCAGGCGCATCATCTCGGCTCACGGCAGCCTCCGCCTCCAGGGATCAAGCGATTTTCCTGCCTCAGCCACCTGAGTAGCTTAGATTACAGGCACGTGCCACCACGTCTGGCTAATTTTTGTACTTTTAATAGAGATGGGGTTTCAACATGTTGGTCAGGCTGGTCTTGAACTCCTGACCTCATGATCCGCCCGCCTCAGCCTCCCAAAGTGCTGGGATTTTTAAAATATTTTTTATAACAGCTTTATTGAGGTATTATTCACATACCATGCTTTAAAAATATACAATTCAGTGGTTCTTAGTACATTCACAGAGTTGTGCAAACATCACATCTAATTCCAGAACATTTTGATCACTCCTCCCAAACTCCATAGGCATTGACTTTAATGTAATGGCATATAAATATATAGAAATACATATAGAAACCAATTATTCTAGCACCATTTCCATTCTTTCCCCAGGGACTGCAACATCATCTGTCATAAATCAACTTTTCATGTCTGTGTGAATTTGGTTTTGATCTCCCTATTGAGAGACTGGTGTACAGTATTTGTCTATCCCTGCACAAATTATTAAAGCAAGTTTTGCCATTCTGTTATCCTTCCTCATGAATATCTTGATTACTTTTGGCCCTAACTCATCAAGTTCCACAGAAATCCCAATTGGAATCTTAGTTAAAATTGTGTTGTCTATGGACCAGTTGAAGAAAACTGACACATTTATAATACTGACTCTGTTCCATAAAGATGGTATTACTTTCTACTTATTTTGTTTAAAAATGTTTTAAATGAAGCTTTATAATTTTTTTGTTATACGCATCCCTAGATATCTTACATTTTTGTTATATTCGTTGTATTCCTGAATCCTTATTATTTAATGTCACTGAAAATGTACTTTAAAAAAAAAACAACGTGTTTTTCTTACCATTTGTTGCTGGTATGTTACATATTGTTTTTTGGGAAGCCTATCCATGGAATCTTCTTGATTTTCTATGTAATTATATCATCTTTAAGTACTGAGAGTTTTCTTTCCTTTTTATCTTATAATTTTTATTTCTTTCATGCTTAGATGTGTTGGTGAGAATCACCAGCTTAAAGATGAGTAGATGTGGTGGTCTTAATAGGAAGCTCTGTCTTATTCCCAAGCTGAAAGGGAACAAGTTTGATCTTTCAGTAAGATGGTTACTACAGTTTTGTACATACCCTTTATATTTTAAAAATTCTTTGCTGTTTCTCCTCTGCCAAGAGTTTTTTCATAAATGGATTTTGAATATTATCAAATGCTTCTCGCAAATCAAGATAGATGATCATACTGATTCTGATTTTGATCTGTTAGAATGGCAAATTACATTACCATATTTGATCAAATCAAAGATTCTATAAATTTTAAAACACGTCATTATTTTATGTTTCAGCAAGGAAGAAAATAAAACAGCTGCCCTTTGAATATTCCAATTTGTAATATGTTTTTTTAAAAGGGCATCTCTAAATTGATAAAAATACAAAAAATACATTTTCTAAAGACAGAACTGCCATGCATTCCTGAGATTAAACATACATTTATTGTGATATATGCAATTGTTAATACCCACTGTCTCTAATTTGCTATTTTTCCATGTTTACTGAATGGGCAAAAACTGGAAGCATTCCCTTTGAAAACTGGCACAAGACAGGGATGCCCTCTCTCACCACTCCTATTCAACATAGTGTTGGAAGTTCTGGCCAGGGCAATTAGGCAGGATAAGGAAATAAAGGGTATTCAATTAGGAAAAGAGGAAGTCAAATTGTCCCTGTTTGCAGACGACATGACTGTATGTATAGAAAACCCCATTGTCTCAGCCCAAAATCTCCTTAAGCTGATAAGCAACTTCAGCAAAGTCTCAGGATACAAAATCAATGTACAAAAATCACAAGCATTCTTATACACCGATAACAGACAAACAGAGAGCCAAATCATGAGTGAACTCCCATTCACAATTGCTTCAAAGAGAATAAAATACTTAGGAATCCAACTTACAAGGGACGTGAAGGACCTCTTCAAGAAGAACTACAAACCACTGCTCAAGGAAATAAAAGAGGATACAAACAAATGGAAGAACATTCCATGCTCATCGGTAGGAAGAATCAATATTGTGAAAATGGCCATACTGCCCAAGGTAATTTATAGATTCAATGCCATCCCCATCAAGCTACCAATGCCTTTCTTCACAGAATTGGAAAAAAACTACTTTAAAGTTCATATGGAACCAAAAAGGAACCCACATCTCCAAGTCAATCCTAAGCCAAAAGAACAAAGCTGGAGGCATCACACTACCTGACTTCAAACTATACTACAAGGCTACAGTAACCAAAACAGCATGGTACTGGTACCAAAACAGAGATATAAATCAATGGAACAGAACAGAGGCCTCAGAAATAACGCCACATATCTACAACTATCTGATCTTTGACAAACCTGAGAAAAACAAGCAATGGGGAAAGGATTCCCTATTTAATAAACGGTGCTGGGAAAACTGGCTAGCCATATGTAGAAAGCTGAAACTGGATCCCTTCTTTACAGCTTATACAAAAATTAATTCAAGATGGATTAAAGACTTAAACGTTAGACCTAAAACCATAAAAACCCTAGAAGAAAACCTAGACATTACCATTCAGGACATAGGCATGGGCAAGGACTTCATGTCTGAAACACCAAAAGCAATGGCAATAAAAGCCAAAATTGACAAATGGGATCTAATTAAACTAAAGAGCTTCTGCACAGCAAAAGAAACTACCATCAGGGTGAACAGGCAACCTACAGAATGGGAGAAAATTTTCGCAACCTACTCATCTGACAAAGGGCTAATATCCAGAATCTACAGTGAACTCCAACAAATTTACAAGAAAAAACCAAACAACCCCATCAAAAAGTGGGCAAAGGATATGAACAGACACTTCTCAAAAGAAGACATTTATGCAGCCAAAAGACACTGAAAAAATGCTCATCATCACTGGCCATCAGAGAAATGCAAATCAAAACCACAATGGGATATCATCTCACACCAGTTAGAATGGCAATCATTAAGAAGTCAGGAAACAACAGGTGCTGGAGAGGATGTTGAGAAATAGGAATAGTTTTACACTATTGGTGGGACTGTAAACTAGTTTAACCATTGTGGAAGTCAGTGTGGTGATTCCTCAGGGATCTAGAACTACAAATACCATTTGACCCAGCCATCCCACTACTGGGTATACACCCAAAGGACTATAAATCATGCTGCTATAAAGACACATGCACACGTATGTCTATTGCGGCACTATTCACAATAGCAAAGACTTGGAACTAACCCAAATGTCCAACAATGATAGACTGGATTAAGAAAATGTGGCACATATACACCATGGAATACTATGCAGCCATAAACAATGATGAGTTCATGTCCTTTGTAGGGACATGGATGAAATTGGAAATCATCATTCTCAGCAAACTATGGCAAGGACAAAAAACCAAACACCGCATGTTCTCACTCATAGATGGGAATTCAACAGTGAGAACACATGGACACAGGAAGGGGAACATCACACTCTGGGGACTGTTGTGGGGTGGGGGGAGGGGGGAGGGATAGCATTAGGAGATATACCTAATGCTAAATGACGAGTTAACGGGTGCAGCACACCAGCATGGCACATGTATACATATGTAACTAACCTGCACATTGTGCACATGTACCCTAAAACTTAAAGTATAATTAAAAAAAAAAGAAATAACAAATCACCTTAATCCAAAAAAAAAAAAAGAGATTTAGTTATTTTTAATTTTGGTACTGTTACTGTAAAATTTTGACAAGAGCTTTATACTTTCTGTATAAAACTGGAATTCAAAGAAACCGCATATTTAGCAAAACTCACAACTCACTATTCTCATTAATAAAACTCTCTAGGCTTGGTGGCTAGAAGGTTTTATTACTGCCTGTTGTTTTTATTTTGTTTGAGACAGGGTCTGTCAACAAGTCTGTCACCAGGCTGGTGTGTGGTGTCATGATCATGGCTCACCGCAGCCTGTACCTCCCAGGCTTAAGCGATCCTCCCAACTGAGTAGCTGGAACTTCAGGCATGCACTACCAAACCGGGCTAATTAAGAGTTTTGACAGCTGGGCGCAGTTGCTCACGCCTGTAATCCCAGCACTTAGGGAGGCCAGGGGCAGGCGGAGCACCTAAGGTCAGGAATTCAAGACTAGCCTGGTAAACATGGTAAAACCCTGTCTCTACGAAAAATACAAAAATTAGCCAGGCGTGGTGACAGGTGCCTGTAATCCCAGCTACTCAGGAGGCTGAGGCATAAGAAGCACTTGGACCCGGGAGACGGAGGTTGCAGTGAGCCGAGATCACGCCACCGCACTCCAGCCCGGGCGACAAGCGCGAAACTCCGTTTCCAAAAAAGAGTTTTGACTATTGAGTCAAATCGGGTGTGGTGGCTCATGCATGTAATCCCAGCACTTTGGGAGGTCGAAATGGGCAGATCGGTTGAGCCCAGGAGTTTGAGATAAGCCTGGGCAACACTGCAAAACCCCATCTCTACTAAAAATACAAAAATTAGCTGGTGGAATAAGCCTGCCATCCCAGCTACTCGGGAGGCTGAGGTGGGAGGATAGCTTGAGCCCAGGAGGTCAACACTGCAATGAACTGTGATTGTGTCACTGCACTGCAGCCTGGAAGACAAGAGTGAGACCTTGTTTATCTATTTAAATTTATTAAATTATGTATTAAACTTTTTTTTTGAGACGGAGTTTTGCCCTTGTTGCCCAGGCTGGAGTGCAATGGCGTGATCTCGGCTCACTGCAACCTCCGCCTCCCAGGCTGTACCGATTCTCCTGCCTTAGCCTCCCGAGTAGCTGGGATTGGATTACAGGCGCCCACCACCATGCCTGGCTAATTTTTTGTATTTTTAGTAGAGACGGGGTTTCTCCATGTTGGCCAGGCTGGTCTTGAACACCTGACCTCAGGTGATCCACCCACCTTTGCCTCCCAAAGTGCTGGGACTACAGGTGTGAGTCACTGCGTTAGCCAAATTTAAACTTTTTTTGAAGTTTAAAGGATTAAGTTTGAAGGATTTAAAGGACCATTTAAATTTTAAATACATTCAATCAATAGTCAAAACTCTTTTTTCAGCCATACTCTTTTTGAATCTCAACTTTGGGCTTTGTTTTTTCTACAGTATGGTTGTTTTCTTAATTTCTGCTGTTACCTTTATTATTTCTTTCTTTCTCTTTCAGTTAGATACTTAGCTTGTTAATTTTCAACTTTTTATCCTAATACAAGCAAGAAAGGTAATACTTGCATTTTCTCCTACATGCTGTCTTGGCCGAATACCACAAGTTTCTATGCATAGTTTGTTTTCATTACATTCTGAATTATGCTCTAATCTTTCTGATTTCTTCTTTTGACTCCTGAGTTTTATCTCTTAGTATTGGATTTTTACTATTCATCTTTATTAATTTTATCCTGAATTGCACACAAGGTGATCTGAAACAGATTTCTTACCTCACAGTAAATGAGTGCCTCTGCTCTTTTTGCCCCAACCTTACCCCTGGGGCTATCAATGAGAGTCCATGAGATTTTTTTCCTACCCAAGTGAATGAGGTCAAGTAAAACAAACAAAAATCCAGACTAGGTATAGAATGACTCTATTTGAAATGATTATTAAAATAGTGCTATGCTCTGAATGCTTGTATCCCTCCCAACCCCACAAATTTGTACGTTGAAATCCTAACATACGAATGATGATGGGTCGAGCCTTTGAAAAATGACTAGGTCAAGAAGGTAAAGGCCTCATGAGTGGGATTAGTACCTCTAAAGAGGCCCAAGAGTTTCCCTTGCTTCTTCTACCATGTGAGGACAGTGAGAAGGTGCCCCCACCAGACACCAGACCTGCCAGCACTTTGATCTTTGACTTCCCGGGCTTCAGAACTGTGGGAAGTAAATTTATATTGTCTATAAGCTATCAGCTTATGGTATTTTGCTATATATAGCAGCCTGAATGGGTGAATACAAACAGGGAGAGAGGAACTATTGCAATAGGGTCAGGGAGACTATTGCAATAAGGAGAATGCTTCAAAGGTAAGATCTGCAAGCATCTCAAAGATCAGATAGAAATAGGCTTTTCTCTTTTTCTCTTACAGGGAGGAATAAACAGGCTAGAAAAAAACTAACGTGGAGGAGAGGAGCAGGTGACGTTAATGGGACAGCTGAGCAGGGAATGTCCTTCCTGGTGGCTAGTCAATTTTCAGGAGGGGAAAAGGAGGGACTATTCCACAGTCCAGTGCTGGCTCAGGCTGAAGGTGGATCAAAGTCCAGTGGCTTACGGGGAAGGGAGAAGCATAAAATTGGGTCAAGTTAAAGGGCATTTTGTCCAGATTAGTCTATGGGTACAAATAGTTCAACTAATTATTTTGAGGCAAAGAATGGGATTTGGAGGGTCTGAGTCTGGCTTTATCATAGGTAAATGAAGGTGTTACTCACAGTTCTAGTGGTTCTTTGCAATAAGCCATTTCCTGAAATGTAACAAGAAGGAGGGATTTCTTAACTGTCACTGTTTTCCAGAAGCACAGGGCTCAAGTAAAGGTTAATACTGTAGTCAGTGGCCATGTACCACATAAGCAGGAGACAGGGAGACAAGTTGGGGAGTGTTTTCCATGTCATACTACTACCTCTCTACATTTAGCATGTCCTCAATGGGACTATTCTTGCTGGCATTTGTGTATAGGGGAATTACAAGTATAAGGATATCTATTCCAGCAACACATCTGAAGTAGAAGCCATGATCACAATGCATCATCAAGCCAACCTGAAGGGTCTTAGCTACCAAGTTCTATTTATCTCCCCACCTCACTGGTTACCTTGCCCAGCCCCCAAGTTGAAATTCAGATACCCCTTCTCCTTACTGGACCAGTTACGATAGTAACTTAGGCACCTGTATTCAAAGACATCACGAAGCTTTTCATTCCTCCTTTCCCATAGGCTTCCAGAAAATTTCAACAGGGGCGTAGAGTCTGTGGTCCTTCAAGAATAGAGAGAATATGGCTTCAACCTAAGGATTTTTCTCCTTTAAACAACTTAGATATGGGTAAAAGAAGAAAGAGGGACCAGGGAATGCAAGACACATCCGTCGTTTTTGGTCCTCTCAAAGCTGGGTACCAGGCAGTAAGGTCATTGCTGATAAATCCATTTTGGCTTTGAGAACCCCCTAATCCAACAGTCATATCCACACAGCTTTCCAAGTGGGGCCAAGGGGTACGCACGCCTTGGCTGACCTGGACTTAACTGGCACTACAATAACCTCATTTAGCAATAAGGGCTTTAGGGTGATGTGGTTAGTGTTTTCTTTATCCTCTTTCTCCTTTCATTCTTTCACTTCCCTAACTCCTCCCATATTTTGTGTAAATGCTAATTCTTCGATCAAATTCCTTATTCCTGTAATGTTTGTAGTAGCATTTTTTTTTTCATGGCTACATTCCATTGACTCTACCTCACACTGACATGTTTTGCTACCAGAAGTGGTAGCAGAGACACAGAATCTTAAGGATGGAAATCTGGAATTTGTTCTCTGATCTGACTGGATTAAAAAGCAATAATGTTTCCATTGCCAAGGTAATTGACAGTCTATGGTAAAAGTTACTTATCACTTGTAGTCACTTGGTTTGTTAACTAATGCCCAGACACAGGGTTTACTTATATTAAATCAAAGTGAAATGCCAGAATACCCTTCCTTGGTATACAGGGAATGGTATCAAGGACATAGAAATTTTGGGGTGAAATTATTATACATAACTTACTCACTCACATCCTATCTTCTCTGGAAGGATCCAGAGGACACTCTCTTCATTAAGGCTTTAAAAAAAATCATCGGCAGGAGGTACCATTCTTGAAAGGCTCTAATGGCCAATATCACAGGTCAGGAATGATAGTAAAGGATACTCCCATTGAAATTGGCTCCTGGCCGGGTGCAGTGGCTCATGCCTGTAATCCCAGCACTTTGGGAGGCTGAGGCGGGTGGATCACCTAAGGTTGGGAGTTCGAGACCAGCCTGACCAACATGGAGAAACCCCGTCTCTACTAAAAATACAAAATTAGCCAGGCATGGTGGTGCCTGCCTGTAATCCCAGCTATTCGGGAGGCTGAGGCAGGAGAATCACTTAAGCCCGAGAAGCTGAGGTTGCGGTGAGCCAAGATCGTGCCATTGCACTCCAGCCTGGACAAGAGTGAAACTCCATCTCAAAAAAAGAAATTGGCTCCTTAAATTCAATGAAGATGACGGGAGTTAGGATGTAGTTAAGGCACAAGTGGACAGATTTAGCATCCAGAAACAAAGAGAGTTTGGTTACCATAACTGGCAGCAGAGCAAGATGGTAATCAAAATGGTTTCACCCACAGAAATCTTTAGGGTTAACTGATAGTGGTGCCCCTAGAACTGAAATAGAGAAGCAGGATATTAAACTTTTCTTAACATATGAAAAAAGCAAACTGTAGGTCTAGTGAATAAAGGTCTATTTTTAATTACAAGCCACAGCTTCTTATCCAGTTTTTAGATTTAAATCAGCTTAGATCATTGACATTTAATTATTGCTGTATTAATGAAATAAAATAAAATTTAGGTTTACTATTGTTTTATTCTGTTTCTCGTTCCTGGGTTACCTGAATCTTTTTTAGTATTCCACCTTAATTTATTAATGCTTTTGAAAATAATCTGTAGTTTTTTAGGGAAAAATCTGTGTCGCTCTAGGGATGATACAAATACTTAATTTCTTATAGTCTACTGTATAGTATTAATATCTTGAGGTTAGCAGTTTGGCATTAGCCTGGGCAACAGAGTGAGACCCCATCTCTAAAAAAAAAAGAAAAAAAAAATTAGCTGGACGTGGTAGTACATGCCTGTAGTCCCAGTTACTGAAGAGGCTGAAGTGGGAGGATCACCTGAACCCAGGGTGAAGCTGCAGTGAGCCATGATCACAGAACTGCACTTCAGCTTGGGTGACAGAGACTTCACCTTAAAAAAACAGAAACAAGAACAACAAAAAAAAACTGTATATCCTCTACAGAGAATCACATACAACAACGTTAATTTTTTTCTTTCAAATAACAAATGTAATTTTTAAAACCTCAAGAGAAGTCTATTATATTTACCCTATACATTATGCCTTCTTTATTCCTGCCATTCTAAGTTTCCTTCTGCTATAACTTCCCTTCTTTTTAAAAAGCTTCCCTTGAATTCTTTTAGAGCAGGTTTACTAGTGATAAATCCTGTTAGTTTTCCCTCATTTGAAAAATGTCTTGACCTTTTCTCTTTGTACCTTTTTGACTCCTTTATAATACTTAGGTACTTTGAATAAGTTTTCTGACTGAATCTTCTCTCCCCCCAAAACTATAATGAAGAGTACAGATTTATGCCAAATATCTGATAGCAAAGTGTTTTTAATAAACATCAATTAAAATACAGTTAAAAGTTCAAAAATTTTCTATGACTAGCCAATAAATTGCTGCAACTTTTACAGCTAACGCTGGTGTTCCTGAAATTTGAAACATAGTACTTTTCAAGAACTGTGGAAAAGCTTGATTACAACAAAAATAACAGGCAGAGTGTTCTATTGTTCCTGTTTTCTCCTGAAACTTAAACTCTGAATAGCAACAGATTGCAGCAAATGTAGCTCAGCATATTCTGAAAAATACAGCCCCAGGAAATAGCTAGTTAAAATGTGGACCACATTTCAATTCCACCTTTCCAGTGGAGATTATCAGTAGACTCAAAGAGATCCAAGGGTTGGATGAATAACCATAGTTGAAAATGCTGACACAAATTATTATTTGGCAATAATAAACTGAGGTGAAATGATGCCAAGTAACTGATGTAGTGGAAGTATGTTCTGGTCTGACTAGAATACAGCAATAAAAGTTGAGAGGTTAATAAGGGCAAAAGAACCTTCAGATAAATGGAGAATGAGAAAGAATTGATGATTCAAAAAACATACTTCATTGTGATGACAAGCAAATTAAGGATGAAAAAAAGCAAGGTGAAAAGAAATAGGAAAAATAGTTCAGGATGTAGAAAAATTCTTTCACAACAGCCAGGAAATTCTCTTGACAGAGGATCTCTTGGTAAAATAAACGTGGAGATGAACTAGAACAGGTATGAGGTTCTAGCAGAAGAAACATTTGCATAAATGTGACTTTCTTATCCAGCCACACTAACTCTATTTCTTAAAAGCAACACAATTTCCAAAACTTTCTTGCTCAAAGCTCAGATTTACACAATGCCACCTCTAAGAGGCAGGACACTAGCCCAAACTAAAATGTCCCTTATGTCTGTTCTTACTGTCTTCTCCTTTGGCTTGAGAGATGTTTTGATTTGTAAAAGTACTGGCCAATACAACAAAATGGAGACATAAATTATGTCATAACAGAATTTTACATATGTTTCCTTATATTATGTTCATTAATGTATTACATGCCTTAATAATTTCACTCAGTTAAAAAATGATGGTATGATGCTTTAAAGCTGATTCAATCATGATTTTATAAGCTTATCAAGAGTGAAAATAGAAGACTATTAAAAATAGCTAAAAAGGTAATGTGTCATAGTGTTTAATGTTTCTGTAATTGTTGGTAAGGCTTGTATCTAAGTCTGATGCAGAATTCTTAATGGCACTCAAACAGTTCTTTTCTCAGCCACATGGTATCCACTGATGCTATGAGTCTGGAAGAGACTGGCTATGGGTACCACTTCTTGTCTTCAGCTGTGACTGTGCAATATCAGCAAGTGCGCTTTGTATCTTCTCCAGAAGCATGTCTCCTCGATAAACAACATCCTCCAGACATGTAGCAGCTTCATGGTTTTCTTCTTCTAGCTTATACAAGCTAGCAGCCTTTATAAGACACAAATTTTAAAATCTTTAGAGTTTAGAAAGAGAAGCTGTCACAGATGTACTTATTTTTAAATCTGGATGACTTTGCAATCATTGTGATATGTTTTTCAGTAAAGAAATTCTAAAAATCAGACAACTTTTAAGAATTTTCCCCATGTGAATTATTAAAAAGAATGACTTTTCAATTAGAGATCTCTAGATATCTTTAAGTGACTCCCTTACACATTACGTTTAGACACCATTATTCTACTCCAATTGTAGAATGCCACCCTCCTCTCATTCTTCACTAGGAAAAGAGACAAAATTGAGGAAAATAAGAGGTTTCCTTATAATGGAAATTTGAATATTATAACAAAAGGTGCTATGATTTGAATGCATCCCCTCCAAAATTCATACATTAAAATCTAATCCCCAATGTGATGGTATTAAGAGGGAAGGGGCCTTTAAGAGGATATTAAGTCATGAAGGCAGAGATCTCATAGATGGAATTAGTACCCTTAAAATATGGCTTGAGGTTGAAGAGGGAGCTCTTGCTCTTTTGCCCTTCTGCCTTCAGCCATGTGAGGAAACAGGAAGAAGGCCCTCAACATGGCCCTAAACATGGCACCATGTTTAATAAAAATTCATTACTCATGCACAGTGAGTAATAAATGCCTTGATCTTGGACTTCCCAGACTCCAGAACTGTGAGAAAATAAATTTCTGTTCTTTATAAATTACTGTCTCAGGTATGTTGTTATAGCAGCACAAATGGACACAGACAAAAGGTACTAAATCTACCTCCTTTAATTCAAAATTCTCTATTACTGGTAAAATTCTCAAAGGAATAGAGGCTTACCTGTAAAGCAGCTGTAGATTCTTCACTGGGTAAGGAATCTATCAAAACATCAATGTCTTTTGCTGTTCGTGCAATCAGTGCTGCAAAAAGCTGGGCATACTCTAGAGAAAGATACTGCTAGATTAGGATATTAGAAAACCTCAAGTTTTCAGAAACAAATTTTAAGTTAATGAAACCAGAAACTTCATATAGCTTTTTCTGCCCTAAGATTCTAATGATTCGGCCAGGCGTGGTGGCTCACGCCTGTAATCCCAGCACTTTGGGAGGCCAAGGCAGGCGGATCACGAGGTCAGGAGTTTGAGACCAGCCTGACCAACATGGTGAAACCCCATCTCTACTAAAAATACAAAAATTAGCCAGACGTGGTGGCATGAGCCTGTAATCCCAGCTACTCAGGAGGCTGAGGCAGGAGAATTCCTTGAACCCGGGAGGCGAAAGTTGCAGTGAGCCAAGATTGCATCACTGCACTCCAGCCTAGGTGACAGAGCGAGACTCCGTCTCAAAAAAAAAAAGAAGATTCTAATGATTAAAATATACACCAATCCTGTTACACATTTAGCTCAAATTGGGAATTAAGCATAATGTATGTAATTTCATTTATTATGACAATATAGTGGTCACCTGAATAAAGAAATTTATAAATGGGATGCCTTCCTTGTTAAGGTCCCTCACTCAGCTAAATTAATACAAATTCTCCTCTAAAGGAGTAACAATCTATTATCTGACATGAACCAGAATTATGAGATGTTAGGTGAATTGACTGTAAATTTTTTACAACAAACAAAACTTGTAATATTCTCAAACAACAATAATTTTAGAAATAAAATAAGCTGAATTTCTCAAGAAATCTAATTTTAAAGGATTACAAAAAATGTGAGAGTCAAACTAAGAGAAGCTAAGAAAACCTGTTTACCTTCTGTAGGGTTAGCTGGCTGGTCTTTGTTAATTGCTGTCTGAATATTATTGAAAGAGGCAGGAGGACCACATTGCTGCAATACTCCAATGGCATTACAAAACTGATCTGCAAGCTTAGGCCAAAGAAAACATATCAAGGTTAGAAAGGACTTATCAGTTTTAAGGACTTTATTGGTAATGGCAACAACAATAAGTTTCTGTAATGATAATCTCTGAGCAAGGGAATAAAACAGAAAGGAGTGATTGTTGATAAAATAAGCCAGTTATTATTAATGTTGATTAAACGTTTTAATTCTGCAAAGAAACTAAGTTTGGTATCAATCTAGGTAAAGTTAAATTTGATATAAATCTAGTTGAAACAGTTGAAATACAAAATAATCTTTCTTTTCTTGTGATAGTAAAATGATAAGAGAATATTGGCCAATACTTATTGTAAGCCACAAGTAAAGACTTTTTGGGGATAGTGATGGAAAAGAGCAAATTTGACTTGTAAATATCTATGGCACCATGTTTAATAAAAATTTATTTCTCATGCACAAAGTATATGATTCCTTTTCTGAGACTGGAGTAGTTACAAGTGTAAAGAAATAGTGAGGAAGAGGCTGCTCAGAAAAGCACCTTAAGTAAGCAGAAATGTATTTGTTCAAGACTCAATTTGTAAACTCTTGTACTCTAAAAGTATTCCTTAAGTACTTTTAAAGATTGGGAATAGCAATTCCTTACCATCTCCAAATTAAATACACCTATCTTCCCTACCAATTTCTCTCACCTAGTCTTGACCTCTCAAACCTCCTATTTCTAATAAGTATTTCCACTGGGTTTCTCTGCCATTGTTTCAATGACAGAACTCAAAGGCAACTGTTTCCTCTTTTTAATATTTAATTTGTATTGAAAGTCTCCTAGTCAACCAATCTAACTTCAGATTCTTACTTTCCTTTGATCTTCATATTCTGCTAATACTACAAATCTTTCTCTTTTCCTTCTATCACTGTTGCTTAGTTCAACCAATTATCTCACACCAGAATTATTACAATAGTCTTCTTGTTGTTTTCCAGTTCACCAGGTTATTTATTTTAACCTGATCAAAACATTTAAGCTTACTCCACCACTGTCTTCAAGATAAATCTCCAACTCAGGCTGTTTTGAAGCTTTCAATAATCTAAGTCAACTCTACTGACTCGTTTTCCACTACTCCTTCATATTTATCTAACTAGTCATAAAGTCACTTATGACTAAATGGCTTTGCCCAGGTTTTGCTAATTGTAATGGAGCAATAAGTGCTCAGATGCTATACAAACCTAGATCCTGATCCTAGCTCTATTAATCCAAGCAGCATTTTTCATTTTTAAATTGGATACATTCTCCTATTATAGCATTGTTGTAATAGAGGAAACACACACAAAAAAATATTCAACACAGTGTCTATCTTTTCCATCCTTCAAAAGCTTTTAAGATCCATTTAGTCAACAAAAATTTATGGAAAATAACTAAAGTACTGCATATAAACACTACAGAGACATAGTGAATGCGACATAGCTTCTGCACTCACGGTTTTCAGAGGGTAGAACAAATGTTAAAAGTTATACAAATAATTCTGATTAGGATAAATGCTAAGAAGATTCCCCCTATTTTGGTTCACATCACTCCATATTCCAATTTACATCAGAACCTGAAGCTGAAAATACTCAATTCATTATAACTCCCTAACCACATACTGTTTTTCCATCACTTAAATGTCTCCTGAGTATTTGACATTTTTTAACCTCCTTTAGGAGTATCTCTTTGTAAACATGATGGTGCTTACACACAGTAGGCACTCATACTAGTTATCCTAAAGGCTTTTCTCCAAAATCCAATTATCATTATGCCTAACCTGGAGTTAAGGCCATATTCACTCTGTCCTTATTATCCTTCTAGTTACAAGACATGTATGAATATGCAAAATTTTCCCTAAAATAAGATTTCTATCCAGCAGCATCATTACAATTTGATTTCGTAAAACCTCAAAGGAGTAGTTCCCTGAGGAAGGCTGGCTGGCAGCCCAGGCAAGTCCCTGCAGGGTAGAATTTATCTTGGTGAATTCAACACTTAGAGGCTGGTCCTCTCAGCTTAAAAACTAGTGTTATTCACCCAGGGTAGATCAGTTTTATCACAAGTAGATTCACACTCTTCAAGTGTACAAATTCTGATGTATTAAGAAAAATGCCAAGTTATTAGCTTACAGTGAGGAAAAAAAAAACTGGCAAGGAAACCAGGTACTTAGGTTTTCCTATCAGCATGTTTTCTCTCTAGCCCCTTATCTAGGACATTAAATCACAATCAGACAATGAGAAACATAACTATCAATGGAAAACTATTTAGCAGAAAACAATCTAACTCGTAATGGTAATAAGTACACCCATTGCCGCATGGGAATACCCACTGACGTCTTGGTCAACGGGATGCACATATTATGTCAGTCCCCTATGGTTATAATAAAGCTGAAAAATTCTTATTGCCTAGTGAC
Organism: Homo sapiens; assembly: GCF_000001405.40. NCBI lineage: Eukaryota > Metazoa > Chordata > Mammalia > Primates > Hominidae > Homo > Homo sapiens. The sequence goes on along the minus strand of NC_000012.12, from coordinate 27,024,026 downwards.
ATCGTAGCAGTACTAACGCTGTAGCGCAATGCGTTCCTTAGTGCTTGTGGTGATGCTGCTGTAAATCAACCTACCACACTGCCAGTGTATGAAAGCATAGCACATACAATTATGTGCAGTCCATGACACTTGATAATGATACTAAATGACTTTGTTACTGGTTTATGTATTACTGTTTTATCGTTATTTTACATTGTACTTCTACTTATTAAAACAAAAAAAAAAGTTATCGCCAAAACCATGCATTTCTCAGAACATGACCCCTTCATTAGGGGCCCATGACTGCGCATCCTCTGGCTTTGCTTCTACTTTCCACTCAGGCATAGTGTGGAGGAAAAATAACCAGAAGGAACAAAGCTGGGGAGCTACTTACTAGACTTGGCCTTTAATAGAGAGTAGAATTTGGGGGAGACATTAAAAAGGACTTGTAGGCCGGGCACGGTGGCTCACACCTGTAATCCCAGCACTATGGGAGGCCGAGGCGGGAGGATCGCTTGAGGCCGGGAGTTTGAGACCAGCCTGGACAACATGGTGAAACCCCGTCTCTACTAAAAATACAAACATTAGCCGGGCGTGGTGGAGGGCGCCTGTAATCCCAGCTACTTTGGCTCAGACAGGAGAATCGCTTGAACCCGGGAGGCGGAGGATGCAGTGAGCAGAGATCGCGCCACTGCACTCCAGCCTGGGCGAAAGGCACTGTCTCCAAAGTAAAAAAAAAAAAAAAAAGAAAAGAAAAAAGACTCAAATAAGCGGAAAGACATACGAGGATTAGAAGATTTCCTATCATAAAGATGTCCCCAAACTGATGTATTCTGAGGGATGGCCAAGAGGCAAGAGATGGAAGGATACTCTGGGCCCAAAGGAACGAGCTAAGATGAAAGAAAATCTCTCACCTCACCTCAGCATCGCTCCCGCACCAACCTGAAAGCGCTGGTGAAGGAATACTCTCGGCTGACATTTCATTACAAAAACCCAGTCATCCAGAGCATGAGATCTCCCTTGGTGGATTAAAATTGATGAGGAAAGAAAAAAGCTCCTGCTTCTCCTCCCAACCCCCAAAAGAAAGAGAACCCGTAAGCACCACTGACAAGAAAATAAAACTGTCCTCAGGGAACACGACAGGACCGCGCAGCCCACAAGTCCTGGCGGCCTCACCCGGACAAGAACGATCTTCCCGGTCTCCTCAAGCGAAAGAGTCTGCTCCCTCCCGCACCTTCAAGCACCGCCCGGCAGCCGGCCTCAAACCTCCGAGTTCGCGGTGGCGCCTCCCGAGAGAGCGCTTTATGCCGAAGCCCTGTCTCTCAGTCCGCTCCCCACTTTCAAGTTTTGCCTCTTGGGCCCCTTTCCTCCCTTGCTTTACCTCAAGAAAGAGAAAGACAGAGGCTAATCGAATGAAATTCCTCACCGAATTCACAGCGTCCTGAAGCTGCGTGAGCCGATCCGCCATGTTCCTACCGCAGCAAACAGACGCCAAAACAGCTGCTCTTCCGCGACTGGGCAGCTCTGGCACGCGTCATGGCCAATCACAGGGCTGCGTCCTTGGAACGGGTGGGGTCGGAGAGAACTCCCCGCCCCGTCAGGAGTGGGTGGTACTCCCGAGGCGGCCTTTCTAGAGCGGGCTACACCTGAGGAGAGGCTGGATCTTTTGAGTAACTGGGGGAATGGTCTGGGGTCCAATCGCTTTGAAATACAGTCCAAGAGCCGAAATACTCCCCTTGGGGTTGTTAGGTGTTAAAGGCTTCAGAGATTGTTGGATTCTGCGGGGATTTTTTTTTTTTAAGTAATTTCTCGTACCCTCTCGTGTTTATTTATTGACCAAATTGAAGAGTAAATATATTTATTTTTATTTATTTATTTATTTATTTATTTATTTATTTGAGACGGAGTCTCGTTCTGTCGCCCAGGCTGGAGTGCAGTGGTGCGATCTCGGCTCACTGCCAGCTCCGCCTCCCGGGTTCACGCCATTCTCCTGCCTCAGCCTCCGGAGTAGCTGGGACTACAGGCGTCCGCACCACGCCCGGCATTTTTTTTTTTTTTTTGTACTTTTAGTAGAGACGGGGTTTCACCATGTTAGCCAGGATGGTCTCGATCTCCCGACCTCGTGCTCCGCCCGCCTCGGCCTCTCAAAGTGCTGGGATTACAGGCGTGAGCCACCGTGCTCGGCCAAGAAAAATTAGCTGCACAATTTAGATTTAGAGTTGGGACTTATTGAGAGTTTAAGTGTGAAAAGTGATAATCGAAACTTGGTATTTAAGGAAATTTAGCCTGAGGATAGTCTGGTAAGAAATGAGTTTGGAATCGGCAAATAACAGGTTTGTAGACTTCAAAAAACTCTCATATCCTCTTTCTCAGGCTGATTATCCGTGATTACCTTCCTGTGGCTGCGGGGAAGGTGGAAGACACAGTCCCTGGGGAACTCAGCTTGTTGGATTTATCCCAACACTTACTGTGAAGCACCACTTCTGCTTCACACCAATGCCCCACCCTCAGCCCCAAACAGTCTACAGACTTACTGGAGCCTCATTAAGAACGTGGATGAGGCATGTTCCCCATAATGGGACTAATGAGAAATCACTCTGTAATTTGTTTTCACTGTAACTTGGGGGGATTCTACAACCTTCTCCTCCCACCCTCACTTGAGAGTGTACCTTACGGAATGGCTGCCACATGCCAGGAAGTATATCCAGTGCTCAATTTGCAAAGATGAATAAGCCAAGGACTCACTAAGGAAGGTTTTGCAGTTGTCCAAGATTAAGATGAGCTGGGCCTAGAATAGGGTGTTGACCCTGATAAGCGGGGAAAGAAAGACTAAAATATATTTTTGAGAAAAAAAATTAATATGGATTGGTGACTGATTGGATATAGTTTAGTCCACTCCATAAGAATACTAAGTTTTGCAGCCTGATTGAAGGGAACTTGGGCAGTTGAAGTAGAGAAGCCACTTCAAGACATTCATATTGTGACACAGTTTTTGTCCTGCCATTATCTTCCTAATAGGTCTTCTGTGCCTCCACAGAGACCTCAGGTTGATGTCCAACTATCTCTGCCTGGTTTTCAAGATTTACTATAATCTGGCTCCAGCAAACAGACCCAGCCTCACCTCCTGATAATTTTCTGAGTGAAATAATCTGTTTCAGCCAAGGTCCCTGACCCCTTGGTTTTCCTGGTTCTTCAGCCTCTTTCGGCCACGGATCTTTTTAAGAATCAGATAAAAGCTGTGGACCCTTTCCCCAGACCAGACTCTCAACTTAGCCTACATTTGAAAAGGGGTTTAGGAAGCTCTTGAAGCTGTAGACTTCAAGAATAACCCACCTGCCAAATATAGTCTGTGCATCTAGCTCAGGATTTCTCAATGGCTGCACTCTTGACTTTTCAGGCTAGATTATTCTTTGCTGTGGGATGCTGACCTGTGCACTGTAGGATGTTTAGAGCATCCCTGTCCCTTACCCCTGAGATGCCGGTAGCATCCCCCCAATCCATTTATGCCAACATAAAGTATCTCCAGATAGTCCCAAATGTTGCTGGGGGGCAAAATTGCCCCCAATTGAGAACCACTGGTCTAGCTCTTTCCTCATTCTTTACCTTTCCCAAAGCAATTTCTTTCCTGCTATTTAATCCTTACCCTACCTTTTTAAGCTGTACACTTCTCATATAAATTTTATGAATTGCTAGAGTCCATAGGGACCTCTCCTTTCTTCCTTTCATGATTTGGACACTTTCTCATATGCTTTTCCATTTGCTTCTGTTGCATCGCCAACTGGATTATATGGTTTTAGGAGCAGGAACCCAGTATTACAGATCTCATATTTTAAACACACAATTTTGGTGAGTACTTTCTTTGAAACTTTATATTATTAAAAGTTTCAAAGATATAGAAAAGTAGACAGTATAGTGAACCCTCGCATACCCTTTACAGCTTCAGCAGTGAGCCACTCAGTCAATCTTGTAAATGCTTTGGTTTTTATGACTGTAGCAACTATTTTTTAAGAAAAACACCTTTAGCAATTTTTAAATAACTTTAATACTCACAGTTGCAATTTATTAAATATCTAAACTGTTCTTAGTGCCGGGATGAATAACTATAAATAAGCATTTTTCTATACCACACTCTTTGAAATTCCCTAAACATGTTCTGCTGTTTTACAAAAATGCACACCATATAAAAACACCTATAATTATTTCTTCCTTGTATGAAATGCCTACACTTCCATCCACATCTCCACTTTGCTCCCTTGGTGATTGTCCACACAGTACTCAAACCTTATTTTATTATTTATTTATTTATTTGAGACAGAATCTCACTCTGTTACCCAGGCTGGAATGCAGTGGCACGATCTCAGCTCACTGCAACCTCTGCCCCCAGGGTTCTAGTGATTCTCCTACCTCAGCCTCCAGAGTAGCTGGGATTACAGGTGCCCGCCACCACACCTGGGTAAGTTTTTTGTATTTGTGTAGAGACGGGGTTTTGCTATGTTGGCCAGGCTGGTCTTGAACTCCTGACCTCAGGTGATCCACCCGCCTTGGCCTCCCAAAGTGCTAGAATTACAGGCGTCAGCCACTGTGCCCGGCCTATTATTATTTTTTTTACTTGCCACTATACTAGTGAACAAAATCTTATTTTAAACATCTCTTTATAAAAGCCTTTCCTGAATTCTGAAAGTTAAATGCTCCCAATCTTTAACACAATTGTTCCTTACACTTCTGTTATTGCACTTAGCATACTGTGCTGTAATTATTTGTACATCACGCTAATTCACCCACCAGTCCATGGGCTACTTGCAGGCAGAAAACATATTCTGTTTCCATATTTCCAGTACCTAGCACCTAACTTTTAGCCTGGCACATATTTATCAACCAAATGAATGAGTTTCCTAGCATAATAATTTCCATATAATAGCTACTAAACAAGCATTTACTGAATTTAACTTAATGAACAAAGAATGTAAATTACTACCCACAAAAGAGCATAAGAATTAAAAAATACAGGATGAAGGTGAGATTAGAGTGGGAAAGAATGAATGGGCAAATTTCACAGAGGTTCAATCCTGCCTTTTCCCTGGATCCCCACTCCCAGCTCCATTTAAGGTATTTTAGGTTTTATTTAAAAAGCTAGGGTAAGTTTTTTCCCTTCCTCCTTCTCTCCCTCCTGCCCTTCCTTCCTCTTCTAAATTTTAACAGACTTTTGTTTTATTAGATACAGGGTCTTGCTCTGTCACCCAGGCTGGAGTACAGTGGCATAATCATGGCTCGCTGCAAACTCAAACTCCTAGGCTCGAACAATTCTCCAGCCTCAGCCACCTGTGTATCTAGGACTACAGATGTGCCCCACCATGCCCAGCTAATTTTTTTTTCTGGTTGTGTGTGTGTGTGTGTGTATGTGTGTGTGTAAGAATGGGGATCTCACTATGTTGCCTGGGCTGATCTTGAACTCCTGGTCTCCAGAGATCCTCCTGCCTTGGTCTGCTAAAGTACTGGGATTACAGGTATGAGCCACTGCGCCTGGCCTAAACAGACTTTAAGCCTCTAATGATGCATATCTTGGATTTGGGAATCTTTCAGTTTCTGCATTTCCTTTCAATACATAGGAAAAATGAACTAATCTGCAAAGCTGCTAAGCTTGTTTGCTTCTCAGCTCTCCAATGGAACTCTGACATGAGCATGGAACCCCAGCCAATCATCCTCCCAAGCTGTCACAATACTGTACTTAGAAGCCAAGGTAATGAGGCCCTGTTCTGATTGCTGACACATTTGTCATCAACTGTCATGCATGCACAGGCAACTGCAGGCCTGGGGAACTGCGATGCAAAGGTATGGAGGAGAGAGAATAGGCTCAGTTCAGGAAATTGAAATTAATTCAATGTGGCCAGCATGTAGAGGTCTGATTTTAGTTGCAGCAAGAACCTAGGGAGGTGAGCAGGAGTTGCATCACAAAAAGCATTTATGTGTCATACTCAGGAAGGTGGACTTATATCTTGAATGCTTTTATAAGAAAACCTTTAAAATTATATGTATCTTTTACAAAATCATAATTTCTTATTTAAAAATGATACACTTCAATGTAGAACTTTTACACAGAAATGTGCAAAGGAAATCATTCTTAATTTAACCACCTAAAGATAACTATTTTAAACATTTTGGCATATATTTTTCAACCTTTTTTTCTATGTACATAACCAGGAATGCATACTACAAAGAAAACAAGGCAGGCACAGTGGTGTGAGCCTGTAGTAGTCCCAGTTAGTCTGGAGGCTGAGGTGGCAGGATTGCTTGAGTCTGGTGACAGACCAGGAGCACCGTCATCTCGGACAAACACCGCCACTTTAAGTTCCAGCTCCCTTTCTAGCCTCATGCATTTCAAGGAAATCACTTCTCTTCTAACTATAAGCAGCCAGAAAGAGCAGACAGTAAAACACAGATAAGACAGCTCAGGCACAAAGGGAGGTGGGGGGAAATTCTCTTGGGTAACTGCCAAACTTCACCCTCATACAATGGGCCCCAGTAAAACAGTGGGCCTTAGTAAGTACATTCCTTTCCCTTCAGGTGCACTAAGATAGGGAAGCTAAAAGCAGACTCGGGGGTATGCCTGCAGCTGCAAAAAGATGTATGGGAACAGACACACAACTCTCCCTCCCAGATAAGCACAACAGACACAGAAGCAGTCCAAGCCTCTGATAAACTCTCCCACCCTAAATCCTTAAAAACTCTTATTAGTCCGTAAGAGAGTGTGCCTCTAACCTAACTGGCCAGAAGCCCCTTTCAGGTTTGTTTTCTCTAAAATAAACTTGTCCTTGACTTCTAAGCCACCTTTCCTGTTTCTTTCTTCTTTAATTCTTACATCTGGGAGTTTAAGGCCAGCCTGGGTAACATAGTGAGATCTTGTCTCTTAAAAAAAAATTACAGGCCGGGTGTGGTGGCTCACGCCTGTAATCCCAGCACTTCAGGAGGCCGAGGTGGGCAGATCACAAGGTCAGGATTTCCAAACCAGCCTGGCCAACGTGGTGAAACCCCATCTCTACTAAAAAAAAATACAAAAATTAGCCGGGCATGGTGGTGTGTGCCTGTAATCCCAGCTACTTGGGAGGCGGAGGCAGGAGAATTGCTTGAACCCGGGAGGCAGAGGTTGCAGTGAGCCAAGATTGCACCACTGCACTCTAGCCTGGGGGACAGAACAAGACTCCATTTAAAAAAACAAACAAACAACAAAAGTATCCATTCCTCTGAGTCAATAAAAGATGTATGTTAAAAAAAAAAAAAAGCCACGTACTATATATACTTATTGCATCATAACTTGCCTTTTCATAAAGACTTCAATCAGAATATAAATGAAGGGCTGCACAGGATCCTCTTATAAAGCTCTATCATAGGTTATTTAACTCCTAATTGTTGGGCATTTAGGTTGTTTTAGATGTTTCTGCTACTCTAAATAATACTCTATGAATAGTTCTGTACACTATTTTTTTTTAAGAGATGGGGTCTCACTATGTTGCCCAGGCTGGAGGGCAGTGGCTATTCACAGGTGCAATCATACAGCACTGCCCTCTTGAACTCCTGGGCTCAAGTAATCCTCCTGCCTCAGCCCCCTGAGTATCTGGGACTACAGGCGCATACCACTTCCCCCAGCTTATACTAATTTTTATATGTGTATTTAATTATGTACTTAAATCTAAAAGTGGATTATACCAAATCTACAAAAATAAGATTTTTAAACATTTTTGATGCCGATTACTTTATTAAAGTGTATATTCCCAGTATCCCTACCTAAGAATGCCTCCTTCTTAGCTCTTTTATCCACACTGGATGTTTTATACTTTTAAAATGTTTACATCTTAGTTTGTTAATTTGATTTTTTTATTTGTTTACTAGTGAGATTGAACTTTTTTCATGTATTTACTGGTAATTTGTATTTCTTTTTTGGGGTGAAATTCCCCATTCATGTCCTTTGCTAATTTTTTTTTTTTGGTCAACTTGCCTTTTCATATTGTTTGTGTGTTTACTTTAATAAAATTTAAATATTTATGTAAAAAGCATTTACGTAGCCAAGTCTACCAATCTTTTCCTTTATGGTTGTTTCCTTTGCTGTTTTGCTTCTTAGAAAGCTCCTCCCATTTTGAGATCAATTTATTAAAAAAAAAAAAGAGCGCCCTCTTCTGCTAGCTCTTTTATGGTTTTATTACTTTGGGATTTTGTTTTCACAATTAGTGTGAGATAGAGTTCTGCTTCTCTCTGCCCATAGTGCAGCTAATCAGTTAAGAACACAATTTATTGAATAATCCATCCACTGATTCAGATGCTACCCTTATCATAATTGTCCCTTTCATCTTCCTTGGATTTCATCTACTGAGGGTTATAGGAATAGGGGCATGTGGGAGAGTGAATAAGCACTACAGAAATAGATAGTGCTACCAAAGGTGTGAAAATTTGGACCAGGCAGTGGGAAAGCAGAGAAAGAATTGTGCCTATGACAAAGATTATTTGCTTGGCCAAACTCTAGTACGGCTTCTGAATCTTCTGCTAGGTCCATCTGTGCACTTCTTTGTAAAAATCCAGTTTTAGCAAAGAACCCCCTTTCCTCCATATCTAATCAGTTTTCTCACCCTGCACCATCCCCCAGGTGATGTTATGTCTTCAGAAGTCCTGTTAGGTCAGTTTCACCAAATGCCCCTTACCTCTGATGCTTCCTCTTAGTAATTTTCCATCCACTGAACTCCATACTGCTGGTTGGCTATAAATTCCCTCTTGCCCACGCTGTATTCGGAGTTGAGCCCAGTCCCTCTTCCCCACTGCAAGACCCAGTTGCAGTGGTCCCTATGCCAATTGAGACAGTCCTCAATAGTCTTCGTTCGGTGCTTTAACAAGTATCATTGAATAATTTTGTCTTTAACACTTCTTCACATTATGGTCACAGCTATATATTGTTAGCTTAGTAGTGGACTAACTGAACATGTAATTTCCAAGCTATAAGTTGCTCATCAAAATATATAAGTGAAAAAAATTAAAACCAGGGAAGGAAAGCAAGACAATCCTCCCCAAATAACGTTAAGTCTATGCGTCTAATTCCACATCATCGATGAGCCATCTGTCACATGGACTACTGTCCCTCAAACAGCACTCAGGTATGAGACTTGAGACGAAGTTCAGACCAAGGCCGTGTCTTCGAGGATATTTCGCTTAGAGAAAACGAAACTACTTTTAAATGTAGTGCTTATGACTAGTGCGGTAACCACTACACAAACAGCATTCTCCTGGCATTTTTATGCTAACATAAGCCTCAGCAGCGAAGACAATTGCTACCGGGGGAAATAACCTTCAATTGTGTTTTTAGCAACTGATTCCTCTTTTTTGCTGTTGTAAAGGGCCGTTAAACACGGAAACAGGAGCCTGGCGACGTTAGTCCGCAACAGAAAGTTATTTTGTACTTTCACAGTGGGTTTGCCTACTTGGTGAGATAAAAGTGGGGCAAGACCGGGCCTCAAGCCAGGACTTCCTGGGGGCTCCCGGGAGCACCGCAGGCTGCGCGTTCCCCGCGCGCCGGCAGGAGGCGCGCGCTGCCTGGAAACGCCCCAGCGCCGCCCGCGCCCAGAGACCCGCCGCTGTGACGCAGCGAGAGCCCGGGAGGAGGCGCGGGAACGCGCGTTGGGGGTCAGGTGCCGGAAGAGGAAACCTCTCGCTGGGGCTAGGAGTTCGGCGGGGCGCGCGCCGGCGGCTGCGGAGCTGGCAGGTGCGAAGCGTCTGCACCTGGCGGGCGATGGCGCCCGATGCGGGCGCCCCGGGATAGCGTGGGCGAGGCTGCGGGGCCCCGGCGCGCACGCCCGCACCTCTCCCCAGCCCTGGCGTGGGCCCAGCCCGGCCCAGGCAGCAATGGGGTTCCTGCAGCTGCTGGTCGTAGCGGTGCTGGCATCCGAACACCGGGTGGCTGGTGCAGCCGAGGTCTTCGGGAATTCCAGCGAGGGTAAGGTCGGGGCGCCTGGCTTCTGCAACCCAAAGTTGCTTTTGCATTTCTTGCGAGGTCAAAATCCGCCAGGGGTCTGTCAGCCTAGCAGGGAGATGGTGCTGGGGGCGTTGGTACACGCTGGGTGGTGAGTCCAGAACCGGCACGAATGGTGTTTCCTGCAGCGGAAACACTCATGGCTAAGGAGGTCTTACTATTAACCTCCTCATTTAGCGGAGGAAATGGGAAGAGATAAATAATTCTCTTTTTTTAACACAGTATTATCTCCCTTAGGGAGCAGCCATGTTTGTGGCTTTAATTCAACTTACTAAAGCGCCTCTTTGCTGCCCAGTGGACTGTCTGAGCTTCTGGACAGCAAGACTTGGGGTGGAACTAGCGGCTTAATGACTGATGGCTCTCAAGCTGCATGGAATTTTTACACCCCCAAATCTAGAGGCTTTTCAAACTGGTTATGTTCTACAGAGTTTGAGAGGGAAAATGAACCCATAATGAGGCTTTATTTTTAAAGAGCCTTTACCATCTAATTTATTAATACCATCTGGAGACAGGAAAACATTCCATACTCACAATGAGAAATAAAGGACTTTCTGAATTACAGATACATAGACATACAGATAGAATGTGTATACCCTCAATTCTACAAGTTCAGCCACAAATGAAAAATAAACACAGAAACACAAAAGCTTGCCAGTCCAGGTATCAGAGTTGTTCTCCTTACTTGAGGGCAAGAAATTTCTAATCGATTTGACCTTAAAAAAGACAAATGGACAAAAACTGTGTTCTCTGTTGTCTCATATCCAACAGGAAATAGATCTCTATGAGATATTAATTCGTTTACAGAGATCACAAAATTCCCAATCATTGCAGCTACCAACAGGAAATAACTTGTCATCCATAAATGAACTGTAAAAAATAACAATTTAATAGAGAGTAAAACTAAAATGAGAAAAACAAGAATCAACGAAGTTCTATTGCCACTTCAAATTCACCTGTGGGAGCCAAGAAGCAACATGCCCGGGCTTGGCTCCCTATGAGTACACCATTTTTGATGATTTCAGGTGACTTTTTTTTTTTTTTTTTTTGACGGAGTCTCGCTCTGTCGCCTAGGCTGGAGTGCAGTGGCATGATCTTGGCTGACTGCAACCTCCGACACCCGGGTTCAAGCAATTCTCCTGCCTCAGCCTCCAGAGTAGCTGGGATTACAGGCGCCCGCCACCACACCCAGCTAGTTTTTGTATTTTTAGTACAGGCGGGGTTTCACCATGTTGTTCAGGCTGGTCTCGAACTCCTGACCTCGTGATCTGCCCGCCTTGGCCTCCCAGAGTGCTGGGATTACAGGCATGAGCCACCGCGCCCGGCCGATTTCAGGTAATTCTTGTTCATCTCAGTGAGAACTCAGAATGGGATGTTAGATTGTAAGTCTTGTGCTTGGTGAATGGGTTTGGGCAACAGCTCATGGTTTGTTAATATAAAATGTAAAAGGCACTAGTTGTGCCAGGCAGATCATCATGTGCTTTTCCATGAAACTAAGCACATTCTGTTTTGTTTTGAGGTTAATAGACTAGTTGCAGTTCTGAAACATAATATTTTCTGAATAATGTGATTGTGTTGCTATGCACTTATCTTTGAAAAGCCCTTGTGCAAACTGAATTCTAGGATCTTTGTATATAGGACTGAGGCCAAAGCTGAAAAGGGCAACTTTTTTTTTTGCAGAAAAACCTTGCTTATAATAGGGCACTAACATTCACTCTGTATAGTGTGTGCCAGGTGCTTTCCACGTGCAGTGTTATTTAATCCCCACCACCCTACAATGTAATGATCTTCCTCCCTTGTCAGAGGAACAAATGAACAGCTGCTAGGGTTACAGATAGGACTTGAACCCAGGTGAGTCTCCCTGCAAATTTCATAGTCCTTCCACTTCCGTAAAGCTGTCTTCCAATAAGAATATCTTACATGGCATGGTGCTTTGTACTTAATCCTTCTGTGAATCCTCATTCTTCAAAATAGCCTTATGATGGAGGTAGAAGAGATGCTATCTCTATTTTAACAGGTGAAGAATTTGAGATATTAGAGTTTTTAGTTGATCGAGGCCAGCCCCTGAGTCAGGAGAGCAGGCGTCCAGAACTTTTTCTTTCTACTTGGTGTTAGTATTTAATACCTAGAAATTTTTATACAAAAGTTAAAAAATATGAATAAATTGAGAAATTAATTTTTTTCAGACACTGCTTTTTGCCTCTTTGCTATGATTATAGCACTGATATTCCTCAATGTTATTCTTTTTGCCTTGCATTGGTATTGTCATTCTGTGCAGAAGAGGGACAATGTGGGGACTTAACTGCTGAGTGATAATAAAAGCTGATATTCTCCACATCTATCAGCTAAAAATCAGTATAGAAAGGTAGAAGGACATAGTTCAGGACTTGCATAATCCTCCTAGAAAATGGCTGGATTGATGTTTGATGATGATAATTCTGATAACCATACAAACTGAAGAAATTGAGCATCTGCTGTAATTTAGGAGGATTTACCCATCTTTGGCAGGATGAGCTAACTTGCATGACTTCTGTAGTGGCCTGAATGCTAAATAAATCTTGGAACGTGGCAGATGGAGTTCCTAGAATGTCTGAGGAGGGTGCTTTCTGTGACCAGTAGGCACATGAGATGGATCATACTTTTAAGCAGTTTTCCCTTCTCTTGGAGTCCCAGTTCACTGCTGCCTTTAACATCTTTCATTTGTTTAGATTCATATCCAGTAACTCCCGTGGAATTTCATAGTAATTGGACTTGAGCACAGCATCATTTGGGCCTTTCAGTCTTCTTGCTATTGATGATGCTTTACCAAGGTAGCAGGCTGTTCATGGTTAGTTGCAAGTGCTGTCTTTCTCTAAAAAGTGTGTGAAGCTAATATGTTCATTTTTGTGTTCCCTTTCAACCTTTAGGGCTATTGAACATTTGTAAGAAGATAACAATGAGAAATTGGGAGGGGCGGTTGACTGCTGACCAACTCAAGTAGCTGAACCATTTTTGTTTTTAATGTGAAGAGAATTATGAAGACTAGGCTATGATGGATTTCTCTTAGAATTTGGTTGTTGTGTTGAAACACAAACAGTAGAAGTAAATTTTAGTAAAATAGTAAAAAGGAAGAGTTGGAAATTTTTATGGTTGCCAGATTAGGATCTGATTCGGAAAGAAAAAGGAAAGTATTAGGATTGGGCAGCTCTTTTTAAAGTGGAATTATTGGAAAGAAAAAGTGATTCTGGGTAAGAATGGAAGATGGGTGTGAAAAATTGTTTCAAGTCCCTACTATAGGTCAGATGGCAAAAAAAGCCATTTCTTTTTAGAGGAAAGCTAATGTAAGTGCCCCAACTTGATGTTAGCCATTTGCTTTGTAATATCTTTTGATGTGCTGTCTTTTTTCCTCCTACTCTGCAAGTCATAAGATATAATTATGCCTCATAAAATGCTTCTAATAAATCCTTTTCCATATGCCTTAGAGGTGAAGTTAAATTCCTGTTAGCTTCTTCAGGATATTTTTTGAGTATGTGTCTTCTTTTGCTAAATCTGTTTTTATGAGCAGAAATTAAATGAGTTTCTACCAGACTGAGCTGTTTAAGTTGTCTTGACTTTCAGTATCTTTTGTTGTCACTCTTCGGAAGTCTCTTTCTCAACGTAATGCTTATGATGTGCCTGGAATTTCTGTGAATGCCCTGTACATGTTAGTTCCTTTCTTCCCACTAATTTTTTCGTAGGGCTGCTCTGAGTGCCTGATTGTCTTTCTTTCTTTCTTTTCTTTCAATAAGGAGATGAATGTGTGAAGCACAGGAAAGCTAATGGAAATTAATAAATGATGCTTTATTGTGTAGCCTTGGGCAGTTTAAAAGTTGTTTCCCATTTGTTTGATACTTTCAGCAGCCAACTGATGGCAGCACAGTTACCTCAATTTTACTTTGAGGGAACTGAAGCCCAGAGGAAGTACATTACTTGCCTGAGGTCACATAGTTCAGGCATCATTTAACAAACATTTACTGTATGCCAGTTAGGTGACTATACTGTGTTAGACGTTGGAACATCAAAAATGACAAAATCCTGCACAGCCAGGAATCAAACCACAACTGGTTTGGTTAAAGCAATCTTCTGAAAAAAATTGTACAATGGATGTTAGATTGCCAGGGTTACACTGCCAAAGTATTTTCACACAGATGTTAGGTTAGAGATAACTAAGACTGGGAAAAAAATACATATTTATCCTTTGCTTGTTTATCAAACACTATGTTAGGAGTTCTCAAACCCAGCTAAACATTAGAATTACATGGAGAACTTTTTATAAAAGATATATTGGTGAAGAGACAGCTAGAAATAGACATTTAAAAGAAAAAGCAGGGTCGGGTGCTGTGGTTCCGTCTGTAATCCCAGCACTTTGGAAGACTGAGTGGGGGAGGATCTCTTGGGGCCAAGAGTTCAAGACCAGTCTGATCAATATAGCAAGACCTCATCTCTACAAAACGTTAAGAAATAAAATTAAAGAAAAGAAAAAGTACATTTAAAATAGCCTCAAGAAACATTACGTATTCTGGGATGATAATCATGGGATATGTAAAGACCTCTACAGAGAAAATAACATAATACATCTCAACATTCTTTAGATAAATTGAGAAACTAAAGAAATAGAGGAATATCGGAAATTCATAGATTACAAAATTCTAAAGATAAAGATATTTTAAAGGTATCATTTCTTCCTAAATTAATGTATATATTCAGGGCCATCCCAATCAAAATCCCAGCAGGTTTTTTTGTGTGTGTGTGGATATTGACAGGCTGATTTCTAAAACTTATATGGAAATGTAAAGGATCAGAAATAGTCAAGATAAATTTGAGGAGGAAGAACAAATTTGGAGCAGGAGTTAAGAGAGTTGTAATATTTGTGTTAGGATTGGTGTCTATAGCTAGACAAATAAGCCAGTAGAATGCAATTGAGACTCTAGAAGCAAACACATATGTTCACTTGACTTATGTGAAAGGTGGAACTGCAAAGCAGTAGGGTGGGGAGATGGTGGTATTTTTAAATTATTTTATTTGTATAAACTTATGGAGCACAAGTGTAGGTACAGGATATATTGTGCAGTGAAGTCAGGGCTTTTAGTGTATCCATCACTGGAATTATGTACATTGTACTCATTAAGTAATTTCTCATCTTCAGGCCCCCTCCCACCTTCCTCAGTCTTCAATGTCTATCAGTCCACAGTGTAGGCCCATGTGTACACATTACATAGCTCCCATTTATAAGTGAGAGAACATGGGGTACTACAGGGTGGTATTTTTAGTGAAGGTTGCTGTCAAGTAGATGAACATATGAAACAATGAACTGTGACCTCTATCTTACACCATGTGTAAAAATCAGCATCAGCTTGATTTTTAGCTCTAAATGTGAAAGATAAAACAAACTTCTGGAAGTTAACATGGGAATGTATCTTCATGATCTTGGTATATGTTGACAAAGATTTCTTTAAAATGACACAAAAGGGACTAATCATAAAGGAAAAACCTGAAATTGACTGCTAAAATGAAAACTGTTAATCTAAAGGTAACAGAGTGAAAAGACAAGCAACAAGAGTGGGAGAATATATTCGCAACGTATCTGTCAGAATACTCATATCTATGATGTATTAAAAACTCCTAAAATTGAAGAAGGACAGTTCCATTTTTAATATGTGTAAAAGACTCGAACAGACTGTTTCACAAAGAGGATATCCAAATAGCAAATAAGCAAAGCAAAGGTTTCTTAACACCCATGAGTAATTAGGGAAGTGCGAATTAAAATCACAATGAGATACCACTATATACTCAGCAGATAAATGAATGATACCAGGTGTTGGTGAGACTTCTGGGCAATTGGAACACTTTCCTACAGTAAGTTGATGCGGTATACATTGGCAAAACATTGTTGGAAGACTGGCAGTATCTACTGAAGATGAGAATACCCTATTACCTGATAATTCTACTCACAGGTTCCACCCAACAAAAATGTGTATATGCGTGTACCAAAAGACATGCACAGAAAATGTTTAGAGTTATTTATAACTCTAAACCAGAAATACAGATGTTTATTAACAGTAGAACAGATAATTGTGGCATGTTATTTCATGAAGTATACAATTATGGTAATGAGTTATAGCTACCTATAGCAGCTGGAATGAATTGCACAAACATAATGCTGATTTTAAAGAAGCCAAACACACAAAAATTGTGCTGTAAATTCTATTCAATTGAATTCGTCCAAATAAATTCCTAGTGTTTGAACTTAGGACCCTATTTCCCTCTGGGGAGGAAAGAAGATGTGATTGGGAGGGGCCACAGGGGGACCACTAAGATGCTAGAATGCTGTTTAGGTGCTGGTTAATTCATGGGTGTGTAAACTTTCTGTATTTCTCTGCATAGTATTTAATGGATATTTGTTTTTTAATTGATACCTGGACCTTAGCCCCAGGGATTTTGATTTAACTCATCTGGAGAGGGTCCCAGGCAGCAGTGTTCTGTTTTTTTTTTAATCCCCTCCAGATGATTGTAATGGATAGCCAGGGTGTATAATCACTGTATTATAATTTCTTATGAAAAGGACACCTTATGGTCACTATAGAAATTTAAGAAATAAAGAAATGTGTAATGAAAAGAAAAAAAATCACTTAAAATACACCCCCAGAGATACTTCCTCTTAATACCCCTACCTATTTTGTCAAGTGACCAGGTTTTACATAATGTATACAGTGTCCCTCCCTTTTATTTCCTGGCTTCTGCCTGGTTCGCACTGTAGGCATTTGAGGAAAGGAAGATGATGAGGCATCATTTTCCTGTAGCTTTTGGGAAATCCAGGAAATAACAGATGAAAGTTGTAATTATTCCTGAAATTCAGGTATATTTCTTGAAGAAGAATTCAGAAGCAAAGACTGCAGATTAATTTTTGGTCCTAATCATTGTGTATTCTCACATGGTCTATTTGTTTTTATTTCTGGATATCTTAGACTAGAACAAGACTTTTTAGGTACAGTTTAACCATTTAAGGTCAAAGGTCATCTGTTACACTGTCACAGCAAAAACTCTCTCAAATAGATTTATTGCCTGACACATACGCTTTCTGGAATAGTCTTCCACAAAATCAGAACTATTTTATTTCTTATTAATTTATTATTCATGCTATAATGGTAACAGCCTAGATGTTCATTAATAGGAGATTGGGTGAATAATTATGGTACATACCCAGAATGGAATACTCTGTAGCTTTTAAAATGGTAAAGCTAGCATTATCTGTGTTGCTATGGAAAGATATATAAGACCTGTTAAATGGGCAATATCAAACATATTTATATCTTTTTCCATCTATGCGGAAATATGCATGCTTATATCTGCCTAAGCCCTAAAAGATATATCCCAACTGTTAGCAGTGGTGATTTCTGTACATTGTACTTGCTGGAGGAGTTGACTTTCTGTTTATTTAGCACCTTTTATAAGGATTATATATTTTCTAGAAAAATATTACCATTTTAAGGGAAAGCAAAACAGTGACAGAATGTTGAGAGAATGTCCCATTTTGTCCCTTTTTTTTTCTAGTGTGTGTTCCTATTTTATAAACATTTAAAATGTAGAGTTGGCCTGGCGTGGTGGCTCATGCTTGTAATCCCAACACTTTGGGAGGCCCAGGTGGGCGGATCACGAGGTCAAGAGATTGAGACCAGCCTGGCCAACATAGTGAAACCCAGTCCCTACTAAAAATACAAAAAATTAGCCGAGCGTGGTGGCACATGCCTGTAATCCCAGGTACTCAGGAGGTTGAGGCAGGAGAATTGCTTGAACCTGGAGGTGGAGATTTCAGTGAGCTAAGATTGCGCCACTGCACTCCAGCCTGGCGACAGAGCAAGACTCTGTCTCAAAAAAAAAAAAAAAAAGAAAAAGAAAAAGAAGGACAAGTGTAAAAAAAAGAAAAATCAGCCGGGCAGGGTAGCTCATGCTTGTAATCCCAGCACTTTGGGAGGCTGAGATGGGCGGATCGCTTGAGGTCAGGAGTTCGAGACTAGCCTGGCCAACATAGTGAAACCCCGTCTCTACTAAAAATACAAAAATTAGCCAGGCGTGGTGGCACATGCCTGTAATCCCAGGTACTCAGGAGGTTGAGGCAGGAGAATTGCTTGAACCTGGAGGTGGAAATTTCAGTGAGCTAAGATTGCGCCACTGCACTCCACCTAGGTGTCAGAGTGAGACTCCATCTCAAAAAAAAAAAAAAATCAGTTAAAATATACTCCAAGAGATACCTGCTTTTAATACCCCCCTACTTATTTTGTCAAGTCATCAGTTGTTTAACAATGTATTTTAGTTTCCATGGTTCTGTGTTTCCGTACTGTCTTTCCAAAGTTTTGTTTCTCCAAGTATTTTTGAGTTGTGATTCATCCTCATCCTGGGTGATAGGTTAAGGGAAGGTTAAGAAAAGTTTACCATGAAGGCTTCTCTAGTTGATGGCTTCAGTCTCTTCCAGGGCTTTTAAAGGTTCTGTATACTGTTCTGATGGAAGGCTCATGTCATGGGAGATAGACATGAGGATTATTAGAACATTTTCTAAAATAATATCAAAGGGCAAATTTAAGTGATAATTACAGAAGCCTTGGATAACCTTTATGAATTTGTTTGTGTCAGTTTTGATCATGGTGCCCAACAACTAGAGTGCCTAGTCCATGAGTACCTTATAAATATTGCCAAATAGGGAAAATGAGAACAAAAAGGAAAAACTGAAGATGTAGACTAGAAAAGGCAGGATAGTAAGTGAGTTGAATGCTGTGAACAGTGAAAGGATAGAAATCTGATTAATTTCTAGGAAAGCAGACTGATACTGCCAATACGGGTGGGAATTTTTAAGACTTGGAGGATGCATGATGGATGGGACCAAACTTGAAGGGCAATAAATGAAACATTTTTAGTGTAATTTACTGAAATCCATATAGTTTTATGTATAATTTGCTTTTCTAATAAAATAATCATGATAATGGGAAGGCCTGGAAAATATAAACATGTTTTTCTTGTTTCTTTTTAAAAAGAAAAAACACGTGCACACAAACTTTTTCCAGACTTCCCTACCCAGATTCTATTGGCCATTCCTTAATATTTTAACCTCTGTTCCAGCTGGAGTTTGGTCCATTTAAAATGTAAAATGTCTTTCTGGTACCATAAATAGGAAATATGCTATCTTCATTTGTCATTGTTAAAACTATTACAATTTTCTCTAGAGTTTTAGAAATGAAATTGTAACGTTTTATTCTATCATTTTTTTAAAAAAACATTAAGTTATGAATGTAATGTAGCATCACAGAGCTTAGGGAAAATATATAGAGGTTAAGATTATTCTAGTCTTAACACTATTTGTGTCTTTTTTTTGGCTGTTCTTCCACAGGCTACTCATTCTTGATTTTTTTGGTTCTGTTTGGTTTTAAATCATCCAGTGGAGCTTTCGTATTAAAAAAAAAAGTGTTGAAAATTGACCTTTTTGGGACATGGTATATAAGAATGTGTTATTAAGTTATTTAGTATCTGAAATGTTTTACCGCCCACTGACTCTAATTACCTTCTAAAATAAAACATGACAGTTCCACTATGGGACTCGGGTGAATTATAATCTTTTTTCATCAATTCCTTTTCATCTATATTTAATCTAAATCTTTTGTCTGTTTGTTTAGAATTGAACCCCCAAGACTGCTTATGTGAAACTTGGGATCTTTTCTGCTGTTCATGCAGACAGATACTGACTGTAGGATGGGGGGTGGGGTAGGAATCCAGGACCGCACAGGAGTAAAAGCAACCTAATTAAAGGATTATTTGAGAGTTAGATTGAAAAAAGATGAGCTGGTGTGCAGCTGGCAGAAACACATCACAGAGAAGTGGGGACAGAGTCAGTGAGATGCAGACCATGGAGGCAAGTAGACAGATGGGACAGGCCTGGAGGAGGTGTTGAAAAACTGTTCTTGTTATAACCTATCTTTTTTATGGACTCAGTTTGATCCTTAAGCAAACAAAAGCTCTCTTTTCCAGAATGCCTGTGGTTCACAATTTTATGTGCAGTGCCTGGTGTGGGTGCTCATTGGACATTTTTGTCAGTATTGATTTCACCTTCCTTTGCAGTCTCCATTAGACAGATGAGGAAATTGAGGCTTAAGGGGATTTAAGGAACGTGCCTAAAATCACACAGCTGGTAAACACCGGTATTAAATTGCAGCCACCTGTGTCTCTTCGGGCTACGCTGACTTCAGAATTCACTAGACGGTTATGGTTCTTTAACACCAGCACATTCATGATTGTTAGTAGCCCCACAGGATTGTCATCTTTAAATTCAGGGACTCTGTTCCAGAGATCATTGTTATTGCTGCTACCAGAGGGGAAGTTTCTCTGGGTTCCAGGAGCCTGTCTTCAGCATACCTTTTGAAATACCTCTTGCATTTTAGTTCTGAGCTCTACCATTCACTGGCTGGATGACCCTGGATGGGCTGCATCACTTTTTAAGCCACATTGTCTTTAGCAGTGAAATAGGAGCAATAACCATATTTACCTCAAGGAGTTTTTCTGAGGATTAAATTCCACATTCATTTATGAATATGATTTCTGCAAATTGATATGAGAGTACAAGTGTTGTAATGAAAAGTTTATCTCGTTGTAGGTCTTATTGAATTTTCTGTGGGGAAATTTAGATACTTCGAGCTCAATAGGCCCTTTCCAGAGGAAGCTATTTTGCATGATATTTCAAGCAATGTGACTTTTCTTATTTTCCAAATACACTCACAGTATCAGAATACAACTGTTTCCTTTTCTCCGGTAAGTGCAAAGAATTATTTTAGTAAAAATCATTTCTATATTTTGGGGGTCTGGTATTTAGTATGAGCATTAGAATTTGATATCTCTATCTCTTTTATGTTTATGATCTTATGTCTTAAATTTTAAAAAATCAAGATAGGATGTTTTCAAGTTAGTGACTGAGAGTATCTCAGGCCTTTCTTGAGTGTGGCAGTCTCTGACCTAAAAAGGGGTAATGGAGAGCTGAGCTGGGGAGAAGGGCACCCTGTGACAAATGTCACCACTATGCAGGCAAGTTTTCTTCGTGAATTCCCACCTTTTCATTTTCTTACTTTAGTGGGGCCTTAATAACTTTTACCTGAGAATATATGTTTAATGGGTTTTCATTGTTGTTTAGCTATAGTATTGAACTTTACCAAGAACCCTATAATATCAACTTTATTCTTTGGACTCTGTCACGCAAACAACAAAAAAATTATAGTGCTCAGTTCATCCAGCCCTGTGCTATGCCTCCAGCAGTATTAAGGACTCTATTATAGATGTCATCACTAAACCCCTTAACCTCAACCTCAGCCTTAGAAAGTTTTTAAAATTCTCTGGGTTAGTTTAAGCTATGAAGAGTCTGCCATTTATATAATCTTTTACAATCTATCTGCATTTAGTCTCTATGATGCCCTAGACCAATACATGCATTTCACCTTGTATGAAGTTATACTTCTTTTTATTTGTCCTAAGCCTATATTATAATATTCTGGAATTTGGTAAACAATTCTGTCTTAATCTAATTCATATGTAAATTTTTAAAATTTTTATTTTTTTTTTTAGAGATAAGATCTCACTCCATCACCCACGCCGGAATGTGGTCGTGTGATCATGGCTCAAATTCCTGGTCTTAAGTGATCCTGGAACTACAGGCACATGTCACCACACTTGGCTAATTTTTAACATTTTTTTTTTGTAGAGATGGGGTTTTGCTCTGTTGCCCAGGCTGGTCTTGAACTCCTGGCCTCAAGTGATCCGCCTGTCTGGGCATCCCAAAGTGCTGGGATTGCAGGCATGAGCCACTGCGCCCCAGCCCATATATAATATTAGAGGCATTGGTCACACTATCTTTCTTACTATTTTGTGTATTTTTATTCCTGCCTTCTTTCCCCTACCATAGAGGTTTGGAAATTGTGTGCATGTGGTTGTGCACGTGTGTGCGTGTGTGTTGTGGGGTATGTGTGTAGGGGGGTAGTTAATAGACTAGAAATGGAAGAATTCAGCTTAGGAAAAAAGGAAAGGAATAAATAGTATTAATTACAAGAGATACCGATGTCACACATACGTCGAATTTGCCCAAGTTCTTTGCAGCTAAAGCAGAAGGTAAAGCATGTTAAATTTCATAACTTCCTTAGAAAGGAAGGAGCATGCCAGTTCCTCAGGGGAGGCCAAGTTTTTTATGGCACTGAATTCAAAAGACAGCTTCCTATTCAGACTCTTACATAGGAGACTTAGTAAAATGGCACATAGATGAGTTCTTTCTTCTTCTCTTTTTTAACTAGATCTATTAAAACAATTTTTAATTGACAAACAGTGTGTTTCTTCCTAATGACATTACAGCAAGACAACATTTGAAGGAAAAGAGAGAGGATGGGTGAAATAAGGGTTTATATTTGTTGAACGCCTGCTATGTCCTAGGCCAGTGGTTCTTAAGCTCCTGGAGCCATAGACTGCTCAAGTCTATGGACTCAAATATAAATATAAAATTTCATGGGGCCCTTCAAAAACTCAGACTCTCAGGCCCCCAGTTAGGAACCCCTGTGTTTGGTTTCCATATGGTTAATTCTCATTAAAGCTCAACAAATTAGTAGTGATGCCTATTTCTACATCTGAGGAAGCAGAACTTGGATAAAGAGATGTCAGCATCACCAGTGATAAAACAGACCTAGCTGGCAGCATCTTGGGCCTTGATTTCTATGCAGAAAGGGTCTTAGTTGTCCTTAATTATCATTTTATTTCTTGGACTGCCTTTAGTTCCCACTGTTATATTACTTAGAAGATGATGGCCAGAACTGCACATGGCTCAGGAAGTGAGTGGTCTGTGTAAAGAGAAGTGCTTCTGTTTCCTGTGCCCTTCCTAATAAAGTGTGGCACTTTTGTTTTTTTTGAGTCGTGATGGCAATTGGCTCTTTGAAACTGTTGACTTGATCATTTATCAATTAATATTTGAGTCATTCTTTCTTATGCTTATCAAATTGAAACTACTCTGCTACCTTTTCCTTCCCATTTCCTTAGCTTTGATAGAACCTCTTGAGTCTGTTACCTTTTAGCTTAGCATTTTATTATTCAAAAAACTTTCCAAGCAGATGGGAGTGGGGGATGGTAGAGAGGAAGTGTGTGAGGAAGGATTAGGAAGGGGCACAAGGAAACTTGGGGTGATGCATACATTTGCTATTTTGATTGTGGTAATGGTTTCACAGGTGTCTGTATATCAACACTTAAAAGTATACTTTATGGGCCGGGCACGGTGGCTCACGCCTGTAATCCCAGCACTTTGGGAGGCTGATGCTGGCGGATCACGAGGTCAGGAGATCAAGACCATCCTGGCTAACATGGTGAAACCTCGTCTCTACTAAAAGTACAAAAAATTAGCCAGGTGTGGTGGCAGGCGCCTGTAGTCCCAGCTACTTGGGAGGCTGAGACAGGAGAATGGCGTGAACCCGGGAGGCGGAGCTTGTAGTAAGCTGAGATCGCGCCACTGCACTCTAGCCTGGGTGACAGAGCGAGACTCCATCTCAAAAAAAAAGAAAAATTATACTTTATGTACAGTTTATAGTTTGTCAGTTATAACACAATTTAAAAGGTACCTCGAAAACTGAACTCCTTGGGGCCAGGTCTCATGTTTTTGTCCTAGTGGTCTTAGAAACTAAGATAAAACATTATTTGACATAGTAAATCTTAATTCAAATTAATTGAAACACTTGGGAATTTCACTGTGCATCTGCTATTCCTGATCAAAGATTATTTTTACAGACAGAATGTTTGTGTCTTCACAAAATTCACAGTTGAAATACTCATCCTCAGTGTGTTATATTAGGAAGTGGAGTCTTTGGGAAGTGATTAGGTCATGGGCCCCCATTTAGAGCCCTCATGAATGGGATTAGTGGCCTTATAAAAGGGACCCCAGATATGTTTCTTGCCCTTTCTCTGTCATGTGAGGATACAACAAGAAGTTGGGAGTCTTCAGCCTATAAGACAGCTTTCATCAGAACCCGACTGTGTTGGCACCGCTATCATGAACCACCAGACTCTAGAATTGCGAAAATAAATTTCTGTTGTTTATAACCACCTTACCTGTGGTACTTTGTTATAGCAGCCTTAACTAAGACAATCGTATATTTTTCAAGAATGCTTTTTCCATGTATATGTGTGGGCATGTGAACATAGAGATGAAAAGAATTCCCTGGTTATTTAAGGAAGGTTTTTTTTTTCTATTTGTTTTGGGAAGATTTGGAATAGGACATGCACACTGGATCAGCTCAGTAATTTATGTTTTGGTCGACTTCCTATTCATGACAATGTTTCTTCTGGACTGCAGACTCTCCTTTCCAATTCCTCGGAAACAGGCACTGCCAGTGGACTGGTTTTCATCCTTAGACCAGAGCAGAGTACATGCACTTGGTACTTGGGGACTTCAGGCATACAGCCTGTCCAGAATATGGCTATCCTACTCTCCTACTCAGAAAGAGGTAACCCTTCTGTCTTCTCCTCCCTCTTACTCTTTGGAATATGGAATGTGTTCATGAAACTTTAAGGAAAATTATCCTATTGAGATTGTTTGTTGCAAGTATAATTTATATAATCGGATTTTTTTTTTTTGAGATGGAGTCTCGCACTGTCACCCAGGCTGGAGTGTAGTGGCGCGATCTCGGCTCACTGCAACCTCTGCCTCCCGGGTTCAAGCGATTCTCCTGCCTCAGCCTCCCAAGTAGCTGGGATTACAGGCGCCCGCCACCAGGCCCAGCTAATTTTTTGTATTTTTAGTAGAGATGGCGTTTCACCATGTTGGCCAGGCTGGTCTCGAACTCCTGACCTTGTGATTCGCCCGCCTCAGCCTCCCAAAGTGCTGGGATTGCAGGCATGAGCCACTGCGCCCAGCCTATAATCAGAAATATTTTATAGTAAGAGAATTAGCACGATGACTGAAAGCTCAGGTAGTGACTAGGAGAACATGTTTATTCATTCGAAAAACATTTAGGGAGCCCTTGGAGAAGCAGTAATAGTTAAGGCAAGACATAGTCCTTAACAGTTTAGTTGTTCTAAGCAGAAGCAGTAAGCTCGACGTCATGAAGAAAAATGATTTGGAGAATGGCACGTTGTGAGTGTGGCTGCAGCTGGAGTGTGGAGGGCCTTGCATACAATTTGAGGTTTGTACTTTATTTCGAGGTAGGTTCTAAGGAGGCATAGAGTTTTTAAGCAGAGGAATGGTGTAGTCCATTTCATCTCTTAGAAAGCTAACTCTAGAAGTAGTGTGGGGATGGATTGGAGAGGGCGCAGCAGAGTCAGGACTCAGCACAAAATGAGAAATGAGGATCTGAACAGAGGCCATGAGAGGCGGGATGGAGAAGAGGAGCAGGATTTGAGATATCCAGAAGGTGGAATTGATACAACACAATGACTGGTGGTTATGGAGTATAAGAGGGAAGCATAGGTTTCCTATTTGGGCAGCAGGGAAATAGTGATACAAAATAGGTGTAGGAACAGGGTTATGGTGGTGCTGGATGTTTTGGGAGGTGGGACGGAGTAGGTGATGACTTCAGTTTGGGACACAGTCTGAGATGCTTGTAGGACATTTGGATGGAAATGCAGAGTACATAATTTAAATAAGGGCCTGGAGTGGAGGGGTGAGATTAGATTCCCAACTAAATAGCTGTTAATAAAAGCTGTGGCAGTGAGTGAGATTATCCAGGCATGTACTTGGATATTTAGGGCAAAAAAATCATAGCAAATACTTTACTAGTGCCTACTATGTGTCAGGCACTGTTTCTGGTGGATAATAACTCCTGAGGAATAAGCACAACACTGTGGAGTAGTCAAGAAGGTAGGAAGAAAGCCTGGAGTTTCTGCCTTTAAAAGGGAGCAGGCCGGGCACGGTGGCTCACACCTGTAATCCCAGCACTTTGGGAGGCCGAAGCAGGTTGCAGGTATAATTTATATAATCGGGAGTTTGAGACTAGCCTGGCCAACATGGCGAAACTCTATCTCTACTAAAAATACAAAAATTAGTCAGGTGTGGTGGCAGGTGCCTACAATCCCAGGTACTCAGGAGGCTGCGGCAGGAGAATTGCTTGAACCCGGTGGGCAGAGGTTGCAGTGAGCTGAGATTGCGCCACTTCACTCCAGCTTGGGTGATAGAGCAAGACTCCGTCTCAAAAAAAAAAAAAAAAAAAAGGAAGTGGTAAGTTACAGTCTACGGAGAGGTCAAGAGAACTGACTGAAAGTGTCCGTATGCTAGAGCAAGTAGGAGTCAGCGGTGGCCCTTTATGAGAGTCACTTTAGTGGCACAACAGGGATGGAGGAGTGAAGGTGAGGTGAATAAATTTAGACTACTCTTAAAGCTTGGGGGTAAAGGGAAGGAGAGGGAGCGCTAGTTAGGAAAGGAGGGAGAATCCAGAAGATTACTGGAGTAGAAGATAGGAAATGTTAGCTATAACAAAAGGCTAATTACCTGATAAGAAACCATAGACTTAATTAAGGCTTGCGTCAAGGACAGTGTACAAAGAAAAATTATGAACAGAGGAGCTTCAGCTGGCATACATACCATTTGTGGTGTGGTAAAGATCCATAAGTGCAGAAAAAGGAGAGTATGAAAGAAGAGCATAGAATTTGGAGGAAGATTCCAACATGATATTGAAACATATATACACACTGTGTATCTGCATTCCAAACCTGGCCAGAAGTAGTCAACCAATAGCCGATCTTTTTAACTCTAGAGGAAAGGTTGGCAAACTACAGACCATGAGCCAGATCCAGCTTGCTGCCTGTTTTTGTACATAAAGTTTTACTGAAACACAGCTATGCCTCTTCCTGTACGTATTGCCTGTGGCTGCTTTCCTGCCACAAGGACTGGGGTGGGTAGTTACTGCAGAGACCATCAGACTGACAAAGCCTAAAATACTATTAGGCCTTTTACAGAAAATTTTGGCTCTGCCCTGCTCTAGGGCCCTGAACCTCAGTTAACTCTACCCTCTTTAACCTCAGTTCATGAAATAGTATACGACTAGAAGCTCTACGTTTATATTTAACTTCTATTTGGGAAGTTTTTGTAAGAGTAGATAGAGTTCTGTTTTTCTGAGTATGATTTGGATATGTAGGAATTGTTTGTTTAGTAACTTCCCTATTTCTTATCCAGATCCTGTCCCTGGAGGCTGTAATTTGGAGTTCGATTTAGATATTGATCCCAACATTTACTTGGAGTATAATTTCTTTGAAACGACTATCAAGTTTGCCCCAGCAAACCTAGGCTATGCGAGGTACGTCTGTCTCCCATGTCTGAGAAATGCTTTTAGAATATACATGACGACAGTTGTGTAGATTTGACCAGCTCTCTCAAGTCCCTAATTCTCTGTAGTAAAATTGAGTTAATTTTTGGGGGGAATTGATGTAATTTAAACTTCACTATTAATATTTGGACTGTCATTTACAGTTAATATTTTCCCACTTCATTCTTGTGAACTCTTTTTATTTGAAGAGCCAGATGTGAGTCTATTATGAGCTTGAAAATACATCCTGGTTTTTATAAAGCACTTTAAATATAGATAGCACTCAGTAGCCCTGAAACATCCTTTTATTTTTATAAAGATTCATTGTTTTAATTAAAGCTGTGCCTCAGTTTCTGCTTTAATAGTAATGATAGCTAACATTTGAGAACACTTGAATGCTTCCTGTGCATTGTCCGTGGTGCTGAGTGTTGTTATGTTCTTTGCCATTTAATCCTAACAATTTTATGAAGAAGGGCAATTGCTGTTATTTTACAGAAAGTTTCCCTAGGGGTTATGGAGGTTACCCTACTTGCTAACAAATGACAAATCTGCTATATTCTTCTTCTTTTTTTTTTTTTTAAATCAAAGATGAGGTCTTTCTATGTTGCCCTGGCTGGTCTTGAACTTCTTAGCTCAAGCAATCCTCCTGCTTCAGCCTCCCAAAGTGCTGGGATTACAGGCATAAGCCACTGCACCCAGCTTTTTTTTAAAAAAAATTTTTTTGCCTCCCCAGAGCTGTAGTATTTTACTCTAGGCCTGACTGATATCAGAATCCAGTTATGTAATCACCTTTGCCTGTTGGTGTTTGTCTTAGTTTGTGGTGCTGTAACAAAGTAGCACAGACTGGGTGGCTTATAAACTTCTTTCTCATGGTTCTAGAGGGTAGAAGTCCACGATCAGGATGCCAGCACAGTTGAGTTCTGGTGAAGGTTCTCGTCCAGGTTACAGACTGCTGGGTTGTCATTGTGTCCACACATGACAGAAAGAAGGCTAGAGGGCTCTCTGGGATCTCCTTTATGAGGGCAGTAATTCGATTCATTAGGGCTTCACCTTCATGACCTAATTACCTTCCAAAGGTCCCACCTCCTAATATCATCACACTGGGAGTGAGGGTCTCAGCATATTAATTTTGGGGAGACACAAACATTCAGTCCATAACAGTGCATTACTTTTCTTCAGAATACCAATTGTTGCCACTGCAAAAGGTGAACTGTTAAATTGTAATTATTGTTGCAAGTGTTTGAAATTAGGGCTCTTGGTTCCTTTTTATAGATGGGACTTGCACCACAAGAGACTGATGTTTCATTTTGTTGGTTGACTTTAGAGGCGTAGATCCCCCACCATGTGACGCTGGGACAGACCAGGACTCCAGGTGGAGGTTGCAGTATGATGTCTATCAGTATTTTCTGCCTGAGAATGACCTCACTGAGGAGATGTTGCTGAAGCATCTGCAGAGGATGGTCAGTGTGCCCCAGGTGAAGGCCAGTGCTCTCAAGGTAAATCTGAGTCCCATGATTTGTGTGGCTGGATTGTGACACCTTTGTCAGAGTTGAGAAGGGGAGAAGCTACCAGGATCTTATTTCTTTACTCTTTTCTCCTTTTTGGGGGACACTCACTTTATTCTCTTTTGTTATCATCTTGGGAGTCTTTGCTGGTGATATCTCAAAATGATGTTGGCCTTTGAGGAGATGCATGTAAATTATGTTACGTTTTAGTTGCAGCCACATCTGTGACTTGGTAATCTGAAATGTGAATGGAAGGAGGTGGTAATTTTCTGTGTACTCCCACGACTACTGGGTAAACATTTTTGGCAAGTATGAAGATTACATTGTTTTGAGAAAAAAATAATGAGAAACTGCTTAAGGATATACACATTGGCATTCATATTTGAACCCAAACTCAAAGTCTAACTTGGAGTAAAATTCTTCTCTGAGCTTTTGAATCCATGTAAACCCTTGCTCCCCAGGTGTGGACCATGGACCAGTGGCATTGGCATCACTGGGGAGTTTGTGAGAATTGTAATTCTTAAACTCCACCCTGGAACTACTGAATCAGAATTTGCATTTTATATCCCTCAGGTGATTCTGACTGGGTGCAGTGGCTCACGCCTGTAATCCCAGCACTTTGGGAGGCCGAGGCGGGTGGATCACCTGAGGTCAGGAGTTTGAGACCAGCCTGTCCAACATGGTGAAACCGTGTCTCTACTAAAAATACAAAAATTAGCCAGGCATGTTGGTAGATGCCTGTAATACCAGCTACTTGGGAGGCTGAGGCAGGAGAATTGTTTGAACCCAGGAGGTGGAGGTTGCAATGAGCCCAGATGGTGCTGTTGCACTCCAGCCCTCAGGTGATTTTTATGCATATTAAATTTTGAGACTCACTGCAATAGATCATTTTTGTGGAGGGCAGGATTTTATCTTTATGTCTTGAAAAGTGCCTAACAGCAATATAATATATGAGGTCATCCTTCAGTCTAATGGTTGATGGGTGGAGTTTTTCTAGACAGCGTCATTGTGCTTATTCACAAAATAAGAAGCTCTGTTAGTAAAGTTTATTAGTTGCTTTATTAGATATGACATTTTAATACTATTATTATTTTTATGAAGAATATAAGAACTTGTATAATAGGCTTTTTGTAGGTTACTTTTAAACTTTTAGTTAAAAGAATATTTTGTACCAGAATGTGGGGAAACCCTCAAAGACTAATGAGGGTATGTCAAAGAGATTCAGGAGCCTGTTTGAAGGGGCTTGCACTGCCAAATTTGGGGCAGTTCAAGAATCAAGAAAAAGACTGTGGTTGTCAGCCTTGAATAAATACAAATGAAACCTTCCTCAGTTGCCACCACTGGAGGAGACTCTTACAGCAAATTACTCTAAAAATTGATAAAGAAATTTAGCTTGCCTTTTTAAAGGAGGAACTAATTCTTCCCCAGTTGGTGAGAGAAAGCTCTTTGCAGAAGAGTGCTGGCTAATATATGTAGAAGAAATAATAGAATTAGATGATCACCATTTTGTGACCCTCAATGAAATAATTCCAGCAAGGATCAGCAGGTGAAAGGTTTTTGGGGAACAGGATATTTCTAGGGTGTCTAAGTAGCATCCTTAGATTAATTCTCATTGTAAAAGGAGAACCACTTTAACATGGAGTGACCTTATAGTCTCCACCTATTCCAGGTGGGCAAAGCTAGTTTCACTGAAAATGGATCAGCCTGTATTACGTGCTTATGTAGTGCAGTCTGACATTATCACCATCACCTGTGGTATATTCTAGCAAAAAATGTCTAACCTGAATTTAGTCCATTGGATTCCCTATTTACAGGAAATATGGGGGATAAAAGAATAAGTTAGACACAAAATTGTGGAATACTTTATGAGAATACTGACTTCACATCTTCTACAGTCATTGGGTAGCTGGGAGAGAAAGGTGGGACAGACTGCTCTGGATTACTGAGATTGGCCGTAAACACCATGCATGGAACTTGGTTTGATCTTGGGTAAGAAGGAGAAAAGCTAGAAAAGATGTTAGGAGCCAGGAACAGTGGCACACACCTGTAATCCCAGCACTTTGGGAGGCTAAGGAGGGCAGATCACTTGAGCTCAGGAGTTTGAGACCAGCCTGGGCAACGTGGCAAAACCTCACAGCCACTAAAAAAACCAAAAAGTTCCAGGCGTGGTGGTGCGTGCCTGTAGTCCCAGATATTGAGGAGGCTGAGGTGGGAGGATCGCTTGAGCCTGGGAGAAGTTGCAGTAAGCTGAGATCACGCCACTGCACTGTAGCCTGGGCGACAGAGTGAGACCCTGTCTCAAAAAAAAAAAAAAAAAAAAAAGACATTAGGGAAAATCTGGATCATTTATTAGCTAATAAGAAATTATTCATTTTCGTAGGTGAGCTAAGGTATTGTTATATAGGAGAATATTCTTATACAGATGGTCCCTGACTTATGATGGTTTGACTTATGATCTTTTGATTTTAGTTTTGATAATTTCCTGAGCTAGCAATATACAGTATGATACTCTTGCAACGCTGAGCAGTGGCAGTGAGCCATCGCTCCTGCTTAACCACACGGGTAATAGCTAACATTTTACAGTGTACTGTATTCAATAAATTACATAAGCAATTAAACACTTTATTATAAAATAGCATTTGTGGGCCGGACATGGTGGCTCACGCCTGTAATCCCAGCACTTTGGGAGGCCAAGGCGGGAGGATCACAAGGTCAGGAGATCGAGCCCATCCTGGCTAACAGGGTGAAACCCTGTCTCTACTAAAAATACAAAAAATTAGCTGGGCGTAGTGGTGGTGGCGGGCGCCTGTAGTCCCAGCTACTCAGGAGGCTGAGGCAGGAGAATGGCGTGAACCTGGGAGGCAGAGCTTGCAGTGAGCCGAGATGATCGTGCCACTGCACTCCAGCCTGGGCAACAGAGCGACATTCCGTCTCAATAATAATAATAATAATAATAAAAAAATAAAATAGCCTTTGTGTTAGATGATTTTGTTCAACTGAATCTAATGTAAGTGTTCTGAGCACATTTAAGGTAGGCTAGGGTAAAGCCATAATGTTTGGTGGGTGAGGTACATTAAATGCATTTTGACTTTACGATGGGTTTATCCTGATGTAACCCCCTTGTAAGTCTGTACTTAGACTTACATCTGTACTGAGTAACTTGTTACTCAGAGTGTGGTAGGTGTTTGCATAGCATTGGCATCATCTGAGAGCTTTCTAGAAAGGCACAATTGCTAGTACCACGCTGACCTAAGAATCAGATCTACCTTTTAACAAGACTGCCCCCTGCGATTCACAAGCACGTTAAATTTGAGAAACACTGTGGTAGGACATGCACAGTGAAGTGTTTAGAAGTGAAATGTCATGATATCTGTAACTTACTTTCAGCAGGAAAAAAGTAGAGTTGGGGAGAAACTAGTGATAGAGAAGCAAATGTAAAATATTAACAATTGTTGATATTAGGCAGTATATAGTCTATTTATTGTGTTATTCATTCAACTTTTCTGTCTGGTTTAAACTTTTCATTGTAACTTGGGAGTAATATTAACAGTTTGTTGAACTTTACCAGACCTTTGCCCAGGAAGCAAGTTATTGAAGGCTAAGCAGTATTTTTAAACAATGGTAGTCTGATGTAGGAGGGCTCATAATAATTTTCTCCTAAAACCCTAATATTTATTTTTCTCAAATTAGTAGGAACATAGGTATTATGGTTCTATAAAGCATTTGTTTCTTCTATTTTATAGTTTACAATGGAATTTCTGAAGTTAAGAACTACTGGCCGGGCGCGGTGGCTCACGCCTGTAATCCCAGCACTTTGGGAGGCCGAGGCGGGTGGATCATGAGGTCAGGAGATCGAGACCATCCTGGCTAACAAGGTGAAACCCCGTCTCTACTAAAAATACAAAAAATTAGCCGGGCGCGGTGGCGGGCGCCTGTAGTCCCAGCTACTGGGGAGGCTGAGGCAGGAGAATGGCGTGAACCCGGGAAGCGGAGCTTGCAGTGAGCCGAGATTGCGCCACTGCAGTCCGCAGTCCGGCCTGGGCGACAGAGCGAGACTCCGTCTCAAAAAAAAAAAAAAAAAAAAAAGAACTACTACTACATAACAAAACCTCATGTAATATTTTCTTGTTTCAGAGACTGTTAGACAAAAATAAGTGGGTACTGTCTGCGAGATGTTAACAGACTGTCTGCGTTAGTCTGTGGCTAACATTGGACACATCCTCTGTGTTAGGCATTGGGCTGTACACTGAGGAAAGAGCAGTGCACAAGAGAAATACAGTTCCCATCCTTGTTTATAGTCTAGCAGAGGTGAAAAAACTTTTTTCATGGTCGTAACTAGCATTTATACATTGTTTATATCGCATTTTCCTTAAACTATTAAAAAAAACCTTTGGAAGCATTTTGTGTGAGAGCTTGTTTACATTAGCACATACAAACCATGTAAGATGGCCTTTTGACCATATTAAATGGGTTGGTGTATATTTTAAGCAAGAATTATAATTTATGAATATACCATTTAATATTACACGTAGGTGGGATTATCACAGAATAGCTTAAAAAAATCCCCTAAACACTAATCATGTGTTATTTTTGGCTTCAGGTGGTTACCCTAACAGCTAATGATAAGACAAGTGTTTCCTTCTCCTCCCTCCCGGGACAAGGTGTCATATACAATGTCATTGTTTGGGACCCGTTTCTAAATACATCTGCTGCCTACATTCCTGCTCACACATACGCTTGCAGCTTTGAGGCAGGAGAGGGTAGTTGTGCTTCCCTAGGTGAGTATGTGGCTTTAAACTTTTACAAATTCTCCTTTGGCCTTGCAGATAATGCTTTTGTCTAGTTCTCATTCATTCAACACATACCTTTTGAGCCCCTACGTTATTCCACTCTCTGTTCTAGGCACTGGGACATAGCAGTAAACAAAACAGCAAAAATACTTGTTCTGGAGCTTATATTATAGTGAGGGAGATGAGACAGACAAGATAAATTTATAAAATATGTAATACGTGAGAAAATGGTGAGTGCTAAGAAGATAAATAAAGTAGGAAAGGGAGATAACACATGCCAGTAAGAGGAAAATTTGAGATAGATAGCATGGCCAGGGCAGTCCTTGATGCACCACGCACGTACCTGGGTGTGGCATGTACCAGGCAGAGGGAGCAGCCAGGATGAGGGCCTGCACCTGGGAGCCTGTCTGAGGGTGTGAAGAACTGCAGTGATGACAGGGGTTGCAGGAGAACGAGGAGGGCAAAGGAAGTAGAGGTGAGGTGAGAGGTGCAGGGGCAGGCAGCCTGTGTGTGGCCTTGTAGACTGTAGTATGGGATTTTGCTTCTATTCTGAATGAAAGGGAAAGGCATTGGAAGGTTTTGAGCAAATGGTGCCATGATCTAAGATATTTTAATGAGATCACTGGCTGCTTTTTGAGAAAAGACGGAGGCAAGAGCAGAAATGCAGATTGGTTAGGAGGCCACTGAAGTAATCCAGGGGAGAGATAACTAGGTTAGGTAGAATGGGGGCAGTGAAGGTGTTGTGAGGGGTGTGTGTGTGTGTGTGTGTATTTAGCAGTTTATCTTGAAATGGTTTCTCAGAAAATATGCAAAAATAGTATAAAGAATTTCTGTATAATCTTCATCCAGATTCCTCAAAGCTTAATGTATTAGGCTATTTGCTTTTCATTCTCTCTTCTTCTCTCTCTATATGCAATTGACCTTTGAACAGTGTAGGGGTTGTGGGGGAGCCGACTCCTGTGCAGTTGAAAACCTGTGTATAACTCTTTTCTTTTTTTCTGAGACATAGTTTCACTCCTGTTGCCCAATCTGGAGTGCAGTGGCATGATCTTGGCCCACTGCAACCTCTGCCTCCCAGGTTCAAGTGATTCTCCTGCCTCAGCCTCCTGAGTAGCTGGGATTAACAAGCACACACCACCATCCCTGGCTAATTTTTGTATTTTTAGTAGAGTCGGGGTTTCACCATGTTGGCCAGGCTGGTCTCAAACTCCTGGCCTCAAGTGATCCACCCGCCTTGGCCTCCCAAAGTGCTGGGATTACAGGCATAAGCCACCATACCCCACCCGTGTATAACTTTGACTTCCCCAAAATTAACTACTATTAGCCTAGTGTTGACCAGAGAAGCCTTATTGATTACATAAATACTTGATTAACACATATTTTGTATGTTATATTTATCATAGACTATAGTCTTACAATAAAATGAGCTAGAGAAAAGTAAATGTCATTAAGGAAATCATAAGGAAGAGAAAGTATATTTACTATTCATTAAGTGAGAGTGGATCATCATAAAGGCCTTCATCTTCATCGTCTTCACATTGAATAGGAACAGGAGGAGGAAGAGGAGGGGTTGTTGTTGCTGTCTCAGGGGTGGCAGAGGTGGAAGGGGAGGTAGGAGAGGCAGGCACACTCAGTGTGACTTTTACTGAAAAAAAGTCTGTATGTAAGTGGACCCATGCAGTTCAAACCCGTGTTGTTCAGGGGCCGACTGTGTATGTATAGATACGTACACACACACACACACACACACACACACACACACACAATTTTCTTCTCTGAACCATATGAGAGTAAGTTGCAGACATAAAGACCTTTTTGCCATTAAATACTTCTGTATTTATTTCCTTACATAACCATAGTAAAATTATCAAAATTACGAAGCTAACACTGATACAGTAGTTATTTAATTCACACGTTAGCACATTTACTAGTTGTTCCAATAGTGTCCTTTATAAGTAAAAAAAAATTATTTTTGGCTGGGTGCAGTGTCTCACGCCTGTAATCCCAGCACATTGGGAGGTCAAGATGGGCGGATTGCTTGAGCTCCAGAGTTCAAGACCAGCCTGGGCAACATGGCGAAACTCCGTCTCTACAAAAAATACAAAAATTAGCTGGGTGCGGTGGCACATGCCTGTCGTTCCAGCTACTTGGTAGTCTAAGGTGGGAAGATCACCTGAGCCCAGGAAGGTTGAGGCTGCAGTGAGCCGTGATTGTGCTTCTGCACTCCAGCCTGGGCAACAGAGTGAGACCCCGTCTCCCCGTCAACAAATTTTTTTTTCCCCTGTCCAGGGTTCAGTTTAGGATCCCACATTGCATTTAACCGATGTGTCTCTTTATAGTTGTATAATCTGGAACAAGTCTTTTTTTTTTTTTTTAATTTTAATCTTTTAAGACCTTGACTTTTTTGAGAAGTACAGAATATTTATTTTTTTTAGAATGTCTTCAATTTGGGTTACTTTGATATTTCCTCATAATTAAATTTTGATTATGCTTTTTTGGCAGGAATACAAAGGAAGTGATGTGTCCTTCTCAGGAGACACTTGTCTCTTTATTTATTTGTCTCTTTACTGGTGGTGACATCCTTGATGACTTGGTTATTGGTGTCTTGCCAAGTTTCTCCACTGAAGTAACTGTTCCTTTTTTTAAGTGTCTTTAGGGGAGGTACTTCGAGTGTCAGTAAATATCCCATTCTCAAACTCTCACTTGCTAGTTTTGGCATCCAGTGATCTTTGCCTGAAACATTTATTACTAGGTGGTTGCCAAATGGTGTTTCTCTAATGTATCACTCCTTCTATGTTTATTTGTTGCCATCCTGCTCTGAGGAAGGGTTTTCCCTCCCCTGCCATTTATTTATCCATGTATTTATTTTAAACCTGGACCTGTAGATTCCTATTTTATTCTCTGGATGAAATCCTTTACTATCATTTATTTTCATGTTCAAATTGTTCCAGATTTGGCTCATGAGTGGCTGGATATGTTTGGAGTACAGTGTACTGATGGATTGGATGAGGGGTTTGAGAGAAAGAGGTGTAAAGGACTTTGTAGTTTTTGGCCTGAGCAACTGGAGAGAGAGAGCGACCATTCGCTGAGGTGGGAAGCACTGTTGGAGGAGAAGGTTGGGAGGATACATTAAGAGTTCAGTTTTGGACAAGTTCAGTTTGAGAACCCTATTGAGCATTTATGTGCAGATGTTTAACTGATGGTTGATTATATATATAAGCCTGGAATTCAGAGGAAAGTCTTAGCTGGAGAGCATCTTGGAAATCTTCAGACTGAATATATGGCATTTAAGGCCTCATGCTAAATGGTGTTATCTATAAAGGGGAGGCAGAGGTGGAAGGGGAGGTGGGAGAGGCAGGCACACTCAGTGTGACTTAGAGAAAAGGGAGGGGTCTGAGGACTGAGCCCTGGGTGCTCCAATGTTTAGAGCTTAGGAAATTGAAGATCCTACCAATGGGCTGAGAAGCTGCAGCCAGATTGGTAAAAGGAAAGTGATGTATGTTGAAGCCAAGGGGAGACAGTATTGCATGGAAGAGAGAGTAATCAACTTTGGCAGATGCTGCTGATAGGTCAGCTAAGAAAGAGACTGAAAATGACCCTTGGATTTAGCAACATGGAGGCCATTGGTACCAGTGAGAGCTGTTGCAGTGGAGAGGTGGGGTAGGCGCCTGACTGGAGCATATTCAAGAACAAATAGGAGCTGGGAGCACAGAAACTGGAGAAAGTTCAAGTAGCTCTTTCAAGGAGCTTTGCTCTAAAGAAGAAAGTCTATTAGTTGTGTTCAAGCGAGAGATTATGGTTCTCTACCTCTGCTAGAGCCGTATCCCGCTGTTAAAGAAAAAAAAAATCAGTGACACTAGTTAAAGCACAGTGAGGAAGATTTTATTCAAGGTGGGGGGTAGTATTACAATAGGCATAGGGACCACTGTGATGGAATTTTGCAGTGGGGAAGAGAGATTGGGCCCAACTCTTGAGTACAACATGGGCTACTGGGAATTTGTAGCCAAGCAGTAGGGTGGGAGTCAGTGGATGGAAAATTTCTAAGAGGAAACATGAGGGGCAAGGGGGCATTCTGTCTGCACTGACCTAAGGGGATTCTTACTGAAGACAGACCAGGGTGGTCAGACATCACCTGGGGGATGGATGGTGGAGGATGAAGAACTCGATTAGATATCGAGGGTGATTTGATATCAAGCATAGGGGATTCTTGCTAAGCTGACTTATCAGAGTTCTTGCTGAAGCTGGATTTTACAAAGATGTGCGCAGATGGGCCTAGGAGGGGGTTCAGGAGACTGAAATTTGGCCAAGCAGGCCGGGTGCGGTGGCTCACGCCTGTAATCCCAGCACTTTGGGAGGCCAAGGCGGGCGGATCACGAGGTCAGGAGATCGAGACCATCCTGGCTAACACAGTGAAACCCCGTCTCTACTAAAAAAAAAAACAATACAAAACATTAGCCGGGCATGGTGGTGGGCGCCTGTAGTCCCAGCTACTAGGGAGGCTGAGGCAGAGGCAGGAGAATGGTGTGAACCCGGGAGGCGGAGCTGGCAGTGAGCCAAGATCGCGCCACTGCACTCTAGCCTGGGCGGCAGAGCGAGACTCTGTCTCAAAAAAAAAAAAAAAAAAAAAAAAACGAAAAAGAAATTTGGCCAAGCAAAGGCTCTTTGTCACCACTCAGTCTTCCACTCAAGACAATCTTCCACTCAAGATCCTTGAGGGATACAATGCAAGAGACCTTGGCAGATATGTTTGTGTGTGTGTATATATATATATATATATATATATATTTTTTTTTTTTTTTTTTTTTTTTTTTTTTTTGACAGTCTCACTCTTGTCACCCAGGCTGGAGTGCAGTGGCATGATCTCAGCTCACTGCAACCACTGCCTCTCAGGTTCAAGTAATTCACGTACCTCAGCCTCCAGAGTATCTGGGATTATAGGCGTGTACCACCACACCCTGCTAATTTTTGTATTTTTAGTAGAGACCTGACCAACCATGTTGGCCAGGTTGGTCTTGAACTCCTGACCTCAGGTGATATGCCCGCCTCGGCCTCCCAAAGTCCTACAGGTGTGCGCCACCTTGCCTGACTAATTTTTGTATTTTTAGTTGAGATGGGGTTTCACCATATTGGCCAGGCTGGTCTTGAACTCCTGGCCTCAAGTGATCCACCCGCCTCAGCCTCCCAAAGTGCTGGGATTACAGGCGTGAGCCACTGCGCCTGGCCATATATTTTTAACCGATGGACTGAAGTATGTCTGGGTTCCTCCATTTCTTTCCCTTGAACCCTTCATGCAAAAGCCCCTTCTAAATAGAAAGGCCCCCAGGCCTGTCTCTCTCTGTTAGGCTTAGGAGACAGAGAGCTCTGATCCAGTTGTTCTTCCCGCCCAAAGTTGAACCTTCCTAGTGATGTTAGTTCTATTGTTACTCTCATTTTCAAGATTGATGAGTATTAGAGTGCTTTTCCTGAGCTTGGAGTAGGGAGACTATATCCATATTGCCTCCTAACTAAAACCTTGCCCTGTGGTTCATAACCCTTAGCAATACTGTCATAGTTAAAGACACTTTAACCTTCAACTTGCTCCTGTCCTAGTCTATTCACTCCTTTCATTCCCCCAGAGTGAATGCCTGTTTTATGTCTTGTTTTATCGTAGATTCTGCTTTTGATGGAACCTTCCATACCCTCTCATTTTACTTGTATAATTGTTTCTCTCCCTCCTTCCTGGTATTGTGATAGGGGATTTAGTTCCCCTCTAATGTTATGGAAGAGTATCTAACTGTGTCTTAGTTTTTATTGGGTTGGAAGACCTTGCTGTCTTGGTGATTATACTTGCTGAAAAGTTCACGGGATTTTCATTTGAGAAAATCATCCCAGCAAATTTAATGGTTTTGGTGTAAAAATTAAATTCTAGAATGATAGTCAACCACAGGTCTGAAATAAACAATGTGGTGTTTTTATCTTTCGTTTAATCTTTCTGGGTTTTTTTTTTTTGTTTTTCGTTTTTTGTTTTTGAGATGGAGTCTGGCTGCGACATCCAGGCTGGAGTGCAATGGCCTGATCCTTGGCTCACTGCAACCTCTGCTTCCTGGGTTCAAGCAATTCTCCTGCCTCAGCCTCTGGAGTAGCTGGGACTACAGGCATGTGCCACCAGGCCTGGCTAATTTTTGTATTTTTAGTAGACGGGGTTCTCACCATGTTGGCCAGGCTCATCTCAAACTCCTGACCTCAAGTGATCCGCCCACCTCGGCCTCCCAAAGTGCTGGGATTATAGGCGTGAGCCACTGCACCCGGCTGTTGTTTAATCTTTCTTATGGGCTCCTTATTCTCAGAAAAGCTGATATTTAGGTATTATATCCCCTGTGAATTCTGCTCTTCTGTCTGTGTTTCTTATTTTACTGTATGTCTTCATGGTTTCTCCATTCTGAGCACTCTTAGGCATTTTATGTATTTTGATTTGTGGCAGCCTTGTTTTATTTTAGCATGAGATTGTATAGATGTCTTGTTTTGGGTTTTAGTTCAGGGATTATTTTCTTGGGTTTATCTCATGATGGTGGGTGATGAATTTAGTGAGCATATTTTTCTCTTCAGTAAACTAAATGATACCGTGCTTCATCATTGGTTGTAATGCAACATTTTTCTCCAAGGCAATATGTATAATTGATAAGACTGGTAGTAATTTGTGTATGTGTAATAAATATTATAATAAATAACTTATAAGTGTAATACATGTTTTTAAATTGTGAGTTTCGGTTTAAATTTTTTATTGTGAAAAACTTCAGCGAGCCTCCATACACCAATTATCCAGCCTTAACAATTTTGATTTATGGCCATTATCTTGTTTCAGCTGTGCTGTACCTGCTTCTCTGCCTCTCCACCTCATCACCCTCCTTTATCACTGGATTATTTTAAAGCAAATCCCTGGTCATCATGTTACTCACAAATATTTCAGTATGTATACCTTAAAGATAAGCACTTAAAAAATAGAACCACCGTGTCATTAACATAATTTTCATTTTAAAATATTGAAAATATTTCTTTAATAGCATCAAATTAACAGCCAGAGTTTGCTTCTGGAGTCATCTCAATTGTTTTCCACAGTTTGTTTGAATCAGGTTGCAGATGAGATCTATACACAGTATTTAGTTGATGTGTCTTTTAAATCTCTTTTAACCTGTATTCTCCCTCCACCCACCCCCACCACCTCCCCCCCACTCCCTGCCACCTTTTGTCCATGCAGTTTATTTGTTGAAGAAACAGGATTATTTGTTTTAGGAACACTCTCTCTCTGTTTCTCTCCACTTTACCCAGGAATATGTCATAGGAAGTGTTCCATACCGCTATCAGCAAGCATATATTGTCTGGATTCTCTTTTTGTTATAGCAGCAGTTGTTGATATTGATTGTCTACATAGGTTCATTCATTAGGGGTGGCAAGAGTATTTTAAAGATAAATTTGTAATATACATGTATGGGATAAATTATGTCAGTTCACTTAGCTTTTTTGATGAAGGTTCGTTCTATAAATATTAATACAAAGTATCAAATTGGATGTATTATCCACTAAATTTTCATTATTTTTTAGGAAGAGTGTCTTCCAAAGTGTTCTTCACTCTTTTTGCCCTGCTTGGTTTCTTCATTTGTTTCTTTGGACACAGATTCTGGAAAACAGGTATTATGTCCAATGTAGTTGCTATTTCCATTTTGCAGTCTTTTCAGTGTTGCTGGGGAATGACCTGTGAGGAGAGTAAGCACTTACTTATCTCTACTATCTTCATAGATTTGTAGCTGGGGTCTTGTAGTCGTGAGTCTACTGAGTTGCAATGCATTTTTATTTTTTTCTATTCTCCCTACAGCGGAGTATAACCTTCTCTTATTAACAGGGGAATACAATTATGCAGTGAATTTTATCAGCTGCTAGATCTGTTAGTTGACTAAAGATAACCGAGATTAGACATTGGTTGTCAGGGCCGGGCTCAGTGGCTCATGCCTGTAATCCCAGCACTTTGGGAAGCTGAGGTGAGAGGACTGTGTGAGGCCAGGAGTTTGAAACAAGTCTAGGCAACATAGTGAGATCCCTTCTCTACCAAAAAATTAAAGACAAATTGGGGCTGTGTGTGGTGGCTCACACCTGTAATCCCAGCACTTTGGGAGGCTGAGGCAGGCAGACTGCTTGAGCTCAGGAGTTTGAGACCAACCTGGGTAACTCGGTGAGACCCTGTTTCTCCAAAAAATACAAAAAATTAGCCAGGCTTGATGGTGTGTGCCTGTAGTCCCAGCTACATGGGGAGGCTGAGGTGGGAGGATTGCTTGAGCCCGGGAGGCAGAGGTTGCAGTGAGCCAAGATTGTGCCACTGCACTCCAGCCTGGATGACAGAGTAAGATCCTGTCTCAAGAAAAAAAAAAAAGAAGTTGGTTGTCTTTGTAAAAATATGTGTGGATATTGGTGATGGCGATTGACTTGGTTTCACATGAATCAGGCTATGGGGCTGCAGTGTACAGTGAGTTTGAAATGTCTGCTCAGTCCTGAGAGATTCAGATGCCAAAGGGAATGCCAGCATCAACATCAGTGAAACACACTGAAGAACTGGGATGTAAATCATGCTCACTGAATTGGTTTGAATTATTTGGGCTGCTTTTTATATAAGTGATGTT
Source organism: Homo sapiens (assembly GCF_000001405.40). NCBI lineage: Eukaryota > Metazoa > Chordata > Mammalia > Primates > Hominidae > Homo > Homo sapiens. The sequence continues at coordinate 26,981,789 of NC_000012.12, read as the reverse complement.
TTCGATTATTAAAAAATCCTTATTTAATCAACAAGTTGTATAACTGAGCATCAAGGTAGCTCAAATGTAATCCTGATCTAATAAAGCTCTTTAAACTTATGTTAAATTGTTTGAAATAGCAACTCCTTTCCTGCTATTATGACACTTTTTTTATTAATTGGGAAGAGAGTATTGTAAAGAATATATAATATCTCAACATGTAGAATGATTCTGTAACAAAGAACTTAGTTGCTAAGCTGTGGTCTCAAAGTTATCACTAGCTTTTTTTTTTTCTTTTTAAAGAGATGGAGTCTCACTGTGTCTCCTAGGCTGGAGTGCAGTGTAGTGGCTGTTCACAGGTACAATTATAGTGCACTACAGCCTCACATTCCTAGCCTCAAGTGATCCTCCCACCTCAGCCTCCCAAGTAGCTGAGACTACAGGCACAAGCCACCATGCCTCACTCTGGGTTTTTTTGGTGTGTTGATATGTATCATTTTATATTTATTGAAATTGAGATACAGTACAAGTATTACCAAGAACAGCTGTGAAGAATTTAAGAAAATAGGTAGAGCTATGGCCTCCATGATCAGGATTAGGCTTATTTGTGGGAACAAAGTTATCTGTATACTTGCATTACCAGGTGTTTTAATGGATGAAGGTAATGATTGATCATTCTAAACAGGATAGGATGAATTAAAAGAAGATATAAAAGTTATATTTTGCTTTGGGACAGTTTGGGTTTCTTTTACCTTTTACATTTTATTTCTGCTTACAAAACTATTAAAATTTAATGTGTAATTTCGTATCACATACACGTGACAAAGTGCTATTCTTATTTTAAGCAGAAAACATAAATATATTAAAATGAGCTATGAAATGAACAAATAACAATTTAACAATGGAAACTGACCTATATACAAGAAAGTGTATCCTGTAGTTGGTACTTTAATATTGTATCTGTTTAATAATAATTACTCCCATGGCTGCTGAATTTCTTCTGCCTTTTAGATTTTTTTTTTCTTCTGAATGCTGTAACATGTAAATTCCAGGAGCTTAAGCATGTATTTGTAGATTAAATATTTAAATTGCACTGTAAAAAGGGTGCTTAACCATAGCTTTTGTTGTTTTGCTTTTTTCCTTTCCTGGTGGTTTGCCACTTAGAATTATTCTTCATAGGCTTTATCATCATGGGATTCTTCTTTTATATACTGATTACAAGACTGACACCTATCAAGTATGATGGTAAGTGAAAATTATATAGTTTAACTGGGTATTCAAGAAGGCAGGTGCTGTGTTTTACTTCACCTTTCCTTCTACAGTTTGGCCTATATTGTGTGTGACAGCCTATTACTTATGTAAAATAATGGTCCATCTAGTCTCTGAACACCTTTTCTGAACTACTCATTCAGACCTTCTGGGTTTTTAATCTGTATGGTGAATTCCTTGGTACTTAGGGAAAGGAGGGGCCATATTGATTATAGACCTGTGTTCTGGCTATGTGATATGTTGAAGATATGAGATGTACAACAAGCAAAATGTTGAGGTTTTCTTTACCTGAAAACAGATACCTCCCTACCCCATTATGTTTAACAGAATGCTTGTCAACTTTTCCTTCTCAATCCCAATTTATTGACAAGCCAAGCCTGTCACTGGCCCTGTGAGGTTTAGCTCCCTAGCTAATTTCCTTGTCTCAGCCCAGACCCCTCCCTAGAGAGGGTTGCTCTATGCTGGCTTCATGGCACCACTGAAGAGCCCTCAGTGCCTGACCTACAGAAAGCTGAAGCTGGCACTGGTAACGGTATTGTATGTCTAAGGCACGCGGTTGGAAGTACTGCCGGTTATCCAGCAGTTCATCCTCTCTCTTTGTACAGTGAATCTGATTCTGACAGCTGTCACTGGAAGCGTCGGTGGAATGTTCTTGGTAGCTGTGTGGTGGCGATTTGGAATCCTCTCGATCTGCATGCTCTGTGTTGGACTAGTGCTGGGGTTCCTCATCTCGTCAGTGACTTTCTTTACTCCACTGGGTAGGCGATATGTAACAGATGTTTTGTGTGTTCGAGTGACTGTTTGAATACTGCCTAATTGGATTTGCATCCTGGAGTGGTGTTGCATGTCAGTGCTTCTCCTGTGGAGTTCTGGAAATCTGCATTGATGGTGTGACACTTTCAGACAGCACCAGGACTAGTAAAAGTCCCTCCTTCCTCAAAGGCACAGTAGATGAAATATAGAATGTCTTTAGAGGTAGCTTTGTATCTATTTGTTGTGATAAGTGGTATGTGTTTATTAGAAATAATGGAGGTAAAGGAAATAAGGAGGTAAAGGCTCTGATGGCAGCTGAGTCGGGGAACCTGGTACTTTGTTTCTGGTCTTCTGTTGTACCCTCAACCTCCACTCCCATCCGCTGCCAAACCCCAGGTGTCCCTCAGGTACTTAATCACCCTGGGGCAGTAGCACAGGGCTGGTTCTGGGGTTTTTTTGGTGTTTTTAAAAAGTAATTCAATTGCTATCAGTTTTTAAAATCTGGTTAACTTATAAGTTAACTTTCTTTGCCATTGTTTAATAACTTACATTTCCTGATTATTGTCAAAAACAAACAAAAACAGCATCTGTACTCAAAAGTATTCTATTTGGTTGTTTCCTTTCTGTGACAATGTTCTTAAAATACTAGAATAAAGTTGATGGGACTGTTAGACATAAAAATAGCCATTTCATGAGGCTGTCAACTCTATAGAGAATGCAGGATATAATAGAGTACAAGTCATGTGTCCCTTGTCTCTCTGAAGACTTTTTTTTTCTAAGACTACTGGATAGTCTGATGAAAAGCAGTGTTGTGTAGGCTTGGCGAAATGACAGATTCACATGGGGATGTTTTTGAAATACAGATTCAAGGCTCTACCCTACATGTGCTAAATAAAATACTTCCTAATGGCTGAGCATGGTGGCTCATGCCTATAATCCCAGCACTTTGGGAGACCAAGTGGGAGGATTGCTTGAGCTCAAGTTTGAGACCAGCCTGGGCAACATAGTGATTCCCCATCTCTACTGAAAAAAAAAAAAAAAAAATTAGCCAGGTGTTGTAGTGCACACCTGTGGTCTCAGCTACTCTGGGAGGCTGAGGCTAGAGGATTGCTTGAACCCGGGAGGTTGAGGCTGCAGTGAGCTATGATGGTGCCATTGCACTCCAGCCTGGGCGACTGAACAAGACCCTGTCTCAAAAACAAAACAAAAAGACCACAAAAACCAACTACTACTTAATGGGCTTCCCCTCTTTTGTTAATGCTTAGAGGATGGAGGGATGATAGGTTATAATTTCTAGTAATTTAATGTACTTTTCATGAGGAGAATGAGCATAAATTATAAAGTCAGGAAAAAACCTTCTATATGCATTCTGGCTCTGTCACTAGTTCCCTTTCTAGCTTATAACCTTGGACGATGTATTGAAACTTTGTTCCATCATCTGTGAAACTATCTCATAGGATAGATGTGAGGAATGAGAAAACAGAAATAAAGAGGTCTCTTAATTTTCAACTTTATAAAGTAGTCTAGAGCAGTTGTCTCTAAACTTTTTGACATAACTATTCCTATTGGTAAAAATAATTTTAGCATATACCCTTTATATATGTTTGTTTATGAACTATCTCATAGCTCAAGGACCGTTAGAGTGATCATCTCCTCAATGCTAGTGGGTGCAAACCCATATTTTTATTTTTTAGAGACAGGATCTCTTTCTGTCACCCATGCTGGACTGCAGTGACACTATCATAGCTCACTGCAACCTCAAACTCTAAGGCTCAAGCCATCCTCTTACATCAGCCTCCCAAGTAGCTGGGACTACAGGTGTGTGCTGCCATGCCTGGTAAGCTTTTATTTTTAGTAGAGACAGAGTCTCACTGTTGCCTAGGGTGGTCTTAAACTGGGCTCAGGCAGTCCTCCCACCTCGGCCTCCCAAAGTGTTGGGATTACAGGCTTGAGCCACTGCACCTGGCCTACCTATATATGTATACACACACACACATACACACACACACACACACACACACATTATTTTTTTCCTGAGACGGAGTCTCACTCTGTCTCCCAGGCTAGAGTGCAGTCGCGCAGTCTCAGTTCACTGCAACCTCCACCTCCCGAGTTCAAGTGATTTTCCTGCCTCAGCCTCCTGAGTAGCTGGGATTATAGGCACACACTACCATGCTCAGCTCATTTTTATATTTTTAGTAGAGATGGGGTTTCTCCATATTGGCCAGGCTGGTCTCAAACTCCTGACCTCAAGTGATCTGTTCACCTCGGCCTCCCAAAGTGTTGGGATTACAGGCGTGAGCCACCATGCCCGGCCAAGAGGCCTACCCATATTTTTAAGCATTAGCATTTAAAAAATATTTGGCTGACCACTACAATCTGATTAGATTGCTAGTTTTCACCTTATGTGGGAAGCAATGAGCTTATTCTCTGAAAGGGTCCGTTCTTCACATGCATGCATCGTAACTATTTTCAATACTTAGATTTCTTGAAAGCCTTTTACAAGAAAGCCACATATGTATTTTGTGAAGGTTAATATAGTTAAACTAGAGAATAGAATCTATAAGTTCACCTCAATGGCATATTGCTGTTGGCTTCAGAGAATATGGAGTCTCAAGGTCCAGTCCTGTAGCCTAGGGACTCCCAGTCTTCCACTCTGACCTGGATATGTAGGTCTTGAGGTATGGGGCCATTTACAGATGGACTGAATGGTGGTGCCAGTGTCAGTATTAAACAGCAGTCAGCCTATTCTTGCTTTTTAAACTTAATTTATAAAGAGGAGTTCTCATATATTTGTTCTGGGTCGGCCTAAGTTGTGCAGCATTTTAGAGTCCAGCAGCAGGAGAAGGGTTTGGGAAGAGCAGATAGTTGGTTGGTTCCTCTTTCCTGATACATGAGGAAATCACATGTCACAGTGTGCAGTGGCATGACAGGACATGCTTTGACGGTAAAAATCTGTTAAGTGGACTCACTGTTTACATTGGGTTCATGGCTTAACTTTGAATGCCTTTTACTTGTATTTTTTATTTTGCAGTATGAAATCATGAAGTCAGCAATGTAGAGCTAACAGGTGATTTAGAGCTTGGAGATATAATTCAATGTCATTTTGAGGGTTAGGAAACTGAGGCTCAAGTTCACAGAGCTAGTGAATGGAAGAGCTTGGACTATTCCAGTGTCTTCTAAATGATTTTGTTAATAAGTGCAGAGCGTTGACCTGCTTGGTTCCTCCCACCCACCTTCTAGAACACATCCTTCAAAGAAGATTGTATTGACAGTTAAATGAAGAAAATTAGAATTCATTTCTAGTTGCCAACATATTCCCTGGTTGTTACTTTAAGGCTTTGATGTATATCTGTGTTCAGATGTTCCAAGAAACCAACTCTAACTTGGTAAAGCTGTTGTTTACTCTTAGTTTCTTTTTGCTTTTTCAGGAAACCTAAAGATTTTTCATGATGATGGTGTATTCTGGGTCACTTTCTCTTGCATAGCTATCCTCATTCCAGTAGTTTTCATGGGCTGCCTAAGAATAGTAAGTGTTTCATCAAAAGTTAGATTTATTGATTATGTTATCCTGTGTGTTCAGCTGATCACTTATTTCATCATTTTGCATGTTTTATTCACTGGGGAGGGCTGTGTTACCTGTATCAGATGACTGATTCTAAATAGCCTTGTTACTGTGAAAACGAAGTTCTATTTATGATTACCACATGGTGTTTGTTTTTTTCTTTTTTTTCCACCAAATGGAGCATCACAGTCAATATGCTTTTAACAGTGGGAGCAGAGAAGGTAGTGCTTACTCTAGTACACCAACCTGATGGGTCATTAGTTTCAACTGGCTTCAGAAGAGTGATTCTTCCTCTAATTAGATTTTATTGTTGAAGTTCCTTCATATGGAAGATATTTTCCATAGTATTTGGATAAGCTGAACTGTGTTTTAAGAACTCATATGGATGTTGAAGGTTGTTTTCAGTTTATCTTTCCAGGGAACTTCTGTTCAGCTCTGAGTGGGTCTGGTCCTTTTTCATGCCTGAGGGAGCAGATGTGATTGCCTGTGATTGAAGCCAGTGGAGAGTTATAAACTATTTTTGTTCTAACATGGATGATGCCTAAACTCTTCCACTCTTCCACAGCTGAACATACTGACTTGTGGAGTCATTGGCTCCTATTCGGTGGTTTTAGCCATTGACAGTTACTGGTCCACAAGCCTTTCCTACATCACTTTGAACGTACTCAAGAGAGCGCTCAACAAGGATTTCCACAGAGCTTTCACAAATGTGCCTTTTCAAACTAATGGTAAGACTCTTAAATCCAAAAACCAGTGTGACAGCACAGTAGGAGTCTTGACCCACCTATGCTAACCAGAGCACTTGGAAACTAAATTTAAAGAAAGTCAACTGGGACAAAAGGAGGGAACACAGCATACAATGCTGTGAGAACCCTCTGTTATGATAACTCAGGATCATGGGAGTAAAGCATTTAAAATTTTAAGATGAAGATAAAAATCTACTAAATGAATTTCATTAAGAAATTTCCAAGATTATTTAGGTTTACCTGGTCATTCTCAGAGGGGAGAAAAATACTGACAGTAAAGATGTTTGAGACTTATGGGTGGGGATGGAATAAGGGATGAGAATGACAACCTGATTTAATGTTAAGTTATTCCCTTGTTTCCCTCCTTTAATGAAGCATGCAGTTTGCTAGTTGAAAGAGTTTTTAATTAGTAAGCATATAGTTTCCCTCACTTGTAAGATTCTATCCATTACAGATTTTCTATAAATTTTTTGAAGAAAAAAATGACTACCACATGAATTGTTCAGATTGTAAGATATGTTGACTTCAGAAATGTTGACATGTGGAGAGTGAAAAAGCATGTCCTAGAATTGAAGATATATTGCATAAGCACAATTGTGATTGTTGTGATTTTATTTTAGGGCAAATCTTTCCCTTTACTATCCAGAGCTTTCCCTTTGGATAAGAGGTTGATGGTAGAGACCTTGAAATCCTTGAAAACCTTAAAACTCTTGCAAGTTTTAAGTACCAGACAGTGTTTTGCCAAGCTAGAAGCTTTACTAGAAGCTGAGTACGATTGGTTGAATCTTTTCATGCATTCCTATACCTACACTGTGAGTGCAGTAGGGCCCCATGTAGAGTGGAATGGGAAAGAAATGAGCGTGGTGGAATCTGATGTTCCATGATGTACATATGTGAAGTGTAACTAGATCACTGCCTTCCTCCCCGAACCCCCTCTGAAAAAACACACAAACAACTGTGGGTACTTGTTACATAATGTTGGAAGGCCAAGGATCCAAACAACTGATTTTTTTACAACCTGTCTGGACTTTCAAATGCCTGTAATAGAAAATTCCTAGTTTCAAAAATAAGACTGTGGCTTCCCTACTGATTCCTTGGTTTGTAACTGAGGAACTACATATGTGTTTGGACTAACTCACCAGAAAGTCTATTAGAAAGGAATATACAGATTTAGTCCATGAAGGGTTGTATTATTATGTTAGATTTTAAAATACTAGAGTTCAAACTGTACTTTTTCTACTGTTTTTTAGACTTCATTATCCTGGCAGTATGGGGCATGCTGGCTGTAAGTGGAATTACGTTACAGATTCGAAGAGAGAGAGGACGACCGTTCTTCCCTCCCCACCCATACAAGTTATGGAAGCAAGAGAGAGAGCGCCGAGTGACAAACATTCTGGACCCTAGCTACCACATTCCTCCATTGAGAGAGAGGCTCTATGGCCGATTAACCCAGATTAAAGGGCTCTTCCAGAAGGAGCAGCCAGCTGGAGAGAGAACGCCTTTGCTTCTGTAGATGCCCAGGGGCTTGGTCAGTGTGCCTCAGCTTTGGAGTTCATGCCTGGAGTGGTTCAACAGTCTCTGGTGCAAGTCTAATAAGAGATCAGGCATATATATCTGTTCTTTGCATAATATTATGGTGCCCTTATTGATATATGGTAAGGGTGTACTAGGGGATTAGGATGATTGTAAGAGAATGAGAAAGATGACCAAAAGGTTGGTGGTAGGGAGGCTTTTTCTTATTTCCAAATACTTGAGAAATTACCTTTTGGTTTACAAATCTATGATCAACTTATTCCATTAAATAGATACATTAAAAAAATTAAAAACTGATTCTTCTGCAGAGCACTGGTGTTTCTTTTTATAACCCCTTGAAACAAGTCTCTCACCTGAGCCTGTCTAAACTTTCGGAGGGAGTTTATTATTGAGTCTTTATCTGTGACAGTATTTGGAGATTTAGGGATTTGATACTTAGGCCTTTGAATTTTAGAATACAAAAAGAGAAGCAAGCCAGACATGGTGGCTCACACCTGTAATCCCAATACTGGGAAGCCAAGGTGGGAGTATCGCTTGAGCCCAGGAGTTTGAGACCGACATGGGCAACATGACAAGACCCCATCTCTACAAAAAAATTAAAAAATTAGCCAGGCATGGTGGCACATGCCTACTCCCAGCTCCCAAGGAGACTGAGATGGGAGGATCCCTGGAGCCCTGAAGATTGAGGCTACAGTGAGCCTTGATTGTGTCACTGCACTCCAGCTTGGGTGACAGAGACCCTGTCTCGAGAAATTAAAAAAAAAAAAAACTTATTTTCTTACTAAAAGCAGTCTGATTACTTAGTTGCATGCCCTTCTTAGTATCATACATTATCCAAAAGTTACCCTTTGTTTTTTTTTCAGTATTTTTTAAAATTTTTAAGTTGTGATAAAATACACATGAAATTTACCTTCTTATTCATGTTTAAGTGTACAATTCAGTAGGTTCCCTTTGTTTTTGCCTTTTATTGCTTAAAATGGTAATTGAAATAGCTAAATTATTATTTGAAAATAGGCCAATTTATATAGATAATAGAATTTTATAAGGGTGATTTATATTCCAAATAATGGCCCCCTTTTTTTTTTCAAGGCCTTTTCAAATAGTGTCAACAGGTGATCTTTAATTTAACTGCATTAGATGACATATGGATTACTTTTGTTTTTAGGAAATAACCCCCACCTTAATCTATATTGCCGACCAGGTGCGGTGGCTCAAACCTGTAATCCCAGCATTTTGGGAGGTCGAGGCGGGTGGATCACCTGGGGTCAGGAGTTCGAGACCAGCCTGGCCAACATAGTGGTCTCTACTATAGTATAGTAGAATATATACTACTACACCCTGTCTCTACTAAAAATACAAAAATTAGCTGGGTATTGTGGCAGGTGCCTGTAATCCCAGCTACTCGGGAGGCTGAGGCAGGAGAATCGCTTGAACCCAGGAGGCAGAGGTTGCAGTGAGCCAAGATCACGCCACTGCACTCCACCCTGGGCAACAGAGCGAGACTCCGTCTCAAAAAAAAAAAAAGTCTGTATTGCCATTAATAAGAAAACCTTAGAAAAATTTGTACTTCATAGTTCTTTCTGCTCAATTAGCTGTTAGCATTAGTGTAAAATATAGTTTTTAATAATTTCTGTACAAAGCCTTTGTACAGAAAGGCTTCATCCTTAAAGTGATGAGAATGGAGTCAAAAAGGATTCAGGTGTTTAGAGGAGCTGCTTTTCATTAGGACCTTGGAGAGTCCCCTCAGTTTTGACACCCTTGTTTCACCACAAGAAAGCACCCGACACCCTGGGTTGCATACTTACTACTCAGGGGCTTTCCCCCCAGCTTTCAGAGCACTGAATTATTGTGAGCTGGTGACTCTGCAGGCCTGAGTGGTATTAGGGTTGTGGAATGTTGTTGCATACACGTTTATGAGTTAACCACTATTTAAATGATGCTGCTTTTTAAAGTTTTTTCAAAGTACAATAGATTTTTGAAGTTTCAGGTAACTGGAAAAATATTTAACTTTTGCTTTAAGTGTTTGGGGCAGGATAAAACAACATAGAAAATATAAAACAATTTTTGCTTTGAAAAATACAGTGCAGGTGACCATTTACTGCTTATTCTGTAATCCTTACTGTCTATAATTAACTTCAGTAACACTGAAACTTGATGAAAAGTTTTAAAAAATTATTTACTGTAGGGACAAAGTTATATGGAATGTTTGTTATTTTCTATACTATCTGAATGCACTGCCAGTGAAGACTGTAAAGACAGAACACACTATTTTGGAGGGAGGATACTAATTGTTTAAAATTTTTCATCATTTGTGAGTGATAAAAAGTTTGTATAGTTTTTATAATAAATCCCTATTTTGAAAAAAATGCTAAAAAGCCTCATTAAATATTTTCATAAAATTTTTCAGATTATATTTGTACCACAGCAACAAGACATGACGAGTTTCATAGCTATAAAAGTTATTTAATATGGGCAAACAATATAGTTCTTCATTTTTAAAAAATCACAAAGATAATAACAGGAAATGAAATCTGGGGCAATGTGTTAAAAGACTAATTTGGTGTTATTAGCACTTCAGGTGTGTCAGACTAAAGAAAAGTAGTAGTTAACAGGAAACTCTGTTGAACTGTTCTTTAAAATGTTTTCAGAAAGTTCTGATTAATCTGTTATAGGTTAGCTACCAGGTTGCCAAACCATACTAGGTATATTGTACCACAGGCCAGTTGAGTTTTCTGTAGCAGGTGAAATAGAAAACTGATTCCAACAAAGAAATTGCTAGAATATTAAACCTTCAAAGGACTTCAGAGGTCATGTTCACTGACCTCTTTAATACCTGAGGAAATTCTTAAGTTAATGATATGAAGTCAGAGAGTTATCAACTAACAGTGCTCAGACCAAAACTGGGATGCCTGACTCCCTATCCAAATGTGCTTTACACTCATCATGATACAGATGTAAAACCAGGTATTTTCTATTTTCTTCTGCTAACGAATTGATAGGATGTTTCTAATATAAGTATTGCTACGATCGTTCTTTTTGAAAATTATTAATTTTACACAGTGAAAGCATGTTTTTCCAAGTTAATTATCTGAAGTAATGGACCATTTATTTCAAATGATTGGTACATAATATTTAACATTTCCAATATCCATATCTCCACAATAGAAACTTGGTCCGAAGTTCACTCCTAGGTGATGTACTTAATACCTGTTAGTAACATTCATTCAAACCCAGAGTTCTTGGTTCTAATTTCCTGAGAACAGGGCCTTGCCCTAGGGCACAGCCCCTCATTGCATCCCAGCCCTTGTTGGGAGGGCAGCTACCTATGGTTTGCTGATAGACTAAACTGTGCCCCCCAAACAAATTTATATGTTGAAGCCCTAACACCCGGTACCTCAGAATGTGACCTTATTTGGAGACGGGGCCTTTAAAGAGGTTTCAAATTAAATTGAGACTATTAGGGTGGGTCCTAATCCAGTCTGACCAGTGTCTTTGTAAGAAGGGGAGATTAGGACACAGAAACACCAGGTGCATGTGCTCACAGGGGAAAGACCGTGTGAAGAGCAGTAAGAGGGGAGCATCTGCAAGCAGAGGAAACCATCCCTGCTGCACCTTGATCATGGACTTCAGCCTCCAGAACTGTGAGAAATTATTTCTGTTGTTTAAGCCATTCAGTCAGTGGTATTCTGTTATGTCAAAAGAATACACATTACCCTGACTGTTGATTGAAATGCCTCTTGGCAATTTGGCCATTGTATTTGCAAGGACCACTCTTTATGAAATTGACACAAAGAGGGGCTTAAGTTAGTGGGAACTCTGGACTTACCCAGGGACTACCATGTAATCATTACACTGGAGAGGTTGGCAGGTCTGGATCAAGCTTAAGATTTTTTAAAAAATTGTTATACAGGAGTGGCGTGGTGGCTCACGCCTGTAATCCCAGCACTTTGAGAGGCCAAGGTGGGCAGATCACTTGAAGTCAGGAGTTCAAGACCAGCCTGGCCAACATGGTGAAACCCCGTCTCTACTAAAAAATAAAAATAACGAGCCGGGCATGATGGCACATACCTGTCAGCTACTTGGGAGGCTGAGGAGGAAGAATCACTTGAACCCGGGGGGCGGAGGCTGCAGTGAACTGAGATCGCACTATTGCACTCCAGCCTAGGCGACAAAGCAAGACACTGTCTCAAAAAAATAAAAATTATATATATATGATAGTGAGGCTTTGACTTAGATCTCACATTCACTCATTAAATATTTGTTGAGTTCCTGGCCAGGCATTGCCTTGAGCACTAGGAAGATGGAAAACACAGGCATGGTCTTTGCTGTCTGGGACTGGAGTGTGAGACAGATACTAAAATAGTTACACAAGATGTGTAATATGCAATGAAAATGTATAATGGGATAGGGCTAGAAAGTGGGATGCCAAGGAAGGAGTCCTTGAGGAAGTGACATTCCAGCTGAAACTTGGAGGTTGAGTAGGAGTAGCCAAAACCAAGTATGTCATGTGTAGGAAGGGGAGTATTATTAACAGAAGCCTCAAGGCCTCCCCTTCTCATTGTAGAGAGCTGTAAAACCAACACATGCCAATTGTAACCTTGGGTCTGCAACCTAAGTTTAACTCTTAAAACCAAGTTTTGTTAAATCTCACACTGACAATGCTGATAACAAGCTTATCTTCCCAGGTACAGAATAAGGATGAGACAAAATCAACCACTCTTCTGCCTACCCTGAAACAGATGAATAACTGAGTCTTTACTCCCTTTTTTCAGTTTATCTTATATGAAACATAGATTTACTGAGCGTTAATCAGAGCCTCACAAGAATGTAATCATTTGCCTCACTGCCTAACCCCTCTCCCTTTTCCCTCCTCACTCTCTCCCCTAAATAATGAGTTTCCAAAACCCTCTTTAGAAAGCTCAGGTCACAGATGCTCATGTGGCTTGCGTTTTTTCTCTGGCATGTCTTTAAACTTTGGCCCAATAAACCTCTACTGATTTAAGACACTTGCCTCAGTCACTTTTTTTGGTTAACAGGTTTTCTGATTCACAAGAAACTTATAATGACCTCTGGAAAGACAGAGGTTGTAGGAAGAGGTTTACTCTGAATTGTAAATTTTTTAGTATGCTAAGATTTTTAACAGTGTACATTTATTTTTTCATTTAAAAAATAACAAAACATGACCTAACAAACTTCTGGGAATTTGCACGCTAGAAATTACAATAAATAAAGTTATGTATATGGATGTTTACTGCATTATTTTGTATTAAACTTTGCAAACTATCCATCAGTTGGGGGAACTGATGAATAAATTACAACTCCATAATGGTAGCTACAAAAATGCTTGATTTACAGGCATCAGAAACTGACTGGCTAATGCAAACAGTACAATTAGCTGGAAGAATACTGATGCTGTTTGCTTCAGGACATTTCCCCGTATGCATCTGATTTTTACATATTTGTAATTATATGGGTAATTTATGTTAAGCTTTTTAATGCATATTTAGGTACTTTTTTCTTCTTGTTGCTAGCATCTTCAAGCCATAGACTGTAATCAACTGTATTGAGTGAATATTGACATTTAACTATTCCCCTACTGTAGGATATTTAGGTTGAATCCAATTTGTATACTTTAACACTACCATAATGTAGCTTTGACCAGGGGTAGCAGTGGAGGAGAGAAATGGTAGGATTCTGATTTATTTGGAAGGAAGAGCCAACAACAGGATTTGCTGATGAATAGGATGCACGATATGAGAAAGTGGAGTCAAAGTTGCCACCAAGGTTTTTGGCCTTAGCAACTGCAAGGATGGAGTTGTCATCAAGCAGGATGGGAAAGAGTATGGAGGCGTTCTGGGAGGTTTGGAGTTTGGCTTTGGACATCTTAAGCATAAAATTTCTCTTTGACAGTCACAGCTGCATGAATCCGGGGTGAGAGGTCTATGCTGGAACTGTGAATTTAGGAGCCATCAAGCATAGAGGTGGTATTTAGTCATGAGACTGGGTGAGATCACCAGTGAGTAGAGACACTGCACAGAATAGGTATAAGGACTAAGCCCAGTGGCTCTCTAATGTTAAGAGGTCAGCGAGAAGAAACAAAGGAGACTGAGGAGCAGCCAGAGAGGTTAAAGGAAAAAGTGTCTCCTCAAATTCCAATTAGAAATTATCATCTTCATCAGTATTTTACTAAAAAATGTTCTCCTATTTCACTCTGACAATGAAAAAAGGTAGTGACCACCAAAATTATGGATCTACGATTGTCCATTTTTCATTGAAGCAATTTTTTTTTTTTTTTTGAGATGGAGTTTCACTATTATTGCCCAGGCTGGAGTGCAATGGTGAGATCTCGGCTCACTGCAACCTCTGCTTCCCAGGTTCAAGCGATTCTCCTGCCTCGGCCTCCCAAGTAGCTGAGATTACAGGCACCCACCACCATCCCTGGCTAACTTTTTGTATTTTTAGTAGAGACAGGGTTTACCATGTTGGCTAGGCTGGTCTTGAACTCCTGACCTCAACTGATCCACCTGTTTCGGCCTCCCAAAGTGCTGGGATTACAGGGAAGCAATTTATTTCTATAAAATTTTAGAAGTCACCTTGATATTAAAGAATATAAAATTAGAGCAGAAATTGTGAGGTTATAAATTGGTTTTTAAGAACTTTCTTATATAAAATAAAAATATAGTTGATAGATGAAAAACAATAGATGTCTTAGTTTCCTAGGGTTACTCTAACAAATTACCACAGGCTGGGTGAATGAAAACAACAGAAATTTATTTCCTCACAGTTCTGGAGGCCAGAAGTCTGAAATCAAGCAGGCTTGGTCCTTTCTGGAGCCCGTGAAGAACCCATTCCATGCCTCTCTTGCAGCTTCTGGTGGTGGCTAGCAGTCCTTGCGTAACTCATTGCCTCTGTCCTCATGCTGCTATATCTGTGTTTCATATCTCCTCCTCTCTTATTGTAACGACACTAGTCACTGGGTTTGGAGCCCACCCAAAATCCAGGGTAATTATATCCTGAGATCCCCTAATCACATCTGTAAAGACTATTTCCAAATATGGTCACCTTCCCAGGTGTATCAAGTTAGGACTTAGACTTACCTTCTAGGGGACATGATTCAACCTACTACAAATGGTAAGAAGTTCTGCAGGATCCACACTAAGAAGCTGCTAATTCCTAAGGAATACAGATAGAGGTCACTGCTAAGTAGTTTTGCACTAAGAAGAGACAAAAAACCTTAAAATTAAACCATATATAAGAATAAGGGTAAGCACTTTTCAAATTAAATTGGAGACCATACCAATTTTAATCATTCATCTTTAATAATAAAATAGGTTCCTATGCAGTACATACCTCAAACATAAACTTAAGGTTCTGTTTAACAACAACCAAAAAAAAAAAAAAAATAGGATGGAAATGTGTCACTAAATAACAAAGTAAATGTCTTTAAACATGAAGACCTTAAATTCATATCCAAGCAAAAAGACGAAGAATAAGTTAACCCAACTTGTTTACAAAAATAATTATTTATCAAGTAAGCTTTTATAGTAGAGCTGCCTCAATGAACTGCCTCAGACTTAATCTCAATGGTGTAGCTTGAAATAGATTTCCTTTATTAGCAGGGATAAGAAGTATCTGAATGAATGTGTCATTAAATTAAGGAATACTTTCCCAAAAACAATAAAAAGTTTAAAAATAAAAACTGTCATTTATTTATAAAATATCAAATAAGGCCTCTGACTGAAAAAAAGAAATCTATATAATGTTTGGGCCATTAGCCCTTTTCTATTCAATCAGTCTCATCCACCCCATTCACCCCAAACTTAAGATAAAAAAATTCTCAAGTGTAGTTTTGAATTTTACCAATATATGAAATTATACATAAAATTACCATATAAAGTAATATTTAACAAATTATATACTCAAAGTATAATTTTCCATTTGTCTTAATTTTAATACGTATTCAACATAAATGAGTACAATATATTTAACCATGTTTGACACTCTTCTTTTATCCCTTTTTAATACAATCACCACAACATAAGAAAATTTAGGTTTCAACTGATGTTAAAGCACATTTCTGTATCTGGTGGTTTTTAAAAAAATTACATATTATATATTTGACATTTTAAAAGACAACAGAAACAAATCCACAGATTACTCCACCTTTACCCCCACTTTCAGCTGAAAGGTTTTAAGAAAAATCTTGCAGGTTATGAGGACCAGATGGAGCTTAAAAACAGATCCGGAACTTTTTTTTTGAAATTGTATTTACTTTTTTTTTTTGTATCTCAAGAATACTTAAAGGAAAAAAAAAAGGGTTCTATGAGCCAGAGGAATTCCCAATTCACTTTGAAATTACCATACCTATCTTGCCATATCAAACATTTCAATTCTGTTAACTAAATGAACTACATAATATCCTTAAAAATCAGCCAGAGAAGAGAAAAACAAATCTCGTCTTCATTATTGACTTTGAACCAAAACTTATTCTTTCAAAGGAGTAGTTTAACCTACTAAATATGTCTATTATAAGATCTTCTTTCTTAGAAAGTAGTATTCCTTCTTTTTCATTCCTGAAATGGTATTTCTTACACTTAAACAAGTTATGGACAATTGTTAGCTAAGTATCAGTTATGATAAATTGCTAAAATTAAATTATCTGTTTAAGGTACATATAACACATTCCTATAGCCTTTAAAACTGTATTTTCTTTCACAAAAATTTAAATAAATGTGAAAGTAGGCAATCACTAGAAGTCTCATGGTACATAAACTTTGCATCAACTTTGACGCCAAATAAGGATGAAATTTAGCGTACAAATCCTCCGTTCACAAAACAGTGGCAAAAATTTATATTTTTAAATTGGTATAATTTTATGCATTCTCAAACATTTACTGGGAATATTCAAGTTTACCTAATTAATCACCCAGAAAGCCAGCAGTACTGCCAAAAGCTCTTGGTATATTCAGTAGTCACTGTGAAAACTTTTCATTTCTTTACCATTTGGCAATGGCTCAGTTTCTATTTTCCAATTATGTTTTGGAATAAAGTCTATGACCATTAACTATGCATTTTTTGTTGCTATCTCATAGCCCGTGCACTGTACATATTTACAGAGAAAAAAATAAAGGATTGAATTTTCTGTCCATTCATTCATTCACTTATTTGACCATTTGGAGCCATGTAAGAAGCTCACAGACTCAGAAACTCTTCAGCTCTTCCTCAGACTCAAATCACTGTTGGTCACTAATGCTGACAAAGAAGTACTTTCCGACGCATCATCTTTCCTTAGGTTCAAAAATGATTCTCGAGTTATTTGAAGGATCTCTCTCAAGCCTTTGTTTTCTTGCTAAAAGGCAAGCAAAAACAAAGATGCAGTCACTATCTACAAGGTAGCTACAACATCACAAACATATGTTAGGAAAAACTGAACATATGAAGGTATAACAAACAAGCAAGGTCTGTAATTGGCATTAATCTACTCAATGATATATGCAGTTGGCAACTTGAATCTAAAGAACACTTATGCAGCTAGGAATCGTGTTCAACATCTTCCACCACTGCAAAGCCTTCTTACTTAAGCAGCTATAATTGTAAACAGAAGCTCAGAAATTGCCTTATTTTACAATCACATTAGAGATGAAGAAAATAACATCTAGATTTATTTTTATATAAACTCGTAAAGCCAGTGAATAGGCTAGAATCTCCTAGTAATTTTTAGTATTTTTATTACTTTCCATGATAGCATGGAATGTAGGACAAGTTTAGCTCATTGGCATTTGAGAGCAGCAGGGTAGGGGTAGCTGATGATATTTTTCAAGAAGGAAAGTAAGTGACCAAATCTGGCACTGGTAAATAACTTTGCTTTCTGGCCTCCTTTTGGTTAGTTACTGTAAAAAAATTTGTAGACATTTAACAATAACCTTTCATAATTTGTTCTCTATCACTTTATCTTCAGTCTCACTTTCTAAATTTTAGTAGTCTAAAGCAGGTTCCCCGCCGTGATTTCAAAATGAAGCTCTTAAGGCATAAAAGTCTATTGTACTGATTTCAGTTATTCAGAGACTGGTACTTTCACTGTCATAAAATAAAGGACAGATGACAAAGGTTTTTAGAATCCCCAGAAAAATAAGAGTGCCCCTAAATATTTGTGGATTAAAAAAAATTTCCCTGTATCACTATGATCTCTAATAGAATAAACAAAATTTTAAAAATGACTCAATTGAAGAAGTACATTCACTTCATAAGATAAGCAATATAGAATGAAACATCAATTTTCTACATTACTGGTATATTGTAAGTTACTAATAATCCTAGATTCTTGCATCACCACATAAATGGTCTTGCATAATATGCCCACATAGACAGCATCCAGGAGAACATTACCAGTACCCAAGAAGAGTAAATATATATTTAAAAATGGGATATATTTTCTGGCATAAATCTTTATATGGACAGTTTTCATCTACATTTGCAATGTAAAACTTACTTCAAGTTGAAATATTCGTTCTTGTTCCTTGCAACCCTGTTGCTCGTCAATTTCAATGGCTTTCCTCATTACTGCTGCCATTTCAGTTATCTGGTCAACATGTGCTTGCAGTTCCTGAAAAAGAGGGATGGGAGTTGGAAATCAGCAAAATACTTTTTTATTTTTGGATCCTCTCCTTTTTATAAAATCTGCAGTACCACTTAACATGAATATTCTTACATTGTCACTTAATATGAATAAAACAAATATTAACAATGAAGTTGGTTGACCACAGATGTGCTTTTGAAATCAAATTTGTTAGGACTAGAATTAAGAATAAGCAGCACAATATAACTAAACCTAGCAGCAAGAAAAATACTCATATTTTACATTCCTCTCACCACAATGATCAGCAACTTTTTCTTTTTTTTTGCACTTACATACACTATTGTTCAAAGTAACGGGAATGATAAAAATTGCCGACGCATTCAATCTCTTTTCCTCCCTGAAGTCTTCAATGATTTAGAAATCTTTTCTGTATTGTTCAGGCCTATAAAGTTATCTCAATCCAATCTGTAACCTTTTCTAGGTCATAATCCTCTTTGAGAGCAGGAACTGCATCTTTACATCCACCTACTATCTAGTGTATGGTATATGGTAAGTATTGAATAAAATGAGCACAATTCTGCTTTTCAGTATTAAAATATTAAATGGCCTTCTTTGCTAACTATTGAAAATATAGTATCAGTATAATACAGACATCCACATTTGTTAGGCGCAGCAAGTAGCATAAATTCTTCCAATCTCATTTTCTTATCTTGCACACCTATGATGTGCCAGTACTATGCTAAACAACAGGAATACAAAGACTGTCAAGACATGTCCCCTGATCTGAAGAAGCTTACAGTCTAGTGAAAGAGACAGACAAAAAAGGTTTAAAATCAACAGAAACTCGAGAATAATCATTTTCTCAATGAACAGCTTCTATAGACCATTATTCACAGCAACTGAGAGGTATTTTATCATATTAAGCCTAAGACTTAAATATAAAAGTGAATAACTCCCCAAATAAACAGTCTCTTCAGTAGTTGTGTATATATATATTTGTAAAAAGGATTTAACAGTACTCCAAGAAACCCACGGAACTAATAAGCTGGAAGAAATGACAAGGTAGTATCTTTGGCAAAGCACATTTAATAACCTCTTAACCAACAAAAATGTAGGTCCTTTTCATGGGGAAACCTATACACTGCTAGTACTCAGCAAGAAGGTACTCTAAAAGGCTAATCTGTGCTGTCCAAAACAATGTTAAACTTAATTAAAATCAATACATTTTTAAAAATTAACAATTCAGTCCCTCAAACGCATTAGTGACACTGCAAGTGCTCAACAGCCACATGTGGCTACTGGCTTCCACACTGGACAGCACAGATAAAAAACATTCCAATCATTTCAGAAAGTTCTACTGGATAGTTTTGAATTAGATTATGGTAGGAAGAATGATATTAAGACAAGTATCTGTCATATTCTGCAAGTTAACCATTAAAATTCCTCCCATTGTCAAGGAAGCATAATATGTAAAAGCAGGTTAAGTACAGATCATTGCAGCTGCAAACTGAGTAAGGGTAATGAGTAAAAACTTTGAATACCAACAGCATCCTCAATTTATGATTTGGTCAGTCCTATGGCACTGACCTAAGTTAAAAAACTACACAGAAAGCAAGCATTTCTTTTTTTTTAGACAGAGTCTCGCTCTTGTTGGCCAGGCTGGAGTGCAATGGCACGACCTCGGCTCACTGCAACCTCCCACTCCCAGGTTCAAACAATTCTCTTGCTTTAGCCTCCCGAGCAGCTGGGATTACAGGCACCCGCTATCACGCCTGGCTAACTTTTTGTATTTTTAGTAGAGATGGGGTTTCACCATGTTGGCCAGGCTGGTCTCCAATTCCTGACGTCAGGTGATCCACCCACCTCAGCCTCCCAATTACAGGCATGAGCCACCATGCCTAGCTGAAGCAAGCATTTCTTTGCCTTTAAAATAGAAGGAAAAAAACTACTGATTTTTTCAGTACCAAGTCTAACAAAGCTCATCATGAGAAAAAACCCAATACTTCAAATAGGGCAGCACTTTTATAAAAGGTCATGGTAATGGTTCACTTATTTAATTATAAAATCTTCAGAGAAGTATCACAGATTTTTTAACAAGCACAAGAGGCAAGATCTGTGCTTTCAAAACTGTCTGGAAGACAAGAAGTGTCACCAACATAACCCTTGAACTGTCTTGAAATGTCTTTCATTTCTAACTCCCTGTCTAGGTTTATTCCTCCTTTATTCAATAAAGACCTGCCACAAGTGAGTTAAAAAAAAATTAAGACACAATGGAGAGAGCACTACTATACTTAATCCTAACATCTAAACAAAGGCATTTTAATTTCATTTGCAAAATCAAAGGACTACAAACTATCCACAATCTGAATTAAAACATTTAATACTTTGACCTTATGAAATCAGTTTAAAATTAATGCCAAGAAAATATCTTTGATGTCCAGAAAGGAAATGACTGTTTCACAGCAACAACTAACAAGAGCAAATAAATAAAGCGTTGGACTGAATAACCTATAAAACCTGCAAATATCTAACAGGCTGTACATGATACAATACACAGAAAATTAATGAGAGATTTAAAGTTTCTACACTGAACAGCATGGCTATTAAAGACACAACATTCTTTTAATAAATTTCATTTATTTGCTGATCTAATCTGGGAGGGAAATTCAATGTAAAAGCACTTTTAAAATGGACCCCCCTTCCATCCACACCCCAAAA
Organism: Homo sapiens; assembly: GCF_000001405.40. Lineage (NCBI taxonomy): Eukaryota > Metazoa > Chordata > Mammalia > Primates > Hominidae > Homo > Homo sapiens. Next base: position 26,960,650 of record NC_000012.12, on the reverse strand, counting down.
GTTGACTGTTTATTTAGTGTACATTCTGATTTGCTTCCAAGTGCCTTCTCTCCAGTCCATGTTGAGGTGCTTCAAGGATGTGTCGAGATGCATCAAGGAAGAATCCTTCGGACTTGTTACGATGTACCATGTCAATCTGTAGTATAGAGTCATTATAATGTTAATACGGATATCATCCGTAATTTAAAAACTGAATGAGTGTTAGTTCATGCGTGTTAGCCAACTGTTTGAAATGTTTGCTTTTTTAAGATTTCCAAAAAGGCATCTGTTCAAAAATAACATGAAAATTAGTATTTGGGTAAAAATGAGCTCTCAAACTTTCTACTGATTTTTTAAGTATGTGCTCAAAAACTTCTAGTTAAGGGCAAAGTTCTGTATTATAACAGTCTCAAAAGGATCTCTTACTCCAATCCAAAATGCTGTTATGTGTAACTCTGTTTCTTAGCTCTAAATGTGTTGTAAAATTACTTTTGTGTTTAGGCATATCAGAGCACTAGTACCTAAACACACCCTACAATACCATACTTTTTGTGCTTTTATTATACAAGTTTCTCTGCCCACCCACCCACTTCTGCTTGTTTACCTACCTGCCCATAATTAATTCAAGGCTGGACTGAGACAGACTTTCTTCCCTTCCTTGTTACCTTTCCAGATTTTCCTTATGACAGTTAATATTGTTCCCTCTAGCGTTCCAGTAACAATTCATCTACTTTGGGATTCATCACGCCCTACCTTATAGTAGATTGTTATGTTTGTGTCTGTATCTCCCACTATACTGCAAGCTTGTACATTCATCTTATTATTTCCCATAACTAACCCAGTGCCAGTATTAATGTTTGTTTAATTAAGTCGAAGTGTCTCCTTTTTGGGAAAAATCAAAATCACAAACATTAATATGTATTAGTGAAAATTAATAACAAATAACTGAATAGTCATTTTATGGGAGGCAAGGATCATCTGAACTTAGATGAAGAATTCAATCTACATAATAAAAAAGGATGGCTTACAGCTATCTTAGGAAATGTTTAACCTTACTAATTAATAAACCAGCTCTGGTGAATAGTAAAATCTAATATATTTTAGGAAACATTTGCTTCTGTCATAGTTGCTACCAGATGGGACCTGCAAGCTATAGTTATCCTATTCTAAGCACTTTTTTTGTAATGGTATTCTTCGCTTTAGATCTTTAACATTTTATTTTTAGGTTATAAAACATACAAACCTTTTAGAAATTCTCAAGATTATATTTATCTTACAAATAATATTAAGTCAACTCCTTTTAGTGCCTTTAAAAAGTCTTAGTTACTATAGTTATTATTATACCTTTAAATTTAAATGATTTTAGAATGGTCTCATTAACAATAGTTAAATTTTGTATTCAAAAGATCACCACTTAAACATCCCTGGATTGCCATTTGATTAGGAGATGAATAGCATAATTAGAAAACATTAAACACAAATTTTTAATTTAATTTATTATTTTACTGGTTGACACAAGAGGTACCTATCATTAGGTTTTCTAATATAATAAAGGCATATAAAGAGCTATTTGATAGGTATTTAATTCTAATAGAATTAATTACTAATAAGTTAAAAACACGTACAAGCACCAAAATGGAAGAAGTATTTTAAAGAATCTAAAATGTGTTTCAATAATAGATAAATATGAAAATATGTCCTTTCCTATTTCTGTTGTAACAAATGGGGAAAAGAAGGCTCATAATCACTGTTTCTTAAATAATATTGGTAATAATAATAGTCAGCTCACCATTATCTAATACAGGTAACAGTCTAGTTTCCACAATCTAGTTTATTATTTTTATTTCATATCAGCAACTAAAACTCAGTTTAAAATAAATATGTGAGAAAGGATTATTCTACTTGTCTTCATAGCAGTTGCCATAAAATATGCCATAAAATATGGGGACATACCAAAGGGAATAGACACAGGGATGACAAAGGGATGAACAGCAGGTAAAACACTAATTTCTAACTACTTCAGCTTTGTTTCTAAAAAATGATGTCAACTGGTATACAATACTGGGGCAAGGGAGCAAAATTTTACTATGTTGGTTCTTCTCCTGAACCCCATGTTTTTTCCATTATAATAAACAAGATCATTTATAGTCTGGATGAATTAGCCTTATTCAGAAAACAGTCTTAAGAAAAATCTACATTAAACTGCTTTCAGATTTTAAAAAAGGTTTCCATTATTTTTTGTTTTTGCAAGAGAAGTCAATACACAAATTTATTAGAAAAAATGTTTCTTAAAAAAATTTCTGTTTTTTAAGAGACAGGGTCTCACTCGGTTGTCTAGATGGGAGTGCAATGGCATGATCGTAGCTCAATGTAACCTCAAACTCCTGAGCTGAAGTGGTCTATCCACCTCAGCCTCCTGAGAAGCTAGGACTGCAGGCATGTGCTACCACACCCGGCTAATTTTTTTACTTTTTGAAGAGATGGAGTCATGCTATGTTGCCCAGGCTGGTCTTGAACTTCTGGCCTCAAGTGATCCTCCTGCCTTGGCCTCCCAAAGTGCTGGGATTATAGGCGTAAGCCACCATGCCCAGCCCTTTAAGAAATATTTCTTAAAAGTATATAGCCCTACAAAAATAATGTTGAAGAGACCAGACTTACCTTTATATCCAAAATAAAATTTATTTTTCAACGTACAAATTAAAGTTTCTAAGAAACAGTGAGAGTTTATAAATCAAACAGAAAATGATATATAACAAGAAATGGAAAAATAAGAAAAAGGAGAAAATGTCAATTAAAAAGATGAAACATTCAACATCATGTTAAAATGCCATTACTAGATACCTGTGATTTTTTTCAAAAAAAATCTGAACACAGAATAATCAATCGTCTCTCTTTTCCATTTCAGGTCACATTTATAGAATGGATTACCTTGGAGTGCTGCTCTTTTAACTTCATTATTATACCCGGATCATCTTTTTTGCTAGCCATTAGCAATCTAAACATTTGTTCTCGGTACTTGCTCATTATAAGTTCCAAGGCCGACTGATGTTCTTCCAGAGATGTACGTAATTCTATCAAGAATAATATTGTATTTTATTCCAACTTGAGTTAAAAGTACACAAAATATTCTCTTCCACTAAGCAACTTATGAACGGGACATTTTAAAAAGAAAACACAATGCACAAAAATCTAGCCATATAACAATAAGAGACACCAAATGAAGTCCCGTATTAGTTTTTTGAATATTTTAAGCTTGTTTCTTGAGAATCATTTCAACAAAGATGTACTAAACAGCAATTAATATCGGCCAAGGCTCCCTCTATATTAAGGGCCACAGACCTCAAGAGTCTAGTAGAGAAAACAAGCATGTGGTAGGTGGCAGAGTGGAGTGTTAAGTCAAATAGATTTAAGAGATGTCTATGGGAAGAAACTGGTGGAAGCTTTGTAGAAGTACAGTGTGAGTTCCCTCAGTTGAAAAGTGAAGGAATGGACCTTCTAAGCAGGTAGGCATGAAAACAGATGACGTGTTTAGGAAGTGATTGGTGTTGGCAAGAGCAAAGAGTTCACAGTGAAGAAAGCTGTGGGAAGAAGATTTAAAAAAAAGGCTGGGAAATGATTTTTAGGGACCCTGTAAAAGGTAATAAGTATATAATGAAAGTTCTTAGGCAAAAGAATTACATGATCAGACTGATTTTTGAAATATCAATCTGATGGTTATGTTGAAGACAGATTGGAAGGGGGAAGAGAGACTGGAATCAGGGAGATCAGTTTGGACATTTCAGGCAAGAGACTGAGCATCTAATCTGGGGGCCAATGCAGTGGGACTGCAGAGAATGAAGCTGGGTTATTTCATAGCTAACAACAGCAGTGCTAACTGGATATTAAGGGTGAGAATCTAAGAGGATGTCAACCAGGCAGATGTTCATATGTGGGACAGGATAAAGAGCAATAAATACGATTTAGGAATATAGACTAGAAATGGGATTAATGTCAAAAAGTAACGTATCTTACCTTTGTTTTCTTGTTGCAACTCTCTGATTTGTCTGTTTTCTTGCTGGATTCCCATAACTAACGTGGACCGTGGCCGATGTCTCGCGACTTCATTAAGTTCTTGAATTTCTTCCTGATACTAATGGGGGAGAAAAACATGTGGGATGAAAATACCTGCAAATATATATATATATATATATATGATATATAAATATAAATATATCTGAAATATACATATAAAAAATCTGATAAGAGCTTAGTATCCAGAATATATAAAGAACACTTACAACTCAACAATAAAATGAAAATAACCCCATTTTTAAAAGTGGCAAAGGATTTGAATAAACATTTATCTAAAGAAGATATACAAATGGCCAATAAGCACATGAAAAGATACTTAATTAACCTAACTAGTCATTAGGAGAATGCAATTCAATATATCCCACGAGGATGACTGTAATGAAAAAGACAATAACAATTGTTGGAGAGGATGTGAAGAAACTGCAACCTTCCATACATTGTTGATGGAATGTAAAATGATGTAGTTCAGGGGTGTCCAATCTTTTGGCTTCCCTGGGCACATCGGAAGAAGAATTATCACGCTGCACATAAAATACACTAATGCTAACGATAGCTGATGAGCTTTTTTTTAAAAAAAAAAAATCTCATAATGTTTTAAGAAAGTTTGTGAATTTGTGCTGGGCCGCAATCAAAGCCATCCTGGGCCATATGCAGCCAGCAAGTCACAGGTCGGACAAGCTTGGCATAGCTGCTTTGGGAAACAATGTGGCAGATCCTCAAAAAATTTTAACAGAGTTATTATATGACCCATCCATTCTACTTCTACATATATACCCAAGAAAACTGAAAACATATGTCCACACAGAAACTTGTACACAAATATTCATAGCAGCATATTCTTACCAGCCAAAAAAGTAAAATAATCCAAATGCCTATCAGCTGATGAATGGATAAGCACAATGTGCTGTATCCTTACAATGCAATATTATTTGGCAATAAACAGGAATGAAGTACTGATACATGCTATAACATAGATGAACCTTAAAAACATTATGTTAAGAAGCCAATCACAAAAAGCCGCATATTTTATCATTCCATTTATATGAAATGTCCAGAATAGGCAAATTCAAAGAGATAGAAATATTAGTGGTTGCCAGAGACTGAGGAAAGGGGAAACTAGAGAGAGACCACTGATGGATGTAAGGTTTTGTGGTGATGAAAATGTTCTGGAATCAGGTAGTGGTTATACTGCATAACCTGCAAATGTGTACTAAAATCCAATGAACTGTACCCTTCAAAAAAGTAAATTTTATGGTATGTGAATATCTTAATAGAACATGTACAAAAGAAATGCAAAAAGATTTTCCATTAAGAAAATGAGAATCTTATTTTAAAATTGCACTTATTTATTTTCAAGGCATTCTCATGAGACACTTAGTAACATATTCATTATAACACTCCTGGTTCTTAACTTCAGATGTCAAACTCCTTTTTTAACAACTCAATACCAGATATATGTTCACTGAAGTGCCTGAGTCTAGCTGGACAGTTGGTTAGGGATGCAGGTAAATCTGTTTAGGGCAACACAGTTGTAAAACCAAATAACTAAACTTGCTCCACTATTTCCAGTAGCTTTGTTAAAAATACTATCCCAGAATTGCTTCCTTTTACAAAATAGATGAGGAGATTTGGCTGTGAATATACATTTTCCCCCTCTGATTTCCATCATAATGTCAGAGATTTTATAATTTTCTTAAATGACTTGAAAATTTTTATCAGAAGAAGGTTAAAATAGTGTCTAAACTCCGTGGCCCATGGGAATATTCTGTTATACAATAGTAAAAATAGCAAGAAGAAAGCCCTTATGTATTCTTTAATTGGTAGCACTGAATGAAAAATAAGGTAGCAAGTATGGGTACAATAACTGCACAGAGTATAAATCACATATTACCTTGCATCATTTTCAAAAGCTATTTTGTTGTTAAACAGCATCACCTAAGTACTTTTATAAAGAAAAATATGAACATTTCTACATTATACAAGACAGAACAAAATGTGTACCAACATTAGTAAAAGGTATTATCTGGTCTTTGTCAAATGTTTCTAGACCTAACAAATTCATTTATTTTCTAAACTCAAATGTGCAACTCTGTCAGCAAAATAAGTGATCAAATCTAGGGTTTAGAAATATATGTCTAGGTATATCACCTGAACACGACAAAATTAAAGTAAACCTGAAACACACAAGTCAAGCTACTTTAAAATTTTAGAGAATGTTGAAAAAAATTAGATACTAATTAGCCAGCAATACATAAATGTCAATGACTGCTTTTGATAAATGGAATGAACAAGAAAGAAAAATCAAACCTGTTTCATGGCTTCTACTCGCTTGTTGAGAGCTGTGGTTTGCTCAATCAGAGATTCTGCTGCATCGTCATGATCTCTTAATCTTTCAACAAGAGCTTTAGCGTCGGCAAGTGCCTTCTCAATTGTGCAACTCATTTCTAAAGATATATCTATAATTAAAATTAAAATCAAGACTCAAAATAAAGTCAACATATCTCTTTATTTTAGCTTCATGTCAACACAGATATGCTTCTTAAGCCACATTTGTTACAGTATTGTTCACTGTCCAGGGAGGAAAAAACACCTAAGAACACTGTGGTTTTGCTTCTGTTAGGATACTACAAACTTGAAAGTAAATTTATACTATTACAAAAAAATTAGAACACAGTTAAAAGATTTGCAGACAGAACTAGAACGCATTTAAAACACTCTAAATTTACAGTGGGGAAAAAAGTACATGTCCAAGGAATATAATGTTATATAGAAATTTGCCCTTTATGAGGGCATTCCCTATCTTGTCACTTTTGAGGAAGATCATTTGGTTTACTGGTCAGTATTCTGGGGTCAATGACTGTCTGAAAACTTTGACTGTAAGAATGCTTCCTAACCTCTGCTTGGTCAGGTGACTTGACACACTGTTCACAAACACTGCTGACCAGCCGAAGTGGCCTCAATGTGTCATGCTACATTAAAGTCTCAACCTCTTCTTGGAAGAACTTCTGCTTCTTACATAAAGTTGCATTATAATTCTAACTCTTGCATCTTCCTTAAAGTGCAAAAAAAAGTTTTGACTTAGGACAAAACTGGTAATTACAGGAAACTTCTGATATGCTAAAATCAGTAAGCAATATGTTTAAGAGTAGCTGAAAGAAATATGAGACAAAACATGAAACAGTCAATTGTCAGCTTCTTCAACTGGTATGTAGAAACCTCAAACAAAATTTTAATAATTTTAAAGTCTCTTTCCAAAACTTTAAGTTTCTCCTGAAACTTACACTTACCCTCCTTGAAATCTTTTATCTTCCTTTTTTTTTTTTTTTTTTTTTGGAGACACAGTCTCGCTCTGTCGCCCAGGCTGGCTGGAGTGCAGCGGCGTGATCTCGGCTCACTGCAAGCTCCACCTCCCAGGTTCACGCCATTTTCCTGCCTCAGCCTCCCGAGTAGCTGGGACTACAGGCACCTGCCACCACGCCTGGCTCATTTTTTTGTATTTTTAGTAGAGTCGGGGGTTTCACTGTGTTAGCCAGGATGGTCTCGATCTCCTGACCTCATGATCCGCCCGCCTTGGCCTCCCAAAGCGCTGGGATTACACGTGTGAGCCACCGTGCCCAGCTGAAATCTTTTATCTTTCTACTAAGTTTTACCTAACGTTCAATATAAGTCATCCTTTCTTCAGGGTTTCCTCAAAAAATAAAATCACACTAAATTACCAGGCCAGAAGCCACGTCTACAGAAGTTAAATTAAAATTTGGTGTAGATCCAAGTGAAGGGTTATAAACAAAGACTTTCATCAACTTTATTAAAACAGCAATTTGCCACAGAATTCAGGACTTTGTTATATACCACTGCCCTGGACTACAGATCTGTACCAACTAGTCCAATTAATGATTATCCCCTCCAATACAAAAAAAAAAAAAAAGCAACAAGTAGCAAAGAGAAAATTTAAATAACTCAACAGTATAAAATATTTCATAAAACACATCAGGCAATTTCAGAAGACTTTCTCCTGTTATTTAAATCGCCAATTTAGAAAATGTCCAATATATGATCAGACATTTCCAGAGAGCCTTAAGAAGTAAACAAGCTGGAAATTAATATAACTTCTGGCTCTCTAGAGAAAACCACCACAAGATTTGTCTTGTAAGATTCAGGAGGTTTAGATAAGGATGCTTGAAAATATGAGGAGTAAAAGGGCCATTAAAGGAACCAATATTGTCTGATACTGGCTAATACCCAAAAGGACAACTACCCAAAATCTATCCGAAGATGCCGTTCTGAGAGAGGCATTAGTGCCCAACAATACCCTGTACTTCCTCTAAATTTCCAAAGGAAATTATCTAAAACTGTAGACAGACAACTTTCTTATTTGTTAAGAAAGTTAACATAAATAGGTTAAATGGACATCACTATAACTCCCATTAATCCCATTACTATAGAACATCGGATCCTTCTGAGTAAACTTTTAAAGCTGTCTGTAAAGCAAAATTAAAAAAAAAAAAAAAAAAAAGGACGGGCACTGACTTGTACTAAGAAAAATGAAATAACCAAAAAAATTGGTTTTATAGTAAAAATAATAGTTTATAACAGATGGTGAAAGTAATAAAAGACAAATTTGAAACTCTACAACAAATTGTAAAAGATTTGAGAGAAAATAAAGTTTACCTTGGTTTAATAGAACTCAAGTAATAGAACTCTCTAACAGTCCTAATCTGTAAATGATATTGTTGGGACTACTATAAGAAGAACCCTTCTTTACACACTAAAACATAACATCTACAAATGCAATAGACAGGATCTGTTTCCAAATAAAACGCAATAAGGTCCTATATATGATCAGATAGCTAAATAGCCCTCAGTCTAGATAGTCTTCCTACATAATCATAAATCTTTTTGAGTACAAAAATAGTACCCTGTGTCCTGGGAGTATTAACAACACGACATCAAAACCCCACTGTCTATTATATTGTATACCTTGGGCTGGGCGCAGTGGCTCACACCTGTAATCCCAGCACTTTGGGAGGTCGAGGAGGGCAGATCACTTGAATTCAGGAGTTCAAGACCAGCCTGCCCAACATGGTGAAACACCGTCTCTACTAAAAATACAAAAATTAGCTGGGCGTGGTGGCACACACCTGTGATACCAGCTACTCAGGAAGCTGAGGCAAGAGAATTGCTTGAACTTGGGAGGCAGAGGTTGTAGTGAGCCAAAATTGCACCACTGCACTACAGCCTGGGCAACAGGCTGTCTCAATAACTAACTAAATAAATAAATACAAAAATTAGCCGGGCCTGGTCGGGGGGTGCCTGTAATCCCAGCTATTTGGGAGGCTGAGGCAGGAGAATCACTTAAACCCAGTAGGCAGAGGTTGCAGTGAGCCATAGCACCACTGCACTCCAGCCTGGGCCTCAGAGTGAGGCTGCATCTCAAAAAAAGAAAAAAAAAAAATCGTATACCTTAATTCAGCAGCTAAGGTTTAGCTTCCCTGCCTCCGAGCAATTATAAACCTCAACTGAATTAATCAAAGCATCTTCAGAGGTTATTCTAGGTCTTTAAACCTCATGTTACCATGCATAGTAAATCCCTATTGCTAAAGGAAACCATCCAAAATTTCTATCATTTGAGTAATCATGAAATATTGCTACTCTCTCTTTTTCATATTACCATTCACTGTGTAACAGTATTAATCCAGCAACCTTTACCTACTGCAAGGAAAATCTCATGATTGTGATTCCATAACTCAAGAAGTATTCAAGTCCAAAACAAAACTTTTGAATTTTCTAGTACCAAATCCTGACTTTACTGTTTGTTAATGGGTTTTATCTTAAAAACAAAAATCAGCAGTATCAGGCTTGATATGCAACAGGTACATCAGTCACTGTGATAAAATTCAATTTCTTACCAGAAGCCAGACTGATCAAATGACTTAACTGTGCTCCACTAAGATGGAGCAACTTACTGAAAGTAAATATATACATGAATAGGTGATATGCTTTTAGAATAATCCACTTCTCTGAAATGCTGCAAAGAAAAGAGGTTTCTCAGATATCCTTTTAAAAACAATGAATACAGGGCAGGTGCGGTGGCTCACGCCTGTAATCCCAGCACTTTGGGAGGCCGAGGCGGGTGGATCACGAGGTCAGGAGATCGAGACCATCCTGGCTAACACAGTGAAACTCCGTCTCTACTAAAAATACAAAAAAAAAATTAGCCGGGCGTAGTGGCATGCGCCTGTAGTCTCAGCTACGCAGGAGGCTGAGGCAGGAGAATAGCGTGAACCCGGGAGGCGGAGCTTGCAGTGAGCCGAGATTGTGCCACTGCACCTCCAGCCTGGGTGACAGAACGGGACTCTGTCTCAAAAAAAAAAAAAAAAAAAAAAAAAACAACGAATACATTAACTACTTGATGGCTTGATGGTAGCTGCCTAATATAACTGCTATCATAAAGGTAGAAACAATATTGTAGATACCATAGAAATACCTTAAAGTTCGTTACTATAAGCGGGATGCTTTGACTAAATGTCCTTATGCAAAAGCCTCATATGAAACTGTAAAATAAACCCATGAAGAAGTTAAAAGACTCCATGATAGATACACAAAATTTGGCCTGTCAAATTTCAAAAGAACCATTGTGACCATCAAGTTGTAAGATCCATGAAGATAAAAACTGACATAATCAGAATGGCTACTTGATAGTACCACATAACACCTCAAACAGGGCCAGGCACGGTGGCTCACTCCTGTAATCCCAGTACTTTGGGAGGCTGAGGCAGGTGGATCACCTGAGGTCAGGAGTTCGAGACCAGCCTGACCAATAATGATGAAACCTCATCTCTACTAAAAATACAAAAATTAGCTGGGTGTGGTGGCATGCGCCTGTAATCCCAGCTACTCGGGAAGCTGAGACAGGAGAATCGCTTGAACCCGGGAGGCAGAGGTTGCAGCGAGCCAAGATCGCATCATTGCACTCCAGCCTGGGCAACAAGAGCAAAACTCTGTCTCAAACAAAAAAAACCTCAAACAGATACTACTCCATGAAACATTTCATTTAAGTAGAAAAAAATGGCCACAATATTAAACACGAATGGGAAAACTTACCTTGGATAGCATAGGATACTGGTTAATTCATGCTTCATTTGTAAATAAATTAATCTGGAAAAACTGTAGGCCAGGTGTGGTGGTGCACACCTGTAATCCCAGCACTTTGGGAGGCTGAGGTGGGTGGATCACCTGAGGTCAGGAGTTCGCGACCAGCCTAACATGATGAAACCCCATCTCTACTAAATACAAAAAAATTAGCAGGGCGTGGTGGTGCAAGCCTGTAATCTGAGCTACTTGGGAGGCCAAGACAGGAGAATCGCTTGTACCTGGGAGGTGGAGGTTGCAGTGAGCTGAGATCGCGCCATTGCACTCTAGCCTGGGCAACAAAAGCGAAACTCCATCTCAAAATGAAAAAGAAAAACTGTAATGGTGAATCAACGACTAAAACCATTCCTGAACAACTTTCTGAACATCTCTAAGAAGATTTTATGGAGTTGCCTCTCTCCATGGTTTAGAAATATTTATTATTATTTTTTTAAGTTTAGTTATTTTTAGAGGCGAGGTCTTGCCATCACCCAGGCTGGAACTCCTGGACTCCAAAGACCCTCCACTTCAGTCTCCTGAGTAGCTGAGACTATATAGGTGCATGCCACCATGCCAGGCAATATTCTTAAATATTCTAGTATGTTTACGTTATGAATACCTTAGAAGAGTCCCCTACCGAAAAGACACAATATTCACAATGACTAAAATACTGTATTTTGTGTATTCTCCCAAGCGCATTCTAACTTGTCATCCAATAATATAAAAACATATTTAACTTCAATAGTTGAAACTTATACATTTCGATGATGTAACACTTTGCTTCCTTCTAAGAAACCTTGTCTTCATCATTCCCAGTCCTCAGGAAACCCCAGGCAGGAGTTTCCAACAAGATCTAACTCCAGACACGTTGTAGTCACATTTCCAAAAACTAAAGACAAAGAGAAAATCTTGAAAGCAGCCAGAGAAAAATGACATATTACTCATAGAGAACAATTTGAATGACTGTAGGCTTCCCAACAGAAATGAAGGCCAGTAAAAAGTAGAACAACACTTTCAAAATGCTGAAAGAACAGACCTATCAACCCAAAATTCTATATCCAGCAAAAATATGTTTCATATATGAAGGTGAAATAAAAGTCATTCTCAGCTGAAGAGAAAGAAGAACTTATTTCCAGTAGACTTATTATAAAGAATACTCTTCAGTTAGAAGCAAAGTGTTATCAGAAGGAAACTTAGAACATCAGGAACAAAGGAAGACCAACTGAAATTGTAAATATCTGGGTAATTATTTTCCTCTTAGTTCTTTTAAATGTCTAATGTTTAAAAACAAGAATTATAACATTTATCTAATGAGATTTTTAATTTATGCAGGCAAATATATAACTACAAGAAAAAGGGAGGAGGCTAAAAAGGCCTATACATTGATCAGATTTCTACATTTCACTTGAAGTTGTAAAAATATCAATTTTAAGTAGACTTAAAAATTTACATATATTGTAATTCCTAATAAATCCCTAAAATAACTGCACAGAGATAATAGTCAAAACTACAATAGATTAATTGAAATGAATTAAAAAGTGTTCAATAACCCAAAAGACAGAGAAAAGGCAAAACAAAGGAATATCAAAGGAACAAAAAGAAAACAAATGATAAGATGGCAGAACTAAATCCAAACATGTTAATAATTTCACTAAATATAAATGTCCTCGACATTTATATTTAGATAAGATTAAGACAGATGATCAGAATTTTAAAAGAGGACCCAACTATGCATTGTTTATATAAAATTCACTTTAAATATGATATGGGTAGGTTAAAAGTAAAAGGACAGGCCGGGCATAGTGGCTCACACCTGTAATCCCAGCACCTTAAGAGGCCAAAATCGGAGGATTGCTTGAGCCCAGGAATTCAAGACCAGCCTGGGCAACATGGCAAAACCCTGTCTCTACAAAAAATTTAAAAATTAGCTGGGTGTGGTGGCACATGCCTGTAGTCCCAGCTACTCGGAACGGTGAGGGCGCAGTCAACCCTGGCTGTGCCACTGCACTCCTGCCTGGGTGACAAAGTGTGACCCTGCCTCCAAAAAAAAAGTTAAAAGGATGGAAAAGAGGATATACTGTACAAATATTAGTCAAAAGAAAACCAGAGGGCTAATAAGAACATGAAAACATGCTCAACATAACTAGCCATCACTGAAATGCAATTCAAAACCACAATGAGATATACCTACTAGGATGGCTATAATAGAAAAGATAGTAAGTGTTGGCTAGGATATAAAGAATGTGAAATGGTATAGCCACTTTGGAAAAGTCTGACAGTTCTTCAAAAGGTTAAACATGTGATCCAACAATTCCACTCCTAGGTACATACCAGGAAAATGAAAGTATGTCAATGCAAAAAACTGTACATGAATGTTCACAGCAATATTATTCAACTGATAAATGAGTAAATATGATGTGTTCATACAGTGGAATATCTGGCAAAAAAAAAAAAGTAGGGGGGAATGATGCCCTGAAACAGGCTACAACATGGATGAAAACTGAAAAAATTATGCTCAGTGAAAGAAGTCAGTCACAAAGACAATGTATCACGCCATTTATATAGTGTCCAAAAGAGGCAAATCCACAGAGGCTGAAAGTAGATTAGTGGATGTCTAGGACTGAGGGATTAGGAAAAGGAAGGAGGAATGGGAAGTGACTGTTAATGAACATACGGTTTCTTTTTGCGCGGGAAAAATGTTCTAAAATCAATTTTGTTGATGGTTACACAACTCTGAATATACTGAAAACCCTAAAAGTGTACACTTTAAATAGGTGAATAGTATGGTATGTGAATTACATATCTCAATAAAGGTGTTATATTTAAGAAAAGAGCTAGAGTGGCTATATAATATCAGACAAGGTCAGGCGCAGTGGCCCACGCCCATATAATCCCAGCACTTTGGGAGGCCAAGGCTGGCAGATCATGAAGCCAGGGGTTCCAGAACAGCCTGGGAAACATGGCCAAACCCCACCTCTACTAAAAATACAAAAAATTAACCGGGCGTGGTGGTACACACCTGCAGTCGCAGCTAGCTGGGAGGTGGAGGTAGGAGGATCACCTAAGCCCAGGAGGTTGAGGCTGCAGTGAGCCACAATCACGCCACTAAACTTTAGCCTGGGCAACAAAGTGAGACTTGCCTCAAAAAATAAATAAATATCAGACAAAGTAAACTTCAGAGAAAAGAAAATTACCAGGGACAGAGGAACATTACATGATGATAAAATGCCCAATCACCAAGAAGACATAAGCATCCTAAATGTATATACAACTATAATTAAAGAGCTTCAAAATACAAATGCACTAACTCAAACAACTGAAGGGATATATAGGCATATCCACCCTTACTGCTGAAAAATTAAACATTCCTTTCTCAGTAACTGGCAGACTTTGTACACAAAAATCAGCAATATAGGCAAAATGAACAGCATCCACTAACTGGCTTGAATTGATATTTATGAAATGCTACAACCAACAACAGCAGAGTACACATTCTTTTTAAGTGCTCAAGATATTCATGAGGATAGATCACATCCTGGATCACAAAACAAACCTTAACAAATTTAAGAGAACTGTAATCATACAAATTATGCTTTTTTTTTTTTTTTTTTGAGACGGAGTTTCACTCTTGTTGCCCAGGCTGGAGTGCGATGGCACATTCTCGGCTCACTGCAACCTCTGCCTCCTGGGTTCAAGCGGTTCTCCTGCCTCAGCCTCCCGAGTGGCTGGGATTACAGGCTCATGCCACCATGTCCGGCTAATTTTTGTATTTTTAGTAGAGATGCGGTTTCACCACGTTGGCCAGGCTGGTCCTGAACGCCTGACCTCAGGTGATCTGCCCGCCTAGGCCTCCCAAAGTGCTGGTATTACAGGCGTGAGCCACCACGCCTAGCCAGTACAAATTATGCTCTCTGATTATAATGAAATTAAACTAAAGTAAGTAATTAAGAGATAACAAGAAAAATCTCCAAACATCTGGAAGTTAAACAATGTACTTCTATATAATAAGTCAAAAAGGAAGTTTCTGGAAATTAGAAGATACTTTGATCTAAATAAACATGAAAATACAAAATATCAAAAATTTTGGCATGTATGTAAAACTCTACTTTGAAGCAAATTTATAGCATTAAATGTTTATATTAGAAAATTAGAAAGATCTCAAATCAATTATGTAAGCCTCAACCTTTAGGAACCTGGAGAAGAAGAGCAAAATAAACCTAAAGTAAATAGAAAGAAATAATAAAGAGTAGAAATCAACGAAATTGAGAACAAGAAAGCAACAGAGAAAACCTAATGAAATAAAAAGCCAGTCCTTGGAAAAAAATAAAAATTGAAAAACCTCCTGAAAAATTAACCAAGAAAAAAAGTCAGCAGACATAAATTACTAATGGAAAGAAGGGATATCAGGAAAGATGAGACATCACTACAGACCTCTAATTCCTTAAAAGGATAAGTGAACACAATAATAAATTCCATACACATGAATTGGATAATTTAAATGAAATGGACTAATTCCTCAAAAAACACAAACTACATAAAGTCACACAAGATGAAACAGACAACTATGAATAATCCTATTATAATTATTTTAAGAAACTGAATTTGTAATTAGAAATCTTCTGCAAAAAATCTCCAGACCTGGATGGCTTCAAGGACAAATTCTATCACACATTTAAAGAAGAAATAACACCAATTATTATACAATCTCTTAAAAAAATAATAGAAAAGGAAATACTTGTAATTTTAATCTCATAAACTGATGTCAGTATTACTGATACCAAAACCAAAGAGAATACAAGAAAACCACAGACTAATATCCTTCATTAACATAAATAAAAAATCCTTAAGGAAATATTAGTAACTCAAATTCAGCAACTCATAATGAGAGTAATATACCCTGACCAATGGGAGTTTATCCCAGATTCAAGGCTGTCTCCAATGTAATCCACTGAAGAAGAAAATCACTTATGCATACCAACTGGCATATTATTAAAAAATTCCGCATACTTTCATAATAAAAATTTTCTGCAAGCTAGAAGAGGATTTTTTTAAACTGAGAAAGGGCATTTTCAGAAAACTTACAGCAAACGTCATACTTCATAATGAATGACTGACTGCTTTCCCAATAAAATTAGGAACAAGGGAAGGATGTCTGCAGTCACCAGTCCTGTTCAATACATTGGTGTAATAAGGCTAGGAAGGGGGGAAAAACCATACAGGCTGGAAAAGAAGAAATAAAACGGCCCCTTTTCACAACCAACATTGTTGTCTATGTAGAAAACCCCAAAGAATCCAAAAAAGAACTCCTAAAACTACTACATGATTTTAGCAATGTCACAGGATACAAGCATAAGAATCAACTGTTTTTCTATATACTGGCAACAAACAAATGGAAACCAAAACTTTTTTTTTTAAAACACACATTTACAATAGCAAAACAAAACAAAACAACAACAACAAAAAAACACAAAAAACAAACCCTGAGATTCCTGGGCACAAATTAAAACATATGCAAAATTTGTTTGCTGATAACTACAAAATGCTAATGAAAGAAACTAAAGAGGATCTAAAAGAATGGAGAAACATACTGTGTTCATGGACTGGAAGACTCAACATAGTAGGGAAGTTTTCTTTTTCTTTTTTTTGAGACAGAGTCTTAGTCTGTCGCCCAGGCTGCTGGAGTGCAGCGGTACGATCTTGGCTCACTGGAACCTCCGCCTCCTGGGTTCAAGCGATTCTCTTGCCTCAGCCTCCAGAGTAGCTGAGATTACAAGCGTGCGCCACCACGCCCAGCTAATTTTTGTATTTTTAGTAGAGATGGGGTTTCGTCATGTTGGCCAGGATGGACTCGAACTCCTGACCTCAAGTGATCCTCCTGCCTTGACTTCCCAAAGTGCTGGGATTACAGGTGTGAGCCACTGCACCCAGCCGAAATGTCAAGTTTTCTGTAACTGTTGTACAAACAGTGCAATTTCCAGTCAAAGTCCCAGCAAGATTTTTTTAGAGAAATTGACAAGCTAATTCTAAAATTAGCTTGGAAATGCAAAGAAACTAGATAACAACAAAACAACTATGAAAACAAAAAAAGTTGAAGAAACTATTTGTTTTCAGTTTTTTTCACACTACCAAAGTTTAAGACTTACTATAAAGCTACTTCAATCAAGGTGGCATAGAGCTGATAGAAACAGAAAAGGTTTAGAGACAGGGCCATACAAAAATGGCCAATGGATTTTTGAAAAAGGTGCAAAGGCAAGTCAAAGGAGAAAGGTTGGCTTTTTTCAACAAATGGTGTTGGAAGAACTGGACATCTATATGCCAAAAGTTTAATCCCAACATAATTCCTACACTTAATACAAAAATTAACTCAAAATGGACCATAAGTCTAAATATAAAATTAAAAACAATAACACTTTCAGGAAAAAAATAAGAGAAAATCTTTGTGACCTGGGGTTAGGCAAAGGTTTTTGTAAACATGATACTAAAAGCATGATTCATAAAAGAAAAATTTGATAAACTGGACCTCATCAAAATCACAAACTTTTGCTCTGGGAAAGACACTGTTTAGAGAGTTTGAAAAGACAAGCTACAGGCTGGGAGAAAATATTTCAAATCACTTATCCAACTAAGGACTTGTATCTAGAATACAAAAAAGTCTCTCAAAACAATAAGAAAATAACCCAAATAAAAATGAATAAAAGACTTTACTAGTGAACCAAAAAGATATGGACAAATAAGAAACATGAAAAGATGTTCAACATCATTAGCCATTAGAGAAATGCAATTAGAACCATCATGAAACCTGTCCTCTTAAAATGACTATCTATTTCTGCATCAATACCACATTGCCTCAAATGTAACAGCTGTAAAATAAACTCTCCCTATCTAATATGTATAAGTCACTGTTTTCTTCTTTAAAATTGCTTCACCTATTTGCCTTCTCTCTAACCTAATTCTATCCAAATGGATCTCTAGAGTACCCTAGAGGAAAATCAAACTGTTACGTAATAATTTTAATTAATTCAAACTGTTGGTAGCTTTCTGAATCTGAGCAATAACTAACTACCTTATACTGTCATTTGGGCAAGAGGACAAGTGTTATTCCCACTTTACCAATGAGAAAATAGACCCAGGAATTCCAAATCTAAAAAGCTGAGTGGCTCACGCCTGTAATCCCAGCACTTTGGGAGGCCAAGGCGGGTGGATCACGAGGTCAGGAGATCGAGACCAGCCTGACCAACATGGTGAAACCCTGTCTGTACTAAAAATGCAAAAACTAGCTGGGTGTGGTGGCGCACGCCTGTAATCCCAGCTACTCTGGAGGCTGAGGCAGGAGAACTGCTTGAGCCCGGAAGGTGGAGGATGCAGTGAGCCGAGATCGCACCATTGCACTCCAGCCTGGGCGACAGAGCAAGATTCCATCACAAACAAACAAACAAACCAACAAAGCTGAATGACAGCACCACAAAGCAAGGAAAGAGCCAAACTAGTACCAAAAATAGAATTTCTGATCCCCAGTCTAGTGTCCTATTCCTAAGCCACACTGGATTCCCAGGGTCCTGTTTGCTTTTTACCTGTATAGAAATAATCTCAATCTCATCAGGTGGAAAACGAAAAAAAGTAAGTTCTCTGACCCTACCCAACACATGGAACATCCAAGATATTTTTTAAAATTTTCAAGCCAGCCATAGAAAAGAAATGGGAATGTATATGAAGACAGATTTTAAAGAATAAAAAAATTTCAAATATTTTCCAGACATAACAGCCTAGCAACCATTTTAATTAGGTGTCACAGTTAATTACAAGATCAATGAATGTTTACTGATTGGCTTTTTAAAGTTGTAATTAATATCCACTTTATGAAAAACACTCTCTCCTCTCCAGATTGCATAATGAAATACTACTATCAAAATCAACTACATTTAAAATTTGTTAACTATAAAAACCTACCTATTCAGGGAAAGGAATTATAAGCAGCAGGTAGCTCAAAGCATAATTTTTTTTAGCATTTCAGAAACACAGTGACAACAGTTTCTAAGAATTTGCATGTTCATTTCCTGTACGTGAAACCACACACACAAAAGTTTAAAATATTTTATAATATGCATTTACTTTATCACCTTTTTTGAAGACCATTGTGCTTCCCCTCTTTTTTGGCCAGGAAGTGGAGTGGGAGGAAGAAGACTGTTTTCCAAACTCTCTAACAAGTTTCAAATTTTAAAAAACAGACTACAGTAAAAAAGGAATATTCTAAACTTTTCGGCCTATTTTTATAGTGCCTACCTTAACTGGCCATAATACACTTACTTACATTATTTTCTATAGGCGGGTCCAAATTACAGGTGAATCTCTTTTTTTTTTTAGCAAGTTAAAAAATTTTTTTTTCTTTTCTGCATTAGTCACATTCTCGCCCACTTTACCACCCAAAGACTTTTGCAGTCAGACTCCTGGCAGAAGGCTTAGAACATTCTGCTGCTGATAAAAGAGAAACCACCACCCACCCAAGACAGCAACTGCCAGCTGTTTACTTTTAGATTTTGGTTAAGAAAAATTTAAGGAAATTCAAGTCAAAATTTTCAAGCCAACCTCAGAAAATAAATAGGAATATAAATGAAATGTAAGAGAAATTAAAGACGAAAAAAATTTCAAATATTTTCTAGGTAATTAATAAAAGCCTAGCAACCATTTTAATTAGGCATCACATTAATTGTAAGATCAATGAATGTTTACTGATTGGACACTTCTGTTTCCCTTATCTGCAAATCCACTACTCCTACCACTACATCTACACAGAAATATTGTGGCTACTGATACACCACAGATCTGTCTTTAAATGTCAACAATCTAGTTTAAATTTTTTCATGTTCAGGTATGTGTCTCTAATATTAATTAGTACATAATATGAACTGACCCATATGGAAATAAAAAAACCAAAAGGTATAGTTATGGTTTTCATATAAACTTATAATCTTATGAATGCAAGAAAGAACGCATATAAATTACATATAAAAATAAGCATTTATAAAGGCACATCGCTGTATGTGAAAGCAAAGAAAATTTTCACTGTCCTTGAAAATAGTGGAATGAATACATGTTTGGAACTGTATAAAGACACTTTCTGAAGAAAATTAATTTTTAAACTTGGAAGAAAGATTTTGGAAGTAATGACACTGGAGGATTTTTTTAAAATTACACGTTCCCTTAGAATTGTGGCTGAATATAAGTTTCACATACATATGTTCAAAGAGTTGTGACAGTTCAAGAAGGAACTAACCTAATCTAAACCAGTTATTTCTAACCTACAGGCTAAGGAGTCAGTAGAAGAGTTGCCTGAATGCACATACTCCAAGCACTGTCTGTAGTCTAAAACATTTCTGCTCCATTTCTCAAATATAAATAGATACTGTAAAAATAAAATACAAAATCATTTAAAAGCATAGTAGTTTTCTGTCATTATACATAATTTCAACCAACAATTACTAAAAGTCCAATTGCATGTGTATTAGAAGTACAGGGTTTCTCATAATCAAAATAGGTCGGGACCTTTAAGCTAATGTACAGAGTTCCTTCTGGCCCAAAATTCTATGATTTTAAAGGATGAAGAACTCTTACGGTGAATTCCTTAGAACTATTCCATTTCAATAAACATACATATGTATATATAAATAATGCTTGCTATGTGCCAAGTACTGGACTTT
The DNA here is from genome assembly GCF_000001405.40 of Homo sapiens. NCBI lineage: Eukaryota > Metazoa > Chordata > Mammalia > Primates > Hominidae > Homo > Homo sapiens. The sequence continues at coordinate 26,939,777 of NC_000012.12, read as the reverse complement.
TTCTCAGAGATGAGTAAGACATGATTCCAGACAGACCCAGGTTCAAATTGGCAGGAGAGACAGAAACAAATAATACAACCTAATAAATACTGCAGAAGAAAAGTTTCAAATGCGTTGGGAGCACAGCGGTATCAATGTCACCTGGGGGAGTCTGAGAAGACAATGATTTATGAATTGGGTTTTGACAGGTGGTAAAATAGAGGAACAGTAAACATCCTAGACATCCGCACGTACAAAAGTACAGAGCTGTCAAAGCGCATGGCATGTTTGGGGAAATAGCCAGTATAGTCTTGTATGGTAGGATATTAAAGCAGGACTAAAAGGTAAAATGGATTGGGGCAGACTGTAAAAGATCCTGAATGATGATGTGCTTAACAATTAGGATTTGATGCTGTCAGCAATACGGTTACTAAAAAGTTTAAGGAAAGGACAGAGATAAATATGTATTTCAGAATAACTCTATGGAAGGATTATAGTAGGGAAACCAGTGGAGGGCGGGGGGCAGAGGGGGCAACCGCACTAATTCTGGCGAAAAAAAAAATAATACAGTGCAGTGTTAAGTGGAAATGAAGAACCAATGATGATTCCTGGTTTTCTAGTTCGGATAGCAGGACAGATACTGGAACCATTATCAGAGATGGGATAGAGAAGAAAGGCAGGAAGAGAACCAGAAAAGAGTAATACCCCTTGGAGAGCAGTTTCAAGAAACAAGTTATCTTCATTAAACGCTGCAAACAGGTGACTGAAAGGGTCCCCCGTCCGGTGGTGAACTCGCAGGTGGGTAAGGCAGGATGAAAGCAGATACGGAAGGTGTGTCCACAGGGTTAGAGCCAAGGCTTTTCATTGAACTTTCCGCACCGCATCTCCATTAAGAGGAGCTCGGAGTCGGGGGGCGCGGAGAGGAAGTCCGGCTCCCAGGAGCAGGGAGCCCGCGGCGGGAAGCGGACAGGGCCGGGCGCCGGTGGTTCAAGAGGCGCAAGGCACCGGCCCCGGCGAAGGACTGCCCCGGCAAAGGACGCCTCCGACTCGCCCACCCCTGCTCCCGTCCCTGGATTTAGTCCACTTACTCTGCTCTTAGTCCCTCGCAGCCTTCAGCTGTGGCGATGCGGACTCAAACCCTCTACCAACCGGGACCTATGCACTCAAGGGAAGAGACTCCGCGCCCCCCTAATCCGCCTCCTCAGCAAGCAGACGCAGAATCGGACGGAGGCAGCGGACGGAAGGCCGGGAAGCCAGTGGCGTTCAACGCCATCACCGGCGGGGTAGACACCTCCGCCGACCGCCTCCGACCGGCGCTCCCGGAGAACTCCAGCCTCGCGAGATTTCTTTCCTCGCGTTACTGTGGGGCAGAACCGACCACTCTCCGCTTTGCCCCAGAAGGCAGGGCGGGGCCCTTCTATGTCCCTCCCTATTCCTCCCTTCCCAGGCTTTCGCTCGGCCTCTCGCAAAGTCTCGCGAGTTTTTCCAGGGGAAACCGGCCTGGGTGGAGAGACAGAGAAGGGGAGACCGGGTGGGTGGGTCGTACGCTTAGGGGGCCGTGGTTGGTACTTCGCTGTTGGGGAGGCTTTCAGGTCGCCCAGATCCTGCTTCCCAATGGGTGACTGGGAAAATTAGCGGGTGGAAAATCTCGAGGGGTGGAGGCTTTTTTTTTCCTCCTTGGCCCCGCCCTCTTCCTGTTCGGCGACTGGGACGCCTGGCCCTACGAGGGGGAAGGGAGGCTTGGCCGGGCTATCGGAGAGCGCTGTGCGCACGCGCGAGCCCGAGTGCGTGTGTGTGTGTGCACGCGCACGCGCGCTCCTGCTCTTAGGAAGCCTGGGAAGGACCGGTGTGCTAGGAGATGATCGGGGAAAGCATAGTCCCCTGTCTGTGGCACCAGACACTCCCGACTGTGCGCTGACTCTCCCCGCCCAGCCAGCAGCCTTTTCCAGAGAGGCTGTGGTCCATAGCCTCTGTTCGTTTTCACTGCAGGACCAGGCACGAAAGTAAGCGAACCTCGATCCTGAGGTCTTCCCTATCCACTCACCTTGTATTTTCCACCCCCCACCCTCCAGCAAAGTGGGTCTAGAAGGTTTCTCAAAGAGAGTTTTGCATGAAGGGGAGATGCGTCTTGAAAGCAAGAGGTGAAAATAGCTGGATCGTAAGAAATCAGTTCGTTTTGATTTAACACTTTGGCTTTGCTTGCCATGTGCTTTTCGAATGTGGATTGTCTATTCAGTATAAGATTTTGTTAGCGAAGCAGGGGAGTACCGTATGCTCTGTTTTAATAAGAAAAAGTTTTAAAAGTTTTAAATTTCCTTCTACACACCAGTGTGATGGTAACAACTAAGTTTTTCTGCTCTACCTGGTAAATTACTGTGATGTTTCAAAAGCTAAGGGGAGAGTGTGAAGTTGGGGTCCTTATCCTAAGGCGAAGACCTGATGTGCGGTTATCTTAGGAGATGTTTATCTTTGTTTTGGCCTTTTCTTTTGCTGTCACTCCTCTTTCCTGTTAATTCCGCACCCCTACCCGCCAGTCCCCCTTCAAACGTTTTTCTTGGAGGGAAGTGCAAAAATGCTGGCTTGGGGTTTATATGTGACTAATGTCAATTAGCAAGGATCATAAAGTTGTATTTCAAGAGTCTTTGTCACTTATGTTTCGTATATGTAAGGGAATCAAATACAATTAAATGTCAAAATGTTTCCCTCTGACAATTTTAAGTTCATTTTAAAAGCAAAACCAAAAATGCATGCACTGGTATTTTTGTCTGGGCCTGGTAGAGTGACAGCCTAATATGGTGTATTGATACCCTTGCTTTCTGGTCATGACCTCATTAAACTGTCCTTTGTCGGACAGATTTCTTTGAACATATTATTCATGTTCCCTACCAAGTCTTCTTGAGGGAAAGACAATCTTCTTGAGAAAATTAGAAAAAATGTAAGATGTTATGTACAAATATTTGGCTAATATGTTTTTCCCCTTACAGGTTAAAACAAAATGAAGATTTTTTCTGAATCTCATAAAACAGTGTTTGTTGTGGATCACTGCCCTTATATGGCAGAATCTTGCAGGCAGCATGTCGAGTTTGATATGCTGGTGAAGAATAGAACCCAAGGAATCATTCCTTTGGCCCCCATATCTAAATCATTGTGGACTTGCTCAGTAGAATCTTCCATGGAATATTGTAGAATAATGTATGATATATTTCCTTTCAAAAAGCTGGTGAGTGTGAAGTACAAACAAAATCATGATTTTGGGGATGTACTTAACTGCATAAATGAATTTTTATATGAATTTGCTATAGATAATGACTGTGTGTTTATTACTTAAAAATGTGGTACATAACGCTGCCCTTTGGGATTAATATATAATGGATATTTAATTGGGGCCAGTAATAATAACAGCTAACAATTATTGAGCACTTTACATGTGCCAGACATATTTCAAAGTGCTTCATATTTATTAATTTCCGTAATTCTCATAACAGTCATGTTAGGTAGGAACTGTAGTTATTGAAGCAATATTCAAAGTATGTAACAACCAGTATAGAACACAGACTGACCATTGAGAGCTGCTGTCAAACTGTGCTGGCATGTAGCAGCTGACTGTCAGTCTTGTTTGTTGCTTCCCTGTTGCAGATCCGGAAACTGAGGTAAAGAGAAGAAACTTGTCCTGAGTCACATAGTTACGTAGAGGCAGAGCCAGAATTTGAACCTAAGCTGGCTAGCTGCTTGCAATTTTAGCAAATATATACTAAACTGCTGTATTGTTTGGCCATATTAGAAAGAAATACTTTTAAGAATGCTAAGTGGATATGGTTTATCAGTAAGAAGAGAAATGGATGATTGACAGAAATTACAGGTATTAAAGTTTAATCTTAGATTTCAGTATCTTAAATGTCTTATTTTGGGAAAGTCATTTGTTTAGCCACAAGTGGAAGACTTGCTTTCTGTCTTACTCGAAGCGCTGGGACCTAGCCAATTCTTAGACTGAGGAAGGTAGGGCAGTAGAGTAAAGGTGAACATAGTCTGATATTATACATTCACATATATTCCAAATTAAAATATAAGCCCTTCTTAAAATTTGTGTGCATTCTGTGTGTGATAAAAATATATAATGAGAGGGAATGTAACTGATTTGGAGCGCAGGCTTCGGTTCAGACCTTGGCGTGGTTAACTACTAGCTGTGTGACTTTGATCATATTTCTTAATCTCTCCAAGCCTCAGTTTCCTCCCGTGTAAGTATAACACTTACTTCCTCGATGTAAGCTTTAAAAGAGATAAATCTACGTAAAGTGACTTGTAAAATATATCCCTGTCAGATAAGCCTTGGAAGAGAAGACCAATTATCAAACTTCTTGGGGGAGGAAGGAAAACTGGTATTTCATCGATATATAGGGAAAAAGATCATAGATTAGATCGTGTTGTCCAGAGTAAAGAAAGAAATCTAACCCTCTAGCCAAAAAGGAACATGGGTCAGAATCATCATTTGATAAGTTTTCCAAAATGTTCTTTGTCATTATCTTACCTGATAGCAGGTAATTTTAAATTTTCAAATTTGCATTTTACTTTAAAACTTAGCGTAAAGACCATATCCATTATTTTGGCTTTCGGTGCCCTATATGATCCAGCTCCTGCCTCTTTCTCTGAGTTTGTCTCCTCTCCCACTGCCTGCTCTGACTTTCACCCTTTCCAGGGTATATGCTTAGATGCCTTTGCATTTGTTATTTGCCGTACCCAGATTGTCTATCCCTGACTTTACGGTGGCTGGTTTTGGATTGCCTTCAGTTGCCACTTCTATGGAGAGTCCTTCTGTAACCACCTAATCTAAAGTAGCTAATTAACTTATTTTTCATAGCGTTTATCACTCTCTGAAATTATCTTGTTCATTTATTTGTTTGTATTCTTCCCGCAGTGCCTTCTGTCCTAGTAGACTCCCCTCCCCTGACTTTCCCCACATTGTGAGTGACAGAACTTTTTTATTCATCACTCTATTCCCATGTACTCAGTGCCAGCAATAGCACCTGGCATATACTACACATTCTGTAACTATAAAAAGAAGAATGAATGAATCAGTGAAACAGTGTTACAAATTGCATATTACTTGAAAATATGTTGGTGATTGAGTGAAATTAGAGTTGAATACTAATTGTTTCTTTGGAATCTATTAGGTGAATTTTATTGTGAGTGACTCTGGAGCACATGTTTTAAATTCTTGGACTCAAGAAGACCAAAATTTACAGGAGGTATGGTTAGATTTTGAGCTGTGGCCATTTGTAAATTATCTAAATGTGGTAATACTTTTTAAAAAAATGACTAATTTTTTAAATCACTCTAGGATTTGCATATAGTGTTAAAATGCCAAGTCATATGAAAACAGCTATCCCCATTCTAGGCTTTCCCTACACCCAGCACCCCCAAGCAAACTTCCATTTTTTAGTAGTTGTCATATTTACTTCCAGATTTCTAAATAACATGTTTTTATTCCTGTTTATTGAGTTCTCTGTTTATTTATCTACTTATTTATTTATTTTGAGACGGAGTCTTGCTGTCACCCAGACTGGGGTGCATTGCGCCATCTCGGCTCACTGCAACCTCTCCCAGGTTCAATAGATTCACCTGCCTAAGCCTCCCGAGTAGCTGAGACTACAGGTGTGTGCCACCATGCCTGGCTAATTTTTGTATTTTTTAGTAGAAATAGGGTTTAGCCATGTTGGCCAGGCTGGTCTTGAACTTCTGACCTTCATATGTCTAATGCCTGTCCCCTTCCCTTGTGTTCTCAATATTAATATGTCAGAATTGTTGGTTATTTCAAAGTTTCATGTTGGCATTATAACATCTACGTAAAGTATTATTCACTGTTAAGCCAAGTAATATATATGGTTAGTTCCTTATATAGCTTTTTGTTTATTCCTGGAATTATTTATTATCTCCTTTTTCTCCCCTTCATGTGTTTTGTTTTCATAATATCCATTGCTGCTTTTTCTCATGCTTCTACAAAACTGCCCAATATTTTGATCATAAATGTGTTAGATAATTCAGCAGTTTGATTTTGTCCCCTGAGGAACTTCTTGGAGCACAGTCTTCTGCTCCAGTTTGAACTGGCTGCTTTCTAGGCCCACTGCACTCCTATCATCCTTCTCTCCCTATTTTTCAGATCCCATTTTTTTTCCTCTCTTTTTCTTTGTGTAATCTTTTGTTTTGGTAGAACATAACCTCCGGGTTGCCTGTAGTTTACCTTGCCCCTTGCTGATACTTTGGGTGTAGAAATTCCGTGTTGGAAATAACTTTTTCCTCAAAATTTTGAGGGCATTATATACTCCACAAAATTATGTGTTTTATAGCCTCCAATGCTGAGAAGCCTAACACCATTTTTCTTTATAATTTCGCACTGAAAGCTGTTAGAATCTCAGTGGTGTGCCTTGGTGTTGGTCTGTTCTCATCCATTGTGCTAGGCTTTGTATTTTCCAGTACAGGGAAATTTCCCCTGCATTGTTTCATTGATAATGTTCTTGTCTCTGTGTTCTGTGTCTTTCAGGAATATCCATTCCTGGGATGTTAGACCTCCTGCATTAAATTCCTTACTGTTTTTCTCACTGATCATCTCATTGTCAGTCATTCTGCTTTTTTGACGCTTTTAACCCTTGTATAGAACTCTCTATTTGATTGTACTTTTAATTTCCAAGAACTTTGACTTATACTCTTAACTATGTCTGTTTTTGTCATATCCTTTTCTTGTTTTATGGGTGTAATTTTACCTGCAGGTATTAACATTAGTTTATTTGATGTTTTCTTTTGTGCCTTCTGTGTTCTCACAGTTCTTTTTTTATGTTGAGGCTTTTCTTAAATGCCTGCTGATAGTTAGCTAGACAGTCTTATTTAAAAGCAAGGCACTAAATGGCAGATTAGAAAATCTACATGTTATGGAGTAGGTATTGCTGACTATATACTTCATTGTAGTTTTAGCTGATTGTTTGCACTAGGGAACCTCCAAATATTGGAGTTGACAGATGGTCTCTCTGGGACTGTTCTTCTACTCTTTTATCTGTATGACAACTTGGTTGTCAGCTCTCTGGGAGACGGGAGAGGGTAAGTTTATACCATTTCCTCTGTAGCAGTAGCCATATTTCAGATGCACAGTAAGCCTCACATAGATAGTGGCTACTGTATTGGACAGCACAGATAGAGAACATTTCCATCATCGCAGTAAGTTCTATTGCGCAGTAGTGATTTAGTATCTTACCTTTACTCTCTTATGTGCTTTTGGTATCCATATTTGATACCTTTCAGTTTCAGTTCTTCCAAAGAATGTGATTCTGTATCTTGTGGGGTAGGGGAGATGTAGTCACTTACACGGGTAGGGTGTAAGTAAGATCTGGGAGTCAAGTTGTTCCTTAAACTGACTTCAAGCTATTGACGTTTTTAGTATCTTGCCTTTCCCCACTGTGTTTGGTAATTGGTGCCTCTAGTTCTTGAACTTCTCCTGGATTCTCCAGTTCTGAACTTCTCCTGGATTATTTTGCCTTTTAGTTTCCATGGGCACTTAGATTTCTGCATATTCAGTCCTATTAAGTTCATCACCACTCCTTCATCCATTTTTATATATTCTTGTTGATGTCTATCTTGTTCATTGTTGTCTCTTCTTCCACTCACTTCACGCTTGTGGGTTTATGCTTTCTTTTTTGGTTTATGAGTGTTTTTTTTTTTTTTTTTTGAGACTGAGTTTCACTCTTGTTGCCCAGGCTGGAGTGCAGTGGCACGATCTTGGCTCACTGCAACCTCCACCTCCCAGGTTCAAGCAATTCTCCGGCCTCAGCTTCCCAAGCAGCTGGAATTACAGGCGCCTGCCACCACGTCCGGCTGATTTTTGTATTTTTAGTACAGATGAGGTTTCACCATGTTGGCCAGGCTGGTCTTGAACTCCTGACGTCAGGTGATCCACCCGCCTCAGCCACCCAAAGTGCTGGGATTACAGGTGTGAGCCACCACGCACAGCCCGGGTTTATGTTTTTTAGTAAGTAAAATCTTTTACTTCGATTTTAGTGGAGGAAGCAGAAATCAACTCATGCTCAACTAGTTAGGTTTATGTTTTAACATTATTTGTCTAAAGATACTGAGTTACTAGTAGCTTATGTTCTTTGCCATCATTTAGTTGGATAGAAGACTTCAGTCTACAAGGTCCTTCCCTGATGAATGTGAACAACATGAGAAACAAGGCTTTAGTGAAATAATTGAATACATTATTTGAATTATTTAATGCCAAAATTTTTTTGTTAACGGGTGCTATGCAGTGGTAACAATCCCATCCAAGGTGTTTTTATTATTTTTTGTTTGTTTTCTTTTTCTTTTATTTATTTTGAGACAGAGTCTCGCTCTGTTGCCCAGGCTGGAGTGCAGTGGCGCAATCTTGGCTCACTGCAACCTCTGCCTCCCGGGTTCAAGTGATTCTCCTGTCTCAGTCTCCCAAGTAACTGGGACTACAGGTGTGTGCCACCATGCCTGGCTAATTTTTTGTATTTTTCGTAGAGATGGGGTTTCACTGTGTTAGCCAGGATGGTCTTGATCTCCTAACCTCAAGCGATCTGCCTGCCTCGGCCTCCCAAAGGGCTGGGATTACAGGCATGAGCCACCGTGCCCGGCTTCTTTTTCTGTTTTTTTTTTTAATTTAATTTTATTTTATTGTTCTCCGAGGTTAGTTTTAAATAGAATGCTTTTAAAGAAAATGTGTTTTATCATACTGTTTGGTCTTAAAATGTTTGTGATTAGTATTATAATATATGTAAACAAAGCTAACCTTTCATTCTTTTGAGGTAATTCACTCAGTAGGCTTTGATTGGCTTGGCTTTGCACTAATATCATTCCAGAATGTTCTTAATATACTATTACCTGAAAAAACAATTTTAAGAATTCCATACGTTTCCACCTTACTTTTTTAAATACTGTGAAAGAAGTGTTTACCTTTTTCAAGAGGTACTGTGAAAGAAGTGTGAAGGCTTTCTAGTAGTGTATGAATAAAAATAAGTACATATCTGTGTAGATTTGTACCTACTGACTGCACCTCTGCAGTGCAGTAAAAGTGTGCATTTGATGGATAGGTATGCTAGTCATAAAGGAATTATTACTTCTTTTGCTTTCCCAAGGTGAAGGTACACGATATCCCATTCATTGCTTTTAAATTTTGAATGGAGGGGGAATCTCCAGTTGTGAAAGCAACTATATAGCAAATCACTGGTGTTCAAGAATGTATAAAAGAATGTACATTTTGTATAAATTGTGTATAATCTTGTCTATATTTAATGTTTAGCTTTGGTTATCCATGTCACACCTTTTCCCTATGTTAAACCTTTCTGTGTCTCTATGTCTATCTTGTGCCAGTACCGTACTATCTTGGTTACCATTGTTTTGTAGTAAGTTTTAAAAATAGGAAGTGTGACTCTTCTTACCTTGTTCTTTTTGAAGATTGTTTTGGCCAGTCTGGGTCCCTTGCAATTCCATATGAATTTTAGAATCACGTTATCAATTACTACAAAGAAGTTGGGGATTATGTTGACACTGTAGGTCAGTTTGGATAATATGGCCATCTTAACAATATTAACTCTTCCAATCCATGAGCATGGTATGTTTTTTCATTTTTTAGATCTTTAATTTCTTCAACAATGTTTTGTTGTTTTCAGAGTATAAGTTTTATAGTTCTTGTTAAATTTATTTCTAAGTATTTTATTTTTGATGCTGTTTTAAGTGGGATTTTAAAAAATTTAGTCTTCAGATTATTGTAAGTATATAGAAATACAATTGATTTTTGTGTATTAATCTTGTATACTACAGGTTTGCTGAACTTGTATATTAGTTATAATAGTTTTTTAGTGGATACCTTGGGATTTCGTAAATTCAGGATCATGTCATCTGCAACATAGAGTTTTACCTCTTTCTTTCCAATCTGGATTCTGTCCATCCTCTCTCTCTCTCTTCCTTCCTTCCCTTTTTCCTTCTTTCTTCCTTTCTCTTTCTTCCTTTCTTTCTTCCCTTTCTCTCTCCTTCCTTCCTTTCTTTCTTCTTTCCTTCCTTCCTTTCTTCCTTTCTGTCTTTCTGTCTTTCTTGTCTCTGTTTATCACCTAGGCCAGAGTTCAGTGGCTGAACTCCTGGGCTCAAGCGATCCTTCTGCCTCAGTCTTCTAAGTAGCTAGGACTATGGGTGTACATCACCCCACCTAGCTGATTTTTTAGTTTTTTTTTTTTTTTCTTTTTATAGAAACGGTGTCTTGCTTTGTTGCCCAGCCTGGTCTTGAACTCTTGGCCTCGAGCAATTGTCCTGCCTTGGCTTCCCAAAGTACTGGGATTACAGGCATGAGCCGCTGGGCTTGGCATGAATTTCTTTTATTTCTTTTTCTTTCCTATCACCTTGGCTAGAACTTCCAGTACAGTGTTGAATGGAAGTGATGAGAGTAAACATCTTTGTTACTGATAAGTAGGGAGAATTCATCCAATCTTTCACCATTAAGTATGATGTTATCAGTAGGTTTTTCATAGGTGTCCTTTATCTTCTTGAGGAAATTCCCTTCTGTTGCTAATTTTTTTAATTATGAAAAGGTTTTGGATCTTGTCAAGTGCTGTTTCTGTGTTTATTGAGATGATCATGTGATTTTTATTTTATTGATATATGATGTATTGTAATAATTGATATTTGCATATTAAATAAACTTTGCATTCCTAGAATAAATCCCACTTGTTCATGGTGTATAATTCTTTGTGTGTTACTGGATTTGGTTTGCTACTATTTTTTTAAGAATGTTCATGTCCATATATGTAAGATACATTGGTGTGTAGTTTTCTTTCTTGTGATATTTTTATCTGAATTGCACATACTCTTGTCAACATAATTGTTTTCCCTTTTACTTAGCTAATGGCAGCATTAGCCGCTGTTGGGCCTCCTAATCCTCGGGCAGATCCAGAGTGCTGCAGTATTCTGCATGGCCTTGTTGCAGCAGTGGAAACTCTCTGCAAAATTACTGAATACCAACATGAGGCTCGTACTCTACTCATGGAGAATGCAGAACGTGTTGGAAATAGAGGACGAATAATCTGTATTACTAATGCAAAAAGGTGAGGTGTTGATTATAGCAATTCTTTCACTGTGGGAATTTTAAAATCCTGTTGTAGTTTTTCAGAATAGTAGAGACAGCATGTTTACATGTTTACGTTTAAGCATATTACAAGTGGCCTTTCTGATTTTTTTCTTTTTTTTTTTTTTGCCTTTTAATATTGAGGCTGTGTTCCATTCTAAAATAAAGACTTATCTCATTGAAAACTGTTTAGATTGCCATCATGTAGGTAAATTTAACATTTTTTCTCACTGGTTTTTCAGCTAGTTGTTTAGTGGTATGACTTAGCACACTAAAGATAGTCCTTAGTGAAGTAACTTTAAATGTCTATAACACCATATTAAAGCGGAAGAGTGTTTTGAATTTTTTCTGTTACTGTTTATTCCTTTAAATTTGCTATATCTTTTTTATGCCATAGTGATAGTCATGTGCGAATGCTTGAAGACTGTGTCCAGGAAACGATTCATGAACATAACAAGCTTGCTGCAAATTCAGATCAGTGAGTATAATTCATAAATGAAATAAATATGTTCATGTGGATAGATATATGTTATAATTATTTCCAATAACTTGACTGGTAGCGTTTCCCTGAATTCTCTATTGACTCAACAAATTAGTCAAAAAATGTATGTTTGATCAGAAACTTTTTTTTCCATTTTCCCTTTCACTTTAATTTACTTTTCTCCCACAAGAAAGGTGATCAAAAGGATAAAATAATACATAAATTTATAATGTGTATTTGTTTTGATGGTTTTTTTCTCATAGTTGTGTTTCGAATTTGTAAAATGTGTTGGGTGTAGTGGCTTATGCCTGTTATCCCAGCACTTTGCGGGGCCGAAGTGGAGAGATAACCTGAGCTCAGGAGTTCAAGACCAGCCTGGGCAACATGGCAAAACCCCGTCTCTACAAAAAATATAAAAATTAGCCGGGCCTGGTGGCATGTGCCTGTAGTCCCAGCTACTCAGGCAGCTGAGGCAGGAAAATTGCTTGAGCCTGGGAGGCAGAGGTTGCATTGAACCGAGACTGTGCCACTACACTCCAGCCTGGGCGACAGAGCAAGACCATGTCTCAAAAAAAATTTAATTTAATTTAATTTAAATTTAAATTTTTAAAAAATTGTTAAATGTGCAAGTTGTTAGTGGCGTTATTCAGTATGTACCACATCTAAACATAAGTAGTTGCATTGTGTGACTTTTTAAAAAAACTTTTTCTGTTTCTGAAAAGGAAAACAGTTTTTTTTCCTCTATACTCACACTAGTACTTTTGATCAAATGTGTGGGTTTTTCTTCCGCACCAATTCTCCAACTCTGTGAATACCAACTGTGTGTCCTACAATTCAATTATGACAATCCTTGGAGTTAATACAGACCCCACAGATTAGTTATTGCAGACTCAGTTCCACAAGACTGTAACCCACTTAGACACAAATCTCGACTAGTGGTTCCCCACACTTTCGTCTGACTTGGCTACAAGTTAGGTGTTTCCACAACCCCCTCCTCATGTTCAATACTTTGTTCTGATGGGCTCACAGAACTCAGGGAAACACTTCAGTTTTCTGATTTATTATGAAGGATACAGATGCACAGACACATGAAGTGGGTGAGGTTGGAAGGATCCCAAGTGCATCAGGTTCTGTCCCTGTGGAGTTGGGGTGTACCACCCTCCCAGCACATGGATGTGTTTACCAACCTAGAAGCTCTCTGAGCCCCATACTTTAGGGATTTTTATGGAGGCTTCATGTAGGTGTGATTGATTATTAACTCAGTATCTAGCTTCTGTCCCCTCTCTGGAGGATAGCAGAGTGGGGCTGAATGCTGCTGAGCTTCTAATCATTGCTTGTTCTTTCTGGTGACCAGACCCCATTGGGGAGCTGTCCAGGATCCCACTAAAGTTGCCTCAGTAGAAGAAAAGATGCTCCTGTCATCCAGGAAATTCCAATGAACTTAAGAGCTATGTGTCAAGAACTGGGGTCAGAAACCAAATATTAGAGCAAAAGATGCTCCTAGCACCCCTGTCATTTAGGAAGTTACAAGGATTTTGGGAGCTCTGTGCCAGGAAGCATGAGCAGAGACCAATATGTATATTTGTGATTGTGTCACAGCTAGTAAAGACATGTTTGGAACTATTGCAATGTGGACTTTTTTAGAGTGATTATTAGTTTTCTTAGGTGCGGTCATAGTGTTATTGTTATGAGTAGGATTGTTCTCACTAGGCGAAGCAGGCTGAAGTGTTCAGGACTACACGTCAAGCCCTCTGCAACTTACTCTCAAATGGTTTAATTAAAAAGTGTACATCTACCTAAGTATAGTATATAGAGAAAGCAAATATAGCTAACAGTGACTCTAGGTGAAGGACATACGTTGTTCATTGAATAGTACTTTTCTTTCAACTTTCCTGTGGGTCTGGAAATTTCAAAATAAAAAGTTGGGGGAAATTTTTAGCATTACCAATCCTATAACTTGGAAATAACTAATTATAGCTAATGGTTAGTATTGCCTGATTTTATCCTTAAGAAATATTAGTATAAGGGAAATTAATACACAATATATTCATTTTCGCTGTTGCAGTTATCTATTGAAAATTAGACTTAATTATAAGAGTTTTCTCTTTATCCTTCAGACACTCACAATTATTATTTTTTGCATTTAAATTAAATTTGTATACTCATTAAGTGTTCATACAGGTATAGCAATTACATATACTGCCTTTCTAATATTTAGCTTTTGGGTTAACAGTAATATCTAATTGTAGCAATATGATGTTTTAATATGTTAAGGTTTTAGTAGTTTACCTGCTTGAATTCTTTACATACTATGTATTCTTAAATTTTAAGTCAAAAATTTCTCTTTAAGTCTCATGCAGATTCAAAAATGTGAGTTGGTCTTGATCCACACCTACCCAGTTGGTGAAGACAGCCTTGTATCTGATCGTTCTAAAAAAGAGGTGAGTGTTGAAATAATGAAAGAAAAGACTATTGTGGTTAATAATAATAAATACTGAGAAGGGTTATCATTAAAATGATCCATTGCCAATATTTTCTGCCAAGAAAATATTTTGAGTTTTCAAAGTAAACCTCTATGTCAAGACATCTAGGTTGGTTCTTTATGGTATAATTGTGGATTTTAAAGTGTTTCCTATTCTGCCTGCCTTTTCATGTTTGTTTATTTTATCAAAATGTGTTACAAACCATACATAGTTTGTATTGTTCCTAAAATTTTATTTTAGTGATTATTTTTATTCTGTAAAAATCTTTTTCCTTATTAGAAAAGCAATACACTCTTTAACAAAAAATATTCCAATAAAAAATTAATTTTACACATTCAGAGGGAAAAATCTTATTTTCCAACCTTGGTTTTACTTTTTAAATAAATTTGAATAATTTTAAAGGAATAGATGATCCTGTTGATTGTCAAATAGATCCACATCATAATATTCTCTATCAGTAATTTATGTTTAGAAATATAGATATATGTCCTGGTTTTTCATTTTGCATTATTTAATATAAACATCGCTAGTATTACTTTTGTCCATGAATTTTTGTAGTTAAGTGGTATTTTTAGTCATTATTGCCATCATTGTGTTTTTAAGTGGTTTCCAGCATAAGCCTCTTTTTTATTAACTTTTTTCTGCCTCTTTTGATAATGTGGCAATGTTAGTTTTATTTTATGATAATGAAAACTTATTTGTAATTAATATTATTGCCCTGGAATGAGTAAGATTTTGTGTTATCTTGTTGTACACTACTTCTAGCTGCCTTATTTATTGGTGACAGAATGAAATTTTTGTGGCGATTTCCACATTCATTCTTTTAGTTTTATCTGCAGGGTTTTGTCCTCTCAACAAAATAAATTATTTTTTCTGCAGTGTACTTCAAATCATTTTTGCATATAGATAAAAAGACGTAAAAATTGTAAAGAAATATATTTAAATATTTCACTCTAAATTTCAGGAGGACAGGGATTATGTCTGTTCACTGCTGTGTTCTGTATACTCACAGTTTCTGGTATCTAGCAAACTGATTAATACATATGTGGTGAGTGAATGAATGCATGAAAATGTATTGCTAAAATAATTGTCATGGTTAATTTATGGATCCTTTTTTTCCAACTTCTAAAAAGTTAAAAATACTTAATTTTAATGGATTTATACTAAAATATTTAGCAGTAGGTCACAATGAATTAATATTTTGTGGATTATTTTTCTTGTATGTTTTTCTGTAGTTGTCCCCGGTTTTAACCAGTGAAGTTCATAGTGTTCGTGCAGGACGGCATCTTGCTACCAAATTGAATATTTTAGTACAGCAACATTTTGACTTGGCTTCAACTACTATTACAAATATTCCAATGAAGGTAGGCAGTTCTTTTTCCTGCTATTTTGAAAGCACTGCTTTGCTTTTTAAATATTTGTTTGAGGCCAGGCGTGGTAGCTCATGCCTGTAATCCCAGCACTTTGGGAGGCTGAGATGGGAGGATCACTTGAGGCCAGGAGTTTGAGACCAGTCTGGTCAACATAGTACGATCCCATCTCAATATTAAAAAAATAAATAAATAAATAATTGTTGGACATGTATTATTTATTTTAATTGAACCTTTACCTTTTCTCCCCATATCGTATTTTCTGTTTTGCTAGCCCACATTCAATGTCTTTGACCAGGTCAGTAAATACTGAAAAGCAACCAGAAAGGATCACAGAATAAAATGCTATATTTTTGTTTTCTAATAAGAACACGTTATGTGAGCTCTCTTAAAAAAAAATGCTGTCATTGTTTTCATCAAAATATAATTTCTATTTTAAATTATTATTCTGTGATTCTTTTCTTGACAGCTGTGTTATTAGATTTTGCTTACTTTGTGTATTCTAGTGGATCTTTTATTCTCTATGTTTTTGTTGTTGCCCACCCAGTATAAAGGTGTTTATAGCTAATAGGTCTAACTAGGGGAAAATAGCTCATAGTTTTAAATCAGTTTATTACTCTCTAACTGAAAGACCATAGATGTGAGCTCTGTGATTTTACTGGTGGATTTTTTAAGGAATCTATTGCTAGCTGTTCATTTTCATTATATTAACATTATCATTAAGTTGTTTTAGGGCTAGCACAGTGCCCGGCCCATAGTAAGCTTCAAATGGGTTTTTACTGAGTGGAATGGAATTTAATTGTATTGATTATGTTTACAAATATAAGGTAGCCACTATATCTCAAAATTCAAATTTTTCTTACATTCCAGTTTCTATTTTCTGCCACTATATTATGAACAATAAATTGCATGAGAATTATAATCTTTTCATTGTTAATTTCTTAATGCCATTGGCCGGTTTTTCACTACAAATGTTAGGCTTACCCTGTAGAACCTTTTGGATGCAGAAGTAAATAACATAATAGGTACACTTTAATATATATAATGTCATGTGTTATAAGAAAAATACTCTGATAGCTTGCCTGTTAATTTTGATCATATTTGTGTGCTACTGGTGTGACTCTTCAATCTTTGTGTTTTTTGGTAAACAGATAATGTTGAAATTCCTATTTCCTATTACTGAAAACAAGTTACTAAACTTGTTTATTAGTTTATATTTTATATAATTGATATTTGGTAATTCACTGTAGGTATTTAAAGATGCTATTTCCTCTTTTTAACAATGATTTCGCTTTAAATTTATGTAAATTATTTCAATTACATTATATTTGTATATTAAAAATATTGGCAAGACTGCATTTGGAGTAAAAAAAATTCAAAATTTCTGAGTTAGTCATCTTTGTTAATTCTGACATAATGTAAAAAAATCATTAAATACTTTATTACCTGTATATTGCCAGTTGTTTTTTAATGGAGTTTATGTTGCATGGAACACTTGCATCTTTAAATAGATTATCCCATTATTTTAGCTAATTATTATTGAATGTATTTGCCCTCATTTTAAACAAAAAGCAAATGAATAATTAATAATTTTATTATTTTGAAAGCAAAACCAAGTTTTTTAAAATGTTTGAAATTTTACTTCAAGGAAGAACAGCATGCTAACACATCTGCCAATTATGATGTGGAGCTACTTCATCACAAAGATGCACATGTAGATTTCCTGAAAAGTGGTAAGAGACATTTGAAAGTATTATTTTGTATGATCTAACATATGAAAGCATATTACAGTAGCCCCCACATCCTCAGGGAAGACATTCCAAGACCCCCAGTGGATGCCTGAAATCTCAGATGGTCTCGAACCCTATACTGTATACACTGTTTTCTCCTATACGTACATACCTATGATAAAGTTTAATATATAAATTAGGCAAAGCAGGAGATCAATAACAATAAGAATGAAATTGAACAATTATAACAATATATTATAATGAAAGTTATATGAATGTAGTCTCTTGGTCTCTCTCCCTCTTTCTCAAAATATCTTATTGTACTGTACTCATCGTTTTTGGGATGATGTGAGATGATAAAATACCTACATGATGAGATAAACTGAGATGAATGATACAGGTATTGTGACATAGCATTAGGCTACTATGGACCTTAAACACAAGCACTATGATACCTCGACAGTGGATCTGATAACCAAGAAGGCTGCTAATGGACTTGTAGTGTTTATAGCATATATATGCTGGACAAAGGAATGATTCACATCCCAGGCAGGACACAGTGGCATAGTGTGAGACTTCATCATGCTACTCAGAACAGCATGCAGTGTAAAACTTATGAATTGTTTATTTCTGGAATTTTGTATTTAATGTTTTTGGGCTGCAGGCCGGGGGTAGTGGCTCACACCAGTAATCCTAGCACTTTGGGAGGCCAAGGTGGGCAGATCACTTGAGGTCAGGAGTTCGAGACAAGCGTGGCCAACATGGCGAAGGCCCGTCTCTACTAAAAATTAAAAAATTAGCCAGGTGTGGTGGCGTGTACCTGTAGTCCTGGTTACGTGTGAGGCTCAAGCAGGAGAATCTCTTGAACCTGGGAGGCGGAGGTTGCAGTGAGCTGAGATCATGCCACTACACCCCAACCTGGGCAACAGGGTGAGACTCCATCTCAAAAAATACATATATATCTTGGGGCTGCAGTTGACCACAGGTACTGAAACCACGGAAAGCGACACAGCAAAGTCGGGGGACTACTGTAACAGCTTTGAGAAGTTCTTCAGTACAAACCAGACTGACTAGTTCATCCCTGTGCAAACTTATCTGTCAGTATCACCTATTAATGGCAATGGAACTAGTGTCCTGTGGAATTTACTTCGGAAAAGACTGGGCTAATAGAACAAATACTGAGAAAGATAGCCATGGCTTTCTCAAACTCATTACAGTTTCATTTGCAGGCAAACAACCTTGAGGAAGGGAAAAGAATAGGAGCAAACTCGAAAGAGTGATAGACTTTCAACTTGGCCTAGAAATTAAATTTTGAAATTTAAGTTAGTTTTTTTTCCTCTAAAAATTATTTCAATCCATAGATCTCATCTCCCAAACTGATTTCTGCAACTGTATTGGCTTGGTTTAGGGGAGAAGACTCTGGAGTTAGGAGATAAGTTTTAGCTAAAGCTTTGCCACCAACTGGCAAGACCCATATGTTTCTAGATGTATGTTTGCATGCTTATGAATGAAAGATGCTGGATTAGATGAGCTGTAGTATTCCATTCAATTCTAAAATACAATGAAAATTTTAAGATGTTGAAGGTCATTTTAAAAGCCTTTAAGCTTTGACATTTGGTTAAATTCTTTAGAATGTTTTCTAGTAAATTGATGCTGCCAGAGAAACGGTTGACTTTGATTATGTTGTATGCATCTTCTGAAGCATAATCATGAGCCAATTGTGACATTTGTTACATGTCTGAGGAATCTTAGAATAAACCTAATGAACTGCTAACATGAAAGAAACTATTATGATGCAGGGATATATAAACGTTTACCAAAGGAATATAGAGAACTTGTTTTTGAAAATATATTACATGGAAATTGCTACGAACCTGTGATGTGATATCAATTTTTAAAATGTTATTTTAAAAACTTACAAAAATGGGCCAGGCGCAGTGGCTCACACCTGTAATCCCAGCACTTTGGGAGGCTAAGGCAGGTGGATGACGAGGTCAAGAGATTATCCTGGCCAACATGGTGAAACCCCGTCTCTACTAGAAAATACAAAAAATTAGCCGGGCATGGTGGCGTGCGCCTGTAGTCCCAGCTACTCGGGATGCTGAGGCAGGGGAATCGCTTGAACCCGGGAGGCAGAAGTTGCAGTGAGCTGAGATCATGCCACTGCACTCCAGCCTGGCGACAGAGCGAGACTCTGTCTCAAAAAAAAAAAAAAGTGTCAAAAATATCCTTTGTAACACAAAATAGTTCTTTAAAATAGTTGTTGACTTGGCCTGTAGTTATATGCATTACATGTGGACACTATGTGTCAAAAGTTATTTTAACAATAGGAACAGAGTGCTGTGGGAGCACGGAGGAGGCTGCCTGTGGTTGTGCCAGTAAGAGTTAGGCAGGTTTTACTGAGGTGGTAACAGTGTAGCTAGGTCTTGGTGAGTAGGCTTATACTTTAGCCCAGATACCTTCCCTAAGTTCCAGATCTTTTTTTTTTTTTGAGACAGAGTCTCGCTCTGTCGCCCAGGCTGGAGTGCAGTGACGCGATCTTGGCTCACTGCAAGCTCTGCCTCCTGGGTTCACGCCATTTTCCTGCCTCAGCCTCCCGAGTAGTTGGGACTACAGGTGTCCACCACCATGCCTGGCTAATATTTTGTGTTTTTAATAGAGACGGGGTTTCACCGTGTTAGCCAGGATGGTCTTGATCTCCTGACCTCGTGATCCGCCCCCTCAGCCTCCCAAAGTGCTGGGATTACAGGTGTGAGTCACCGTGCCCGGCCCCTAAATTCCAGATCTTTATATTCTACTTCCTAATTGTATCTCTTAGATGTCTCTCAGTCACCTACACTTCAACATGCCCAAAACAACTTAGGAGCTTTGCCACCTGAACTAGTCTGTTTCCTTTTTCAGTGAATGGCCCTGTTGTCTGTTCATTTATGTAAGGCAGAAAACCTCAGAATCGTTTTTGAGACATCTAATCCATCATCACATTTTCTTGATTTTGTCTACTAATTTTTCTCTCGTACATCAAAATCTCCATCTTAGCTACCAATAACATTTCCCTAATCCAGCCTTTTATTTCCTTACCTAGTATCTCACAGTAGCCTACTAAATGGCCTGTCCCTATCTACTCTTTACCCTCTAGCTACAGTAACTTTCAGAATGCTAATCCTGACCATGTTCTCATGACCTTAAACCCGCCCCGTGCCTATGCTTTTCTGTTGCCCTTAGGAAACAACAGAGCTGTTTAAATGTCTTACAAGGCCCTTCATTGTCTGGCCCCCTCCCCCTTTTTATTCTCATCTCAAAGCATACTAATCTTCTCTGTTTCAGCCACACAGATCTAATATTTTTCATGCTTCCTCCTGCCACAGTATCTTGGTATCCATTGTTCTTTTGCCTGAATAGTCTTTCCTCTATTTCTTCTTCTTTTTTTTTTTCTTTTTTTCTTTTTTTAATCTGAGACAGAGTCTCACTTTGTGACTCAGACTGGAGTACAGTAGTGTGATCATAGCTCACTGCAGCATCGACCCCTCGGGCTACAAGCAGTCCTTCCACCTCAGCCTCCGGAGTAGCTGGGACTGCAGGTGCATACCACGAAGCCTGGCTAATTTTTGTATTTTTTCCATAGAGACAGGGTCTCACTATGTTGCCCAGGCTAGTTTCCTGACCTCCTAGCAATCCTCCCACTTAGGACTCACAAAGCACTGAGATTTTAGATGTGAGACACTGCATCTGTTCCATTTCTTTACTTAATTTCTACTCATACCCTTATAACTCAGACCAGTCTTCACTTCTCAAGGAAACTTCTCCTGGTGTTTTGGAATAGGACAGATCTCCCTCTACAGGCACTCATAGCACTGTAGATTTTCCTTCAAAGCCTTGTCAGCTTTATGGTTGCACATTTGTTCATTATTATTAGATTAATATCTTCTTACGTATTTACTTTCCAGATCCCTTGGTTTGTGTTTCTTCTAACTAAACTTATTAGAATTCAGTATGGTTGTGCATTTTAGATTCCTTAAGCTTTTTCTGAGTACTTAACCATGTCATTTTATCATTTAATAGTGTGGGCAGGGAAGAGCAGTTGTAGATGCTTGAGATTTTTTAAATTCTTGCTATTGACTTTCAGTGCAATGACCTAAATGATTGATTAATGATGAATGTGGAGGAAAATTACTATTTATTTTAATCATAGATAATATCTTTGGTATTTGTCCAGGGGACCTGATAAAAAGATGTTGTCTCAGAGATATTTTCCCTTGGAGAGTTTAAACTCATTTGGAAATCTTGGTAAATAATTTGAAGCTTGTGATCTACTTGATAATGTTAGTGTTTCTCTGACATTTTTTTCATTGTTGTTTTTAAGTGAACTTTTAATTTTAGAGTAGTTTCAGATTTACAGAAAAATTGTGAAGACAGTACAGAGTTCCGGTTACTCCATACCCAGTTTGCTCTATTATTATTTTTTGCTTTTATTATTATTATTATTTTATTTATTTTTTTGATACAGAGTCTCACTCTGTTGCCTAGGCTGGAGTGCAGTGTCGTGATCGCAGCTCACCGCAACCTCTGCCGCCCAGGTTCAAGCGATTCTTCTGTCTCAGCCTCCCGAATAGCTGGGATTACAGGCACCTGCCACTGCGCCTGGCACATTTCTGTAGTTTTAGTAGGGACAGGGTTTCGCCATCTTGGTCAGGCTGGTCTTGAACTCCTGACCTCGTGATCCACCTGCCTCAGCCTCCCAAAGTGCTGGGATTACAGGCATGAGCCACTGCACCCGGCCGCTTTTATTATTTTTTAAATTAAAACATAATTGTACATATTTATGGGATACAGTGTGATGTTTTGATACATGTATACAATGTGTAATGTCTCTGACATATTTTTAAAGGTGATTCGCATCTAGGTGGCGGCAGTCGAGAAGGCTCGTTTAAAGAAACAATAACATTAAAGTGGTGTACACCAAGGACAAATAACATTGGTAGGTATTTAAGAATAACTGAAAAAGACGAAATCAAAAGGTTCTTAAGGTATTATATGGGGGTCAATTTATTCTGTTTTGCATTTTCGTTTTTCATTGTTTCAGGACTCAATGAACTCAGTGAAGAAGTTTTTTTTTCTTTCTTTTAATTGTGGGAATATTTCTTTATATTCTTTCAAATCAGTGTTTTCTTCTATTTCAGAATTACACTATTGTACTGGAGCTTATCGGATTTCACCTGTAGATGTAAATAGTAGACCTTCCTCCTGCCTTACTAATTTTCTTCTAAATGGTAACTTTAATTATTTAATGGTTTTGACTGAAATTATTTATATTATTTGAATTATTTATTATTAAATTATTATTTGAGTGAAATTATTATTAAGAATATGAACTCTGGAAAGCTATATTCATCACTGTAGCTTTGCCATTTATTTGCCAAAGCTGTTTTAAACTTATGTAATTTGAAATACCCTTTAACAGTTTTTACTAACATTTAAAAGATGACTTTAGGTTTGGCTTTCAGGCTATTGCATCTAAGCAGGTTTTATTTAATAAAATTGTGAGTATTTTTATTTAAAAAATTTGACCTTCAGAGTCTAAATTGATTTGTTTTAGAAGCTATAATTAGAAAATAGATTTGAAGAATTAAATAGAAGCTAGAATAATATAGACCATTTATCTTGGCCCATTGAATTTTAAATCAAATCAAAGGTGGACTTACTTATATTTGAACATGATACCTTTATCATAAATAAATATTATGTTTTTAGTATTATACCATATGATTCTTACCTGTGACCTTAAATCTCTGGTTTCATTGTGTGAAAATTTTTTACAAGTCTTAATTATTTGATTCCAAATTAAAAGCTTCTCTGGTAATTCTTATGATCATCTCAGGTTTTGGAACTAGTGATCTAAAGAGTCAGTCTGTCTTTATCATAAGGTTATGTCATTCTTAGTTAAGCATAATTTGATTATCAGACTAGGTGAAATTCAGATTAACATTTGGACATGTAGAATAGAAAGTAGTTATGATTACAGTGTGGATGAGGAACTGTTGTGTAAGTGAACTGAGACTGTGCCTTCTCCCCAAATGTTCTGTAGCATTAATAACCTGAGGATTATGGAGCAGTTGTCTCACTTTTCTTCTTGAGGTCCAGGAGAAAAATTCAATATGTACATGTAATTGGATGAACCATATAGCCAAACGTATTATGCCAGAGACCACTATAGTTGTTGTGAGAAACTGTATTAACTATGTAACCTTGGAGTAACTGAGATAAAGTTAAGGCTAGAATTCAGATTTTTAGGCATGGAAGAGTAGATACACTAAATTAGCAATGCTGGTTAAAATACGGGGATCAATAAATAAAATGAAAAAATCTAGACATAAATCTCAAGGAAATAAATGAGAGCCCATTTGAGTTTCATTACTGATAGTGTAATCTTGTTTTTGACAGGTCGTTCTGTTTTATTGGAACAACCACGAAAGTCAGGTTCTAAAGTCATTAGTCATATGCTTAGTAGCCATGGAGGAGAGATTTTTTTGCACGTCCTTAGCAGTTCTCGATCCATTCTAGAAGATCCACCTTCAATTAGTGAAGGATGTGGAGGAAGAGTTACAGACTACCGGATTACAGTAAGACTCTAATATCTATAAATTTTAAGTTTTGAATCTGTCATCATTCAGCAAGTAGTTATCGAGTGCTCGTTAAATGCTAAGGTCTGTGGAAAAAAAGAGACTGGAAGAAGTTGATTATTATTTTAATTAGGTGAATTTCCTGCAATATTTGCTCAAAAATTCTATTTATCATTGTTTAATCTTATTGTATATTCAGTATATACTGAGATGTATCTGAATTGCAATGACACGCTGGAATTGTAGGAAATAATAAATTGATTTGAACTAATATTTTAGGTGAAACTTAATTTCTAGTAATTTAAATGGCAAACAGAAACCTGGAATATTTGGATTGCTGCTACTTAGAAATAACATAAACTTTTGTATTATTGGGAGGAACATAAAAGGAAATTTATGTCCATTTTTGGTAGAAATTCTGTTCTAATCTTGATTTTTCATTCTCCCTCCTCTCTTTCCTATTTGGTATTTCATAGCTATTTACTTCTTGAGGTGGTTGTAAAAACTAAGTGTGATTTATATATATGAATATGCTTTGTAAACCACAAACTGTTATATACTGTAAGTAACTTTTTAATTAGGATTTTTTTAAAAAACATAATATTTAAATAAGGAGAAGCCTAATCAATATTTATTGTAGAAAATTTAGAGAATATAGATATCGTAAAAAAACACCCACACCTGTAAATTACCTATAATTTCATCATTCACAGATAACTATTGTTGACATGTTTATGTTATGTCAAGGTAGTTTTTTTGTTTGTTTGTTTGTTTTGAGACAGAGTTTCGCTCTTGTTGCCCAGGTTAGAGTGCAGTGGCGCAATCTTGGCTCACTGCAACCTCTGCCTCCTGGGTTTAGGCGATTCTCCTGCCTCAGCTTCCCGAGTAGCTAAGATTATAGGCGCCTGCCACCATGCCCAGCTAATTTTTGTATTTTAGTAAAGATGGGGTTTCACCATGTTGGCCAGGCTGGTCTCGAACTCCTGACCTCAGGTGATCCACCTGTCTTGGCCTCCTGAAGTGTTGGGATTACAGGTGTGAGCCACCGTGCCCAACCTCAAGGTAGTTTTTAAATAAGCAAATGGGTCTTCTAATGTGATTAACTGACTCTTTTATCTGTGTGTGATAGAAAAGTTAAATTACAGAAGGGGAAAAAAAGTGTTCCTTGGTTTTTACAAAAGGTGGGGAAAACATACCATGAATGCATTTATGTTTGAGGCTTTCTTCATTTTCATCATATAAAGGCTGATAGGTTTCAAGTTCAGAAAGGATAAAAAAGTAGTGGAGTTAAGGGATACTGTTAGAAAAAATGTTTTGTTGCACATCACAGGACAGAAGACATCAGGGAAACAGACTAGTACATGTAATCCATACTGAAACATTAGACATAGTTTCTAATTTTATCTTATTTGGTTATCATTAGGATTTTGGTGAATTTATGAGGGAAAACAGATTAACTCCTTTTCTAGACCCCAGATATAAAATCGATGGAAGTCTTGAGGTCCCTTTGGAACGAGCAAAAGATCAGTTAGAAAAACATACCCGTTACTGGCCTATGATCATTTCACAAACCACCATTTTTAACATGCAAGCGGTAAGTGTTAAGTAGCTTCAACTTTTCTTATAGATTAGTTATATATTCTTTATAGAAATCAATTAGACAATTTGTAATTTATACCATTTCTTAAGCAAAGAATGAAATATATGAGCTTGCTAAAGTTAAAGAATTAATAATTAAAAATTGAAGTGATAGTTATAGATTCCTTCACCATGATAATCTTTAAAATCCTTTCGAAAATCAAGTTCTGCCTAGATGTTTTGATATTTATTTTTCAAGACAGATTTTCTTTTTTCTTTAAAAAAAATCTAACAGGTAGTTCCATTAGCCAGTGTTATTGTGAAAGAATCTCTGACAGAAGAAGATGTGTTAAACTGTCAAAAAACAATATACAACTTAGTTGATATGGAAAGAAAAAATGATCCTCTACCTATTTCCACAGTTGGTACAAGAGGAAAGGGCCCTAAAAGGTACATTTTTTTTTCTTTCTTACTTTATAGATCACATTTACTTGATACATATTGTTTCTCAAGATAACTTATTCCATATGTAAATTCTATTTGAGGACATGTTTATATATATATTTGAGATGAAATAATACAAAATCATAGAAATGGATATATTGTAGCCTAGAATTTCACTATTAAGTACCAAGTAAGAGGAAGGAAGTCCACATTTCATTATTTGTTTTTACTTTACCACTAGAAAGTGACACTTCAATATTATTTAAAGAGTATTTCCAAATCTTTGCTGCAGAGATGAACAATACCGTATCATGTGGAATGAATTAGAAACCCTTGTCAGAGCCCATATCAACAACTCAGAGAAACATCAAAGAGTCTTGGAATGTCTGATGGCATGCAGGAGCAAACCCCCAGAAGAGGAAGAACGAAAGAAACGAGGAAGAAAGAGGGAAGACAAAGAGGACAAGTCAGAGAAAGCAGTGAAAGATTATGAACAGGAAAAGTCTTGGCAAGACTCAGAGAGGTGACTTCCTGGCATTGATATAGCACCATGGTGCCTTTTGTTATATCACATTCTGCATAGAACACTTTCATACATTCAAACCTGATTTAATAGTAGTTCATTTAATACATGTTTATTCATTTTCATTACTGTAATTTTATCATTCTTAAAATCTAGAGGATCTTTCTTGGGCACAAAAAAGTATGAATTTTTACTGTTGGGGCAAAGTTAGTGTTAGTTTTTCCTAATTAACTTCTGAAAATCATAATGCATGATGTTTGGTATCAGTATGTGCTTTATGTGTTGTGAACTTCACAGACATAATTTTATTCCTCTGTTCACTAAATATTTACTGAATGCTTATGATGTGCCAGGCATTTGGCACAAGATCCCTACCCTTGAAGAACATACAGTGTGATGCTAGAGACAGACAAATTAGTGATTGCAGGCTGGGTGCAGTGGTTCACACCTGTAATCCCAGCACTTTGGGAGGCCGAGGCGGGTGGATCACTTGAGGTCAGGAGTTTGAGACCAGCCTGGCCAACATGGCAAAATCCTGTCTCTACTTAAAAAAATACAAAAATCAGCTGGGTATGGGGGTGCATGCCTGTAATCTCAGCTACTCAAGGGGCTGAGGCACGAGAATCACGTGAACCTGGGAGGCAGAGGTTGCTGTGAGCCGAGATTCCTCCACTGCACTCCAGCCTGGGCAATAGAGTAAGACTTTGTCTCAAAAAAAAAAAAAAGTGATTGCAGCAAAGTGTGGAAGGTGCTATTATAAAAATAGGCATAGGATGTCCTTGGAAGCACAGAAGAAGGGCATACAGTCTATTCTGAAAATGTTTCTTAATAGTATACTCTTTTCCTTTAGTTTGTGATTTATATTATGATGTCAGCGTTAAATCTGAAAAACATAAAAGTAATAAAGGCTTATAAATAGAAATAGCGTATCCTCTGGCTATATCCTCTATCCACTTGCCAGAAATCAGACCAACACCAGGTCACTTTTTTTAAAATTAATTAATTTTTATTTATTTTTTTGAGACAGAGTCTCGCTCTATCACCCAGGCTGGAATGCAGTGGCATGATCTCGACTCACTGCAGCCTCTGCCTCCTGGGTTCAAGTGATTCTCATGCCTTAGCCTCTCAGGTAGCTGGGATTATAGGTATGTGCCACCATGCCTGGCCAATTTTTTGTATTTGTAGTAGAGATGGAGTTTCACCATGTTGCCCAGGCTGGTCTCGATCTCCTGACCTCAGGCGATCTGCCCATCTTGGTCTCCCAAAGTGCTTGGGATTACAGGCATGAGCCACTGCGACTGACGAAAAACACATCTTTTTATGATGGAAAATTTCAAACATATGTAGCAAAAGAACAGATAGTTACTCATCATCTACCTTCAATGATTAACAATTCATGGCAGATCTCATTTCATATATATCTTCATCCACTACCTTTACCACTACACCCATAGGAATATTTTGAAGCTAATTCTGGAAATCCTGTAATTGTATCCATTAATAATAGAATACTTTTATTCTCTTTGACTTTAGAAGCTCATGTTTTCCTTAGGGCTGCTGAGCTTCTGAAACACTACTGGCTCACTGTAAGAGGGAAAAAGTACTATCATTTAGGTCCCACTGAGCTTCAAGTACACTCTTGTATATTTTGCAAGTGTTTTTGTTCTCTGATGAAACTCTAAAAGTTTAGAGTTAAGTTTCTGATTTGCAGAACATAAATACATCTACACAATACATAGACTAGAGAATAAATGGGAATAAACTTATTAATCTTATTTGTAATTTGAAATTCAGTGTTATTTTGTTCCTATCTTTAAAAATCAGAATTGTGCAATTTCTTCTGAAGATCACATCATTTCCTACCTTTTAAATTTTAATTTAAGTATCTTCTTTTTTTTTATATTTTACAGCTAATTCCTGAATCATTGCATTATTATTATGAAGGAAAAGGGAAACTTGTATTTAATTCATTAATTTCTGTTACCTGGTTTTAGATTGAGATTTTTGATTAGTCCCTAGGTTTATTTTATGAGATTAGCCATCTTTTATAAAGGTTGATATGCAAAGTTAGTTTAATTATTAGACCATTAGACTTCTAAAAATTTGAACTTTACATTTCATTATTTGTCCCTCTAAAAGATTAAAAGGAATCTTAGAGCGTGGAAAAGAAGAATTGGCTGAAGCTGAGATTATAAAAGATTCGCCTGATTCCCCAGAACCTCCAAACAAAAAACCCCTTGTTGAAATGGATGAAACTCCACAAGTGGAAAAATCAAAAGGTAAGGTACAGCTGTGGTAACTAGGTTTATAAAAAGTTTTCCAGGCCGGGTGTGGTGGCTTACCCCTGTAATCCCAGCACTTTGGGAGGCTGAGGCAAGCAGATCACCTGAGGTCAGGAATTCAAGACCAGCCTGGCCAGCATGGTGAAACCCCACCTCTAATAAAAATACAAAATTAGGCGGGCATGGTGACACACACCTGTAATCCCAGCTACTTGGGAGGCTGAGGCTAGAGAGTCGCTTGCACCTGGGAGGCGGAGGTTGCAGTGAGCCAAGATCGCACCATTGCACTTCAGCCTGGGCGACAGAGCAAGACTCTGTTTCAGAAAAAAAAAAAATTTTCCAATGAAGCTCTGTTTTGTACAGTGTTATTTAATATTGTTGTGTATGTGAGGAAGAGTTCTTAAGTATTTGTGGGTGTTGTTTAGGACATTCTCTGTTTACAACCTGTATTAGTCCAGTCTTATGCTGCTAATAAAGATAAAAATACCCAAGACTGGGTAATTTTTAAAGGAAAGAGGTTTAATTGACTCACAGTTCCAGCATGGCTGGGAGGCCTCAGGAAACTTACAGGCATGGCAGAAGGAGAAGCAAACATGTCCTTCTTCACATGGCAGCAGCCAGGGGAAGGGCAGAGCAAAGGGAGAGGAAGCCCCTTATAAAACTATCAGATCTAGTGAGAACTCACTCACTATCACGAGAACAGCATGGAAATTTGGGTGGGGACACAGCCAAACCGTATCACAGCCTTAGAGAATACAGGCAGTAAATATATTTGTCAGTGTTAAAAACAAAAACAAGTAGTGTTATACTTTCATTAATGAAGCCTTTGGAAAATAAGCATATAAAGTTTGTGTTTTAAGAAATTTTAAATATGTAAACTTGAATCTGTTTATGTTCCTGATACTATAGTAAGAGCTGAGATATTGAATACAAACTCTTTTGACCCTAAACTCTTACGAAACCTAGAAATATGTAATATCACTCATTTATTGCTATATTAAAATGTGTTTGAGTTTCAGTGTAGTTATTATTATAAACAATATTTTCACTGTAAAGCCTCTTAATCTCTTATAGGCTAAAAAGTTTAGTTTCCTCTTGAAGGAATTCTAGGCACCAAGGATATGATTTGGGATTGGCAGCTCCTGAAATCGTTCTAGGCTTTAGTTATCTTGAAGGCAAACTAGATTTAGTCTTTTTAGGATACATGTGTAATGGTATGCCGTCATTAGACTACCTGATGTCCTGCCACTATGCCTCTCCTAAGGCAGTAGAACCAGCTTATGAATATTGGCAGCTCATCCTAGGGAGAAGGTAGGCTTGTTTGCTTTTTATATGCTTGTTATAGTGTATGTATATAGTGATACATGTTATATTCTTCAGTTCACTAGTTTCTTTGAAGCCAGAGATCACCCTTGAGGTGATCTTATTATATTTGCCTTTCAGGCATTTGCTAGAGGGCCCAGAAAATAATAGGATTTAAATAGATGTTTTTTGATAAATTATTTCTCATATGACAAAATATACCACTCTTCATTAGGATGAGAAATTTAGGTCTACTCTAAACAGTGTTTCAGCATTGCTTGGTAAATAGAACTCTAAGGAGTATTACTGAGGCAGAGATTGCAGTGAGCCAAGATGCCACTGCACTCCAGCCCAGGCGACAGAGTAAGACTCCATCTCTAAAAAAAAAAAAAAAAAAAAAGAGTATTATCTATACTGGCAAAAATTGCAAGCACCTAAAAGCCATATTAGTAGGAAAATGACTGAATAATGGTGTGTCCATAGGGTGGTATGTATGTATTTATTTATTTATTGAGATGGAGTCCACTCTTGTTGCCCAGGGTGGAGTGCAATGGCACGATCTCAGCCCAGTGCAGCCTCTGCCTCTTGGGTTCAAGTGATTCTCCTGCCTCAGCATCCCGAGTAGCTGGGATTATAGGTGCCTGCCACCACACCCAGCTAATTTTTATATTTTTAGTAGAGACAGGGTTTCACCATGTTGGTCAGGCTGGTCTCGAACTCCTGACCTCAGGTGATTCGCCTGCCTTAGCCTCCCAAAGTGCTGGGATTACAGGCATGAGTCCCTGCGCCCAGCCCCCACAGGGTGGTATTTATATAACCCAAGAATAATTATTGAATGAATGTGTAAATAAGTTTTTTTAAAGCAGGTTACATAAACATATGTACTGTGATCTCAATTTTAAGTTTTCATACACATATGTACTAGCTTGTCACTTAGATGAAATATCAGCTATCATTAAATTAAATGGATCCCTGATGTTTTTCGCCCTGGAAATATTATATGAAATAGCTCATATGAGAAGCAACTTGATTGCATATTACTGCCTTTCCTTGTAACTTTCTATTTGAGGCTGATATTTGAAAAGTGTTTGTTTTTTCCTTCATTCTATTTTATGACCTAAATTGCATGTCTCTTCTGATCAGCAACTGATCTGGGCCTTTTATTATACCTCAGTTTTATCTGCTTTGGAAAATGACTTTCCAGGCCTCCCCAAAGTGAATTTTGTGCCTGCTGTATACACTGTACTTAAGGCTAGGCTATTCCAAATGTGCCATCTAGATTTGGCAAACGTCTATTCAACTCTCTTTGTATGATGCAGTAACAAAAAAAAAAAACCAAAATAACCATTTGTTGATATAGATTGGCACTGAAAAAAAGACTAAAATTTTTAGTTGTTAGAGCAGTGGCATTAGGATGATTTTATTTCCTCCTTTATGTGTTTTATTGTTTTCTAAATTTGTTCTCATGAACATGCATTAGTTTTATAATAAGAAAACTAAGAATTTTAAAATATATATGACAATATTAGCTCTTTTTGATGTACAGTTCTGTGAGTTTAGACAATGCATACCGCCATCACAATCAGGGTACACAACAGTCTGTCACCCCAAAAGATTTCCTCATATTGACCCTTTGTAGTCATCTTTCACTCTCCTCCTCAATCCCTGTAGTCATCCTTCACTCTCCTCCTCAATCCCTGGTAACTACTGATATGTTTTCTCTTCCTATAATTGTGCTCCCTGTAATTTTTCGGAATGTCTTATAAATGAAAGAAAATGTCATGCCACCTTTTGAGATTGGCTTTTTTCACATAGTATTATAATGACTAATTTTATAAGAAACTGCCAGCTTATTTTTCCAAAGTGGTGGCACCATTTTGCATTCCCACCACCAGTATGTGAGAGTTCTGGGTGTTCTGCATCCTTGTCCAGTTGCTGTTGTCAGGGTTACTGTTTGTTTTGTTTTTGTTTTTCATCCTATAAGGTATGTAGTGGTATTTCATTGGTGTTTTAATTTACATTTCTCTCATGATTAATGATGGTAAAACTCTTTTCCTTTGCTTATTTGTTGTCTGTCTTCTTGGGTGAAAGGTCCATTAAAATATTTTGTACATTATAAAATTGGATTGTTTCTTATTAGTGGATTTTGAGAGTTGTTTATTTATCTGGATACAAGTTCTGTGTTGGACAGGTGATTTGCAAGTATTTTCACCCAGTCTGTGGGTTGTTCTTCTCTTATAAATGACTTTTGCACAACAGAAGCTTTTTATTTTGATGAAGTCAAGTACATCCATTTTTGCTTTTATGATTATGCTTTAGGTGTTACATGTTAGAAATCTAACCCAGGGTCACAAAGGCTGATTTTCTTTTAGGAGTTCTGTAATTTTAGATTTACATTTAGGTCATGATCAATTTTTGAGTTATTTTCTATAAGGTACAAAGTATGGGTCAATATTAATCCTTTTGCCTACGATGTCCTAATGTTCCAGCAGCATTTATTGAAAAGACTATCCTTTCTTCATTGAAATATTGTACATTTATCAGAAATTAGTTGACTATGTATGTGGGATCTGCTTCTGGATTCTCTTTTATATTCTGTTGGTTTATGTGGCCGTCCTTTCACCAATCCAGTACTGTCACAGTCACTTCAAATTAAGTCTTGTAATGAGGAAGTAAGAATCTTCTAACTTTTGTCTTCTTTTTCAAAATTGTTTTGGCTATTGTAATTCTTTTGCCTTATCATATTGTGCAGGAAAGAGTTAACATAGCAGGCCTGAGACTATTATAATTAGAAAAGCCTGCTTGCAGGTTTGGCTGTTGGCTGGCATCTGGGAACTTGGCTTTTGAGATATTGCCTAGATAATGAACTGAACACCTGCTTCCCTTCTGAAAGTCTGGAACTTTGGTCATTGTGGTTAGGCAGAGAATACCTACCTGATCAGCCCCCAGTAAAAACCCTGGACTCTACTCAAACAGGCTTTACTGGCAGAAATATTGTGCACATGTGGCTGCATGTTTGCCTATGGAGGTAGTATGCACTCTGCATAAACCTCATTGGAGAGAGTGAGCATGGGAAGCCTGCAAATGGATTCTGCCAGTCTCCACCTCATGTGTTCCTTCTGCTTACCGATCTGGCTGTGTCTCCTTACTGTAATGCTGTAATCATTCTTAACCAGGAGTGTAACTTTACATTTAGTCATTTGAGTCCTTCCATCAGTCACTGAACTAGTGGTTGCTCTTGGGGACCCTGAAACACATAAATTTTAGAGTAAGAGGAAAATGATTGCCTTAATCGTGTAAAATGAACTACAGAATTAACTGCCTTAATTGTGTAAAATGAACAACAGAATTAAAGGTAAGTTTGGAAATTTGGAAATTTGGAAATAATAAATTATTCTATCTTTTTTTTCTCTCTCCTTTTAAATATAACACTAGGGCCAGTGTCGTTATTATCCTTGTGGAGTAATAGAATCAATACTGCCAATTCCAGAAAACATCAGGAATTTGCTGGACGTTTGAACTCTGTTAATAACAGAGCTGAACTATATCAACATCTTAAAGAGGAAAATGGGTTTGTGTTACTTATTGTCAAAATTGGTTTTGTCAATTGCCTGTATAGTACCTTAACAATCATTGCTTATTTGTAATAATCAGCAGTTTTTTATTACTAATATTATGAACTAATACATGTTCCCCATAAGCAGAAAAAATTAACCTCTTTGATTCTTGCTTCTAAAAGGCTTAGTTATATTGATTGTAACCCTGAAAGTATTTACTCCTTAGAGCATTTCTTTTTAATGCTTAATAAACATTACAGAGGGAAAAATCATACCACTTAGGATATAATGCCAGTCTCTGTAAAATAACAGAGGAAAATGTTTTCCTATTAAGGAATACAATATTAAGAATATTGATTATAGTAAAATAAATCTCAGATCTGATTATTTTGATTTTTTTAGAAGAAATCCTCTTAATTTGTTGGTGGAAATACATTTATTTAGTGGGGAAGGAAATAAATTCTTGATGAAATTGTAGAGATTTTTTCCTTAGTTTTGCTTGGAAAGGGAGAGTGTGGTATAGTCAAACAAACAAACAAAAAACAGTGGCCTTTGACTTGTAACCTTGGGAAAGTCACTTAGTCTCTCAAGGCCTCAATTTTCACTGTAAAATGAAGAAATTGGCCTAGCTAGAGGAACCCTGATGTTAGTCCTTTCCTAAAATGCTGATGTTCTGTTCTGTGAATATATTATTTTAATTTTCATGTGAAAGGTAGATAAGGAGACAAAATGTTAATGAATATTTATTTTATCAACTCGTTTTTTTCTTCCTATTTCAGGATGGAGACAACAGAAAATGGAAAAGCCAGCCGGCAGTGAAGAGTGACTTGAAGAACTAAATTTAGCATATTGCAAAAATATTTTGTGCGGAATTCGATATAAGTACTTTTACAGCAAGATGGTATAGTTATGTTGCCTGGACTGGTTTTTACATTTTTAAAATATTTCAGCTGTCATTTTTGTACTAATTATAAAATTGGCACATAATTCAAAAATATACATTTGAGATGATTTGTCCTCCCAAATTATACAAGTTTATTTTATGGTATAAAGTGTTCTCTCTGGAAATGTTTTTAAAAAAATTCTTAGGCTTCTCTTTGCGAAATAAAACTATTAAAATATTTGAAATGCAAAACATTGGAGAATTACTTTAGAAGATACTTTAGTTACTTAATGACTGAAAACAACCTATAGGAATTTTTAAAAATTTGATGAGAGTTTAAGATTTGCAATACTTAATATAAAATTTTGCCTATTAAGCTGCATCATATATTGTGCTTTTCTAAAAAAGAACATTGTTTTTATCTTGTTTTAAGTTATTTTGCATATGTGTTCTTACCCATTTAAAAGTAGAGCTTTCAGGTAGGTTGTATAATTTTATATTTACTAGTATTGGGTAGTTTTACTCTTTATATTTTTCTGCAAAATATTTTCCATCCATTTGCTTTTCTTATTGAAAGAGAAGCGTAAAGGAAATTACTTCACAGATTTAGAAGAAAGAAAAGTTACTAGGTTGATTTTATCTCTGGATAGAATCTTAGTCTCATTTCTCAGAGATGTCATGGTTACATGTTATATGTTTCTTGGGCCTTTTTCCTGTGCTGCTTCATCTAGAAGTTTATAACATGTTACAAAAGGTAGGTTATTTCAATGTTAAATGCTAATTGTAAGTTTGCCATTTTTTTCCTTGAGTGTTTATTAGAGAAAGGAAGCTCTTTATACAGACTCAGTATTTTCTTTTTTTTTTTTTTTTGAGACGAAGTCTCGCACTGTCGCCCAGGCTGGAGTGCAGTGGCGCGATATTGGCTCACTGCAACTTCTGCCTCCCGGGTTCACACCATTCTCCTGCCTCAGCCTCCCAAGTAGCTGGGACCACAGGCGCCCACCACCACGCCTGGCTAATTTTTTGTATTTTTAGTAGAGACAGGGTTTCACCGTGTTAGCCAGGATAGTCTCAATCTCCTGACCTCATGATCTGCCTGCCTCGGCCTCCCAAAGTGCTGGGATTACAGGCCTGAGCCACTGCACCCGGCCCTCAGTATTTTCTATTGAAAAAAAAAAAAAAACAACTGGTCTTTACACAGGGGTTCAGCAGCCTTCCAGGTCAGCCTGGTGAAATTGACATTGCTCTCCTTTATCAACTCCTGTCTCATTCTCAGTCCTCTTCCCTCAGATAGAGCTACTTTTACTCCATTCCACTGTGTTTAGATATACATTGACACAAACCATACACAGGCAGGGCCAGGCCTAATTAACATCTTAGACTTTCGGGGTTTAAGGAACCATAACCCAATAGCTAATTAATAGATCATATTTACTTTTCAGTGGGCTCTGACCTTTTATTTATTTATTTTTAAATTATACTTTAAGTTCTGGGATACATGTACAGAACGTGCAGGTTTGTTACATAGCTATACGTGTGCCATGGTGGTTTGCTGCACCCATCAACTCATCATCTACATTAGGTATTTCTCCTTATCTTATCCTTCCCCTTGTTCCCCCACCCCCCCGACAGGCCCCAGTGTGTGATGTTCCCCTTTCTGTGCCCATATGTTCTCATTGTTCAGCTCCTACTTATGAGTGAGAACATGCAGTATTTGGTTTTCTGTTCCTGTGTTAGTTTACTGAGAATGATGGTTTCCGGCTTCATCCATGTCCCTGCAAAGGACATGAACTCATCCTTTTTTATGGCTGCATAGTATTCCATGGTGTATATGTGCCACATTTTCTTTATCCAGTCTAACATTGATGAGCATTTGTATTGGTTCCAAGTCTTTGCTATTGTGAACAGTGCTGCAACGAACATACGTGTGCATGTGTCTTTATGGTAGAATGATATGTAATCCTTTGGGTATATACCCAGTAATGGGATTGCTGAGTCAAATGGTATTTCTGGTTCTAGATCCTTGAGGAATTGCCACACCGTCTTCCACAATGGTTGAACTAATTTACCCTCCCACCAACAGTGTAAAAGCGTTCCTATTTCTTCACATCCTCTCCAACATCTGTTGTTTCCTGACTTTTTAATGATTGCCATTCTAACTGGCATGAGATGTGATCTCATTGTGGTTTTGATTTGCATTTCTCTAATGACCAGTGATGATGAGCTTTTTTTCGTATGTTTGTTGGCCACAAATGTCTTCTTTTGTGAAGTGTCTATTCATATTCTTCGCCCACTTTTTGATGGGGTTGTTTTTTTCTTGTAAATTTGTTTTAAGTTCCTTGTAGATTCTGTATATTAGCCCTTTGTTCGATGGATAGATTGCAAAAACTTTCTCCCATTCTGTAGGTTGCCTGTTCACTCTGATGATAGTTTCTTTTGCTGTGCAGAAGCTCTTTAGTTTAACTAGATCCCATTTGTCAATTTTGACTTTTGTTTCCATTGCTTTTGATGTTTTAGTCATGAAGTCTTTGCCCATGCCTGTGTCCTGAATAGTATTGCCTTGGTTTTCCTCTTGGGTTTTTATGGTTTTAGTTCTTACATTTAAATCTTTAATCCATCTTGAGTTCATTTTTTTTTAAGGTGTAAGGAAGGGATCCAGTTTCAGTTTTCTGCATATGGCTTGCTGGTTTTCCCAACATCATTTATTAAATAGGGAATCCTTTCCTCATTGTTTGTTTGTGTCAGGTTTGTCAATGATCAGATGGTTGTAGATGTGTGGTGTTATTTTGGAGGCCTCTGTTCTATTTTGTTTGTCTATATATCTGTTTCGGTACCAGTACCATGCTGTTTTGGTTACTGTAGCCTTGTAATATAGTTTGAAGTCACATAGCATGATGCCTCCAGCTTTGTTCCTTTTACTTAGGATTGTCTTGGCTATACGGGCTCTTTTTTGGTTCCATATGAAATTTAAAGTAGTTTTTTTTCTAATTCTGTGAAGAAAATCAATCGTAGCTTGATGGGAATAGCATTGAATCTATAAATTACTTTGGGCAGTATGGCCATTTTCACGATATTGATTCTTCCTATCCATGAGCATGTAATGTTTTTCCATTTGTTTGTGTCCTCTCTTATTTCCTTGAGCAGTAGTTTGTAGTTCTTCTTGAAGAGGTCCTTCATGTCCCTTGTAAGTTGTATTCATAGGTAATTTATTCTCTTTGTAGAAATTGTGAATGGGAGTTTGCTCATGATTTGGCTTTCTATTTGTCTGTTATTGGTGTATAGGAATGTTTGTGATTTTCGCAACATTTATTTTGTATCCTGAGAGTTTGCTGAAGTTGCCTATCAGCTTAAGGAGTTTTTGGGCTGAGACGATGGGGTTTTTTAAATATACAATGATGTCATCTGCAAACAGAGATAATTTGACTTTCTCTCTTCCTATTTGAATACGCTTTATTTCTTTCTCTTGCCTGATTGCCCTGCCAGAACTTCTAATACTTTGTTGAATAGGAGTGGTGAGAGAGGGCATCCTTGTCTTGTGCCGGATTTCAAAGGGAATGCTTTCAGCTTTTGCCCATTCAGTATGACATGGGCTGTGGGTTTGTCATAAATAGCTGTTATTACTTTGAGATAGGTTCCATCAATACCTACTTTATTGAGTGTTTTTAGCATGAAGGGGTGCTAAATTTTATCAAAGGCCTTCTCTGCATCTGTTGAAATAATCATGTGGTTTTTGTCATTGGTTCTGTTCATGTGATGGATTACATTTATTGATATGCGTATGTTGAACCAGCCTTGCATCCCAGGGATGAAGCCGACTTGATTATGGTGAATAAGCTTTTTAATGTGCTGCTGGATTCAGTTTGCCAGTGTTTTATTGAGGATTTTCACATCGATGCTTATCAGGGATATTGGCCTGAAATTTTCTTTTTTTGTTGTGTCCCTGCTGGGTTTTGGAATCAGGATGATGCTGGCCTCATAAAATGAGTTAGGGAGGATTCCCTCTTTTACTGTTGTTTGGAATAGTTTCAGAAGGAATGGTACCAGCTCCTCTCTGTACCTCTGGTAGGATTCAGCTGTGAATCCATCTGGTCCTGGGCTTTTTTTGGTTGGTAGGCTATTCATTACTGCCTTAATTTCAGAACTTATTATTGGTCTATTCAGGGATTCGACTTCTTCCTGGTTTAGTCTTGGGAGGGTGTATGTGTCTAGGAATTTTTCCAGTTTTTCTAGATTTTCTAGTTTATTTGGGTAGAGGTGTTTATAGTATTCTCTGATGGTAGTTTGTATTTCTGTAGGATCAGTGGTTCTTCTTTATCATTTTTTATTGTGTCTATTGGATTCTTCTCTCTTTTCTTCTTTATTAGTCTGGCTAGCGGTTTATTTTGTTAATCTTTTCCAAAAACCACCTCCTGGATTCACTGATTTTTTTGAAGGGTTTTTCGTGTCTCTATCTCCTTCAGTTCTGCTCTGATCTTAGTTACTTCTTGTCTTCTGCTAGCTTTTGAATTTGTTTGCTCTTGCTTCTATAGTTCTTTTAATTGTGATGTTAGGGTGTCAATTTTAGATCTTTCCCGCTTTCTCTTGTGGGCATTTAGTGCTTTAAATTTCCTTCCGAACACTGCTTTAGCTGTGTCCCGGAGATTCTGGTACATTGTGTCTTCATTCTCATTGGTTTCAAAGAACTTATTTATTTCTGCCTTAATTTTGTTATGTACCCAGTAGTCATTCAGGAGCAAGTTGTTCAGTTTCCATGTAGCTGTGTGGTTTTGAGTGAGTTTCTTAATCCTGAGTTCTAATTTGCTTGCACTGTGGTCTGAGAGACTGTTATGATTTCCATTCTTTTGCATTTGCTGAGGAGTGTTTTACTTCCAATTATGTGGTCAGTTTTAGAATAAGTGTGATGTGGTGCTGAGAATAATGTATATTCTGTTGATTTGAGGTGGAGAGTCCTGTAGATGTCCATTAGGTCCACTTGGTCCAGAGCTGAGTTCAAGTCCTGAATATCCTTGTTAATTTTCTGTCTTGTTGATCTGTCTAATATTGACAGTGGGATGTTAAAGTCTCCAACTATTATTGTGTGGGAGTCTAAGTCTCTTTGTAGGTCTCTAAGAACTTGCTTTATAAATCTGAGTGCTCCTGTATTAGGTGCATATATATTTAGGATAGTTAGCCCTTCTTGTTGCATTGATCCCTTTACCACCATTATGTAGTGCCCTTCTTTTTCTTTGATCTTTGTTGGTTTGAAGTCTATTTTATCAGAGACTAGGATTGCAACCCCTGCTCTTTTTTTGCTTTCCATTTGCTTGGTAAATCTTCCTCCATCCCTTTATTTTGAGCCTATGTGTGTCTTTGCATGTGAGATAGGTCTCCTGAATACAGCACACTGATGGGTCCTGACTGTTTGTCCAATTTGCCAGTCTTTGCCTTTTAATTGGGACAGTTAGCCCATTTACTTTTAAGGTTAATATTGTTATATGTGAATTTGATCTTGTCTTTATGATGCTAGCTGGTTATTTTGCCCATTAGTTGATGCAGTTTCTTCATAATGTTCATGGTCTTTACAATTTGGTTTGTTTTTACAGTGGCTGGTACTGGTTTTTCCTTTCCATATTTAGTGCTTCCTTCAGGATCTCTTGTAAGGCAGGCGTGCTCTACCAACTGGGAGACAATTTCTATGGCTGGATTTTGAACTGTGCCAGTAGCTTTCTATATTACTCCATGTTGTTGATTGTTAGGCTCTCCAACTAACAATTTTTTTTTTTTTTTTTTTTTTTTTTTGTGATGGAGTCTTGCTTTGTCGCCCAGGCTGGATTGCAGTGGCGCAATCTTAGCTCACTGCAAGCTCCACCTCCCAGGTTCACGCCATTCTCTTGCCTCAGCCTCCCGAGTAGCTGGGACTAGAGGCACCCACCACCGTGCCCGGCTAATTTTTTGTATTTTTAGTAGAGACAGGGTTTCACTGTGTTAGCCAGGATGGTCCCGATCTCCTGACCTCGTGATCCGCCCGCCTCGGCCTCCCAAAGTGCTGGGATTACAGGCGTGAGCCACCACATCTGGCCTCTCCAGCTAACAATTCTACAGGCTTAACTAGATGTTCTTTGGGCACCCACTTCACCCTCCAGAGATGGTTCATATTGAGGATTTAACTAATCAAGAGACGTGGACGAAATGTAAATTAAAAAATATTTATCACTCATGGTTTTATTCCATTTTTTGCTGCTATAACAATATCACAGACTGGGTAAATTATAAAGGAAATAAATTTATTTAGCTAAAAGTTCTAGAGGCTGGGAAGTCCAATATCATGGGGCCACTCCTGGTCAAGTCACTTGTGCTGTATCATAACATGGCAGATGGGCAGGTGAGCATGAGAGACAGAGGAAATTGGGCCAAACTCCATTCTTTTATCAGGAACCCACCCCTGCAACAATTAACCCAGTCCTGTGATAATGGCATTCATGTATCCATGAATGGGGGCTCTCATTGACTAATCATCTCTTAAAGATCCCACCTCTTCATACTGTTACAGTGGCCATGAAGTTTCCACATGAGTTTTGATAAGAACATGGAAACCATAGCACTCATCTATACTGGAATCTTAAGTCCAGACTTAATGATTGTGGGAATCAAAGTTACACTAACAGAGAATATATGTACTTTCAATTATATTAAAACATTCTACTGACTAAAAGTTATTTTTATAATGTAAGGCAAAATTTTTACAGCACGCTTATTATCACATGGTATGTGTGACAAACGATTACACACAATCATAAATACAATGAGATTTTACTCCAGAAAGTTCCAGTGTATTGGAATATTGTTCAAAATCACCATATGGACATGTGTAGCCATCATTACAACTTGCACAGAATTATTAATACATACATTGACATTAATGCTTTGGGTAATAATTAAGAATCAGCTTGAACAATACACAGCTTGGTTTTGGAGGACTATCAATCATTTGAATTCTTCAGTACTGGCATTTACCGTGAACTAAGGTGCTCTTATCTGAGAGCAAAACAATTTACAGTACTTTAAGATTGTTTTATGAAGCAGTGAGTTATTTGCTTTGTTATTTCTGGCACATTTCAATTAAAATCATTAGTGTAATTTCACGTATGTGGAGAACAAAAGCTTCCAAATGGTAATTTTGTTACAGAGGTGCTGCTAGATGTGAGCAAATCTAAAAATTTCCATATCATAAAGATGGGAAGCATTAGACTTAGGAAATTCCAGGATCTGAATTTATTCTTAAGAAGTTTGATTTCATTGAGATCTCTATTTCAGTGATTAAAATGAACATCTTAGATTGAATCATGAAATTACCATTTTTATATGCAAAGTATATTGAATATTTGCAATTTGTTATGGTACAATATGTATGTTTGTCTTTATATCCTGTCTGAATATTCAATAGAAACTACATTTAGCAGCTGGTGTATATTGAAACAAGTTCCCCCTAGAGAAAGGTACAAATTTAATTTAGTGTTTAGTTAGAAATTTTCTTATTTGTAACATTTTAAATGAATTCCACAGCTGTTTTGAATCAGTTGAAAGTGAAAAGGCCCAAAGGAGAAAAGGCGATATTAAGTGCCCCTATAATTTCTTAGTAAGAAATAGGGGAGTAAACAATAAACTCTTTAGAAGATTAAAAAGAAAGTAGTGTCTTATTTTAAAATAGATAATCACCTTAAGTTTATGTACTTACCAAGTTCAAGAACAGGCCTTGAGGATCAAGTTTAAAGGGACAGAAGAGAAAAAAAAAGGTCAAAGAGGTAGGCATAAAGTGCCACGGGAGCTGCAGAGATGTTCAGAAGCAGAATTAAAACAATGCATTTGGATATGCCAACCAAGATGCTGGTAATGACTTCCAAAAAGCCATTTCCATGGAATGGTGGGAATAGAAACAACTGCAGCAATTAAAATGTTACATGAATGAAGTTAAAAGTAGAGGATGGTGAATGTTGTCAGCTGTTTCAGAAATATGGTAACAAAAAATGCTCTTGCTTATAGCTTGGTAGAAGAGAAATGAGAGAAGTTTTGTTATTTTTTGGTAGTCTTTTTATATCATCCAGTGTGTGGATTTTTAGAACAGTGGCATGAGCTTGTTTGTAAGTGAAAGGTAAAATACAACGAAGAGGTAAAGATT
The DNA here is from genome assembly GCF_000001405.40 of Homo sapiens. Classification (NCBI taxonomy): domain Eukaryota; kingdom Metazoa; phylum Chordata; class Mammalia; order Primates; family Hominidae; genus Homo; species Homo sapiens. Next base: position 26,897,277 of record NC_000012.12, on the reverse strand, counting down.
CCATAATTCTTTGCCCATACATAGTAGAACATCAACCTATTTGTGTATTTATTATTGTTAAATTAATCATGCCTTTATGTGGAGGGTTGTAATGAATGCCTTGAATTGGTGGTTTATAGCACTTCTCACATTTGGAGATGGGCTTGTCAGTGGTGGAATTGCTGACTGTAATGGATGAATCATTACATGAATTGTTTATGGTAGTGGTGGCCTGGTTGACAAATTTATAATTGACTATCCAGGCTTTCAAGGGGAAATAACTGATGTAATTGATTATCTAGGCTTTCAAGGGGAAATAACTGATTAGAATTCACTGGGAGTATATTAATACAATTAACACAGAGGACAAATTATCGCTAATCTTTTGACAATCTGATGGTTGATTTTACCTAATTTCCATATTGATTAGTCCTATTTCTTGAACAGTAGTTGATGCATTTAGATTTCTGATGACATTATTTACTCTTCCTCTGACTAATGAGATCCATTTCATAATGAAATAGGGGTTGATATTTTGGAGGTAGGAAAAATATCTGCTCTTGTTTCCATGCCAGGGATCACATTTTCTCTGTAAGCTTGATGTTGAGAAGACAGTGGTAACCCTCTCCATAACTGAGGGGAAGGTGGAACTTCACATTCCAGGATGGGTGGCTTTCAGGGCCTTAGCACATCCATTTCTTGGTCAGTGTTACTTGTTAGGGTTCTTCCTTGAAACACCAGGGACTGAGGAACAAGGAAAGTCTGACGACTCTTACAGAAATGCTAAGCTACACTTGCTGCTGCTGCTACCACAACTAGTAGACACGTACTTGCCAGCAAGGCCGGAATAACATTTCTAATCCAGGGACTATTTTCTGTGTTCGATGAGGTTAGAATGCTGTTTCCAATTAACCCATTGTCTAGCTCCAGAGTAAGACAGATTCCACTATATGTGATGTTCTCAACTGTGCCAATTTTGTATTCCGGCAGCATAGCATATACAAAGTTTGGATGGACATTTCCGTCAGGCCTCCTTAGTTTAAACATTATTTCCTGGATTTCTTTGTTAGGACACCATTTCAGAGAACTGCTGTTGACTAAACATAAGGCCCTATTATACCAGGATATGATAGTAGACCCTGGTCTCAGGGTAATTAATACGATCTGTTCAGGGTTACTAGAGTTTAGATAGTCAGTGAGTTTAGCAAAAAATAAACCAATTCTCTCTCTCCTTTTAATGAATGAGTAGAAACTGTTTTTTGTGCGCAGAGTGTAAGTGTGGCAGGGACTACTTCTGGGTAGCTTCAGTTCAATGGTCAAAGGCATCTGAGCAACCAGACCCCCGGAATCAGTGGCACAGAGAATAAATTCCTGAGGGGAATATTGGAAATCCAGTTCTAGGGGATACCCATACAATATTTGATGAGTCATGTTAAATTGCAGCCAGCTTTCTGGGCCCGAAGGATACTCATTTACTGATTTTATTTCAAGTGTCAAGTGAGTTGAGTTGCCATCTTCCTGGTCATAAAATGTGTCAGGAGGGATCGGGAAATGAAATGTGTGCCCAACAGTTGCTGTTATCAATTGGATTGAATTAACAACTGTTGGAAATGTGTTGGGTTGACCTAGAAGAAGCAAACAAGAAATAAATTTCAACAAATACTACTCTTTATTTAAATGCTTAAGGTTGTCTTGATGGTTAACTTGTTTCCTCCCTTAGTTTTGCATAGGGCAGTAGGAACACTTCTATTGATCTCCTCTCTGTCTCCCTCTCTCTGTCTCTCTCTCTCTATATATATATACACACACACAAATATATATATATACAAAGATATATATATACACACAAAGATGTATATATACACACACATATACACAAAGATATTAGTATTACTAACTAATCAAATCTGGTTTAGGGGACTTCAGAAAAACAATATTTTGGCAAACAGCCTAAATTCTTAAACTGATTTTTTTGTTTTTTGGTTGAAAGTTGAACAGGAAAAGTTTTTTGTTTTTTTTTTTGAGATGGAGTCTCGCTCTGTCACCCAGGCTGGAGTGCAGTGGCATGATCTCGGTCACTGCAAGCTCTGCCTCCCGAGTTCACGCCATTCTCCTGCCTCAGCCTCCCGAGTAGTTGGGACTACAGGTGCCCGCCACCACGCCCAGCTAATTTTTTTTTTTTTTTTTTGTATTTTTAGTAGAGACGGGGTTTCACCGTGTTAGCCAGGATGGTCTCGATCTCCTGACCTCGTGATCTGCCCACCTCGGCCTCCCAAAGTGCTGGGATTACAGGCGTGAGCCACCGCACCCGGCCCAGGAAAAGTTTTAAGATCAGTACATATAAGTTAGATAATGGTACACGTAAGTTACATAATTGAACAGAATCATAGCAACAAACTAGTACTCCAATTTCAATTAACATTTAAATCTCAAACTACAAAACATTTCAAGCTCTGCATAGATACATTTTGGTGTTTTCTGAGGAAGATGAGATAACATCACAAAAATGGGGCTATGGTGCAATATAACAAAGGCAGGTGGCTTTAGATATTGTGGGGAGCATTAAGTTGGAAAGAAGAGTATCACGCTACTGAAAAAAACTCAATGAATCAAGAAGATAGAGTAGTGCAGTCACTTGATAAATAGACTATTTGAAAGTGACATCTAAGTACTGTTGCATATTTAATGGGATTGATTAACAATGTAAGTCGTAACTACTAGGGAGATCTGTTTCTACTGAATTTCAAACAGCATCAAGGTCCATCAGCCTTACCATTCCATGATGATAGAATTGCTTACCTGGGTGTGACGTGGTCTCAGGTTTCTGAGATTCAGAATGCAGAGCACATGTTCTCAGCATCTATGTTACTTGAAGCCAGTCATATTTAGTGACAGGCAAACTGGTTGTACCTTGTCTAATATTTCTGTAAACTTTGTAGTTACTCCAAAGGAACCCCTTTGTTGTTGTTGTTGTTTTGTTTTTGTTTTTTGAGACAGGGTCTCACTCTGTTGCCCAGGCTGGAGTGCAGTGGCACAGTCATGGCTCACTGCAGCCTCAACCTCCCAGGCTCAAGTGATCCTCCCCCTCAGCCTCCTGAGTAGTTGGGACTACAGTCATGCGCCACTACGCCTGCTATTTTTTTTAATTTTTAAATTTTTGTTTGTTTTTGTAGAGACAGGCTCTCACTATGTTGCCCAGGCTGGTCGCAGTTTCATGGGCTCAAGCAATCTTCCTGCCTCAGCCTCCCAAAGTGCTAGGATTCAGGTGTGTGCCACCACACCTGGCCCTTAATTTAGACATTTAATTTAAACAAGGAAATCTCCCCCAAATTAAAGATCAATGAAAATTTCCATGGAAATTACCATACAAGTATGTTTTGATTTGAAACAAATTCTAAAGCAATCACTCTGATATGAGTTAGCTAGTTCAGAGAAGAGAAGATGAGCAGAGATGATAGCTTGCATTTAATGAACCATGTGCCAGGCACTGTGCTAAGTACATACTTCATTTTATCTTCACAACAAATATATTGGAATAATTATCCTCAGTTTATAAATGATAGAAGTAATATACTAATGTGAATACCTAATATTACACATATAGTAAATTATACAGCTAGATTTCAAACCCGTTTCACTATAGATACTGAGTTATTAATCATCATACTGCCTGTTTGCAGTATATCATGAGATAAATAAACTAAATGAAAGAGGATGGTTTTAACTTTAGTTATAGAGTTTGAATCTGTTAGCAAGCATTTTTCTAACTCTGGTGGTCTGTAAGACTGCAACAGGGCCAGGCACGGTGGCTCACGCCATAATCCCAGCACTCTGGGAGGCCGAGGCAGATGGATCACCTGAGGTCAGGAGTTTGAGACCACCCTGGCCAACATGGTGAAACCCCATCTCTACTAATAATACAAAAAAAATTAGCCAGGCTTGGTGGTGGATGCCTGTAATTCCAGCTACTCGGGAAGCTGAGGCAGGAGAATTGTTTGAACCCGGGAGGCAGAGGTTGCAGTGAGCCAAGATCACACCATTGCACTCCAGCCTGGGCAACAAGAGCGAAACTCCGTCTCAAAAATAAAATAAAGACTGCAACAGATGAATGATTTAGGAATAATAATAACTGGACAGAGTAATGGCTTGAAGCTCCTTCCAGGTTTGTGAGTCTTTGATCAATCTATTGTAAACACAATACACATTAAATAATGTGTATAAGGCATAAGATGGGTACTGTATTTTGTTATTGACTTTTCTTTTTTTTTTTTTTGAGATGGAGTTTCGCACTTGTTGCCCAGGTTAGAGTGCAATGGCGCGATCTCAGCTCACTGCAACCTCTGCCTCCCGGGTTCAAGCGATTCTCTTGCCTGATCCTCCGGAGTAGCTGGGATTACAGGCACCTGCCACCACGCCTGGCTAATTTTTTGTACTTTTAGTAGAGACGGGGTTTCACCATGTTGGCCGGGCTGGTCTCAAACTCCTGACCTCAGGTGATCCTCCTGCCTTGGCCTCCCAGAGTGCTGGGATTACAGGTATGAAACACCACACCCGGCCTGTTGTTGACTTTTCTTACATGATATATTCTTAAAGTTTTTTCTTCCTAAAAACAACTCTATTCCTTGAAAAAGTTGGAAAATATAGACAAATGTAGAGAAGAAAATCAAGCACATGTAATTTCATCACACGGTTACCACTAGGTTACTCTGTTTTAATTATTTAGTTGGTTGCTGCTTGTTAGTATAAATATTCTCTGAAAAATATGGCAAAGAGAAAGCTCAACAACTCCCACAATCTTACCTTGTACCTTATTAAAGTCAGAGATAGTCCTGTATCTTGCTGTTAATACGTTTTTGGAGGTATGTGGGTAACTTATAAACATGTCAGTAGAATCCAAGTTAAGTACTGTATTGCCTGGCAAAATCTGGCTAGTTCTTGAGAATCCACTGAAAGCTAAATGTTCTGTGCCTCAGAACCAGTCACTAAGAATATGCATCATAGTTTTTGAGCCCATATTTTCAGGTAACTCAAATGCATTTGAAAATTTAGACACCTCAGAAAGGGACAGTTCAGATAAGTCATGTAATTGAGTAAATGATGGGGTCTCCTTAGAATATGACTGAGTTTTGATAATCACATCACCATCACACAATGAGCCTTCATCTACGAGTTTGCTGATGAAACAATCAGTTTCCATGGGCAAAAGAGTTGAGTCAGATGTACTATTCCATACAAATTTTGTATTTATGCTCATGCCAGGAGCTGAAATTATTTCTGTAGGAATGATGAATGAATGAATCTGTTGAGAAACTTCAGGAGTGTCAGATGTGTGATTATGCTCATGAAGGTGCTGTTGACTTAGCTGATTTGACAGGAGTACTTGACTGAACTCAAGGGGAAAATGGGAGGCTGCCAGTGTCTCCCTTGCTGATGCTGTAGGTGTCAAGAGACTGTCAGGTGAATGTACAGATTTTTCCCAGTCGACTGGAACAGAGCCACTCCATTTGCTGAGAAATGTTGTCATTGAAGACAGTACTTCTGAAGGCATGGCTATATCCTGCATTACTGAGGGCTTAAGAAAATGAGAGTACTTGGATAATGAAAGGAGAGCTTGTGAATACCCGGCTTGACTAATTGATTCTGAGACAAGGTCGGGTAAAATAGTGTGCTTTTGTATTTCTGTCCCGTGGATTAGGGTGTGTCCTTTTAGTTCCCACTCTGGAGAGTCTAGATTTTCTACTGACATTGACACTGTAGAAGTTCTACCCTGAAGGAAGTCAAAATCTGTGAATGCAGTAGCCATTAGTACCATCGAAGGAGTGACTTCAGCAAAAGCAGCAGAATATTCAAGGTTTGTAGTCAAGGACATTTCCTGTAGCGAATTCTGTGACACTGCTGTATGCTGTGGCCTTTTAGTCTTTGTGCACTTTTGGAATAAACTCCTTGCAGTATTTGGAATAAAGTTGGGATCAGGGATAGGAGTGATCTGTCTCAAGGCAGCACATAAGCTGGGAATTGGCGATGCCTCATCTTTGGGCATCCAGTGAGTCACTGAGGTGGGTAACAAAACAGAGAAAGGTTTGCTTAGCTTTGTAATGAGTTCAGTTGGCCCCATCGTTGAAGTGGGGATTGAGCTTAACTGCCTGGGTCTTCTTGTTTGAGATTTTTGAAGTAATCTCCAACCTTCAATTGTATATCCTAAAACTTGGGCAAGATACTTAGAGGAAGCTTGCTGTTGAAACACTTGCATTAGCTCTGGCAGTACTGTGGAAACCTTATATCCCATAGGCCAGTGGAATTGTACAAGGTCACCTTGTAAAGTGATGACATGCCTAGGATCTTCAGCCATCACTGGAAGATTCCACAGATGCTTGTTTATCTTGCTTCTGAATGGGCTCATCGTCACTGAAGAAGGATCTAAGTGGAAATAGTCGGCCAGCGTGTATACCAAAAAGAGACGCTCTTGGACACCAAGAGCTTCAGCAGCTGCTTTAAGAGTAATTTCAGCTATAATGGCAGAAAATTCCTTTGAACCTCCTTCGGCCCTAATGCTGAAGATTTAAAACAAAAACACAGCATGGATTACTGCTTGACTAGCAATCCCTTATTTTTATGTATTCCTTCAGAGTTTATGTGGTATTCTCACATACATCCTCTCATTGCTACATCCAACAACTAGGAGGGAAGAGAGGGCAACTATTATTTTTCTTAGTTTATAGTTGAAGAAGCTAAGTTTCAAAGTAGCTAAGTACCCAAAGACGTAGAGTAAGCACCTGATCTAAATCCAGTTATTCTAACTTCAGATGGGAAAGTAGGGGATTTCAATGGAACAGCTGTGGGTTTTGGAGTTTAAAAGTTTAAACTCCAATTTGTCGGTTAGACTGGCTACATTATTTTGAGGTATTTAACTGATCTGAGTCTCGGTTTCTTCAAATAAAAAAGAGGAATAGCACTTAACTTGCAGGGATGTTCTGAATCTTAATTGAGGTAAGACACTTTGCGAGTGAGCTGGCACACTGATGAGCCTTTCACTACCCTGGGCCTTTACTGTTCCTTTCTTTCCCTTCTCTTTCCCTCCCTCTGGCCTTCTCTATCCTTCCTTTCCTCATGTTCCTCCCTCTGTCCTTCCCTTCATTATTCCTTTTGTCCTTTCCTTCTCCATATCCCATATCCTTCCCTTCCTTTCAATTTTCTTTATCTCTCCCTCTGCTTTGCTTGTTATATTTCCTTTTTTTTTTTTTTTTTCCAGAGTCTGGCTCTGTCTCAAGGCTGGAGTGCAATAAGTGGTGCGATCTCGGCTCACTGCAATCTCCACCTCCCAGGTTCAAGCGATTCTCCTGCCTCAGCCTCTGGAGTAGCTGGGACTACAGGCACGCATCACAACGCCCAGCTAATTTTTGTAATTTTAGTAGAGATGGGGTTTCACCATATTGGTCAGGCTGGTCTTGAACTCCTGACCTCAGGTGATCCACCCACCTTGGCCTCCCAAAGTGCTGGGATTACAGGCACGAGCCACTGCTTTGTTACATTTCTTTATCTCTCATCTTTTTTGCAGCTAGACCAACAGCGGGTCCCCTCTCAGATACAAGTACTGGTCAGTGGCCCCTGCAGTTATTGAATGTGCTCTTTTCAGTAACAGCCCATGGTGAGGCTGCAGTTCAGAGCTGGCGTTGGAAGCCAGCGGCTCTAGAAGAGTGTGGTTTGCTGAATGGAAACCAAAGTAGTAATTCTCACAGGACCAGAAAGGCTCTGAGGGTGGGACAGCCCGGTTGAAATGAGCAGTCATTTCAACCTATAATGCATTTCTGGCTAGCTAACTTTTTCAACTTTAGAAATCCATTATGGGCTGGGTGCAGTGGCTCACACCTGTAATCCCAGCACTTTGGGAGGCCAAGGCGGGTGGGTCGCTTGAGGTCAGGAGTTCAAGGCAAGCCTGACCAACATGGTGAAACCCTGTCTCTACTAAAAATACAAACAAATTAGCCGGGCATGGTGGCAGGCGCCTGTAATCCCAGCTACTTGGGAGGCTGAGGCAGGAGAATCACTTGAACCTGGGAGGTGGAGGTAGCAGTGAGCCGAGATCACGCTACTGCACTCCAGCCTGGGTGACAAAGCTAGGCTCCCTCTCAAAAAAAAAAGAAAGAAATCTATTATGGACATTACTTCATCCAGTTTTTGCCAACATCCTCCATCCAAATTAAAACAACTAAATTAGTTAAAGCTACTAATTTAGTCTCTATATGTTATATATGGTTCTGTTATTGCAGTCATACTTTTAAATATTTTTCATATTTTTTAAAATTTTTATTTATAAAATAAATTTATTAAAAATATTTAAAATGTTATTATAAATGATAAAATATAATAAAATAAAAAGGAATAGTAAAAATTTAAAATTTGTTACAAAAATTTATAAAAATAAAATCCTTTCTTAATTTTTATATTTTACATTTCTGTGTACCCTACTGGAATACTACACTATGAGTTGCTTGACAGCAGCTTATTCATATTATCTTCAACTCCTATCTCAGGAGTCTTGTATAAGACGCTTAGGCACTCACCAAATTCTTATTGAATGAATGAGTGAGTCAATGAACAAAAGAACGAAAACAGATGGAATGACATATATGAAAGTACTTTATAAATTGTGAATTGCTGTGTGGGAGTTAGTTATTATTGGCCTGATCTATAATTTTCACAATTTTGCATAAAAATTCTTTTAGAAGATAGAGGTAACTTTCTAGAGAGAAAACTTCAAAGTTTAGGTTGAAAGAGAGAGTAAATGACATGGTTATGTCTACATTTGAAAATAATTTGAGGAAGATAAAAATACTTGAATGTGAATTGTTAGGCTATGTAGAACTGCCTTTTAACCTTTTAAAAATAGATAATACATGAACACAATATAAAAATTCAAAAGGTAAAATAGGAGATTCATTGCCCAATCTCCTAGTTTCTTTCACTTACGTTACCAGAATATTCAGATACGTTCTATGTTTTTATAGACGAATATGTATACAAGAAGCTGCCTTTCAAAAGAGAAAAAGAGAAAGGACTGTTTTCAGCTAGTACGTGGTCGATGAGTATAAAATAAAATGATATGAGAAATAAAAACTTAGTTCTCCAATTTTCATTTACTTGGGAGTTGTTTTCCCATTCAAGGGATTATTGTAATAAGCTTTGTTTTAAGGTTTTATTGTTTAGCAACATTGTGAAAACATCTCTATGTCTTCTGTTCCTCATTCTTTTTTAAATACAAGATTTTATTTCTTCAAATCCTATCCTTGCTTTTTGACTACACTCATAAACTGAGCACTACACACAGCTACTCTGGTACTTACCCATTGGGAGAAGGAACCAAGCTTCCCCTCACCTCATTCCCAGCCAGCACATGAAGGGTAAAGATGAAAGCTGTTTGTGTTTGCTGAAAACAGAGAACCCCAGATACAAGCACCATGATTTGGTAATTTCCTCCCTCATCTTCTAAGGGCAGTCCTTGCAAGGTCTTGGTGGGAGAATGATATTCCAGCCATCTTGGCAGTTTGACATCATGAACTAGGGTAACCTGTTCAGGTATACACGAAACATAAAGTCTGAACTTGCCTTTAGGAAGAGGTTTGAAACTTGCTTGCTCTGTCTCTGTGGCAGCGCATTAATACTAAGAGTTAGCCAGGGCATGGTGGCTCACGCCTCTAATCCCAGCAGTTTGGGAGGCCGAGGCAGGCAGATCACAAGGTCAGGAGTTTGAGACCAGCCTGACCAACATGGTGAAACCCTGTCTCTACTAAAAATACAAAAATTAGCTGGGTGTGGTGGCATGCGCCTGTAATCCCAGCTACTCAGGAGGCTGAGGCAGGAAAATTGCTTGAACCCGGGAGGCGGAGGTTGCAGTGAGCCGAGATCATGCCACTACACTCCAGCCTGGGCGACAGAGCAAGACTCCATCTCAAAACAAACAAACAACAACAAGAAAACAAAAACAAACAAAAAAACCTAAGCGTTAAAGACCTCTGCTGAGGTACGAATGTCAAGTTTCCTCACAAACCCGTTTTTTTTTGTTGCTGTTGTTTGTTTTTTAAATCCCTAGAAACAGATATCTTTTTTCGTCTCAGGTTTATAAAGTCCTTATAAAAAAAATACAAACTTTTACTAGAAACCAGAAAATATCATTAGGCTCATTAAAATATTTGGCTAAGTATTTCTCTAAAAATTTTTTTTACCAAAACCTAACAACTACCTAATATAACTGACGATTAAGGTCTGTCTTAAAAATGCTATATTCTATTAAAGTATTAAGTTGCTCTTCCCAAACTGGGTTCCCCGTAATCAATTATTATTTATGAGCCTTTAAAAATACTTTTATTTTCTCAGTTAATGCTCTGAGACACCAACATAAAAATTATTATGGGAGTCACTTGGAAAATTTGGGTTCTATTTATTTTAATATCTATAAGAACACAATGCTGAACAGATAGGTTAGAGATACATAGATGCTTGCCTGAAACTGACTTATTTTCCCATGGAAGGCATAGGGAGATATTGGATAAGAGAATAATTTTCCAATAATAGCAACCGTGTCTGGCACACCATGATGAACTTGGATCTCTTCACATGAGTAGTGGGTAGTCACAGCTAGCATATTCACAAAGAAAGATGTCAGCACCAGCACAAGGTATGGTATTGCTGAAACTCTTCTGATCCATTTCAGGGGCAAATGGGTGCCAGTGATGTCTGCCCCCATGCTTTTCCTACCAGTATCCATTGCCTCAGTATAGTTAGCTCTGCCTGGGTAACTGGATATCACTTTACTGAACCTTACACTGTTTAAAAACAAAAGCAAAAACATTTGAGCTCAATTAGCACTTCTTGGGAGGAGGAAATAGATTTTATCTATCTTTGGAGCAATATTTAAAGTTTAGAATTCTTTTGTTTTCATATATCATTTGCATCAACTAATGGAGAGTTAAAATGAAAACCCCTACTACCTGCCAACATCACTGCTCTGTGGTGACTATGAAACGAGTAAGAGAAACCATAGATGCATTTTGACCTTGTGTCTGCCTTGCACTGCTCCTGTATCCAGCTCTACTTGGAGTTTAATATTGACTCTTAAGAGGACAAATTAATTAATGTAATAGTACATTGAAAATGTAAAACAAACAACAACAAACAAAAGCCTTCTCAGCATTGGCCTTATTCCCATTTTTCCTCTGTGACCCTGTGATAGACATTAGAGGTTTCTGCCTTTCAGAAGCTTTTTTTTTTTTTTTTTTGAGATGGAGTCTCACTTTGTTGCCCAGGCTGGAGTGCAGTGGTGTGATCTCGGCTCACTGCAACCACCGCCTCCCAGGTTCAAGCAATTCTCCTGTCTTAGCCTCCCGAGTAGCTGGGACTACAGGCACACGCCACCACGCCCAGCTAATTTTTGTATTTTTAGTAGAGATGGCATTTCACCATATTGGTCAGGCTGGTCTTGGACTCCTGACCTCAGGTGATCCACCTGCCTTGGCCTCCCAAAGTGCTGGGATTACAGGTGTGAGCCACCACACCTGGCCTAGAACCTTTTCATCTATGTTCCCTTTTCAGTAGTAACAGCCTTTCTTTGGGAAAATTTCCCTCTCCTACCTCATGATGAGCTGATAGCTGCCAATCAGTCACCCATCTCTTTGGTCAAAGGAGTAAGCAAATGATTCAGGCCTGCTCAATCATAATACTCAGCATCTCTTGCTAGGGGAAAAGACCCATTTGAGTAGGAGACCTGGGCTCAGCTCACCAGAGTCTTTTACTGTTTTCTGTGATTTTATATGGAGACGCTGGGGCACAAAATCTCTCACTTTCTCTCTGGTTGCTCTGATGTTGCCATGTTAACCTACACCATCACTACTACTATTACTACAATGATGACTATCACTACTGTCAGTACCTCTCTTTATTTCCTCTGTCCACTCTTTCCTAGCCCTCTCTCAGTCCACCAAGTCCAGCTTCGCTGATTTCTGTTACTTGCTCTGAAAAAGCTCAGCGATACACAGGTACCCTTGAAAATGTCGAATAACCACTTGTTTCAATTGTCAATTTATTTCCTCTTAGCTCCTGTATCCTCTATCAATAGGCTAAAAGCATTTGTCCCTCGTAGTGAGCACAATTTTCAGACTTGCCAGCAGAGGGCGATAAAGAGACACTGCGGGAGGAAAGAGGCGCTCTTGGTTTCAGCCCACGTTGTGTGAACCGGTATATCCAGTGGCACTCCGCTGCAGCCACTCCGCTCCCTTGGTGATTTGTATGCAGCCCAGCCCAGGCCTAGTGAACCACTTCATCATGACGCTCCTGACAAGGACACTGGCATGTTCCAGACCTCACGTTGGCAGTGACACCCCAACTCTCTCTGTGCACCTGCCCACCGGCCTTGGCTCATCTGTGCCCTGGAGGGCTGTTTCCTGCTGCCTGGTGGCTGTGGACCAGCTCTGGCGCAGGCAGCCCAGCTGACTTCTCTGCATAAAGTGGGCTGCATCCATACTTTCTCTAATGAAGTCTAAACCTCACCCGTGTGGGTGGACTTACCTCCAGGTTTTCCTTTCCTTGGGTACTCTCTTTCTCTCTTTTTTTCTTTCTTTTTTTTTTTTGAGACGGAGTCTTGCTCTGTCTCCCAGGCTAGAGTGCAGTGGCGCCATCTCGGCTCACTGCAAGCTCCGCCTCCCAGGTTCACGCCATTCTCCTGGCTCAGCCTCCCGAGTAGCTGGGACTACAGGCGCCCGCCACCACGCCCGGCTAATTTTTTGTATTTTTAGCAGAGACGGGGTTTCACCATGTTAGCCAGGATACTCTCGATGTCCTGACCTCGTGATCCGCCCGCCTTGGCCTCCCAAAGTGCTGGGATTACAGGCGTGAGCCACTGAGCCCGGCCTCCTTGGGTACTCTCTATTACCCCTAAGACACGCTTTCCAGTTTCTTTCCTTCCTTTCTTTCTCTCTTTCTCTCTCTCTCTCTTTCTTTCTTTCTCCCTTTCCCTTTTTCTCTTTCTCTTTCCCCTTCCTTCCCTCTCTCGTTCTTTCTTTCCTTCCTTCCTTCTTTCTTTCTTTCTTTCTTTCTTTCTTTCTTTCTTTCTTTCTTTCTTCTTTCTTTCTCTCTTTCTTTCTTCCTTTCTTCTCTTTCACCGGGTCTCACTCTGTCACCCAGGGTTGAATGCAGTGACTGTGATCATGGCTCACTGGAACCTCCACATCCCAGGCCCAAGAGATCCTCCCACCTCAGCCTCCTGAGTAGCTGGCCCAGGAGATCCCAGGCCCAAGAGATCCTCCGACCACAGCCTCTTGAGTAGCTGGGACCACAGCCACCACACTTGGCTAATTTTTTAATTTTTGTAGAGACAGGGTCTTGCCATGTTGCCCAGACTGGTCTTGAACTCCTGGGCTCAAGTGATTCTCCCACCTTGGCCTCCCAAAACGCTGGGATTATAGGTGTGAGCCACTATGCCCAGCCACCAGTCCTCTTTCCATCTTTTTTAGTTACTCCTCTGTCCTAGTTTAGCAATTTATATTCAACTTCTTCTGTTCAAATTACTGAGTGGTTTCTGTCTCCTGATTGGACCCAGACAGATTAACCCTTATTCTTACCATTTCTTGACTCCTAGTTTCTGTGACCAGCTTGATTTTTGTCTTACTTTTATATCATCATCATCATCATCATCATCATCATCATCATCATCATCATATCTCTGAAGTGTGCAAAATGGGAGAAACAATGCCTGTCTTACCCAATGCTGCATATATGGGAGAGTTTGTAAATTATAGGGTGATATTTTATGTTTGCTGTATATATTCCCGAACAACACTTCCTTATCTTTGCTGGATTTTCTTCCATCCCATCCTCTCTCTAAACATTCCCAGGAGGTTGGTGCTTGGCTTTTGCCTTCTCTCTGTACCTTGGCTTTCCCAATCTATTGCTTCATCCTAATCTCTTGCTTGAACTCTCCCCCTACTCCACCCTGCCCCCGTCTCTCCTACTGTCATCACTTATTCTCCATGGTCTTCATGCTGGAAGATAAGGACCTACATTTTTAACTTTACGGTCAAACTTTATTCATTCAACACACATGAGGGCCTATCATGGGCAAGACACAGTTGTAGGTGCTGAGCACAAAGGACTGAACAAGACAGGCAAAGCCCCTGCTCTTACGGAGTTTACATTCCACAATTTAACCCTACTCTGATCTTCCAGACTTCTCTCTCTACATTAACTTGTGCTCCAGGGGAAAGTGAATGTCTCAATGTTATTTTTCTGCCTTTCTACCAATTATCCCACCTGCAGTGACATCCAGCCCCTCTGTCTACCCAAACCCTGTGTGTTTTCCAAGACCTAGTTTATATCCATCCATGAATCCTCAGTAGAAAACTCCAAAGCACTTCTTACAGCAGTGATTCACAACTATTTCCAGTAGCAACATATCTGAGAGATAACACATGTTCTTTTTTTTTTTGAGACTGAGTCTCGCTCCGTCGCCCAGGCTGGAGTGCAGTGGCACGATCTCGGCTCACTGCAAGCTTCACCTTCCGGGTTCACGCCATTCTCCTGCCTCAGCCTCCCAAGTAGCTGGGACTACAGGCACCTGCCACCACGCCCAGCTAATTTTTTTGTATTTTTAGTAGAGACGGGGCTTCACTGTGTTAGCCAGGACGGTCTCGATCTCCTGACCTCGTGATCCACCCACCTCAGCCTCCCAAAGTGCTGGGATTACAGGTGTGAGCCACCACGCCCAGCCAACACATGTTCTTTTGTAACAGTGGCTCCATATGCATTGATTCTCAATGAATAAAGGGAGATTTTTTACCAGAATCTCAGCACTTAGGCATGGAGAGCATGTATAGTTTCAAAGAATTGCTCCAGTGATTCTGGTATGTCTCCATAGAGGGTGTCCTTCCCTCTATGGAGTTCCTTCCTTCTTCTCCACACCCTGTTGAGAATCACTGGTATTGGTTATAGGTGTCAGAAACATGAGTCAATTGAACCATTCTTCCTGGTGGCAATTGCAGGAGAATTAACAGAAGTAACTACCCTTGCTTGCTTGGCTTTCAAGAGGGAAACTGTTTTAGTACATTGGGGCTGCTATAACAAATTACCATAGACTAATTGGCTTATTAACAACAGAAGTTTTGTTTGTTTTGTTTTGTTTTGTTTTTGAAACAGGTTCTGACTCCGTTGCCCAGGCTGGAGTGCAGTGGCATGATCTCAGCTCACTGTAACCTCCACCCCCCATGTTCAAGCGATTCTCCTGCCTCAGCCTCCTGAGTAGCTGGGATTACAGGCACGTGCCACCACGCCCAGCGGAATTATTATATCTTTTATTCTTACACTGATGACGTAGCCTTTTGGGACCCCAGTTTAGATTCTTCCCTTTTGTGGGGACCTTAGGCTTTGTTTCTTGTCCCCCGTGTACCATGCAGCCATTTAAGTAGGGATGCAGTCTTCAAGGTCACTCAGGAAGTCTCAAGGACAAAGCTTGCTTACCTCTTAAGGTGCCTGCCTTTGCTGGGTTTGGAGAGCTAAGTATTCTTGCTTTCTGCTGTCTCAAGAGTTTAAAAAGATACTTTTATCCAGCGTTTTATTTGTTTCTATTGGGAAAGTCATTTAGGGTATCTAATCTGCATTACTACTGAAAATGGAGAAGTCTGGTAAAATTCCAACTTGAATGCAATTATTTTTATCAATAGGGTTTCTTTTTTGACACAAAGAACCCAGTGACTAGAAAGCCTCCCAATTTGGATTCAGTTTAGCAGAGAGAGCAGAGGAGAATCTATTACAAGGTAGAGGGACTGTAGTTCTAGCTATTTTCTTTAGGTCTTTGTGGCTGCCAGGGCACCTGGAACCTGATTATTTGCTGGCTTTCAGAATTGACTACTCCAGATCTGTATCATTGACACTGAAATGTGAAATGTGAGTTTTGAAAGAGATTTGGATGAAACTCCCCCTAGTAACTTACTGTTTATAAACAAGTTATATGGAGTTAAGTGAGAGATCCACTCTGGGAGTGGTGAGTACTTGATACTAGATAGGATAATGTAAACTCCACTGATAGGTGTAGCCAGGTGTGCTGTACTAACACCCAGAGAAAACAGTTCTCCTTGCCTTACCTTTTTTCTTTTGACTTGCTCAGTTGTCTTGAGATCAGTACAGATACTGTTTTCTGAGAACATTTCTGAAAAATAGTTTACTTTTTAAATTCATTTGAGCAAACTACTCTCAACGGCAATAGCAAGATGATAAACGCTGTGTTCTCAGAAAAAGGCAAATGACTATCTTCCTCTTTCTTCCACTCTAGGGACAATGAAGCCTGGTGTAGTGAGAGTTCCTGGAGCAAACCAACAAAATGAGGCACACTCCATGCTCTGCTTCTGCTGCCTGGAGCCCACATTGACCCAAGATTTCTTCCAGCTTAAAAATGCTACCATTTTAAAGAAAATGTGGCACATATACACCATGGAATACTATGCAGCCATAAAAAAGGATGAGTTGATGTCCTTTGCAGGGACATGGATGAAGCTGGAAACCATCATCTGCAGCAAACTAACACAGGAACAGAAAACCCAGCACTGCATGTTCTCACTCATAAGTGAGTTGAACAATGAGAACACATAGCCACAGGGAGGGGAACGTCACACTCCGGGACCTGTTGGGGGGTAGGGGGGAAAAGGGAGGGAGAGCATTAGGACAACTGCCTAATGTATGCAGGGCTTAAAACCTAGATGGTGGGTTGATAGGTACAACAAACAAACTGCCATGGCATATGTATACCTGTGTAACAAACCTGCATGTTCAGCACGTGTATCCCAGAACTTAAAGTTAAAAAAAAAAAAAAAAGCTATCATTTCTCTGATGTACTGCAGGCTGCTAATAGAAACTTCCATGATCGCTCGGAAAGCAGTTAGGTGAATGTGGCTTCTCAATATATGGTAAGCAGCTCATGGCCAGTGACAAGACCATCTGCTTCCCCTACAAGTCTTGTTCAAGTAGGCAATCCACGATACTGGCCAAAAAGACACCGGTAAGCAGTTTAGAATGCCTGAGTAAAAGCTCCCACAAACAGCAGATTTTTCAACAATTTTATAAACACTTCTTGGCCGGGTACAGTGGCTCACGCCTGTAATCCCAACACTTTGGGAGACTGAGAGGCGGATGGATCAACTGAGGTCGGGAGCTCGAGACCAGCCTGACTAAGATGGAGAAACCCTGTCTCTACTAAAAATACAAAATTAGCCGGGTGTGGTGGTGCACGCTTGTAATCCCAGCTACTCAGGAGGCTGAGGCAGGAAAATCGCTCGAATCTGGGAGGCAGATGTTGCAGTGAGCTGAGATCACGCCATTGCACTCCAGCCTGCGCCACAGAGCATGACTCCATCTCAAAACCAACCAACAAACTAACCAACCAACCAAACAAACAAAATTTCTTGAGTGCCTACTATGGTCTGGTTTTGTGTTGAGTGTTAGAGATAAAACAGTGGACGAGACCAATCCCCTCCCCACTTGCGCAGCTCATAATCCTCTAGTGGAGGACGTAGACAAGAAAAGAGGCGATTCTGTTAGAGTTTGGCGAGTGCCAGGATAGGGGTGGTAGATGCTGCTACCTAAACCATCTCTGTGTCTACTTTACTGAAAGGATTACTGGCTGTCCACTGAGCTTTTTAGTCAAAATTATAATACACATCATAACAGCACATATAATATGGTATGCTGGAAATGAACCGCCATACATAAAAGAGGAGATTTGGAGGATGGGGGAGGGTGGCAAGAAATGATGTTGGAAAATTATAATTATTTGACTTTTTTTTAACCTTTCAGAGGGTTTTCAAACACATTATATCAAGAGAAGTTGTTTAATAAATGATACATTGGTACATTTTCCTGGCATGCAGAACACATAGAAAAGAGTAGGGAAAGGAAATAAAGAACATTTTTCATTTGGAACTAAGAAATCAAATTTTAGTATTTTTTCATGGCCACGAAAGTCTTATTTTTAAAATTAAAATCCTTATGTAGAGAATATTTGACATCTTCATTGTGAGCTCTGAACATATCCCTTTTCTAATGCAGCCACGTAAGCGAATCAGACATTAATGGACCAAAAAGTTCATCAACACACAGGCTTGTCAATGAACAGGAATGGCACGAGCACCAGAATGTGTTGGTGTTTTCTCAGGAATAAGAGTTAAATAAAGCTCGACTCTGTCAGTGGCACACGGCGCCAGCACCCTGGCCCACAGACACTTCACGGTTTGGTAGTTCCTGCTTGTCAGCACCTGTGCTTCTCTATGCTTCTTTGCTTGAGCTCTGGGCACAAAAGTGGAGTTTGATAGTTAAGTATTTTAGCAACTGTCTCCATGGTGACTGGGCCAGGAAATGAGCTTTGACCTGACTCTATTTTATGTATTGGGAGCCCGGCTCCAGGCCCTGAGCCTTCTTCTGCACCTTGCCTGGAGAAGCTGCAGCTGGCATCCTTCCCCTTGGGCCCTGGCCATCTGGCCCACTTGCCAGGGATTGTTTTCTCCACATCAGGAGATCTGGGCAACCACTCCCTTCTGAGAGGCAGCTGCGAGGGAGGGTGTGGGAGTGGAAAGCCTATTTTAAGTAGGGAATAATGGGAGACACAAGGCTTCCCAGGACAGCTTGGTGTGAAAAGAAAATTTTATTTCAGTTGTTTGATATCTTCAATGATATTCTTCTGTGCAGTATGTCTTTGTCAGTACTAGTTCTACCTGGAATGTTTATACTTATTCCCTCTTTTTGAGAAAAACATCTTGATTCAGTTAAAAACATTCCATTATTTTAGAGGGCTAAGTTTTCAGTACTGGGCTCTTTGCCTCACATTGACAGGTCACAAAGAGAAGTTGTCTTAGTGAATGGGACATTAAAGACTGTGTTTTGATGCGTTCCAGGAAAATGAAATGCCATCTCCTGGGACATAGTCTGTGGGTGGGATGCTGTGTGGGAACCCTGAGCGCCAGTGACTGTTAGTATTGGTGGGAGTGAGTTAGGCATCCGGAGGGAGGAGGGATAGAACAGAAAAGAAGGTTAACTTGCCCTACCTTATTCATTTTGCTTAGGGCATAATCAGTACCATAGCAGATTCATCCAGAAGTAATTTTCCTAATCACCAGAAGGGGGACCTGGCTGACTATAGTCAGGTGATTGCATTTTTTTTTTTTTTGGGAGACTGAGGCAGGAGAATCGCTTGAACCTGGGAAACAAAGGCTGCAGTGAGCTGAGATCATACTGCTGCACTCAGCCTGAGCAGCAGAGTGAGACTCTGTCTCAAAAAAAAAAAAAAAAAAATATGTTCTTAGTGGCATCTGGAATGGTGAATCCTTTCCAGAAGGATTTCAATTTGCTTTGTCCAGATCCATCAGAGAAATCACTATCTGTGGCAGCAATCGCCGTACAAAATGCATTTCTTAAATAATAAGACTTGAAATTCAAAATGCCTTCTTAATCCAAGGGCCGCAGAGTGAATGTTGCGTCAGCAGGCAAGAAAATAACATTAATCTGCTTGTGCACCTCCAACACAGTTCTTGGGTGACCAGGTGCATTGTCAATAAGCAGTAATATTTTGAGAGTAATCTTATTTTTTTCTGAGCAGTAGGTCTCAATAGTGGGCTTAAAATATTCCATAAACCATGCTGCAGAAGATGTGCTGTTATCCAGGCTTTCTTGTTCCATTATTCAGAAATCACAGGCAGAATACATTTAGCATACTTCTTAAGGGCCCTAGCATGTTCAAAATGGTAAATGAGCATTGGCTTCAATTTAAAGTCACTAGCTGCATTAGCATCTAACAAGACAATCTGCCTGTCCTTTGAAGCTTTGAAACTTTGAAGCCAGGCATTGACTTCTCCTCTCTAGCTCTGAAAGTCCCGGGATGGCATCTTCTTCCAATAGAAGGCTGTTTAATCTACATTGAAAATGTGTTATTTAGTGTAGCCATCTTCCAACAATGATCTTAACTAGACTTTTTTTTTTTTTTTTTTGAGACAGGGTCTTGCTCTGTCGCCCAGGCTGGAGTGCAGTGGCACGATCTTGGCTCGCTGCAACCTCTGCTAACCAAGTTCAAGCGATTCTCCTGCCTCAGCCTCCTGAGTAGCTGGAATTACAGATGCCAGCCACTATGCCCAGCTAATTTTTGTATTTTTAGTAGAGAAGGGGTTTCGCCATGTTGGCCAGGGTGGTCTGGAACTCCTGACCTCAGGTGATCCACCTGCCTCGGCCTCCCAAAGTGCTGGGATTACAGGCGTGAGCCACCGTGCCTGGCTTAACTAGATCTTCTGGATAAATTGCTACAGCCTCTCCATCAGCACTTGCTGCTTCAGCTCGCACTTTTACGTTATGGAGACAGCTTCTTTCCGTAAACCTCATAAATCAACAGCTGCCAGCTTCAGACTTTTCTTCTGCAGCTTCTTCACCTCTCTCAGCCTTTATAGAATTGAAAAGAATTAAGACCTTCACCTGAATTAGGCTTTGGCTTAAGGAAATGTGTTGGTTGGTTTGATCTTCTATCCAGACCACTAAAACTTTCTTCATATCAGCAATGAGGCGGCTGTATTGCTTTCTTATCATCGGTGTGTTCACTGGAGTAGAACGTTTAATTTCCATCAAGAACTTATTCTTTGCATTCACACCTTGGCTAACTGTCTAGCACAAGAGTCCTGGGTTATTATTATTATTTTTAAATCTATCTTAGCTTTCCACATGCCTTCCTCACTAAGCTTAATCATTTTTAGCTTTTGATTTAAAGTGAGAGACTTGAGACTCTTCCTTTCCTTTGAACACTGATAGGCCATTGTAGGGTTATTAATTGGCCTAATGTCAATATTGCTATGCCTCAGGAAACAGGGAAGCTAGAGGAGAGGGAGAGAAATGAGAGAATGGCTGATCAATGGAGCAGTCAGAATACACACAACATTCACTGATTAAGCTCACCGTCGTATAGGGGTCTCGTTCATGGCACCACAAAGCAATTCCAATAGTAACCATCAAAGATCACTGATCACACATCACCACAACAGATACAATAATTTTAAAGTTTGGGCCAGTTCAGTGGCTCATGCCTGTCATCCCAGCACTCTGGGAGGCCTAGGGAAGAGGGCTGCTTGAGCCCAGGAGTTCGAAACCAGACTGGGCTATGTAGTGAGACAGCTCTAAAAATATATATTTTTTAGTTTGAAATATTATGAGACTTACTAAAATGTCAAACAGAGATAGAAAGTGAGCACATGCTGTCAGAAAAATGGTGCAGATAGATTTGCTTGATTGAGTTTGCCATAAACCTTCAATTTTTTTTAAAACACAGTATCTGTGAAGTGTAATAAAGAGAGGTGACAATAGAAGTAGGTACACCTGTACAACGTATTTGCTCCTGACTGCCTTAACCTAAGTTAGAAAATCATCTAACATGGCCAGTGCAGTGGCTCATGCCTGTAATCCCAGCACTTTGGGAGGCCGAGGCGGGCAGATCACCTGAGGTCAGGAGCTCAAGACCAGCCTGGCCAACAAGGTGAAACCCCATCTCTACTAAAAATACAAAACTAGCTGGGTGTGGTGGCAGGTACCTGCAGTCCCAGCTACTTGGGAAGCTGAGGCACAAGAATTGCTTGAACCCAGGAGGTTGCAGTGAGCTGGGATTGCACCACTGCATTCCAGTCTGGGGGACGAAGCAAGACTCCATCACCAAAAAATAAAAAAAGAAAATCATCTAAGACTCTCCTTTCCCCAAGTCACACACCTCTATCTTTCCCTCCTTTGGGCCCAGGGATCATATCAGCTGTCTTCTATTCTTCCACCTGGGCCTATTTTCTCTTGGGCCTTCTGCTGAACTGAATTCAGCTCTTCAACTTCTCTTCACATCTCTTCATTCCCTTTTCAGACACCCCCAAAAAACTCTTGACTTTAGAAAAATATTTGTAGTCTTTAGGAACTATATTGAAGTAAACACATGAGGGTAAAAATGAAAAAATGAAACCAAACATCAGAAAGTTACTAAATTTAAGAAAAGAAGGATGAAAGCGGAAAAGTATGTATCTGCAGTTCCCAAATGGGTGTGCAGTGAAATTTGTTTTGCTGGGCAGCAGTAAGCAGGCAGGAAACTGTTTTGTATTCAAAGCTTGGAAACTCTGGCTTAAACCAAGTTGTGTCAGTTTATTTGTTGCAGACCTTCTTTGATCCTTTAACATGCCAAAATAATTTTGAGTTTGCATGAGGAATTTTAGGCCTTGGTGTTCCCAACTTCTCTGACCATGTTATGGCATGGTGATAATATTTCTTGCAGCGATAGCTGTCCTTGGCCAATTGTAGATGAGGTGGAACCTGGTCTGTCCTACGTGCAATTGTCTTCCACTTATACTCATAGTATAGGAAATTCTTCTTCTAGGAATTGGCGCTATTCACACTCCTCTCCCAATCCACTCCCCATTTCTGAGACTGGTTTTCCCTGCTTGTGTCAGCAAAACTTGTCCTTGGTCCCTTTCTCCTTTTGCCTGACAACATAAGTCAAAGAGGTGGAACAACAGCTGTTGTTAGGCCGCTGAGTCTCTAGTGGTTCAAGTGACAACATTTCCTCAAAGAAATTGGCTGTGTGGTCAATTTGTTTTTGTCTCTTCGGCGAGGGTCATCTCTGGGTCATTCCTGCAGAGGTGATATATGGGGAACTGGAAACTATTAAGTAAGACTGAAAGAGCTGCTGTGGAGTGTGCTGCACAGAGAAGAGCCATACACATACTATAACTTGTGTTGGACAGGAGGACTCTTGCAAAGGATTCAACCAATAAATGACGCTCATCGAAAAAACTTCTGCTTCAAACTAAACAAATCCCAGGGTGAAAGTTTATGATCAGAGACTCTGAAGAGTATAAGCAGGGAAGTCCCATTAACTCACCAGGAATAAGGTGCAGGCATTTTCAATCAAAGGTAAATTTGGGGTTCTCCAAATAGGATGACCTCAGTGAATATGATGGCTTTAAAAGCAGGGGACAAACCGAAAGGGACATATTGTCCGTAATGAGTTTCTTTTTTCCTCTGGATTTCCATTTGTAAGCCTCACATACTGTTCCTTCCTTGGACTATTCTATCTGAAGTAGGACTGTCTACTGCAGGTACAACTGTAGTGATATGAACACCAGGTCACATATGTAACTGTATAAAAAATCTATGTTTATTTTCCTATAACGCAATCTAATTTTTGTTTGAGCCTCCATCCCTTCAATGTAGCAGAAATGCACCTCTGTCAATTTGGGGAGGTCCCCCACCCTTCCCAGGTTGCACCTAACTTCTGGAGGATGCAGAATTTTTGTCCCAGTGACAAAAAGTGGCACATGGGGGTATAGGGTTTGAGTCTGGTCTCTGGTCATTTTCCGGTCTAGGGCATTCACTGTGACGGCCAACACTAGAGTCACAAAAAAATCCCCCAACACTCCAGCTCCCACGGGGCCCACCCCCTCAATATTAATCTCTGGATGCACCTCAAAATCATTTCTCTTCCGGGATATTCTTGCTTTATCTCTTTGATCTGGGAATCCACAGACCTGTCTGAAGCTTGAGTAATCCCCCCTTCTCATCTGACACTTGAATGGGTGAGGGAGGAAGGGAAGGGCCCTTCTCAGTGGTCACCTTCACATCCCTGTGCTCCTGACTTCTAACCCCTTCCTTCCCCCACAGCTGGGAAATCTCTGTGTAATCTTGCATGAGATTTCTTTCTCTCGCTTAACAAATAGGCTTCTAAATCTTACGTACGCCTGTATCTTTCCCATTCCCCATGGGGACTTGAGTTTTGGAGACTCAAAAGTCAAAAGAATCTCATTTGTTTCTCTACTTTCTGTTAACTTACACTGCCTGGGGGTAGTGGAACTCAGAATAGTCTATCTGAGAGACTTGAAAGATGGTAAGAACGAGATCAGAGAAAATATTACAGGAAAACAGTGACTAATGCTTCAAAAGTATGTCCTACCCCATAATTATTGATTAATTCCCTAAGAGAAGTGGCTGGGATGGCATTTGGAACAAAGACGAAACCTTTTGATATGTGCTAAATGGCATATAGAAGCTGTAATATAACACATGGGAGATCTTAAGAAAAAATATTATTTGTAACAAATAGAAATTATTTAGGATATGCGCTAGATTATATGGAGGTCCCTCTCTCTCTACTGTGACTTGGCTGTAGAACCTGAGGCTCCTTGCTTCTCCTTCTAAGTACCGGCTTTCTCATTTGTTAAGTGGTGATAATAACCCTGACTTCACAAGATTTTTGTGAGAATTAAATTCAATTAAATCATCAAGGAGATGCATGATAGCCATTTAGCAAATGCTTGTTTGTCCTTTTGCTCTTTCATCCATTCACATGTTTATCTTTTCTCATCAGATATGCACACCCTACTTCTCCATAGCAAGACCACAGCCACTGTTAATGAACCTTGTGTAATATGTATAATAGGTGGTTGGGTGGGTGTGGCTCCATCCTACCCACTTATCTCATCCGTTACAAATGTACACCCTAAGTAAAATCCATAAAGGTAAGCCTTGGGTTCACTATTCCTATAGAGCTGATGAAACAAATGCTTATGACTAAGACCTCCCCATGGCCCTTAGTGGTTCCTAATGAATGAGTTTTGAGTAGAAACATTATCTTTAATGACAGCCTTTAAGCATGCACAGCACCTGCCTCCGCATCTCTTTAAGTGAACATTATCAGTGATGTTTTCTAGGCTTCACATACAGCATTGGAGGAGATAAAATCTTAGATCTAGAGTGGAATTCATAACTGCTATTTTTCTTTTTAAAATTGAGGTACAATTTTCACACAATAAAGTGCACAGGTCTTAAGTGTTCAATTTAGTGAGTTTTGACAATTCCACACAGCCATGTAACTGCTATCCAAAACAAAAATTTAACATTTTCATTACCCCAGACATTTCCTTATGCTCCTTTCCAGTCAACTGTCCCCCCAGCATGGCAGCATTTTTCAGTATGACAGCTCCCACATATTCTTAGGGGTGCTTTCTATTTTATTTAACATTGAAACTCTCACAACTGCCTTCTGTTGGAAGTAGGCTAATAATGAGAGCCAACACTTGCTAAGAAGAGATTTCATGCATCATCGCACTTAATATTCATAACTATCCTGTGAGGTAGGAACTATTATTTCTTCATTTTACAGATAAGGAAACTGAAGCTTAATGAGATAAAGTTGCTCACGGGTCAATGAGCTCTTCAGTAGCAGAGCTGGGATTTGAACTCAGATTGGTCTGATTCCAGACCTTGACTTTGTAACCAATATGCTACTGTGCTAAGGAGCAGAGGTGCCTCACGGTTTAGATAATGAGTGCGATTTTTCCCAGGTCTGGATTTTGTAAGAAAGGAAAAAAAGTATAAGTTGTTTATATATATATGTGTATATATATACACATATATATATACATATTCACAGTATAATCCCATTTCATTTAATATACTTATGAGACTTGTTCCCCTTTCATTAAATTGTGCCAGCAAGATTTTTACTAGTTGACTGTTAAGAACTGGTAATAGTAATAATGATCATCATAATGATGACTTTTATGAGAGCAACCATTTTTTAATACTTAACTATGTGTCAGGTGCTGTGTGAAACACTGCACCTAAATTTCCTTATTTAGTTCTCGTAATCACTATAATGGTAGTGTCTGTTACTAACATTTTTTTTTTTTTTTTTGAGACACAGTCTTGCTCTGTCACCCAGGCTGGAGTGCAGTGGCACAATCATGGCTCACTGCAACCTTGACCTCCTGGGCTCAAGTGATTCTCCCACCTTAGCCTCCCGAGTAGCTGGAACCCACCATGCCCAGCTAATTTTTTAGTTTTGTAGAGATGGGGTCTCGCCATGTTGCCCAGGCTGATCTTGCACTCCGGGGCTCAAGCATTCCTCCCACCTCAGCCTCCCAAACTGCTGGGATTACAGGTGTGAGTCACTACGCCCAGCCCATTTTTACAGGCTAAAAATGTGAGGCTTAGAGAGTCTGAGTGACTTGCGAAAGCTGCACAGCTAGAAAGTAGTGGAGCCGATTTTGAATCTTGGCAGTCTACCCAGAGAGCCTTTACTTTCAACCACTACATCCTCTTGATCCTCTGCATATGCCCTCGGTCCTGTTGATAAAGAATGGTCTTGGTTCCTGCCTGAAACAGCTTTCATCAGAATTAAATATGTGTGTGTGAATTCTGCCAGCTGGCTCTTTTTTAGATAAGATCATTTTAGTTCCAAACACTTAGGTCCACCTGGGCTTTAGAACGTGGGAAATAGCCAGGCTGGCCCTGGGCCAAGTTGTGAAGTAAAGGAAGTGTGTCTGGGACATTTTATCCTCCTCTGCACGTTGCCATACCCTCTAAAGATCCTATCAACCAAAGACTGCTCACCTTTCAATTCCTGGAGCCCAAGTCTTGCCAGAGGAACTGAGTCCTTCAGCTGTGGGCTTGTTGAGAGCCCTGCTTTTGCCCCTCCCTTGCCCCAGCCTGGGGTGGCTTTTCCCATTTATATCGAAGCCAGTTTCACTCTAGCTTTCCTGTCCAAGCCTGTGCTGATACCCTTAGGTAGGGAGGCTGGTAGAGGCTCTCCGGACATCCGAGGCTCTCTAGAAATAGGGCCTTTATCTATTTTTGGCAATCTCAGAGGTGTGTCTTCCAGTACTGATAGGAAAGGCAGGCAGGGCAACCTTACTGATAACAACAGCTCATCTGCAGATAGCATTGAATCTGTGTGCTGTGCTGTTCTGAGTGCTTTATAATACATATTAGTTTATTTAATCCTCAGTACAGCTCCAGGCAGTGTGTTTGTCAAGGCAAGAGACAGGGGTCACACAGGTGGAATTCTGAAGAGAATTTAAGGAAGGGACTATTTACAGATGAGTAGGTAGATTTAAGTGAATCCATGAGGGATGGGGAGGCATCCAGGAAACCAGCAGCAGTGGGCAGCTGTTCCCAGCCCTGGGCAGAAGGGGCAAGCCAAGGACCTCGTGTAACCGGAGCCTGATGAGGAGCTGCTGTAGGAAGGGCAGCTCTGCGGAGCTGTCTGTGTCTAGAGGGATGTGGCCAGAGCCCCAGTGGTGTGTGGGCAGGTGAGGAGTGAGGGAAACGCTGACTGCTCTCTCTTTCCTGTTTCCTTCCCGTTTCCCATTGGCTGAAACAACCAAAAGCCTGAGGTCAAGGGGTCAGTCCAGGTGATACAGGCTTGATGTGTCAGTCCCCAGAGGGCTCAGTACAGGGCCTAAAGGCACACCGAGAATAATCAGCCCATGAAGGAAGTGAGGCACAGAGAGGCTGAGCCATGGGCCCACATTCAAGGAGCTGGGAAGTGGCAGAACCAGGATCTGAACTGAGGCTGATAAATCTGCTCTTAACCACTCCACCACACTGGCTCTAGCATTTTCTTTCACACTTACGTAGTGTCTTACAGTTTTCAGAGAGATACTGGTGCCAAAAGACCTGAGAAACTACTTTGGAAGGTGCCCCAGTCGTATTATTCCCATCGAATTGATTCTAGTCTGACTCTAGGATCAGACTTTTGGTGTCACTATTAGGTAGAACTACTGGGATGAATGTAGTCCAATCTATGTAAGTTGTAAATTAAAAATAATATCATAAGTCCCCCACCGAGTGGAACTGTTTTGGCCAAGGGGACCCCAGAAAAACCTTAAAAACTGAGTTGCCAGGCCAGGCTCAGTGGCTCACATCTATAATCCCAGCACTTTAGGAGGCTGTGGCAGGCGAATTGCTTGAGCTCAGGAGTTCGACACCAGCCTAGGCAACAAAGTGAGACCCCGTCTCTACAAAAAACACAAAAATTAGTTGGGCGTGTTAGCACATGCCTATGGTCCTAGCTACTCGAGAGGCTGAGGTGGGAGGATAGCCTGAGCCTGGGAGACAGAGGTTGTAGTGAGCTGAAATCATGCCACTCACTCCACTGGGCAACAGAGCCAGACCCCCTCTCAACAAACAAACAAACAAACCAACAAAGTTGCCAGCCATGATGGGACAGGCGGTCAGACACGCCTTGTTATGTCCCCTCTTTTTTGGAGGTTAAACAAAACAACTGACCAGCATTAATGTTAAAATAGAGATCGTAAGACTGACAGAACAGACTGTGGCAAGAAGATATTAAATTATAAACAAGACCTTAGGCCATGCCAGGCAAAGGTGAAGTCAGACACCACTACATTTAAAGAACAGACTATGTTCTAACTGCCACAGAGCTTTTTTCTTTTTCTCTAGCAGCTATACAAGCACTAGCCTCCAGATAAGCATTATTAAAACTATCAGTAGCTCCACCAGATGCTGACTAACTAACCCCTGGTCACTGTTCCACCAGCCATCACTGCAGCTCTGACTGGACAAGAGATTGATTTCAGTCAGTGATCTCCTGATAAGAAGACCACTGACCATGAACTTGGTCCTGGTTGGTTTACAGGGACCGTGCACTTGAATGCCTTCATGTCCTGAAATAACCTTTTGACATATAGAACCTGATTATATACATTTAAATGTTAAGTCTCCACCCAAAGTAAACATGAGTTGAATGTTATATGTGTGTTTGTTCAATAGGCATGCCTCAGGACCAACTTCATGAATATTCATAGCTCCTCGTGTGACCTGTTGAATATGTGTGTTTAGTCAATGGTTCAGCATAAAGCTTCTACTCCAACCCCTCCTTCTTTGAAGCGCCTGTCTCTGGTCTTGGCCTAAGGCACATTTCCCAGCCTGTGGGATGGCCAGCCACCTTGCAGGCTGTAATTCTTTCTTTTCTTTTCTTTTCTTTTTTAAATTATACTTTAAGTTCTGGGGTACATGTGTGGAACGTGCAGGTTTGTTACATAGGTATACATGTGCCATGGTGGTTTGCTGTACCCATCAACCCGTCATCTACATTAGGTATTTCTCCTAATGCTATCCCTCCCCTAGTCCCCTACACCCCAACAGGCCCCAGTGTGTGATGTTCCCCTCCCTGTGTCCATGTGTTCTCATTGTTCAGCTCCCACTTATGAGTGAGAACATACAGTGTTTGGTTTTCTGTTCTTGTGTTTGTTTGCTGAGAATGATGGTTTCCAGCTTCATTCATGTCCCTGCAAAGGACATGAACTCATCCTTTTTTATGGCTGCATAGTATTACATGGTGTATATGTGCCACATTTTCTTTATCCAGTCTATCATTGATGAGCATTTGGGTTGGTTCCAAGTCTTTGCTATTGTGAACAGTGCTGCAATGAACATATGTGTGCATGTGTCTTTATAGTAGAATGATTTGTAATCCTGTGGGTATATACCCAGTAATGGAATTGCTGGGTCAAATGGTATTTCTGGTTCTAGATCCTTGAGGAATTGCCACACTGTCTTCCACAAGTTGAACTAATTTACACTCCCACCAACAGTGTAAAAGCGTTCCTATTTCTCCACATCCTCTCCAGCACCTGTTGTTTCCTGACTTTTAATGATTGCCATTCTAACTGGCATGAGATGGTATCTCATTGTGGTTTTGATTTGCATTTCTCTAATGACCAGTGATGATGAGCTTTTTTTCATATGTTTGTTGGCTGCATAAATTATCTTCTTTTGAAAAGTGTCTGTTCACATCCTTCACCCACTTTTTGATGGGGTTGTTTTTTTTTTTCTTGTAAATTTGTTTAAGTTCTTTGTAGATTCCGGATATTAGCAGGCTGTAATTCTTTACAAGAAATAGTCTCCTTTCTAAATTATAAATTACATGTTTTTTTAAGTTAACAAAACACATGTGTGTCTTAAAATTTTTCCCACCGGTGACAGAGATCCTAGTGATAGAGAAAAAGGCTTTATTCATCTGTTTAAAAGGTCCCTGTAAATAGTAGGCCCTAAACAGAAATTACTCATGATAGACACAGGTGACATTGGTAGGGCTTGGCCAGTTCAGTCAGTTGATAACTAAGATGGTCAAGTTTATGAAACAGAAAGATCACAAACTAGCAAGTGTTGGAAAACTGCTGGTAAGACGGGGAGAATAATTTTGTTTCAAGTTAAGAAAAACTGACACTTGTGGTTTCCGTGTGAGAGGAGTCAGTACTCAGTTTGAGCAACTTCTGCAAAAAAAAAAAAAAAGGTACCCTCCTGGGTTGAATCCAATTGAGGCAAGCCAACTGATAAAAAATACAAGCATTGTGTGGAAAGGAGATACTAAAAAACACTCTTTTGTGAAAAAGATACAAACTTCAATCAAGATAAATAAAACCATTGGAATAAGCTCTTCTTATATTAAAGAAGTAAAGTCTTAAGATAGTCTTTTATGGTTTATTATTTTATTTCTAATTAAGTTTTATTGTAATAAAACTTTATTTCTAAATAAAATCTTAATTAGAAATTAATGCTTAGCAAGCTTACTAAAGTACACTTTTTTTCCTCCTTTTTGAGACAGGGTCTTGCTCAGTTTCCCAAGCTGGAGTGCAATGGTATGAACATAGCTCACTGCAGCCTCAACCTCCCAGGCTCAAACAATCCTCCCACTCCGGCCTCCTGAGTAGCTGGGACCATAGGCGTGTGCCACCCCACCTGGCTAATTAAAATTTTTTTTTTTTTTTATATAGAGACAGGAGCCTCACTAAGTTGCCCAGGCTGGTTTCAAACTCCTGGGCTCAAGCAGTCCTACCACCTCAGCCTACCAAAGTGTTGGAATTACAGATATCAGCCACCACACCCAGCTAAAGTACACCTTTAATGTTAGGCAGACAACAGTTTCTATGAAGAAAAAGGGTGAGAGAGCTGCATGTGGTGGCTCATGCCTGTAATCCCAGCTACTGGGGAGGCTGAAGTGGGAGGGTTGCTGGAGTCCAGGAATTTGAGGTTGCAGTGAGCTATGATAGTGCCACTGCACTCCAGCCTGGGCAACAGAGTGAGACCTTGTCTTTAAAAAAATAAAAAGAAAAAGGGTGAACTTGGGAAGGAGAGTAGGATAGAGGAGATAGAAAAAAGAGATTAAAAGTATGCATTGTCTCTACTCTCTTACCTTGGGAGGTAAGGAAAAAAAACATGTCTGTTGGGGTCTGACAATACATTATCACCATTTACATTTTAGTTGTCCCTGAGTTCTGGTGGAAAGGCAAAGTTATCCTTAATGGGGGGATTACTTCTAAATTGCAGGCTGTAATTTTACAACAGTTCTCCCCTGTAGACTCATGTGCCTGCCAGAAAAGTAGGGCTTCCGTGAGGTATTCACCCAATTGCCCTTCTCTGGAATCTGGGGCCCACCTTTGGGAACTACATGTCTCCTGGCATCAATTCATCCTCAACAGGTAGCTACCCTCCCACCCCTGCAGCCCACACTCTTTCCTGTACTTTTCTTGATCTAATTGCCTGGACCCTCCCTGCCCTAGATAACTGGTGTCTCTTAGAGTGTCTCCAAATGTAAGAAACACACCTAGGCAGACAATTTTAAAGTAAGGGAGGTTTAGATTAGATTTTTAAAAAACAAGTATTTTTTAAAATTAATATTTGAATTTTTTGATTTAATATTAATTTCTCCTTGATCTCTGCAAATCATGAAATGCATGAAGGTAACTTCAACCAAGCCAGTGTGATGAGAAACTGACATCTTTACCAGAGAAGAAAATGTTGAAAGTAGTTTCAGGGCTGTCATATACCGAGTCATATCTTTTTAACAAAAATATTGTAATTATATTGTGAGAGTCATTGTATTTTATCTCATTTCATAATCTTATTGCTCTTACTCTCCCTCTCATCTCCAAAATCTCTCAAAAAATAACAAGTACTTTCATTGAATCATTACTATATGCCAGAAGCAATGTAACTTCTTCACATGCATTGACTCATTAAATAATCATAAAAATCCTATGAGATAATAACCCTTTTCTTTCCAATTTATGGATGATAGAGGCTGGGTGTGGTGGCTCACACCTGTAATCCCAGCACTTTGGGAGTCCGAGGTGGGAGGATCACTTGAGCTCAGGAGTTTGAGACCAGCCTGGGCAAAATAGTGAGACCCTGTCTCTACAAAAAAAAATGTTTTAAAAATTAGCCAGACGTGGTGGTGCACACCTATAGTCCCAGCTACCCAGGAGGCTGAGGTGGGAGGGTCATTTGAACCCAGGAGTTTGAGGCTGCAGTGAGCTGTGATTGCCCTGCTGCACTCCAGCCTAGGTGACAGAGTAAGACTCTGTCAAAAAAAAAAAAAAAAATATATATATATATATATATATATATATATTTATATATATGTGTGGTATAGTTATATATTATATATAAATATATATAGAGAGAGATGATGGAAATAAGGCTCAGAGATGTTAACATTCCCAATAATAGACAAACTAGTAAGAGGAGAACAGGGATTAGATCCCAGAGGGTTATGCTGCTGGGCCCAAACACCCAACCACTAACTTCAACTGTCTCTGCAGATTTTTGATGAGTTACACTGCAGAAATGGTCAGCCTACTTCTCATCTTTGTTCTGATTCATGCTGCTTATAAACATGGCTGGCAACCTAAGGCTTCATACACATGTCCTCTTCACTCCTGCCCTGTGTCCTAATTTCCTGTCATCTGTGTTCCTTATGTTCTCCTTGAGGTCCTCTCATGTGATGCCATAGTACTCTGAGCACTATGTCCAGGGAAGCTTACTTCTCAGCTGGTTGGTGGATGCACTGCTGATCATCCTCCCTGTCTAGATATCTGAATCTTTAGGAAATCTCATGTCAACCAGAGATAGAGGAAAATGGGAAGACTGGGTCTCCTGGATCTGATTATTCCCTGTAGATACTGGAAAAGGGACTAGCCTTCTAAGAAGAGCCACTTTGGATTTCTTATGAAGCTGTGGCCCTCAAAATTCTTGAACACTACCGTAAGAAATAGATTTCTGTTGCAACTTACAACACATATATTTACATACAGAGAATTGAAAATAACATGTCATAAAACAACACTTACTTACTATGTAGAATGTGCTCTGAAAGTTTCTATTCTGTTCTATTCTTTCTTTAAAAAAAATACTGGTCGAAATCCAGTAAATTGACTTCACAATTCACTGATGAGTCATGATTGGCAGCTTAAAAACACCATCATAGGCCAGGTGCGGTGGTTCATGCCTGTAATCCCAGTACTTTGGGAGGCCAAGGCAGGAGGATCACCTGAGGTCAGGAGTTCGAGACCAGCCTGGCCAACATGGTGAAACCCCATCTCTACAAAAAATACAAAAATTAGCCAGGTGTAGTGGCACATGCCTGTAATCCCAGCTACTCGGGAGGCTGAGGCAGCAGAATCACTTGAACCTGGGTGGGGAAGGTTGCAGTGAGCCAAGACTGTGCCACTGCACTCCAGCCTAGGCAACAGAGTGAGACTCTGTCTCAAACAAACCAAAAAAAAAAAAAAAAAAGAAACCCAAAAAACACAGCCATAAATAATTATTTCTAACTCAACGTATGATGGTTTTTCATGAATAATAGATTTAGCGCAAAATATGAATTCATTTATTACATTTGAAAAGCTTTTTCAAATGATTAGTGCTTTCCTCTGTTCCATGTACTTGCTAGAGATCAGCATGGCCATCAGGGGGAGCAGCACGTGGGAAAGATGTTAATTAAGATTAGACATAAAGGCTGAGGTTGTGTTCTTATGTGAACACGTGATTATGACCTTTACTTACATGTCAGCTAAGGTTACCCCTACAGTACTGCTATAATCCTTTAAAACATGAAGATTTGGTTCCTTACATCTTGGGGTCAATAGGAACAATTTGCATATGGTCTGGGTTTTGGAGAATTGGTGTTTATTGGGTTAGGTATTATAATAGTATTGTGGTTATGGGTGATATTTAATGATGTCTGTAATTTAACTTAAAGATGAGGACAGGCAGGTAGAGAAGCAGCACAATAGCTTAGCAAGTGGTGGCTGCTGCAGATGCCGTGTCATCCCTCTCCTGCTTCACCAGTCCGCTCTTAACTAAAACTCCAGTTTCTGGGGATGGGTAAGACAGGGGAGGGGAGAAACTTCCACTGACTCACTGAGAGTTAGATGTCCAAAAAGCTGGTGTCAACGGTTCTGGTTCCAGGATAGATGGAGTAAGCGCACTGCTCCCTGTCTCTCCTATGGTGTGCAGCTATAAAATCTGAAAAGAACACTGGAACTAGCTCTCTGAGGACTCTGAAAAGTAAATAGAATCAGGCAGGTTGGGAACAAAGACTAGAATTTGAAGTAACATGAGACTGGCAGTGAGTTTACTTTTTTTTTGTTTTTGAGACAGAGTCTCACTCTGTTGCCCAGGCTGGAGTGCAATGGCACCATCTCAGCTCATTGCAACCTCTGCCTCCCAGGTTCAAGTAATTCTCATGTCTCAGCCTCAGCCTCCCAAGCAGCTGAGATTACAGGTGTGCACCACCATGCCCAGCTAATTGTTGTTGTTGTTATATTTTTAGTAGAGACAAGGTTTTGTCACGTTGGCCAGGCTGGTCTCGAACTCCCGGCCTCAAGTGATCCACCCACCTCAGCCTTCCAAAGTGCTGGGATTATAGTCGTGAGCCACGGCACTTGGATGAGTTTACCTTTTTTTAAAAGAAAAAATTTTAATATTACCCAGCCTAGATTCAAGGCTGCCTGCAATCTGGAATTGAACATCAGTGTGGCCAGAGAGAGAGAGAGCTCCACGAGAAGCCTCTAATTCAAGTTTGATGAGCAGGAAACAGGTTAGACAAAGGCAGAATCTGTAAAAGAAAACATTCGTCAATTAGACTCCATTACACTTAAAACTTTTGCTCTGTAAAGACATTACTAAGAGAATGGAAAGACAAAGTTCAAACAGTGAAAAATTTTATAAATCACACATTCAACAAAGGCTTTATATTCAGAAAATTGTAAAAACAAATAACCCAATTCCAAAACACGAGCAAGGCCGGGCGCAGTGGCTCACACCTGTAATCCCAGCACTTCGGGAGGCTGAGGCGGGCAGATCACTTGAGGTATGGAGTTCGAGACCAGCCTGGCCAACATGGCGAAACCCCGTCTCTACTAAAAATACAAAAATTAGCCAGGTGTGGTGGTATGCGCGTGTAATCCCAGCTATTTAAGAGGAAGAGGCAGGAGAATCGCTTGAACCCAGCACGCGGATGCTGCAGTGAGCCTAGATCGTGCCACTGCACTCCAGCCTGGGTGACGGAGAGAGACTCTAATAACAACAACAACAAACCATGAGCAAAAGACTTGAACAGATCTACTTAAGAGGATATGCAGAAGACAAATAAGCACATGAAAAATGTCCATCTTTAGCCCTTAGGGAAATGCAAATTAGAACCACAATGAGGTATGACTATACACATATGAGAATGGCTGAAATAAAAAAAAATAGTAATAATACCAAGTGCTGGCAAAGAGGTGGGGCAATTAAAACTCTCAAACATTGCTAGTGAGAATGTAACATAGTATCCCCACTCTGGGTTTTCAGTTTCTTATACAGTTAAGCAGTTACCATATGACACGGAAACACTGCTAATGGGTATATGGGTATATACCCTAGAAGAATACAACTATGTTCACATAAAAACTTACACATGAATGTTTATATCTGTTCCATTTATAATTGCCCCAAACTGGAAACAGGCCAACTATCTTTCAGTGGGTGAATGGAAAAACTGTGTGGCGTTTGTATTTTGGAATACCAGTTCTGCGATACCTTGGAGAGATCTCAAAGGCATTACTCTGTGTAAAAGATACCAGTCTTGGCTGGGCATAGTGGCTCACACCTGTAATCCCAGCACTTTGGGAGGCTGAGGAGGGTGGATCACCTGAGGTCAGGAGTTCAAGACCAGCCTGACCAACATGGTTAAACCTCGTCTCTACAAAAATACAAAAATTAGCCGGGCATGTTGGTGGGTGCCTGAAATCCCAGCTACTCGGGAGGCTGAGGTGGGAGAACCGCTTGAACTCGGGAGGCAGAGGTTGTAGTGAGCCGAGATTGTGCCACTGCACTACAGCCTGGATGACACAGCAAGACTCCATCTCAAAAAAAAAGAAAAAAAGAAAAAAAAGATGCCAGTCTTAATAGGCTACATATTATATGATTGCATTTATAGCACATTCTCAAAAAGACAAACTTATAGTGACAGAGACCAATTCAGTGGTTTCCAGGAGTTACAGGTGCGAGGAGAGTGTGATTACACAGGGATTCTGTGAGAAAATTTTTTAGGGGCAATGGAACTATTGTATCCTGATTGTGATGGTGGTTACATGAATCTATACATGTATTAAAATTCATGGAACTGTATACCAAAAATATGAGTTTTATTGTATGTTGATTGAAAAATCAAAGTTTTAAAAGATGAGTCAAAATTGCTAAAATGTTAACAATTTTTAAATATAGAAAATGGGTAAAAGAATATTCATTGTACTCCTGCCTCTACTTTTCTGTATGTTTGAAATTTTTCAAAATGAAAAGTTAATTTTAAAAAGTTTAGTCAGAATAGTAGTTTACAGCACAGCGTGACACATCAGACAGCTTCGATTTTTTTATTATTTAGGTTTAAGTTCTGCCTCTGCACCTAACTAGTTATACTAGCAAGTTAGTAAACCATCTAAGACCTCAGTTTCTGAGTCTGTCAAATGGGGATAGCAATAGTATCTACCTCTTATGGCTTTTGTAAGGATTGAGTGACTAAATAGTTACTACATACATATAGTAGGTACTGATACATGTTATCCGTTATTGTTTTATTATCTTCAACTGTTGATATAGATTGGAGGTTTAAACATTAATTCTTTGACAGATTTAATAAAAGTCTGTCTGATTCTTATTCTAGAACATAAGTCAAATATGACATAGAACATCACTGTTTTTCCACTATTATAGAAATTCTTTACTTGATTTCCTTCCAGTCTCAGAAAAAGGAAAAGTTGATTAAGAAAGTACTTGGATACTACGTTGGGAATTGTTGTTTTCTAAGATCATTATTAGTACGCTAGTATTCTAGAAAATCTTCAAGAGAAGAGAAGGTAGATTAAAATTAGTTTTAATATAATTTTAATTAATTCATTAAGTAATTTTTGAGATGAAATCTTGCTCTGTCACCCAAGCTAGAATGCAGTGGCACAATCTTGGCTCCCTGCAACCTCTGCCTCCCAGGTTTAGGCACATCCAACCTCAGCCTCCTGGGTAACTGGGGCCACAGGCACTTGCCACCACGCCTGGCTAATTTTTGCATTCTTTGTAGAGATGGGTTTTGCCGTGTAGCCCAGGCTGGTATTAAACTCCTGGGCTCAAGTGATCCACCTGCCTCAGCTACCCAAAGTTCTGAGATTACAGGCATGAGCCACCATGCCCTGCCTTAACATAATTTTTAACAAGGATAAACAATATACACATATTCTAATAGCTCCTGAATATTATGTAATCATTCTGTTTTTTATAAGAAAAAAATTATTTATACTCATCAAACTGAAGCCTATGAATCCATTATTGGTCCTGTGCAAGTTTCTAGATCAGATTAGTAAAGTAATGGTTTATGAATGACTAGAAAAGAAAGCTGTGATCATCAGAAACCAGCACAGATTAACAAAGAGCAAGTTCATTGTATTAATTTCATTCCCTTCTTTGAGGGAGTTACTACCTGGAAAGTGTGGACTAGTTCAAGGCATTTTGTGAAAGTCTTATGATATTCTTTTGGATATAATTGAAAAATATAGGCTGGTGCGGTGGCTTACGCCTGTAATCCCAGCACTTTGGGAGGGCAAGACGAGAGGATCACCTGAGGTCAGGAGTTTGAGACCAGCCTGACCAACATGGTGAAACCTCATCTCTACTAAAAATACAAAAATTAGCCAGGCATGGTGCCATGTGCCTGTAAGTCCCAGCTACTCAGGAGGCTGAGGTAGGAAAATTGCTTGAGCCTGGGAAGCGGAGGTTTCAGTGAGCTGAGACCACATCACTGCACTCCAGCCTGGACAACAGAGCCAGACTCTGTCTCCAAAAAAAAAAAAAAAAGAAAAATTGAAAAATATAGACTAAATGAAATATAAGATCACGAATAAATGATGGTTCCCCAAACCAAGAGGGTTTCTTGGTTTTTCCCTTTGTCCTCCCCTATTCAACAATTTGATGATTTAATTAATTACACAGGAAGACACGCTTATAAAAATATCGGAAGATTCCATGAAGACCAAAGGACTGTGCACAGTTGGATATCAGAAGCAGTTTTAAATTAATTCTTCGTAACTGAAGGGTGAGATGAAGCAAGCAAAATAAAATTAATGAGAATAATCATTAAGATTTTGTTCTTATGTCCAGAAAATCAACTATATACATGTAATATGTAGTTTAACTACAATATATGTAAGTAAGACTTTGCAACTTTAGCTAAATATGAGTGTATTAGCTTCTTATTTCTGCTGTAACAAATAACCACACCCTTAGTGGCTTAAAGGAACATAAATTTATTCTCTGACAGTCCTGGAGGTCAGAGGCTAAATGGGCCAGCAGGGCTGCGTTCCCTCTGGAGGCTCTGGGGAGAACTGGTTTCCTTGCCTTTTCCAAATTCTAGAGACTGCTCACATTCCTTGGCCCATGGTCCTGCATTACTTCAGTGACCACTTCGATGGTCACATGTCCTTCTCTGACTCTGACCTTCTTGCCTCCTTCTTGTAAGAATCCTTGTGATTATATTGACCCACCTAGATAATCCAGGATAATTTCCCCTTCTCAAGATACTTGATTTAACCACATCTGCGAGGTCTTTTTTTGCCATGTAAGTCAACATATTCACAGGCTCTAGGGATTAAGACGTGGACCTTAATAATGGTCCTTTGGGGAACCATTATTCAGCCTACTATAGTGAGTCAATAGTGTGATTGCCATGAAAGTTGTGGAATCATTAAATGCATTGATATTTTCAATGAAATATTATTTTGATAATATGTAATAAATAATATAGCAAACAATAAATATATTTATATAACATATATTTATAATAAATACAACATATTTATATAACATAATATTTTTATAACATATAGTATATATTATATGTAATAAATATTACATATACAAATACAGTACTCAAATTATATATATATATAAATATAATACTCAAATAAGAGATTATAATTTCACTCTACCCTTCCTTATCAGAGAATACTGAGATAATTATCTTCAGCTCTGGGCACTACACTTTAAATTATAATCATACTGAGATACAATCAGAGAAATATTATAAAAGGACATAAGAAGGTGAAAAGAAAGGAAGTTGAGATGTGCACTGGAGAAAAAAGTTGCGTAAGTGTATGATAGCTACCTTCTTTCTTTGAAGGGTGAGCATATGGAATAAACATTAGCTTTGTTGTGACAAATTTTGATGGGGGTAAATCCGGAATTGCTGGAAACAGCAGGCAGATGATTTCAGCGGAATGGAAGAAAGTGCCGTCCAACCTGCAATGGGTTCTCTTGACAGCTATTGAGTTCTCTGTCACTGGAGACTCTGCACAGACTCCTTGTGATTTATTTTTAAAAAGTGAAAACACATGGAGAGTACTAAGCCAGATCAAGGTCAATACCCCTCCCACATTTCAGGTTTTGTGATTCTAATGACTAAATGTTCCTGCTTCAGGGAAGGCAAGAGAAACAACCAGAGCAGCAGAGCCAGGCAGCAGATAAGGCCTTTGTAATGGGCTGAATGGGCTGTTTTGACGACTGACAGTTTTACGATGGAATAACTTCCTCTGTTTGTCCTATAATGAGTGTTTGTACCTTGAGTTTGCAGCAAACTCCTTGCCCTGTGAACATTTCCAGATGGATTTCAAAGAAAGGAAATGGTTTTGCTTAAGTGACAAACTAACAGAATTCCTGCTGATTAATTTTTTTTCCTTATTGTCTTTATCACAGGCAATAGGTAGCTATTTGTTTCAGGGCACTAAATCTAAAGTCTTATGATTTCAAGATAAAAGTTCACATTAATTTTATTTACACAGTCTGTGATTTCCTTCATGCCTAAACTTTATGTGAATTCTTTTATTTTGAATACAGAAATATGAACGTTATTATTCCAAAAACATCTTAACACCTTCTCATAGCAAGTGTTACTTTCCGAGGAAGTTGTCAATCTACTCACTTTCTATTTTACAAATAAGAATTTTCCTCTCACTCTTTTTGGTTATTTTGCACATTTCCCTCTCTTTCTTAACCCTACCACTTTCTCTTACTGTTCCCTTTGCTTTGTCCTAGTTCATTGCGAACAAAAGGCATTAGACTGAGCGCTCAGATATTTTCCACAGCAATCCTGTGAACATTCCCACTTCTGCACCTATCATCTTCCTGCTCCTTCTATTTTAATGAAAGAAGTGTCCCTCCTTCTTGAAGGGTCAGTCCCATCATTTGCTCTCTGGATCCTCTTCCATTTCCAAGGACTTCACCAAAACTGTTCTTGGCAAGCTCATTAGTGACCTCCAAATTGCCTAATTCAAAGGACACTTTTCAGTTCTTATCTTAATTTATTGCTCAGTAGCATTTGATACAGTTTTATATTTTTAATCTCATCCTGTCTAGTGAGTTTCAGTTCTATATATCCCAGTTAATTTACAAACATTACCAATTGGATGTGTCAAGCATCTGGAACTTCAGTCGTTCAAAACTGGACTTTTATCTTCCGACTCTTCCGAGAAGAGCCAAACCTATTTCCCTCCTGTTTTCCACACCTCATTT
This sequence comes from Homo sapiens, assembly GCF_000001405.40. NCBI lineage: Eukaryota > Metazoa > Chordata > Mammalia > Primates > Hominidae > Homo > Homo sapiens. The sequence goes on along the minus strand of NC_000012.12, from coordinate 26,856,588 downwards.
AGTAGCCCTATCATTTTCCCCATTGTCCAACCCATATGCTGGAAGCCATCTTTGATTTTTTCTCTTCCTTCCCACCTCCATCCAATCCATCATTAAATCTTTTGATTCCACCTAATTTTAAGCAAGTCAACTTCTTTTTCTACCACCACAGGCATTCATACCAATATTATTTCTTGCCTAGACTACTACATTAGCCTTCTCACTTGTGCACCTACATTAATTCTTGTTCTTTTGGGGTCCCTTCTTCACACAGCAGACAAAGCAATCTTGTGTCATATGTTGCTGAGCAGTAGGCCTGCAAGGTGTCCATTAGACAAACAAGTACAGATGTCTAGGCAGTTGGATATAGACTTTGGGGTTCAAGTTGGAGTGGAAAATTTGTGAGTGAAGGTAGACTGAGAAGAGAGAGGTCCAATGTCTGAGCCCTGGGGCACTCTATTGTTTAAATGTTGAAAATATAAAAAAAGAACTAGCAAAAGAGACTGAGAAGTAGTGCAGTACAAGGAAAACCAGTAAGTGTGGTGTCCGTGGAAGCCAAGAAAATGTATCAAAGAGGAGGGAGCCATCAGCTGTACAAAATGCTGCCAGTAGGTCAAGTAAGATGAAGACACATAAATAACTGATCATTCCTTTAGCATCATGAAAGTCACAGGTGACCTTGACAAGAGCAGCTTCAGTGGATTAATGGGGCAGAGCCACAGAGTTTAAAAGAAAATGGGAGGGGAAAAACTAGAGACAGTAAATATACACAGTTCTTTGTGAGAGATTTTCTGTAAGGGGATTAGCTGGGGTTGGGGTGAGTTCATAACAGCAGGATGAGAGGCATAGAAAATGGCACAGATGCATTGGCAGGTGCTTGTGGAAATTCCGTTTTGATTGCTTCTATTTTTTCCTTGAAACAGGAAGCAAGACTATCAGCAGGTTGAGAGTAAGGATTGGGGAGAAGGTGTTGGCATTTGAGGAGGGGAGGGAGAAGGCATGAAGTAGTCATCTAACAGAAAGAATGGATTAAGAGAATGTATTATGACTCCCACACTCACTTGAGGTTCAGTAGTTATGAATTCAGAATGAGACTGGCCAGTGTGGTTTCACATTTTTCTCTAGTCATATGAGTTGGGGGTGCAGGAATAGAGTAGGCTGAACATTGGATTTAACCAGGGTTGGAGTTTATCAGGTGAATAATACAAAGAAGAAAAGGACAAAGAGAGTTGAAGATAGTGCATGGGAATGATTGTAATAATTAACTGTAATCCAACTGAGTTAGAAGGGAAAATAGGGCATGTGAGAGGCTGGTTACCACGTAATAGTGGTGAATCAATGGGATTATGGGGTTGAAGGCTGCTGGAGTTAGGGTATTTAGGGGGTGCAAGTAGAAAGATAGGATGTAGATGCTAGTAAGGGAGTAAGCTGCTTGAAAATGATATTGGGCCAGGTGCAATGGCTCATGCCTGTAATTCTGGCACTTTGGGAAGCTGAGGTGGGTGGATGGCTTGAACCTGGGAACTCAAGACCACCTGGGCAATACATGTACACTTCATCTCTACAAAAAATTAGAAAAAAATTAGCCAGGCATGGTGGAGTGCACCTGTGGTCCCAGCTACTTGGGAGTCTGAGGTGAGAGGATCACCTGAACTCAGAAAGAGGAGGCTGCAGTGAGCTGTGATAGTGCCACTGTACTCCAGCCTGGATGAGAGAGTGAGCCCCTGTCTCACAAAAAGAAAGGAAGGAAGGAAGGGAGGGAAGGAAGGAAGGAAAAAGAAAAGAAAGAAAGAAAGAAAAGAGAAGAAAAGAAAGAAAGAGAAAGAAAGAAGAGAGGGGAAAATATATATTATGGGTTGTAACTATTGGTAATTGGTAATGATGGATCAACCACATGCTTATAGAGTGACGGGCTAAAGCAGAGAGGAGGAATTGGGATTAAGCGAAAGACCAGGTAGGTCATTTATATAGATATTGAAAGTATTATGAGTTGTGACCAGAAACGTGTTGGCAAGAGTAACAGTTAGCTAGGAGCTAAATCTGCAAGGAATTGAGGATGATTCAGGGGTCCATAGGTAACTGTGGCAAGGATGAACAATGTATATTTATAGTCTGATTACATCAAATATTCAAACCTGGGAGCCACAGGGCAGTAAAACTAAAAAAAAAAAATAATGCTAGAATGTAATAGATCTCATAGAATAGTACAAAGTGCTCTCAGAATACTTGTTAAATGGTTTGTTAAAATATGTATTGCTGGGCCTCACCCCTCAGAGTTTCTGCTACAGTAGTTCTGGGATGGGATCTGATAATTTGCATTTCTAACATATTCCCAGCTGACGCTCTGATGATGGTCCAGGAACCACACTTTGAGAGCCTGTGTGCTAGGAACATTCAGAAGGGGAAGGGGTTGCTTCTGGTTGGAGAGATCAAGGAAAGTTCCTGGAGAATATTTTTTATTTATTTCTCTGCATGTGGTTAGAAACAGTGGCTTGACATAATCAAATACCATACATTGACTAATTAGAAGAAAAGTTGTACTTTTATGTTGGGTTACATATTTCCCGGCTCTGCAAGTCAGAAGCATAGAGGAAATGTAGTTCCTTCATTTGTCTAAAACCTCACTGTCTGCTGCTGATCTGATCAACGCACGGCTCCACCTGCTGGATGGCCAGGAAACGGCCACTTCAGTCACTTCTTTAAAATTTGATCCAGTGACAAAAAATGTAAACAATCTCTTGAGGTAAATGTCTACTCTCTTTTGAAGAAAATGTGTGATCTTTCAGATTTCACCTGGCGGTATGTGGTTTTGTGACCTTGTGGCTGTGGGGGGCTGGGGTTCCGAGGTCCACGTGATGTCCTCGTTCTGTGCTCAGGCCTCTCTGGCGCAATGTCTCTTGTCAGGTTGCTGCCCGTTCTGTTGGCACTCCTGGCTGAGGTCCACCAGAGGTTTAACCTATGTCTGGGTCACTTTCTCAGTTTGATGGAGCCCAGTGGTTCTCCTTGACTGACTTGGCAGTACCTTGCTCATTGTGGTCCTTTCTGAGTTTCTGCCCTGTTCTCTATCTGGCCCCTGGCCCAGTGGATGATGGGATCATCTCACCCTTTGCCACAGAATTGGGAGGGATTTGCTGCAGTGGCCCTGCGGCAACCCCACTGGGTCTCAGTTCATGTGCCTTCACATTCTCACTCTCGGGACCAGCACTTTGGCTCCTATCTGAACCATATAGGAGTAGAGGTAAACCTGGGGACCTGGCTTTAACCTCCCTTTCTGCCCCATTACACCGAGTCACAGCTTTTTCTCTGACATGGCACCCCACTTGTCCGCATTAGTGTGAGGAGTGCCCAAGAGGCAGCCTCCCCTCCAAACCCTACTGGAAGCAGGGCAAGACCCCTGTCCCCAGCATGGGCCTCAGCTGAGCTTTAAAGACCCAGCGTGAGCAGGTCAGAGCATCGCACTTGGCCTCCTTGCTTCCTCTCTTGTCCTTTCTTTTACTCTATTTCATGCATTCTAAGATGCACTCTCCAACCCCCTCCATATTTTCACATCTTTGAAATGGGGTCTTAGAATTCCTGTCATGTTCTAGTTTAATTAGCAGAATGTTTTTCTTTCTTGGTGGTATGGTGGTGCACCTTGTAATCAATGCTGTCTTAGACTCTATCAAATGCAGCATGTCTTCATTTCTCCTGTATCACATTTTCCTACCTTTCACTTTAGCCGCAGTGCTGAGTGCATTAATGGCACCAAAGGCACCTTCCCTACCCTGTGGCAGATGGTCTTTGTTAAGTGGGAGACAAAGAATTTAGTAAATTCTTTTGCCACCAGCCTGGATTTCTAGCTTACTGTCTTGATCAAGAAGCCCCCAAAAGTCCATTCTAGCCATTGTACAATAAGCCTGCAGGCTTGATATCTGAGGTAGAAACCTGATTTAAGGGGTTGGGAGGTATAAAATGGCTCCATTTAATACTTGCAAAATGAATACGATACCTGTTACACATTTAAAAATCAGAGCAAAAAATACTTTCATAAGGGTATTTGCTGATAGTGATGGCAACAGTTTCAAATATGTGGTCATCTCAATAAATTTTAATTGCTAATAATAACTAAATTTCTAAAATTAATTGGAAAGTATTAATATAGATTGAACTATCTTTAAATTCCTTATAATTGAAGTAAGCATTTGAAAAACAAAGCACATAAAATGTATTCATAATGGAAATATCTATTGCTTAGATATTCCAAATTCCATTTGGAAACCAGCTTTTCTCACTAAGGAATAGATATTATCTAGGATTGTCCCATTTTTATAAAATATATTATCTGTATAAATATACATAAATAACAAATGCTAAAAGGGGCCAGGCGCAGTGGCTCATGCCTGTAAATCCAGCACTTTGAAAAGCTGAGGCAGGTGGGCCACTTGAGGTCAGGAGTTCAAGACCAGCCTTGCCAATATAGTGAAACCCCATCTCTACTAAAAATACAAAAGTTAGCCAAGTGTGGTGGCACACACCTGTTGTCCCAGCTACTCAGGAGGCTGATGTAGGAGAATCACTTGAACCCGGGAGATGGAGGTTGCAGTGAGCCAAGATCACACCACTGCACTCCAGCCTGGGCAACAGAGCGAGACTCCGTCTCAAATAATAATAATAATAATAAATGCTAAAAGAGTACACCGTGATGATTAGAGCACTTATCTCTGGAAGGATAAATGGGAGTTTTTTCCCTCTAATTAATCTTTATTTTCTATTTTTCTACTAAAGCATGATTTATTTGTACATTATTTAAAAATTAGGCATAGTTACTACAATTAGGATTAACAATGAAAAGATAGATTTGAAAAAGAAAATTATGATTTAATTTCTGATTTATGGATGAGTCACCCAATTTGTTTGGTCCTTAGTTTTTTCATTTCCACATTGGGAAAAAGATGATATTCATCTAGGTGTGGAGATGTTACCAAGTCTGGGAGTGTCCTGTTTGCAAAATCAATAGGAAAATTGAGTTCAAACAAAACAACAAAATAGAAAGGAAAGCACATACCTAAGCTTAAACTCAAGAAATTGGCTATTTCATAGGGCATGAATCATCCAGAGAGCTGCTTCAGTTCTCCACCTTGTTTTGCATTGTTAGTAAACACCAACAGAAACATCCACAAAACTAAGTGTTTTCATTTACCTACAAAATCTTAAATAATTTAAAAATATTAACTGAAGGTTATCTATAGAAATAGTCACCTTATTATTGCTATTTTAGGGACATTAAAGATAATTAATTTTGTTCATTCAGTCAGTTCTCATACTAGGATTGAGTAATATAAAGTTCATGATCATTGATTCCTTTCACTTCTCTCAGGCACACCCTCTACTCCTATAATACATCTTGGACTATGCAGTATGTTGAACAAACCGATGAATAAGGAATTTCCTGTTCGTCTGGAATAGTCAAGTGTTATAGTGACATACAAGAATTTTCATTTTAAAGTTAATGGTGACATTACAGAATGTCTTCCAGGAATATAGATTTGATCTTTAAACATAATTTGTTGCAAATTTACATGGTAATTTCCTCTAGATTACATGGAATTTGGCAATATAAACTTTGGCATTGTCCCACATAGAGAACAGTTACATTTTCTGCTAATAAAGTCCAATTTGAGAAATTCCTCTGTTAACTCAGAATGAAGATAAAAAATCCAATGGTGGACAAGCTAAGTACACAGCTGGAAGCTCTTAGGGTGTTTTTCATTACAAATTAGGAGATTGATAATAATTGAGAAAATACTCTTTATTTTCTTTGCCCAGAAATGTCACCAAAGAAACAAATTCTAGTAATTTAATTATATACCTCTCAGTCTTGCTTGCATTTACTCTTATCCTTCTTATTTTCAGACCTATAATGACAGCATTTCCCCCCTTTCTTCACTGTACCTATTTGAGTACAGTTCAACTGAGTACGAAAGTAATTCTGAAAATTCTAAAAATTATTAAAATATGTGATAAGTGGCAAAGTTGTTCTAAGCAGTCCTTATTAGGTTAGGCTGATAATTTTGTTATTAGAATTTATGTTTAATATTAATATTTACACAAGTCTGTGTCTTTATACATAGACCATGTTATTGAGAAGGGATTGTGATACGGAGGTTTTTTTCCTTGCTGGGCTTCAATGAGTGCAGGTGAGTTGAACATTGCCAATGAACAATAGGTAGTTGATGATAAGTGACATATGCTGATTTGATAATTACTACAATTTTCTGCTTTGGTTTGGCTTTGCAAACATTTCTTTATTATCCACATTACTACAGACTAACTTTAAAAAGGCATAAGACCAACTGTGTACCCTCAACGGCAATTTTTGCAAATATGACATGAACCCAAAATATACCATATATCTGATTAAAATTAATATGCAAATTTTAAGTCTGTAAAACTTTTTAGAAATTCATAATTTTGCCTTCTTTAGAAGTCATAAAACACATTTGCAAGTGTCATTATATTAAAAATACACTTCCAAAATAATATTCGATTATAAGATGTTCACACACACGAAGCAAACACTATGCATCTATTTCAATTTGGGATGAATAATGAAAACAGATAATAAAAAAATTGGCTTTTATAAGTAGAAAATACTGTTTACAGAAATGCTGAACCTTATTGCTTAGCTATTTTGTTGAGCTAATATATATATATATATATACATATATATATTTTGGAGAGAGGATCTTGCTCTGTCAGCACCCAGTCTGGAGTGCAGTGGTGCCTGGTCCCATCAAAGCCCACTGCAGCCTCAAACACCTGGGCTCAAGCAATCCTTCTGCCCCTGCCCCCTGAGTAGCTGGGACTACAGGCACACGCCACCATGCCTGTCTAATTGAAAGAAAATTTTTTGTAGAGACAGGGTCTTGCTATGTTGCCCAGGCTGTTAATATATTTTGTGATTGAAAATATTTAACATTCTTCTATTTAATACAAATAACTCACCTACCTTTTCTGTAATTGATAGTCTCTACAATTAATAATTTTCTTAAAATATTACGTTTTGAGGGTTTTTTTTGGCATGTATGACTTGGAGGACGTGTGTCATTATACTTATTGTTTATAAATGACCATGTATGGTTTGATTCTTTTTTTTCCCCCTCAGAGTATTGGTTTTCTAAACTCTTATTTCCTCCACCCCACCACGTGCTTTTTAACAACATATATGACCATATCTCCCTGTTACTGGAATGTGGCAGCTCAAGAAATTCAGGGGCTTAATTTTTATTGTGAAGTTGAAGCACAGTCCAGTTTAATTCGGCTTAACATTTTGTTTAGAAAATAAAGAGGAAAATAACCATTTTAGTAGTGGAGGAGATTTTGCCTGCTTCTCACTAGGGTTAGCTCCTGGAAAGAACATGAGAAGGGAGTTGTTCATTTGCTATTTTGTCTCAGTAGGCACCATGCCTTTGGGAGTGTGAGTACCTGACGGTTCTTGATGAGATTCTAATGCTTAAAAGGTAATTTTTTCAGCCTGGGCAACATAATTAGACTCCGTCTCTACAAAATATATAAAAAAAATAGCCAGGCATGGTGGTGCACACCTGTGGTCCCAGCTACTCAGGAGGCTGTGGTGGGAAGATCACTTGAGCCAGGGATGTTGAGGCTGCAGTGAGCCGTGATGGCACCACTGCATGCTAGCCTGTATGAAAAGTGAGACTCTCAAAAAAAATAAAAAAGTTTTGTTCTTTAGTTAATTCAGTTTTTACTTTAATTCTGATTTTAGATGTCAATCATCAAACAAGATGTAACTGGACTGTGTAATTCATAAAAAATTAATATTAATTTTTCCTTTTCCCCTTAGACCATTCTACATGGCTTACAAAAATGGTCTGATGTTTTATAAGGGATAGTTAAGTCCAACTCCTTGCAGGATCATGTATAACTACCACTTAACATAATGATTGCCACACAGTAGTTGCTCAATAAATATTTGCTGCATGAGTAAAATGACTGCCAGTATATCCCATTAACTTTCAATAAACAGGTACTAATTATTCAATTTATTTTTGAGACAGGGTTTGGCTGTATCCCTCACGCTGGAGTGCAGCGGTGCGATCTCCTGAATAGCTGGGACTATAGGTGCGCAACACCATGCCAAGCTTATTTTGTTTATTTTTTGTAAAGACAAGGTTTCACTATGTTGCCCAAGGCTTGGGATTACAGATGTAAGCCACCACAGACCAGTTACATTTTAAAGCATTAAAATGTTCATATCTGCTTGCTTTATGAATAGAACATTGTCAGATGATAACATAGTTTTTTCCCCCCCAAATCCTGTACCTGATTGGCTACAAGTTGACCCAGTCATGGTGCACACCAGTTTAGAGAAAAATGAAAGCTGATATTTTTATTAGTGTGGGGGAAGAAACGGGTGAATATTAAGAAGTGGAGGCTGGACGTGGTGGCTTACATTTATAGTACCAGCATTTTGGGAGGCTGAGGTGGGAGGATTGCTCAAGCCCAGGAGCTTGAGACCAGCCTGGGCAACATGGTGAGACCCTGCCTCTACAAAAAATAAACAAAGTTAGTCGGGTGTGGTGGTGTTATGCTCGTGTTCCCAGCTATTTAGGAAGCTGAGGTAGGAGAATTGCTTGAGCCCAGGAGGTTGAGACTGCAGTGAGTCTTGATCACACCAGCCTTGGCAACAGAGGGAGACCCTGTCTCAAAAAAAAAAAAAAAAGAAAAGAAAAAAAGAAAAAGTGGACTAAGGTGAAAGCATCTAATGCAACACTGACTTAGACAAAAGCTATATTATTAGGTTAGTGCAAAAGTTATTGCAGTTTTGCTATTAAAAGTAACTTTTGCACCAACCCAATAGAAACAACCACGATGGCTGGGAATAGTGGTGTGCACCCGTAGTCCCAGCTACTCAGGAGGCTGAGGCACAGGATCGCTTGAGCGCAGGAATTCAAGGCTGCAGTGAACTGTGATTGGGCCACTGCATTCCAGCCTGGGCAACAGAGTGAGACCTTGTTTTTAAAAACAAAAAACAAACCAAAACCATGAATGGTGCCTGATGACTGATGCTGTTTGGATTGATGGGATGTGTCTTAGCAGGGTGAGAGTAGAGAGAAAGAGATCTCTCTCCCAAAATATTCATCTTTGGTCGAAGAATAGGCTGACAAGAAGAAAATCTATAAGGAAAAAAAAAAGTTAGATAAACATCAAGTTAGAAGAAAATACTAATGACTAACAACCAGATGATAATTTTAAACTTTAAGAGTGAAAGTAAAGTTAATATAGAATTTTTTTTTTTTTTTTTTGAGACAGAGTCTCGCTCTTTCGCCCAGGCCTGACTGCAGTGGCGCTATCTCGGCTCACTGCAAGCTCCGCCTCCCACGTTCACGCCATTCTCCTGCCTCAGTCTCCCGAGTAGCTGGGACTGCAGGCGCCCACCACTGCACCCGGCTAATTTTTTTTTTTATTATTTTTAGTAGAGACAGGGTTTCACCGTGTTAGCCACGATGGTCTCGATCTCATGACCTCGTGATCCGCCCGCCTCGGCCTCCCAAAGTGCTGGGATTACAGGCGTGAGCCACCGCGTCCGGCCCAATGTAGATTTTTAATATAGTTGCTGAAAAACCAATATAATAGAACTTTATATGGATGTGTGTATGCCTGTGTGTTGGAGGAATGACATATATTAAGAATCCTTAGTATCAGAGACATAGGCAATTATGGAACAACTCTAGGAGAAAATATCCTGGACAACTGGGAATGGAGAAACTGTGGCCTGTGGGTAAAATAGCATGCTTTTCGGAAGCAAACAGAACAGTTACTGCTGGCTTAATCTACTGCTTAATCTACCTGCCTACCCTTTAGTTCCACACATTGCCATTTACACTTTCTTTCAGAAATTCCACAATACAGATGCTTAAATAGTCTCAAGGAAGTGAGCACATATTCAAAACCTGGTGTCCTGTTATCTCAGTTTACATACAAATATGGGTAGGAAGTGACGTATGGAGCAGGTGTCTATCATTTCAGGGAAATGAAAGTCCGTGTGAAGCAGCTGTGATGGGTATATTCGTACTATTTGAAAAAAATTTCGAGTTTTCTCTAGTGTAAACCTATTTCAATGGAAAAATACTGGATTAGATTCACACCTGTCTTAGAACATTCTTCAGAGTAGATGGAAGCTGATTTGGAAGAGCTTGGGGAGCTAAGTTTAGGTCCATATATTTGACTTATCTCTAAAAAGCTCCTATTGAAAAGAGTTTAGCATCTTACCTCTCTGTCAGTGTCTCTGTATCATTTATTGCAAGCTTTATTCAATGCAAAGCCTGCTCCAGTTTGATAAGCAGAGATTGTAACGGTGAGCGAGGCCACATCTGTGCTTAGCCGGGAGCTCATAGCTACCGCAAAAATGGTAACAAGTTTAGTTGCAACACTTTCCTGGAACATGGTACTCAGAAATAAGCAGACACCAGACACTGATAAGGTTGTCATGGAGAACTACATTCCAATCTTCAGAAATCTGTTTCTGCCAGGAAGGGTGGATTCAAATTCTACTGGCTTCTTGAATTTCCACATGTACTTTTTTCCTCTGAGATATTCTGAAAGATGCCAGGAGATACTGGCCCAGGAAAAATGAATTGCTAAAACGCCACGAAGCTGTATGTGCTGTCCTTATGATTTCATTACAAAGAACATGATAATCATTTTCTTAAAAATATGCACCTATAGGAAAAGATCAATTAAAACACCGAGAGGGAATTTCCCATCATGTCTTCTGCGCAGCGGAAACTAATGATTCCCTCTTTTACTGCTCTGCCCTCACTCTACTGTGCCATTATCAGATTTTGCTGGAAAAAGCCTTCCTTATAATTTTGGGGGGAATTTTTTTTTCTTAAAAGCAAATGCCATTTATTGTGGAACAGTTTATATTTTTCTTTAAAAAATAGATCCTCTCTAAAAGAAGAAAGGAGAAAAAATTACCATAGTTTTATTATAGTAGTATTTTTTGTTGATTATTGTTTTTTCCCTAGTGATTCAATCTTGCTTTTAAAGTCATCATATAGGCAGGGCGAGATGGCTCACACCTTTAATCCCAGCACTTTGGGAGGCTGAGGTGGGTGGATCACCTGAGGTCAGGAGCTCGAGACCAGCCTGGCTAACGTGAAACCCTGTCTGTCTCTACTAAAAATACAAAAATTAGCTGGGCGTGGTGGTGGGTGCCTGTAATCCCAGCTACTCAGGAGGCTGAGTATATGACATATATTAAGAATCCCTAGTATCAGAGACACAGGCAATTATGGAACAACTCTAGGAGAAAATATCCCGGACAACTGGGAATGGAGAAATTGTGGCCTCCAGGGGGCGGAGGTTGCAGTGAGTCAAGACCGTGCCACTGCACTCCAGCCGGGGCGACGAGCAAAACTTCGTTTCAAAAAAATAAAAAAAAATAAAAAAATAAAAATAAAGTCATCATATAAATCATTTTACATATTATTACATATTCTTAGTAAGAATTGCTTACTATACTCCCTGGCAGCTGCTACAGTGTAATCACTAATTTGCTACTGTTCAATATTTATTTTCTTCTCCATGCTTATTATTATTACTATGATAAACATAATTGTGAATAAAGCACTTTTCATACATAGGATTATTTCTTTAGGTTATATTCCATATGTCCACATTGCCATTAAAATGGTTGTACAAAATATGATATTGGCTGTTTGACTAACAGCATTGGTTACAATAACTAAAAACTTTTATTTTGCTAATCTAATGCATGAGAAATGATATCTCACTATTATATTACTTTTATTTTTTTGCCTATAACCAACCTTTTGCCTATAATATTTGTTGCAAACTATTCCCACTTTGTTGTTTTACTTTCAGTTGAGTTTTTTGTTACATTTTAAAAATAGAAGAAAAAATACATATATAATTTACCATCTTTACCATTTTAAGTATGCAGTTCAGTGGTAGTAAACACATTTATATCGCTTTTTGTTCCCTTCACTCACCCTTTCCCCTTCCCTTACTGGTGTTAGAATTTTTACATAAAAATTTAAAGTTGTAAGAATTAAACTTACTTCATAATTTGCTTTATGTTTTTATATTAATGCATATGTATTTCTAAGCATAGGTATCCCCTGTTCTTAAGATGGTAAATATTCAATTCCCTTTATTTTGGTGAATTTTGAATTCAGATGAATACATTAAGTCATTAAATATAAAATTAATTAATTTATTTTTGAGACAAGGTCTCACTGTGTCACCCAGGCTGGAGTGCAGTGGCACCATCATGTCTCACTGAAGCCTCAAACTCCTGAGCTAAAGAGATCTTCCTGTCTCAGCCTCTGAGTAACTGGGACTATGGATGTAGTTTTTAAAATTTTTTAAATTAAATTTTTTTTTTTTTAAGATGGGGTCTGGCTATGTTGCCTAGACTGGTCTCAAACTCCTGACCTCAAGTGATCCTTCCACCTTGGCCTCCCAAAGTGCTGGGGTTACAGGCGTGAGTCACTGCACCTGGCCCTGGATTTATTTTTAAGATACGTGATAGCTTAAAACTGCTAAACTAGTATTCTCCATGTAAGTAAATAACATCATTTCTTGTATAATCTCATGCTTTCCCATTGATTTCTTATACTTTCTTTTTTATATATTGAGTTCTTACAAATAATCAGGACTGTAGACTGTGGTACTGTGCCTATAGGTACAAAAAACAGGTACAAAACAGCTTCCTTCACATCTAGGTGTTCACTCTGAAACAAAAAGTACAACTCAGAGTTCTTGCCTTAAACAAATTGATGCTAATTAGTTGGGTAATCAGGATGTATACATCCGAAATAATGCACTAAAGTAGACCCACATTACTGCATTTCAAACTAGATTCATAAATGAGAGAAAACAAAGGTAAACTTGGGGGAATCACAGGGGTGAGAAAAAGGACTCCAGGAAGTTTTCCCTGGATTTATTCTCCCTGGTTTTGCCCAACCAAAGTATTATGTCTTCCCAAAAATCAGGAACCACAAGCATGGCAGCATTCTCTGGTGTTAGATGGCAGTTTTCTCTGTGGGTTTTATCCGCTACCTTCTTTGAAGAGATAAAAAGCTGTCAGCTTGTGGAAAGCAGAGTTCTCATGTGACAATTGTGGGTGGTTTTATAGCACCAGGCTGGAAATTTAGCCATTTTGTTTCTTTTGTCTCAAAATTTGCTTTTCCCTGATGTCTGAAACGTGTCTGTTAAAAAAATTGATTTCTTTCTCTTACACATATTTTTTAAAAAATTCAAATTCCTTGAAAAAGAAAAATTTAATAATTATCAAGAATTTTGCCCTGGCTCAGTGTGGCTCATGCTTGTAATCCCAGAACTTTGGGAGGCAGAGGCGGGTAGATCACTTGAGGCCAGGAGTGCAAGACCAGCCTGACCAACATGCAATACCTGGTCTCTACTAAAAATACAAAAAATAGCTGGGTATGGTGGTGGGGGCCTGTAATCCCAGCTATTCCAGAGGCTGAGGCAGGAGAATCACTTTAACCTGGGAGGCGGAGGTTGCAGTGAGCTGAGATGGCACCACTACCCTCCAGCCTAGGCGACAGAGCAAGACTCATCTTAAAACAAAAAACAAAAAACAAAAACAAAAAACAACAAAAAAAGAATTCGCTACAGTTGATGGAAGGGATTGATCTGTAAATGGCAGAGCTGGTGGCCCAGAGGCTCTGGAGACAGCTCTGGTGTGGGCTCAGTCACTGGCATGTCTTATTGCATAGACAGAAACACCTCTGATGCTTGGTTTTCTTATGACATTTCATGCTGCTTTTCTCACAGATAATCATAATCATAATAATAGCTAATATTTATTGAAGTTGGATGTGGTGGTTTATGCCTTGTAGTCCTAGCTCCTTGAGAGGCTGAAGCCAAAGGATTGCTTGACCCTGGAATTCTGGGATGCAGTGAGCTATGACTGCACCACTGCACTTCAGCCTGGATGACAGAGTGAGATCCTCTCTCTAAAAAACAGCAAAACAAAACAAAAAACATGAAAGGTTATTAAGCACTTTATGCCAGGCACCACATCAAGCCCCTTAAATGTAACTTCTAATTTAAACCTCACAAAGACCACATGAGATAGATACCATTATTGTCCTCATTTTACAGATAAGTAAAACGAGGCCCCAGAGGTTATGTATTTGCATAAAGCCTGGTAGAGAGTAAATTGTGAATTAGTAACTCATCCCAGGTCTATGCAATACTTGTGTCCTTAACTATTGTGGCATACAGGTATGGGATTCATTTAAGTGCCTGATAAATGCTTTCTGACATCTACATGGGAACATTAAATTGTATTTGGGGAAGAATCACTGCAAATTGAAGTAGGCAAGATTTTAGATATGCATACTTTTTTTTGAGACAGGGTCTTACTCTGCCGTCCAGTCTGGAGCACAGAGGCGTGATTTTGGCTCACTGCAATCTCTGTCTCCCGGGTTCACGCCTCAGCCTCCTGAGTAGCTGGGACTATAGGCATGCACCACCACGCCTGGCTAATTTTTGTATTTTTGGTGGAGATGGGGTTTCGCCATGCAGCCCAGGTTGGTCTCCTGGGCTCAAGCAATCCGCCTACTTTGGCCTCCCAGAGAACTGGAATTACAGGTGTGAACCACAGTGACTGGCTCATTTTTTTCTTAAAACTCCCCATTCTTTTCTGTTATAGAGACTGGGCCATTTTCTCTTTTCTTCAATATTTTGATGATTCTCAGCTCTAATTGATCATGGTTCTTAGAACCAAATGGTATCAGTTGTATCAGTTCTTCATAAAATACTTCTAATTACAACACCTCTCCTCTTTTTCATTTCCAAGCCCTTACAGAATTATGACATTAGGGTCAGATCAAGCCATAAGCGATTCAGCAGCAAGTAGTGTAAATACTTCTAAGAACTGTGACCCTCAAATAATATATATATATAATATTCACCATATGATTATGGTGAATATATATAATATTCAGAAGAATATTTTAATGGGATGTGAAGTTGGGAGTTTCAGTGGAGGCATCGAAATACCATCAGTAAGACCAAGATGCAAATTTTGAAAGGAAATATTTGACCACAAGGGATACAATGCTTAAAAATCTTTCTCCCAGACCAAGGATATGAAACAGTTGGGCTGTTGGAGATGTGAGTGTTTTGGAATGAGCTACTGCTCTGTTGCGTCTCACGCCGTACATACCCAGTGCAGGAGAGAAGAACGTGTGCATGCATGTGTGTGTGCGTGTGTGTGTGTGTCAGTCATGGGGAGGGAAGTCTTTGACTCTCAGATCTAATCTAGTGAGAAGAACTTCAAAGGCACCACATGGAAAGCTTATATTTGTCTCCTGCAGGTAGGGAAACACAGTAGATTGATGTCAAACTCTGGCTTTGGAAACAGAGAGGTTAAGGGTCAAAAGATGTGATAGACAATATTTTTGAGATGAATGTCAGACTTTTTGTTGCCTGGAGATTGGCCTGCATTTCCAGAGTTTTCCCAGGCTAAGATTGTTTCTTCTGGGCCACATCTTCAAAACAGATCTGGTTTGGGATTATTCTTAAATTCCTGTCCACTAGACAACACTCTGAGAGTGATCAAAACTGACACTGTCAACAAAGAGCAGATATAGCTATACATCGTGTGCCTAAGGTTAGGGTGCCCTGGGAAGAACACAAAATCACTTTTGTAGTATTCTGGCTAGAAATGCTTCATCAAATCTAAGTGTGAAATACAAGACAAATCCAATTATGGAACAGCCTATAAGTAAATGACTTGTATTCTTTTTTCTGTTTTTTTTTTCTGTTTTTTTTTTTTTTTTTTGAGACAGAGTCTTGCACTGTCATCCAGGCTGAGTGCAGTGGCGCGATCTCAGCTCACTGCAACCTCCACCTCCTGGGTTCAAGCAATTCTCCTGCCTCAGTCTCTTCAGTAGCTGGGACTACAGGTGCCTGCCACCACGCCCAGCTAATTTTTGTATTTTTAGTAGAGACGGGGATTCACCATGTTGGCCAGGATGATCTCAAACTCCTGACCTCCAGTGACCTGCCCGCCTCGACTTCCCAAAGTGCTGGGATTACAGGCGTGAGTCACTGTGCCTGGCCAGATGGCTTGTATTCTTAAAAAATGTCAATGTCACTGAAGCCAAAGTGTGGCTAAGGAATTGTTATAGATTAAAAGAGACAAAAAAAACATGAAAACTGAATGCTATATGTAATTCTAAATAGGATTCTGTCCTGGAAGAAAAAAATGATGTAAAAGACACTATTGAGACAGTGGTATATCAGAGTTAAATTTCCTGAACTCGATGGTTGTTCTGTGGCTATATCTTTGTTCTTAGGTATACATGAAGTATTAAAAGGCAATAGGGCATGATGTATGCAACCTACACTCAAATGGTTCTGAAAATAAATTGCATGCGTACGTGTGTAAAGGCAGTGATAAAACAAATGTGGCAAATTATAAAAATTACTGAATTTAGGTCACAGGTATTCTTATAACTTTTCTGTAAATTGGAGATTATTTCTGTAAGTTTGAGGTTATTTCAAAATAAAAATTAAAAACAGATCATTTTCTGAGCCACTAGCCAAGGTTTGTTTCAACCTCTTCTCCCCAACCCCTACCGACATACAATCACCCCCTTCAGGAATGTTAGTAAGTCCCCACCAAGACAAGCTAAATCAGAATCTCAGGAGCTAAGGCCCAAGGATTTGTGTTTTAACAAGTTCTCCAGGCGGTTCTTATGTGTACTAAAGCTTGAGAAACACTGGTTTAGCCTAGTTAAGAACCATGCTTGGAGTTGGGGGTGGGGTTAACCCCATTGGGCTGTTACACTATGGGGGAAAGGTGGCTGGGGATAGGGGAAATGGCCACAGGATCTGTCTCACATGACTGTTAAGATGATAGTGGCTGAGATGGTTACATTCTCCCCTATCCCGCCCACCTTTTTCCTTTTAGCTTTGACCCAGAGGCCTTAAGGACACATTTTTAGTCCAACATTTCACAACAGGAGGTATACGTGACTAATGTATATTTATTAGAGAGCAAATTCACAAAACTCTCCACACTGAATACAAATTGATTATGGTGAATTAGCAGAGTTGTTCATTTTTGGCCTAGTGAGGAGTAGCAGAGATTTTTCCTTGGGCATGGTGGGCTGCAGGTCCCAAGCCCTGCCCCACAGGGAGGCAGCTGAGGCCCGGTGAGAATTCGAGCACAGAGCTGGCAGGCTGGCACTGCTGGGGGACCCGGCGCACCCTCCGCAGCTGCTGGCCCAGGTGCTAAGACCCTCATTGCCCGGGGCCGGAGCTGGCCGGCTGCTCCGGGTGCGGGTCCGCCCAGCCCATGCCCACTCGGAACTCGAGCTGGCCCACAAGTGCACTGCAGCCGCGGTTGCCGCCCGCGCCTCTCCCTCCACACCCCACAGCAAGCAGAGGGAGCTGGCTCCGGCCTCGGCCAGCCCAGAGAGGGGCTCCCACAGTGCAGCGGCTGGCTGAAGGGCTCCTCAAGCGCAGCCAGAGTGGGCGCTGAGAGCGAGCTAGGGCTGCCAGCACACTGTCACCTCTCACCTACAAGAGCCTGGCCTTGGATGTTCTAATTGGAAGTGATTTGGTATGTCAGATTTGTTGATCTGTCTGAGTAGGGAAAAAGGAATTGGAGATTGATAGAAACATTGATGGAATGAGGGGGATCAGTGGAGCCGTTTACATGCCCAGTCTTTGGCATGGTAAGGATGCCTGTATCCAGAACTACCTACATAAATTTTCATGGCTCAGTGAAAAATAAAATTGTGGGGCCTCTTGTTAAAAAATAATCAAGAATTTCAGGATAGCACCAACAAAACATCAAACCAATCATGGGGCCCTGTGCTATTGCACAGGTTGCAACACCATGAAGCAGACCCTGCCTAAATCTCATGTGGTCAAAAGGAGGCCAGACTTGCTAGAACCCACCCAAGAGGTTTGTTGGCCTGTGGATAATAGTGTCAGGGGTGGAGCTGAAGGGGTTGGGAAGAAGTCAGGCTGGGGCAAGCTCTCCCACTTCGAAGAACTGTGCACTGCGAGGTCTTTCAGAGCTTTTAAAATCTTCATCCACATGCCCAGCATAGAACTGCTATTTGACAACCACCTGACAAGAAGGCCTCTGCAACCAGTCAGAGTTTACTAGATGAGCAGTGGAGTCGTGAGGACTGAAATTGCAAACCCAGGTCAGAATGATATGTTTGCTCATTTCATCCTGATCCTGCATTCCCTTCCCAACACCCAAGAAGCTAAAATGTGAAGATGTAAGGGAAGGAGTAAAAGAGAAGACCACATCCCTCCCTGATGCTGGCCTATTGATCTAAGGAAGTCTGGAATGTGTGTGTGTGTGTGTGTGTGTGTGTGTGTGTGTGTGTGTTTTGAGACAGAGTCTCGCTCTGTCACTCAGGCTGGAGTGCAGTGGCATGATCTCGGCTCACTGCGACCTCCACCTCGTGGGTTAAAGTGATTCTCGTGCCTCAGCCTCCAGAGTAGCTGGGATTACAGGCATGCACCACCAGGCCCCGCTAATTTTTGTATTTTTAGAAGAGATGGGGTTTCACCATGTTGGCCAGGCTGGTCTCGAACTCCCTACCTCAGGTGATCTGCCCGCCTTGGCCTCCCAAATTGCTGGGATTACAGGCGTGAGCCACCGCACCCGGTCATGTGTGTGTATTTTTAATAACCAAAAATGACAATGACTCTAAATCTAAGAGCTCTCCTTGAAATATTATTAAAAGACAGAACATGTAGATTTGATAGAACATTTCCCTTTGTTGAAAGGGAATGATTTAAAACCCCATATTTTATTTGCACCTCATGAAGCAGACTGCTCAATAAACCAGTTACTATTAAAAATTATATTTAGGCCAGGCGCAGTGGCTCATGTCTGTAATCCCAGCACTTTGGGAGGCTGAGGTGGGCAAATCACCTGAGGTCAGGAGTTCGAGACCAGCCTGGCCAACATGATGAAACCCCATCTCTACTAAAAATACAAAAATTAGCCAGGCGTGGTGGCAGGTGCCTGTAATCCCAGCTACTCAGGAGGCTGAGGTAGGAGAATTGCTTGAACCCAGGAGGCAGAGGTTGCAGTGAGCCGAGATCGTGCCACTGCACTCCAGCCTCGGTAACAAAGAGCAAAACTCCATCTCAAAAAAAGATTATATTTATTACAAGGCAGGGAATAAGAAAAGGGATTCACAAAACACTCAGTTGACAGATAATAGATTGCAAACCCTTTCACTTCTAGTGTTGATCTGAGGATATCCAAGTGAACACTGAATGTAAATTACCCTGAAAACATCTCCGCTAGAAGAACTTGTTACTGAAACCTTATTTTTAATATAGGCAATCCTTTGGGAGTAAACATTTCAAATATTACATCCTGCTCTATTTATTATCTCTCCCTATGGGTTTTTTAGGGCATGATAACTTGGGCTTTTGCTGAAGTGACTCATAGTCTCAGCACAGGAGACTTTTTGAATATCATTTGGTGGACTGTTCTCATCATCCAAAGTAATAAACATATTTAAGCATTCAAAAATTCTAAATTATTTATTATTTCATTTATCTACCAAATATTTATTGAAGTCATAAATGGGTACTGCTAGTCCCCATGAGGGGTAAAACATGAATTAGACACTGTTCTCATTTTCAGGATGTTTCTAGTTTGGTAAGACTCAAGATGTACAGATATAACAAGAAGGCAAGGTGGAAAGTGTTGAGAGGTACCTTAAAAGGTATGTGCCCTTAGACCAGGCAACTGAGTCCCTGACCTGGGCTCTGAGTTTTACAGGATCTTCTGGATTAAGGGGACACGCTCACCAGAAGCCTGAACTTCCTCCTCTAGCTTCTAAACTGTGTCCTGAGTGTCCAAGATCCCAGAATCTCATACATAAATTCATTTCCCCAAGTATAGAGACAGAAGCTGGAAACGTGGGCCAACTCTCTCTACACTACACCACCTTTTACAGTTTATTAGTTAATTAGCAACCTTTAATATTTAGACTACGTAATAAGGGCCTCTGATACTCTCGGCATGGAAACCCACAAATGTTAGGGGGCAAGTTGGCCTGGCTATGGGAATTCAGGAGGAGGCAGAACTTTGCCTTGGCAGTATATAGGAAGTTCCACTGGGGAAGGAGAACTTGGGCATGCAGAGGTGGGAGAAGGGAGAAGAGGAACTTCTGGAAGAGGGAACATCACACTCAAAGACATGAGACTAAAAGTGCCAGGTTACATGTGAAAAGTCTGGCTTTCCTGGATACCAGGAATGGAAGGGCAGAAACTCAGGTTGTAAAAGGAGAAGGAGACCAGATCATGGATGGTGTGGAATACAGGACATGGTGAGTGAGGGTTTGGCAAACTGTCTCATATTCTTAGTATAGGAGAGTCTATTTAGAGTGACTGACGTTCACATCTAACACTCACATCAGCAGGTAGGCCTTACTGTAGACAATAAGCTGTCATTGGAGGTTTGAGCAGTTTTGATGAGATCAACTTTGTAAGTATAAAGCTCTGGCTTGCTATGGGATAGCAAGTGGGAGAGACTGGAAGGGTGGAAACAGGCAACTGTGTAGAAGAGGGCAATGATATAGGAGAAGGTGAAAAAGAGACATATTTGAGATAATAGAAAGGAAGAACTAGGTAGAGAAACAAATAAAAAGTGATCCCAAGACTTTGTATGAATCCCTTGGCCACCCCTTAGGCCACCTCTCTGTGGCCAGCTAACCATCTTTGCCATGCCAACACAGAAGAGTGACCAGCTCCAGTCCCCAGACTATATTGGATACCTCTGTGGGTGTTGAGTGGTGGGTGGTAGGGACAGGGTGAAGAGGAAGGAAGACATTGGATTTGGGTACATGGTTTGAAGTTTGCACCTGTTCATTAGCATAAACAACCACTACTTATTTTGTGTGTGTTGTCCGCAGATAGTTTGTGACTTGAAACAAAGATTATTCACAATTTTGATCAATAATTTGGGTACACGGTTTGAAGTTTGCACCTGTTCATTAGCATAAACAACCACTACTCATTTTGTTTTGTTTTTCGAGATGGAGTTTCGCTCTTGTTGCCCAGGCTGGAATGCAATGGCGCGATCTCGGCTCACTGCAACTTCCACCTCCCAGAATCAAGCAATTCTCCTGCCTCAGCCTCCCAAGTAGCTGGGATTACAGGCACCCACCACCACACCCAGCTAACGTTTTTGTATTTTTAGTAGAGACGGGGTTTCACCATGTTGGCCAGGCTGGTCTCAAACTCCTGAGCTCAGGTGATCCCCCCACCTCTGCCTCCCAAAGTGCTTGGATTACAGGCGTGAGCCACCGTGCCTGGCCAACCACTACTCATTTTGTATGTGTTGGCCACAGATAGTTTGTGACTTAAAACAAAGATCATTCATGACTTTGATCAATAATTGAGCATCCACTGGATGTATAGCACAGTAGTGCCGTGCAATATGGGGAACAATACAATGTAATGCACAGATCTCTTGGATAAACAGAAACTTCCATTTCCAGGGTCACTATGTTGTTCTGTCTCAGCTTTTTAATAACTCCTATGCCCAATGTCTTGGTGGCCCCCAACAGTGATATAATGTGTGTAGACAGAGAAGGGCTGGATTATGTAACAGGCATTTCTAAGTTGTCAAGTAACTTTTTACAAAGAAGGACACATAAAAGGAGATCTGTCAGCTGCATGCTATTACAATGACTGGGTCCAGTTTATCTCAACACACACAGGCTTTGCACTGGTGTTTCCTGGATTCAGTGTCTATTCCCTTCTATCTAGCAGGCTTTTTAAACACAAACTTTTGTTTTTTTGAGACGGAGTCTTGCTCTGTCGCCCAGGTTGGAGTGCAGTGGCGCCATCTCTGCTCACTGCAACCTCTGCCTCCCAGCTTCAAGCAATTCTCCTGCCTCAGCCTCCAGAGTAGCTGGGATTATAGGCCTGTGCCACCACGTCCGGCTAATTTTTGTATTTTTAGTAGAGATGGGGTTTCGCCATGTTGGCCAAGCTGGTCTTGAACTCCTGACCCCAAGTGATCCTCCCGCCTCAGTCTCTCAAAGTGCTGGGATTACAGGCGTGAGTCGCTGCGCCTGGCCTTTTGAATTCTGGGCTAATTCTTTCATTTTCTATTATGTGATTATAAGTCTCAATCTAAACCATCTTTGAACTGTAAGACATGTAAGACATCTGACTGTAAGTTACATTTTGGTCAGTTGCACAATTTGACACAACATGCTTCTGCACACCCCAAGTTCCTCTGCCTTTCTACAAACTTTGCTCTGTGGGGATTACTTATGTAGCACTTTTAAATTAGGTGGCTGGTATCAAAACCGCCATACAGTTTGCCTCCACTGTGTCTTCTAGAAGGGAAGAGCAAAAGGCTTTTAAAATCATGTTCTAAGAAGAGGGCTACAGAAGCAACAGAGAAGGCGTGGAAAAGTGTCTAGCTGCGTTTTGCTTATAACGGCTGGAGCTTTAAGAGTCAGCAGCTTTAAACGTAAACAAGCCAGGGTTGTCTTGAGCCGGGGACCTTGGGCTGATGGGGGTGGAAGGTTAACCTCGGCTTGGAGTTAACGAAGCGCAGGAGGCGCGGCCTCGGAGGCTTAAAGCTCAGCTCCACTGAGCCCTCACCGCTGAAGGTTGGCTACAAAAACTGGCTTGGCCAAGTGACGTTTACCTCCTTGGAGGCTCGCGTCCACCTGGACATCAGCGGACGGGTCGAGTTTCATTAACGCCGCGTACTTGAGAAAAGAAGAGGAAAAAGACCACCCAAACTACATAACGAAATCGAGATCATCCTCCTTCCCTCACTCTCTTCCTTCCTCTCTTCTACTTTCTTCATCATGCATTTATTTTTTATTTGTATTTTTTTCCTTTACTTCAACGCCTACCTCTTCCTTGGCCAGCAAATTACCCACCCCGCTGGGGCTCCACCTTTTCATCTCCAGCAGTTCGGGGGCTCTCTCCATTGTGCTCGGGTCCTACAGTGCGCTCGCCCGGCCGCCACCTCTCACCCTCCCTGCCCCCATCAAGCTTCTTCGAGTTCCCAGGCAGCGACTGTCGCGCCCCAGGTCCGGCCTCTCCAGGGCGGCCGCACGCGCCCGCTCCCCCGCCGGGGTCCCCCGCCGCCCCTCCAGCGCCGCCCAGCGTCGCGTCCCCGCGCGGGCCGGTGCGGCGGCAGCAGAGGCTTCCCGGGTGGCCCGGCCTCCCGAGGGTCGCCCCGCCCCGGCCCAGCTCCGCCCCCGGCCGCTGCTCCCTGATTGGCCGCCCCCCCACCTCTCCAGGGCTCCTCTCCTCCTCCTCGCCCAATGGGCACCGGCACCTGGTCCAAAAATTCCCCTGAGGGGACCGAGGGGGCTCGGCCACTTCCAGCTCCCGCCGGGCGGCTGTGACGGCCGCAGCGGGTCGCAGAGCAGGGAGTGGACACGGAGTGGGGAGCGGAGAGGGAAGGAGGAGGAGGAGGAGCAAAGGTGTTGGAGAGAAAACTTCAGAAAGGAACAGGAAACCTGCCGGGGAGGCGGCGGCGGCTGCGGCTTCTCTGGGCGCCTGGGCTGCGCTCTTCGCGGGGTGTCCGCAGCTGCGGCTTGGCCCCGGTCTGGCTTCCCCGGCGCGCACGCACGGCTGAGCCGCGACGCTCAGTGGCTCGGGCCGTGCCCTCCGCCGCGGCTCTTGGCCGCTGTAGTCCCGCGATCCGATCCGCTTCTGCCGCGGCGGCTCCCTGGAGAGAGGGCGGCGAGGGCGCAGGGAAGAAGAGGGACGTCCACTGTGGAACATGAAGCAGCATGACTGAGAAAATGTCCAGCTTCCTCTACATAGGGGACATCGTGTCCCTGTACGCGGAGGGCTCGGTCAACGGCTTCATCAGCACCTTGGGGTAAGCGGGAGACGAGGGCTGGGCAGCGCTCGCGCTCCGGGTCCTGGGAACCAGTCCCTGTCCCTCCTCCGCCGCCCGGTCCTCCCGCTGCCGCGCGTGGTGGCCCGGCCGGGCAGGGTCGGCGCCCGCGGACAGCGCCGTGCGCTCCGCTCTCTCGCTCGCCCGCTCGCAGGAAGCTGCCCTGAGAGGCAAGACTTTCTCAGCAACTTCGTAATCTCAAGCTCAGAGACACATCAGAAAGGAGGAAGTGATTCAGAAGCCCGGAGACGGGCCCGGCGAAGAGGTCTTCGCTGGCTTCTCCCTGGGTTGTTTTGATTAAAATGTGTGCTTGTTTTCCCTGGAAGGTAAAACAAAACACCCCCCTTTTCCACCGTTTCTCGCTACCGTCCTCAGCCCCTGGTCTCTCAGTGCCGGGTTTGAAAGAGCAGTCGATAAAAGTCCGTGGCCTTGGACATGAAACTCAAGCGATGTGGTGAGCCAAAGTGTGGCGTTGTCCTGCGGGAGGAGCTCACCGTCCCCTCTTCGCTGGAGCAGTTTCCTTTTGGCCTTGCCGAACCAGGACTCGCCCCACTGGCCTGGGCAGCCCTAGGGGCATCTGCAGCGCTGTGGCCCTTGGACGTCTCTGAGGGCTTCCTGGGTTCTAGAACTCAGACCTGCTATCTCTCCTTCCCAGGCCTTGGCCCACTGAAATGCTGAGCCTCTCTTGGAATTTAGCCAAGTGAAGAGTTCTTGAGATTCGAGTTGAATGGGGGGAAAAATATATATATATATACACATATATGTATATATGTTTATGAATGAGGGAAATATATATTAATATATTTATATATTTTATGTATAATATATATTTATATATTTTATGTATAATATATATTTATATATTTTATGTATAATATATATTTATATATTTTATGTAGAATATATATTTATATATTTTATGTAGAATATATATTTATATATTTTATGTAGAATATATATTTATATATTTTATGTAGAATATATATATATATTTATATATAAAACAGTGTGCCAAATGGTTAAATAGGACTTCCTTGTTTTCTCTGTTCTGATTGGGAATAGCAGTGTGCAGTTTAATTGCACGCTGCAGTATATTTTGATGCACAGGAAATTTTTTGTTACCTCGTTGTTTCAACACTTAGGTCCCCCCGCCCTACATTTCAGGCTGTGGAACTGGTGTTTCCACTCCTGTCTGGCTACTGTTTTCAGCTGTTAGGCTTTGGGGCAGATGACTTAACCTGCAACGACCCGGGACAGTGACTTCGAGCTGTGTTATAACGGACTGCTGCCTACCAAGCACTGGGACGTGGAAGTCACCAGTACTTCCACAGTTCCTGTTACTTGTGCATTCCCCCTAATGAGTGAAAGAAGGGAGGTAGATTTAATTCAATCCCTTTTCCATCAGTGTTACTTTCTTATGCAACTAAAGCGTGGTAGGAAAAACACGTTAGTGCCAAGCGCTTCTGCTGGGTTTGTGAATCATGAGCTACCACTGTTTTTGAGATCATTCATGATACAAGTTCAGTTTCTGGGCCTCCAGCAACATTTTGCAGGTGGACTCTGCTGCTCTTCACCCTCCGTAGACTCTCCAGGTGTGTGTGTGTGATGTAGTAGTTAAGCAGAGGGGGTTCCATGGACAGAATACTTGGGGTTTGAATTCTGGCGCTTCCACTTGTAAACCTTATGACCTTGGGAAAGTTACATAAACTCTGTGCCCCTGTCTCCTCAGTTCTACAAATGGGAATAGGCATGGTTTCTACCTCATAGGGTTGTGGTGAGGAAGAAGAGATTAATATATGTAAAGTGAGTAGCATGGTACCTGGCACAGTATAAGCACTGATGTGTTAGCTATTGTAGTAATTATCATTGCCTTGGTGACGGTGAGCCATAGTTATATTTGTGGACAAAATAATAACAAGGACTAGGAATAGAGTATAAAACCTAGACAAAGAAAAGAACTTTTTTTTAGTGTCTAATTCAGCAAATGTATGCTTATGGATAACTTATAAAACAAATACCAGAAGGACTATATAGATGGCATATCAGGAAGCTACAAGTTTGACAGTTGTGGAGTCGACCCTGATCATTTTAGAGATTAGGAATTGAGGTTAAGAGAAATGAAGTGACTAACCCAGGAAACAGAGGGCATTAATGCCAAAACCTGGAACCTAATCCTGTCTCCAGATTCCCAGCCAAGAGTGCTTTTCTTTGGTTATACATAATAATCTTTAAACCTTGAGAAAAATAAGCTAGACTAACCTTTAATGTACAATATACATTTGTGTAAATATCTCTGATTTGTATTCAACTTTTTTGTTGGTGTTTTGAAGGTTGAGCTTCCTTAGTATGCATTTGTGCAATATATTGTTTTTCTATTAATGAACTGAGTCTTGTTGAAGTTAATATGACAAAGCCTTCGTGCTGCTAGATTCTAAGGTGAAGAAGGGTCTTTAGAAATGCTGCCATTGGGCTGGGCACAGTGGCTCATGCCTGTAATCCCAGCACTTTGGGAGGCCAAGGCGGGCAGATCACTTGAGGTCAGCAGTTTGAGACCAGCCTGGCCAACATGGGGAAACCCCATCTCTATTAAAAATACAAAAATTAGCTGGGCGTGGTGGCGGACGCCTGTAGTCCCAGCTACTCGGGAGGCTGAGGCAGGAGAATCACTTGAACCTGGGAGGCGGAGGTTGCAGTGAGCTGAGATTGCGCCACTGCACTCCAGCCTGGGGGACAGAGCGAGACTCTGCCTCAAAAAAAACAAACAAAACAAAACAAAAAGAAATGCTGCTATTGGTGAAACCTGGTGCTTTGATTGGATATTCTTTTTCTGAGATAGACTGCTCAGAGTTTCAGATAACTTTGTAGTACTTCAGAAGTCAGAGGTTGGATATGACCATGCCTCCCTCCTGGTACTTGCTTCTGAACATCTTTTCAAAGGACAGTTGTAGTAAAAGTCATTGCTGATGTGCCCTGGTGCAGTTTCCTGGCCTTCACTGGAATAGTGTCCAAAGGATACTCAAGGGAAGCATGGTGAGCCTAGGACTTAAATGGGTCCTGGGTGAAGTGAATCTCTTTATAGAATAAGACAAACTGTAAAATTAAGAATGCCGTGATCCAGCCTGGGCAACAGACGGAGACCCTGTCTGTACAAAAAATATAAAAAATTAGCCAGGTGTGGTGGTGCACGCCTGTGGTCCCAGCTGGTCTCAGCCACTTGGGAGGCTGAGGTGGGATGGTCACTTGAGCTTGGGAGGTCAAGGCTGCAGGGAGCAACAGTCACACCATTGCACTCCAGCCTGGGTGACAGAGAGAGCCCCTGTCTAAAAAAAAAAGGTGCTATGAAATCTCATTTGACAAATGTGCATCAAATTTTTATGATGCATAAAAATATAGCAGTTTTCTACTTTGAAAACAGGGCAGTGCAGAAAGCGTTAATTTTTTTTATAATAAAAAATTGGGAATATCAAAAAATTAAACCTGAAATCATTATCTTATTAATGAACATTTCCAAATTCTGCTGTATGTGGGATATGCAAATAATGTTGCAAACACTTGAAAGTTGCTTTCAGAAAGCATCTGGCACGTCATTGAAAAAGGCTCATTTAATTTCTAAAGAAACCATGCTGTTCATTTGCTATTCTTCTAAGAATTACATTTAAAATTCATATAAGAGAGAAGAGGAAACTTAGGAAGAAAGAAGTGAATTTATTTTCCTGACCATAGGTCTTCCATCTCAACAAAACTATGTGGCTCTTGTGCCCAGGGCTGTAGGTTTGCCCACGGCTCCTTGCGGTCCTCTACTCTGTACCTCCAGCCATCAGAGTATGTATTTCTGTGGCAGTTGTTAGATAAGATGCTAAAACTGACTTTTGGCTTTGATAAGTAAACCAAGCTACTTTATCCTAATTTAAACTGATGTATTTTGCACTCATCTCATCGATTTTTATTAACATGTGGGTGGTTTTCAAGGTTGGGAATCCATAAATAAAATAATTTCCTAAAATTCGGGGTGAAAAAGTTTCAGCTATTGAGAAATAATCCCATTTAATTTCATAATGGCTTAATTAAGGCCATGGAATATAACATCTGATGCTTTTATCCTGAGAAGTCAGACTGATTCATGATTTTGTTCCCTCTGCTTTCTGTCTGTGACATTGCAGTTTTTTAATGGTCCGTCATGCTTGGTTTTAGTACTTTCTTAAGGCTGTGGAATCACATTGGGCTCAGATTTTTAGGAATTATAAAACTCATGGGAACATATGTCTGTGCCACGTGAAATCTTATCTAGGTACATGTAGGGGTAGCACTCCCTATTTTTTACCTCGGAGTACAATTGGTAGATATTTTATTTTGCAAGTTGGTTTTAGGGCTATGAAACCAAAGCAGAGTGGTAGTTGTGATTTCTCATTGTCTTGTTGTGGGGTCATTATTTGTACACTTTCTGCTTCAAAGACAGAGTGCATCTCTCTAGTTGAATTTTCTTTCTCTTCTGTTAGTTGGAGGTCTGTTGCTCCAGGTCTGCTGCTAATTAGCCATATGGCCTTGTTCCTATCGTTTATTCTTTTTTCATGTCAGTATGTCTTCCTGAAAACTAAGAAGGAGAGAAGATGCTGTGGCCCATCCCCCTGGGGGTATTATAAAAACAAGTGATAGAGACAGAAAGAAAAGATTTCTTTTTTAGAAAATTGCTAGGAAAATCTACATTATGCTTATATTTTTGCATGTCAAATTGCACATTTTCTTCAAAGGCGTACGAATTGTTAAAGTGAATCAGATTGGAGACATTGACACTGTATATATTTAGTGACAATTTATTCCACTGTCATATTAAAAACGCAACGGGGGAGCTAAAAATTAGACTAAAAGTTTTTGATTTCCATTTTAGCTCTTCAGCCATGCATGATGGCTAGTAGCATGATGTTTTTTCAAAGTCAGCTTAGCAAGGTGTTTAATGAGAACTGAGTTTACACAGTATTTCAAGATAATGAATAGACATTTATTTGCAAATAAATCTTGTTTGATTTCAATGTTTAGCATGTAAATAAGTTTTGGATGATATACATTGTTATTGTGTAGTTGCTGGGAATTTCTGCCATAAGGTAATGAATTTTTCAGCTGGAAAAGTCATGGAGTTTCACTATATTTGAGTTTACCGGACCTCTCTTGGAGGCCCCTCTGACTGGAGATGTGGGAGGATTTTCTTAGGCTTAGTGGCCCAGCTTCTCAGGTTGATTTATCAGTCTGTTTGTGCAAAATTTGAATGCCCTAGTTGCAAAGATTGGCATTTCTCCTTTTTTTCCCCATTATCCTTTACCTGTATTTACTAGATGTTTCTGAATCTTGAATTGTTGCAAGCCGAGTTACAGTTATTGTTCTTTTCTCCGAGTTTATTGTTCTTTTCTCCGTGTAAGTGCAAAGGGGCCTGCTTTGTATTTCCTAATTTAAATTTTCATCTAAAGAATCAATTTAAGAAATACTTGTATTGACTTATGGACAATTGCTTTAAATCCTATTGGACGAAGATGGTGAATCTATTTTAAATAAACTATTTTTATTTTCTACTGGCATGTCTTAAGGTTATAGTTTTTGTGTCTCTTTTAAAGGTGAAGGAGGGAGTCTTGGGATGTGCTGTCCACTTTCAAATGTAGTGTTGATTGTCCCTTTCTCCTCCTTCCATTTTTTCTATACTAGGATTTGTCTTTCTTGTTGCTGCCACATCTGATGACAACAGATATTCACATTTCTGTGTACGTCAACTTGACCAATGGTCAGGTACCACAGAGTAGGGACTGAGCATAGCAGAATTCTTGGGATAGTGGGATAGTAGAATCAGTGTAAGGTGCATCGGTCCTTCCTTGGCTGTTCTCGGCATGGTTGAGGGGTTCGTAAATGAAAAGTGTGTATATGTGTGTGTGTGTGTACATCTGTATATGTATGTTTAAGTGATAGCCACCTTTGCCTTGAGGTTTCTTCTCAGGATCGCCTCAGAACCAACACCTAGAAGTTAAGGTCTCAGTAACTATCAGGTGACTACCAATTGATGCGCTGACTTCAAAGCATCATAAGCATCATCATCATAGTCTCTTAGTCAGAGTGACAGAGGATTGGAGCCCTTATTTTTACTTCCTGCTTGATTTTGGCCAATGCAATTAACTTTTCCATTCCTTTGTTTCCATGTTCAGGGATGGATGTCTGGTAGGGTGATAGGGAGGGGGTCACACAGTTTATAATTCTGACTTAATTCCTTAGAAGAATGAGACTGTGTAACTGTTTACATTTTACTATTCCCAATTATAGTCCCTCAAATTTCTCTTCCTGATCTTTTTTCCTGCTAAACATTTTGATGTTTAAATAGTTGTAGATTTGATTTATCTTATTTAATTATGCTGTTCTTATTACAGTTTTAAAAATATTTTCCTCAATAGGACTTTTTTTTTTTTTCTTGAGGCTTGACCACAGCTCACTGCAACCCTGAACTCCTGGGCTCAAGCGATCCCTCCACCTCAGCCTCCCAAAGTTCTAGGATTACAGGTGTGAGCCATGACACCCAGCCTCAATAGGACTTTTTGATCAGTGGGGAGTTTGTACATGAAGCTTGGAATGGTTATAGTTAACTTTTATTTTTGTATAAGATGTTTAGTATCTTCCAAACAGAACTCTTCCAAATGATGGCTGTTGTTTCCTGCCATAACCAGGCATATAAGCTTAGCTTTGTTTTGGCTAAGGCATATGATAATGTGATAAATATATCTAAAAGTCCATTGGACATTTGCATGTGTGTTCACTGTGGAGGAAGAAGATGACAGAAGCTTGAATACTGAGTTGTTTTGGAAAGTCTAAGTGTTAGAAGTGTGATGTTGTGGAACTTGAAATTAAGTACAAAGAGAGTTTCTGAAGTGGTGAACATAAAGTATATTTTAAGCTGAAAGGGTGACTATTTCTTAAACCTAAAAGTCATTCTATAAATACCATAACAGCTTTTCAGCCCCCTCTGGCAATGAGAGCTCAGTCAAGTAAACAACCACCCCTCCTCAAGAGCCCTGATGGCTTGGCTTTGATAGAAGTCAGAGGTAACTGCTTGGCTTTATTCTAGGTGGAACAGAGCCATTTTCTTTGTGCACAGGTAGCGCTTTTCACAATGACACTTTTTTTTTTGTAACTGTTCTCATGCAGATAGTGTGTAGATAACTTAGAGAATATAGACAGAATACTATAGACTCAAACTTTAAAACTTAAATTCCAGGCAGAGGGTCTTCATATATAAATATAAAAGAATTAACAGTGGACTTTTATGACCGATTTATGCTATAATAACAGTGAATTTTATGGTTTTTAAAATATCAGAACTTGGTAATAGATCACTGCGTTATAACCAGACATGAAATTTTAATGATCGTTCATTTGTTCATTCACTTATTTTTATTTTTTAATTTTCTTCAGAGACAGGGTCTTGCTCTATCGTCCAGGTTGGAGTGCAGTGGCGTGATCTTGGCTCACTGCAACCTCTGCCTCCTGGGTTCAAGCCATTCCTGTGCCTCAATTTTCGGAGTAGCTGGGACTGCAGGTGTGCGCCACCACATTCGGCTAATTTATTGTATTTTTAGTAGAGATAGGGTGTTGCCATGTTGGCCAGGCTGGTCTCAAACTCCTAACCTCAGGTGATCTACCTGCCTTGGCTTCCCAAAGTGTTGGGATTACAGGTGTGAGCCACTGCGCCCAGCCCATTCACTTATTTAATGAATAAAACTGTGCCTTTTGAATGTATTGATGGCATTTTTTGGTGTCATGTTTCTACTCCCATGATGACTTTGATGGGAATGTTTAAAAATATATAGCTTTAGAAAACCACAATTTTAATAAAAAATATTCAAAACAATATATATGGAAAATAGAACAGCATATTAGCAGTGGTTGACCCTTTATGGTGAGTATGTAGATGATTTTAATTTCAATTTTTATTTCTTCTGTATTTCCCAGTTTTATGTATGGTTTTAAATTAAACATCTATTACTTTTATAGCCAGGAAAGTTAACTAAAATGGTTTTTAAGGACTCTTCAATTTCTTATTACTGTTAATCAACAATATTTACATTAAAAAGCATAAATAAATTATTTTCCTAGTTATGGTCAGTGGAGGAAAACCACAAACTGAGAAACTGTTATTACTGAAATAGACAGTCATATAATTACCATGAAATTTTTTTTCCTGGTTATTATTGATATTTTAAGGTGTATTGTGGAAAAAATGTTTGTCTGACCAGTAATGCTGAGCAATTAAGTTGGTTGATTTAACTCATGTAGTAAATGTATACAGATGATAACCAATTTACAATGGTTTGATGGTTTGATTTACAATTTTTCAACTTGATGATGGTGCAAAAGTAATACTCATTCAGTAGAAACCATATTAGAGTACTCAAATAACCATTCTGTTTTCAACTTTCAGTATAGTATTCAATAAATTACATGAGATATTCAACACTTTTATTACAAAATAGGCTTTGTATTTGCCCAGTGTAGGCTAACGTAAGTGTTCTGAGAACACGTAAAGAAGGTTAGGCTAAGCTATGTTGTTTGGTAGGTTAGGTGTATTAAATGAATTTTTGACTAAGAATATTTTCAACTTACAATGGGTTTATTGGGATGTTACCCCATTGTAAGTTGAAGAGTATTGGTAGTCTTTTAATTTAGAAGTCTATTGACACATGTTAAGAAGTATGCATTTTAGCATGGCTGACTTGTTCATTTTAGTAATCTTAGTACTCACTATGAAACTTTTATTGCTTGAGTCAACTTCTATAGTGTTAGTTTTTGAGGAGATTTGTGTGTGTGTGTGTAATTGAAATTTAATCAACTGTTTTTATTGACTATCTTTGAAATAGATGGATTAGCTCTCTCAAAATTCAAATCAATAATGGGTTACCATAGTTTATACCAACCTATCCAAAGATTTCCAACCTTGAATTAAGAATAAGTTAAAATATCAGGTTCTTTAGACAAAACTTTAATCATACAATTGAAAATGTGTCCATATTAAGACACATGTGACTATCCTGGAGATGTGGTTTATGCTGAAGCATGCTTCAGAATGACTCATTAATTCATTTAGTAGATATTTCTTGAGCCCTTTCTGTGTGCCGGGCAATATGTGTAAAGAGATGCCAGATATTAAGCTGTTTTTAATTATTATCTCAATGGATTAATTGTTACTTTAATTGTTATCTGAAAAACTTAATCTTCCTTTGCGAATTTGTAGTATGACTCTTGGCTAGGATCTGTGGGAGACATCAAGGCATTTGACACTTTTTTTGCTCTCAGTGTTGCAAATGTTGCAAGGTCAGGAATGGATACTGTCTTCTTAATCCTGTATGCTCAGCACCTGACAAAATTGCTGGTATATAGTAGGTGTTTAATAAATATTTGTGCAATTATTGTAGTAATTTTTTAGCAATGGAGGTAACACTGGCATTGAGTAACTGCAATGTCAGGCAATTTTTGTTTTTTTCCAAGTGCCCAAAAGATGATTAAAACAGTACCACAGAAAGTCAGAAGAGTCAGATTCTTTCTCTCCTGATTGGGATGACCTGGCGGGAGCTTCAAGGAGGAGGTGGCATTTTCGCTGAACTTGGAAGGATCATTAGAATATTTGTCTCAAATCTATGCCCATGATTGATTATGTATTCTTGGTACTTTTTTCTTTCATTTAAAAAAATTGGTAAAATTTTACTGTCCATTTTAATAGCTCCAAAAAACTAAAGCAAACAATTCAATATTGTTGAGATATGCAAAGACAGAAGAAATAATCTGAGAACCTATTTTATGCTTATTTTCCATAAGGTTTAAGCTTGGTTCATATCCTCTGAGAATAAGATGGCATTCCATCCTTGTCACATGCGGTGAATTTACTGAGACCTGAGATAATGAGGCTAGTACTATAAAGCCCAGTCAGGAAGAAACTTGGCAGTTGCTTGGGAGAAATTTATGCGAAGTACCCAGTGCCTTTGGCTATTATATTTTTACCTCCTTTCCCTGTATTTGTTTCCATCCCTAGTATTTCATAGTAGTTTTTCTTCATGAATCATGAACTTAATTAGAATTTTATAAATGCCTGGAAACATTGGCAATATGGACAACTTTTCATCAGATATTAAGAACTATTAAGAACTATTTTAATGAACTATTAAGAACTATTTTAATAGTTCTTAATATAGCACACACATACACGAGTCTCCCACTTGGTATAGAGTACCCTTCTGGTATATATGGAGTCCATCACGCTCTCTTTTCCTTTTGGTGTTTTAACATGTTAAAAAAGCCATAGATAGATTCCCATGAATGCAGGGAAGACTAAAGGAAGTGAACAATGCATAATCTGAATTCTTAGAATTCAACTATGTGTTAATGAGGTTCTATCTATCACTGAGATGTTTGAGTCACTGTACAAATATCATCATAAAAATTTCTTTGTGCAGATTACAAAATGCTGGACTTTTATTATATATTGATTATCCCAGAGATTTCCTCGACAGAGTCCTAGAGAAAACTTAGATTTTTAGTGAAGTAATGTCTAGTTCTCTAGCTCTCTGAGATCCTGTAATGACTAATTATGAAATAATCACTAAGGAAAAGAGGATTCTTCACATTATGTAGGAAACTTACATGGATCATCAGAACTAAAGATGAGAGCTCAAATGACCAGATAAGCAAACAAAACCTGACAAAAACCCAAAACAAAACTGGTTTAAAAGTTGTTAATTTTCTAATGGCAAATCAAAGTGTATTATTTGTAAAAATTTCAGAGAATAGAGTACTCACCAACTCAAGTTGCAGCTCACATTTAATTAAATTATTTGCAAACCTTGTAGTGAATTGCCCTGGAACTCTTGAAAATAATTTATAGGCATCCCTTGCTATCCTCATTCTTACTATTTGATCTCAAAAGCTCTAAAGATTTGGAAAGCAGGGGATACTTGGATATCACTTTGCCCACATGGATGAAGTTTAAGAATTGAAAAACTGTGTTAGAAGTAACGTTCTTTGTTGGTGAGGAACAGAAACCATCTCTGACCAGCTTACGGAAAGAAGGAAATTTACTGTGAGAATACTGGAGGAGCTCCAAGAAATAAAATGATGAGCTCAACAACTGAGCATCAGGAGAGGCAGGAACCTAGGGCTGCTTTGGGAATCTCAATAGCAGGACCTACTCTTTGGGTCCCATCATTTACATGACTTGAATGGAGCAATTTCTGTATTCAGTGTCCCTCTTGTTAAACTTCAGATTATGAGGTGATGGAATTTGGCCCCCTTGGATCAGGATTAATCATTTATATCCATGACGGCAAGTGGCAATGCCCAGATCTGGCTACCGGGGAAATCACTGTGAGCAGGGCTCCAATTTCTGCCTGCTGCTGGGGCAGTGTGGTATGGGAGAAAGAGAACAAAGATGCTGGGTGTGAGCTGGATTTCACTGCTTAGTAGGCATCTTAATAGTCAGATTTTAGTGCCTTTTAAAGTAAATTGCGATAAAATATACATAAAATTTATCATTTTGACCGTTTAAAAAGATATAATTCAGTGATATTAAGGACATTCACAATGTTGAGCAACCATCACTGCTCTGCATTTCCAGAACTTTTTTTTACTATCCCAGACAGAAACTCTGTATCCTTTAGAAAATAAATTCCCATTCTCTCCTTACCCCAGCCCCTGGTAACCTCTAGTCTACTTTCTGTCTCTATGAATTTGCCTATTCTAGGTACCATGTATAAGTGAAAACATGCAATATTCATCTGTCCTTTTGTGTGTCTGGCTTGTTTTACTTAATGTTTTCAAGGTTCATCCATGTTGCAGCACATGTTAGTACTTCATTCCTGTTTATTGAGAATACTATTCCATTGTAGACATATGATCCATTGTGTTTATCCATTCATCAGTTGATAGGCATTTGGATTGTTTCCACTTTTTGGCTATTATGAATAATGCAGCTGTGAATATTTATGTACAAGATTTTGTATAGATATATATTTTTAAAAATTCTTTTAGGTATATACTTAGCAATGGAATTTCTGGGTCATATGGTAATGCTATGTTTAGCATTTCACCTTGGTCTTTCCTATGTGCTTTACCCTGTGTTACTTTTCCTTCCTCCATATAATCTTATTACATACAATATAATTTATTATCTATTGTATCCATTGTGTATCATCTGTCTACCCCGATAGACTGTAAGTTCTTTGAAGGCAGGGATCTTTTTGTTTTGCCACTGAATATCTCAAAGCGCTTGGCTCCATAAATATTAATAAATATTTGTTGCATTACCATATACGTATTTAATTTTAAAATCTCTAAGTAGCTGTTAACATCAGTTCCTCTCTGGAAAAAAGTCAATATAATGTCTCATATTTCTTAAATACCTTGAGATCCATGGGCAATTCTTTTAAAATGGATGGGAGTTGTCACTGGGTTTATGGTGTCATTAAATCTTGCCATCATCAGTCTTTTAATAATCTGTTGTGTCATCTCTCTCTACACACTCAGATCAATATGTGGTAAAGCTTACACTCTGAAAAAGTAATGTACATGGCCTTTTCTTTTTTTTGAGACTGAGTCTCACTCTGCTGTCACCCAGGCTGGAGTGCAGTGGCATGATCTTGACTCACTGCAACCTCTGCCTCCTGGGTTCAAGCAATTCTCCTGCCTCAGCCTCTGGAGTAGCTGCGACTACAGGCTCGTGCCACCATGCCCAGCTAATTTTTTTGGGTATTTTTAGTAGAGATGGGGTTTTGCCATGTTGTCCAGGCAGGTCTCAACCTACTGGCCTCAAGTGATCCGCCTGCCTCGGCCTCCCAAAGTGCTGGGATTACAGGCGTGAGCTACCACACCTGACTTACATGGCCTTTTTTTTTTAATGATTTGCATGCTATAGCCACATTAAAGAAAGGTTAATATTTCTGTAAATTCAGTTTGTTTTTACGTGTTCAAAGAGTGAATTTGTAAGCATTTTGTGAAGCCATTTCTTAATTTAGGTGGGCCTTTTCTCTTAGTGGGTAGTACATTATACATCCAGGGAGACATTTTATACTTTAACTGCTATTGACAGAAAAATTTATTTAAAAAGAATTTGCTGATAAAAATGCAGCGAGTAGTTGGGGAATTTATAGTACTTTAGAAAGATAGAATAGGGCATATGACACCTTGTAATTTTCTTTTTAAAATTCAAGAATAAGTGTTTGGAAAATGATAAGCATTTAAACACAGATTAAGGAGAACAAATGGGCAGAATTTTGTTCCTCGTTAATTTATATCATATCTATTGACTAAGTCTGTTGTAATGAGCTTTGCCTTAAGCCAATTCCAAAAGATACAATATCCAGCCAATTTCTTCAAGAATTTGAAATTCTCCAGTGTTATTATTGACTTATGCTAGGAATCTTCATTGGTAACAGTGTTACAAATGAGGACTTGTTTGAGAGTTATTTGCATATAGGACAGAGAAATAAAGTGAGAAATATAGATATGTACAAATTACAAAATAACTTGAAAAATAAAACACATATTTTGATTTCTTCTGGTTCTAACATCCTATAATGCTCTTTGCTAGATATTTAAAAATGTAATATCTTTAGAAAAGCAATTTTGAGGTGAAGATACCAAGTATTATCAGAGTTTTGTTTCATTTCTATAACATCCAAACTAATCCAGTTTAAGTATATCATACCAATAAAGATAGTGACTTAAAACAAAATTCTATTACCCAAATCACCAAACACAGTTACATTAGGAATCCAAAGTAAGTTAATGATTTAAGGAACAGTTACTGTGTTTGGCTAAAGTGTTCAAGGTCATTGCTAATATCGGGGACATAACTACTTAAACATTTGCATTTCGGGTAGATCTTTGACTTCAACCATATTTTCAAAGATGATGATTTCAGTTCTGGTTCTTTACATTAGTAGGGAAGGTAAAAAAAAAAAGGAATTTTGTTGTACTCAGAGTCCTATACTTGTGGCTAGGAATGATAAATATTAAGTGACCTTTTAAGTCAAATCAAGATTCACTGTCAGTGAAAATGTTATTAAAAACCTGACTACACTAATCCATGTGCAGGAATATTAATAAATGAGAAAAGGACTTTTATTTACCTTTCTTCCTTTATTTACCTGACAGGTCATGATTTAATAGCTGAGTTCCAATTTAAAACCCATGCGAAGAATGAGCCTCCTTTCCTGGTCAGTACAACGAAGTCATTGTTATCTGTTAGGGGAGAAACCAAATGGATCCTTTCAAAAAGTCTCAGTGGCTAAAGAATCTCTCAGAAGGTCTTTTAAAGTATTATCACATTGCAAATGTAAAAGCACTTTCTTAAGAATTGGAGAATCTGAATGAAGAACTGTTTGGGTAAGTTGTCGCATAGGAGTTCTGAGAGGCAGTAATTTCTTTGGCAATGGATACCCATGAAGTGATTCTATAAACATTTCTAAAGATTAGATCAATATTTGTATTACACATTTTTTTCAAAATGGAAGTTATAATTAATCCAATAAATTCTAAACAATAACCACATTATTTAGTTTTAAACATATTTAATTGAACAAAATGCATGCTAATTTCAGTTTTTGTATCATAGACTACTAGTGATTTCTCCAAATTCATTTTTCCCTTCTTCCATACTAATAGAAGTAATTGAGTTTGTGGGTACCCAGAATAAAGACCACATTTTCTAGCCTCCTTTGTAGCCAGGTGTGACCACAGGCTATACTTTGCAGTCAGGTATTTTAAGGAAGGATTTACTGCCTCCCCCACCCTCCCTCTGCCCCTACCCCATTCAACTGTTTGAAATATGGACATGGGAAAATGGCATCTTGGACCATACAGATGAGGTCAGTCACTAGGGATAATAGAGCATCAAGAAATGAAACAGTTCTCCAGATGTCCTCAAATGCTGGCTCTACTGTATATGGTCTAAAAAGATGAAACTAGGTGGGTAGACAAGAGCCAGATTATGTATTCCCTATTAGGTAATGGGAAGCTATTGAAGGATTTTGAAGCAGGAGAATGAAATAATCAGACTTTGCTCTAGAAAAATCAGTCAGTGGTAAAAAGGAGGAATAGAAAAAGGCTGAAAATGGCAGGCAGAGGAGGAATTGATACACAGCAGCCTGCACCAAACAGCTGTAGTGGGGCTGAAAAGCAGCTTGTCAGCAGAAGCACTGAAGGGACAGTATCTTTGTTTAGTGTTTCACTTTAGGCCTAGAAAAGATGTATGAATTAAGATAGTCACCACTGCTATTGAGGCTTTATTAGTTTTGAAACTGAGCATACAGATTTGAAGTTTCTCTTTTGTTTGCTCACATTTGAATAACATGTCATTACACCCAGCATTATCGCAGGCTTTTCAGGTTTCTGAGATACAAACGTCATCTTGTGTCGTTTCTCCTTCCTCTAGCTCTGTGCTTTGTTCGTACTGCCCTTTTTTTTTTTTTTTTTTTTTTGAAAGAGACTCTCGGTCTGTCGCCCAGGCTGGAGTGCAGTGGCGTGATCTCGGCTCACTGCAACCTCTGCCTCCCGGGTTCAAGTGATTCTCCTGCCTCAGCTTCCCCAGTAGCTGGGACTACAGGTGCATGCCACCATGCCCGGCTAATTTTTTTGTATTTTTTAGTAGAGATGGGGTTTCACCGTGTTAGCCAGGATGGTCTTGATCTCCTGACCTCGTGATCCGCCCACCTTGGCCTCCCAAAGTGACCTTTTTCACCTTTATAGTTACACAGACATTCTGAGTTCCCTTTCGCCACCGAGCCTTTTTATGTGCTTTTCCCTCTGTCTGGTCAATTTCCCATCTTACCTGCACACCTCTCACCTGTTTATTATGTGGATTTCCAGCTTTCTGACTCATCTATAGTGAACTGTTCCTGATCTCCCAGACTATGTGAGGCCCCTTTACTATATACTCAGATAGCACCATATTCTTTTCCTTCACAAAACTTACCGCAATTATAGTTTTAATTTTGCTTCTATTTTTGTGAATATTGGATTATGTTTGTTTCACCCACTATACTTTAAACTCTGTAAGGGCTGTGACTATGTCTGGCTTTGCTAATAATCATGTCCTCAGGTCTTTCACGATGTCTGTCACATAGTAGATACTCAAGAAGTATGTTGAGGGAATGAAAAATGCTTTAGCATATAGTTAACATGGGCTTTTGGTTCCGACAAACCTGGTTTTATATGATGACTCCACTCTCTCATGGTGTGATCTTCAGAAGTTATTTAATACTGAACACCTCAGTTTCCTTATCTGTAAAGCAGGATTATTGTCCAGTTTATAGTATCACCATGACGTTAATGGCAACTAACATATGTAAAACACTTAGTAAGTGTCAGGCTCATAGCATCAGATACCTAAAGTATTAAATACATGGAAGCTATTATTATTTATATTATTAGTAGTATATCTGAAAAATCAGCATGAGTTTCTTTTTGGAAGCTTGGCTAAGTTAATATTACATTGATGTTAAAAAGTTCTGCTGTATTATGTTTATATCATTTTGCAGTACACCTTTTTTTTTTTTTTTTTTTTTTTGAGACGGAGTCTTGCTCTGTCACCCAGGCTGGAGTGCAGTGGCGCGATCTCAGCTCACTGCAAGCTCTGCCTCCTGGGTTCACACCATTCTCCTGCCTCAGCCTCCCGAGTAGCTGGGACTACAGGCGTGTGCCACCACGCCCGGCTAATTTTTTGTATTTTTAGTGGAGGTGGGGTTTCACCGTGTTAGCCAGGATGGTCTCGATCTCCTGACCTCGTGATCCACCTGCCTCAGCCTCCCAAAGTGCTGGGTTTACAGATGTAAGCCACCGCGCCGGCCACAGTACACCTGTTTTTAAGCTGTTATTTGTTTAGTAGGCTGTTCAAAGGCATATTGCCTTATCTATTATTTATTTTGGTTTTGGACTTTTTTTTTCTCCCTTACTTTGATAATGCACGCTACTCAATTGCAGGTAGTTATATTTATCTTTTGTTACTGGTTTGATGCATGCTATCCTTTTGATGTAATGCAAACACCTGAACTACATCAACATTAATAATAACCTTAGAATTGCTTAGCATATATTTACAATATCTTCCTTGACTAGAATTTTCAACTTTTTAAATGTTTTAAAACCAACATGTTATTTTAGTTGCTAATATTTCATCCCGATTAGAACATAGTAATAGAAAGAAACAATTTAGTTTTATTTTTTGAGATTAAAAACAAGTGTTTGTTTTGGAACCATTAGAATATCTTTTGCATGTTTTCATTGGACAGCTGGTGCTACTATCCCTTCTCTGAGATTTCCTTTTTTTTTGAGACTGAGTCTTACCGTGTCACCCAGGCTAGAGTGCAGTGGCACAATCTTGGCTTACTGAAACTTCTGCCTCCCAGGTTCAAGTGATTCTCCTGCCTCAGCCTCCTGAGTAGCTGGGGACTAGAGGCGTGCACCATCATGCCTGGCTAATTTTTGGTGGAGATGAGGTTTCACCATGTTGGCCAGGATGGTCTCAAACTCCTGACCTCAACTGATTCACCCGTCTCGGCCTCCCAGAGTGCTGGGATTACAGGCATGAGCTACTGTGCTTAGAGTCCCATTCTATTGGCTAAGAATTCTGATTAAACTTCTGTGACTGTTAGAGGAATTGGCAAAAACACTTATCTAGTTTGGATAATTAACCATTTTACAGATAAACAAATTTGTTTAGGAAAATCTTGTCAAATTTTAAATAGTAACTAATCAAATTATCATGCTTCTCTTGTAAGTATTAATGATTTTTACACAAGTCATTGGGATTGAAAAGGTATAAAGAGTGTATTTTATTTCTGCTTCTTAGATTTACCTAATGAATAAAAATTATTCAGGCCCTACCCTTCTTTTAATTGTGCCATAAAAGGAGATTTTACTGTTTATTGGAAACTTAGTATATACGTGTATACAAATTATTGGAAAACCTTTTAAAAAATTAAAGCATTAAAAAACACTTTGAAGAATAAACCACTTTATAAACTCTTATTTGAAAATTTCTCTGTGAGAAAATATTTCTTTTTAGCTAACATAAATTCTTGATGGTGAAGTCTGAGCTAGTTTGCTATTTCTAGGGATTCTGGAGTACCTGGTGGTGGAGAAGAGCTTGCAAAGTGCCACACTCCTGGATGTGATAAAGAACTGGTGTATCTATTTTGTAATTTTTAATTTATTTTTATTTTTAATTTTGAAATTCATTCCTTCAACAGAACTGGTGTAACTGAAGACACTAGTTTTATTTCTAAGTTTATTACACTTAGTTTTATTAGTTAGGGTGCTTTTTGGTTGCAAAAGTGAGAAAACCCAACCCAAGCAATTTTCACCCCAAAAGAGAACCTTGTGATTAAGGTAACTGAGAAATCTTGGCATAATCTCCTGGGTTCCTTCATTCTGCGGCGTCATCAGCATTAGTCCTGCCCTTGCGCAGGTGTTTTGTTTATGGCATGGCTGCTATCTGCCGCAGCCTTACCTCTGTCCTCTTACACCAGAGCTGAAAAGAGTGCCTCATTCCCCTAAACTCCAGAAAAAAACACTATGGTTATTACTGTTGCAATGGCTGGCTCGATGATGGTCCAGCTGCTCTGATGGCAAAGGTGACGTCATCACGAGTAGGAGAAGAGCAGTTCTCCATTCTTCATGTAGGGCTCTGTTGCCAGAGGAAGGACAGTGGATGATGGATAGGCGGAGACAACACATGTACACTGTGGCCAAATAAAATCACCCCTTTACCTTCACGAAGCCACATTTCCTAAGTCCTTACAAGCAGGATATAAAAATTGGAAGCCTTTAATGATTTTGGTATTTATACTATTCTTATTTCCAGTTCATTGTTCTGGGGCTTTATTTTAGGACTCTTTCAGGTGGCGTACACTTCCTGATGGAAAGGAGAATTATCCGAGTCCTTTTACATGCCACAAAGCCTCAAAGCTCTGGTCTGGTCTAAACTTCACCTTGACATCAGCTAATGAAAAAAAGGATTCTAAGGAAATCAAGGATGGGGGTAATGGTGAGGGGTCAAAGAGGAAAGGCAGCAGTTTGGTGTGGCTAAATTATACCTCAGTAATGCTGCTACGAGATTTAAAAAGGGAGGGGAGTTTCTGAAACAAACTTCCCAAATAAGCACATTATTCAGAATCACAGAACTTTGATAAATGAATCTCATTCATGAAAGCATATGTTTATGAATATTTCTCACAGTAAATTTGTGAATATTCCCACTTTTAGCTTAGATGCAAGTAGCTTATCTTGTGTCTATGAATAATTGTGGCTCTTTATGTGTACACAACAAGCATGAATTAATAATTATTGTGATAGAGATGAACACAAAGCAAGGTGTTATATAAGCAGGGTTTAAAATTTTCAAAATTTAAAATGTAAAATTTAAAAGTAAGGAATT
The DNA here is from genome assembly GCF_000001405.40 of Homo sapiens. Taxonomy (NCBI): domain Eukaryota; kingdom Metazoa; phylum Chordata; class Mammalia; order Primates; family Hominidae; genus Homo; species Homo sapiens. Next base: position 26,813,224 of record NC_000012.12, on the reverse strand, counting down.
GTTAATTTAGATCTCAGAAATTAGAAAATCTTACTGCTAAAATGCTTTTTATTAAAAATTCCCCAGTAAAACAAATATAATTTATTTTATGCTACAACTAAATATGAATTATAATTAATAATTAACATAATATTTGAAATGTGATCTTTATGTAACTTTTTTGAAAAGTCAAAGTAAGCTTTTTGCATTCTTAAAAGTCAGTATCTTCAACCATTTTTGTTTCTTCTGTTTTAAGTATTTAAAACTCAGGTCCATGTTGTACTATTGAAGACGTTGGTTGGTTATGACATGACTATCTAGAAAATCAAATTTAATTTCAAAGTTAAAGTCAAATCATTGAATAAATAGATGTTTGATAGTGGCTTTTTAAAGGCAGTGTTGTTTGCAGAGAGAGCTGCTCAAGCCCTTGGGTCTGAATTCTGTTCTGTCCTGAAGAAATTCTGAGAAATTGAAAACATCATTTAACGTCTGAATTAAATTCTTCATCTTTATATTGGGAGTACTGATAACACTTCTCTTGTGTTCCTCAGTGGTCCTTTGGAGTTAAGAAATGACATTATACCTGTTTGAGTATCTGGAAAGCTGTAAGCTGTAAGCTGTACTGGTACAGCTAGACATTTAAAAATTAGTATTAGGTTTTTTTTTTGAGACGGAGTCTCGCTCTGTCGCCCAGGCTGGAGTGCAGTGGTGCAATCTCAGCTCACTGCAAGCTCCGCCTCACGGGTTCACGCCATTCTCCTGCCTCAGCCTCCCGAGTAGCTGGGAGTACAGGCGCCTGCCACCACGCCCGGCTAATTTGTTTGTATTTTTAGTAGAGATGAGGTTTCACTGTGTTAGCCAGGATGGTCTCGATCTCTTGTCCTCGTGATCTGCCCACCTCGGCCTCCCAGAGTGCTTGGGATTACAGGCATGAGCCACCGCATCCGGCCGTATTAGGTTTTTTTTAAAATGGTAAAATCATAAGGTTACCTAAACCTATTTATTAGCAGGAATTGAATCATATGACACATTTTAGTGCCAACGGATTATTTTTCTATATTTCTTTACTTTTTTTTTTTTTTTGAGATGGAGTCTTGCTCTGTTGCCCAGGCTAGAGTGCAGTGGGATGAGCTCGGCTCACTGCAACCTCCGCCTCCCGGGATGAAGTGATTCTCCTGCCTCAGCCTCCCGAGTAGCAGGGACTACAGGTGTGTGCCACCATGCCCAGCTAATTTTTTGTATTTTTAGTAGAGATGGGGATTCGCCATGTTGGCCAGGCTGGTCTTGAACTCCTGGCCTCAAGTGATCTGCCCCTTGGCCTCCCAAAGTGCTGGGATTACAGGTTTGAGCCACCACGCCCGGCCCTAGATTTCTTTTTTTTTTTTTTTTTTTCAGACGGAGTCTTGCTGTGTCGCCCAGGCTGGAGTGCAGTGGTGCGATCTCGGCTCACTGCAAGCTCCGCCTCCGGGGTTCGCGCCATTCTCCTGCCTCAGCCTCCTGAGCAGCTGGGACTACAGGTACCCGCCACCACGCCCGGCTAATTTTTTTTTTTTTTTTTTTTGAGACAGAGTCTCGCTGTCCCCCAGGCTGGAGTGCAGTGGCGTCATCTCGGCTCACTGCAGGCTCTGCCCCCCGGGTTCATGCCATTCTCCTGCCTCACCCTCCCGAGTAGCTGGGAGTACAGGCGCCCGCCAGGGTGGTCTCGATCTCCTGACCTCGTGATCCGCCCGCCTCGGCCTCCCAAAGTGCTGGGATTACAGGCGTGAGCCACCGCGCCCAACCAATTTTTTGTATTTTTTAGTAGAGATGGGGTTTCACCGCGTTAGCCAGGATGGTCTCGATCTCCTGACCTCGTGATCCGCCTGCCTCAGCCTCCCAAAGTGCTGGGATTACAGGCATGAGCCACCAGGCCCTAGGTTTCTATACTTTGAAAAGCAGAACAACGTTTCCTCTTCAGCAGTGATGCAAATAGGAAGAAAATGTTGAATTAGTTTCATATCCGGGTATTTTCTTGATTTTATTTTGTGTTTATTAATGAAGAAACATATTTGGAAAATAGAAATAAGTTCTATACAAAATTAAACATCTTGTTTTAGGCAGTCATTTTAAAACTACACTCCAAATATCTGACTACAATTCAGCAGGTCTGTCATGATATTTGGAGTGTCATTAGAGTATCTTTCTGTTTTTTTTTTTTTTTTTTTTTTTTGTAACTTAAAACACAAGAGAGGAGATGAGACATGGATTTAAACTTCATTGTTTGTTTAAAAAAACAGAACAGACCAGGTGTGGTGGCTCATGCCTGTAATGCCAGCATTTTGGGAGGCTGAGGCAGGAGGATTGCTTGCGCCCAGGAGTTTGAGACCAGCCTGGGAAGCATAGTGAGATCCTGTCTATAAAAATAAATAAATAAATGAAACCAAACAAAAAATGAAACTGGTCTAGCTGTTTCTTCAAACTCCAGCAGCATTCAGGGAAGTTAAAGGGTGAAATACTAAACACAGTTATGTGTCTAAGTCAAGATGTCCATACATGAAAGGAATGTAACATTAAGGGAGAGAAAATAAAACAGTTCCTATCACATCCTTTTTGTTCCTGTTTTTAAATCCCAAGTCCTTTAAAGAAAACTTCTGCTGCTTAGCAAGTCTTTAGGCAACGCTTGGAATGCTCATGCAGAGACTGGCCCAGCGACAGCCCTGGACTGCCAAGTTCTTGGAATCGAGTCAGTCAGGGAAGAGGCTTTTGATTGGTGTGTGAAAGGAAGGGAGGCTGAATGTCTGAGCCGGGCTGTGCTGAGCAGAAGGGAAGTAGGAAAAAGGTTGGGCACAGGGATAATAGTGAGTCCCCACTTTATGGCTTTTTTTACATTTCAAACATTGAATAAAGCAGGTAACTGATGAGATGTCATTTCACTGATTTAACACTGAAATATAGGACACTATGAAAAAAAAGCTATAAGGATTTGAGGCAACCATTCACTGTAGGAACTATCCACAAAATTACTTTATAAGAAAACTAAAAAAGGAATGGGGTAGTTCTACTGGCAATACTAAATCTCCTTCCAGAGTGAACCTTTCAGTCATGTGCCCATCACAGACCTTCTTCAGACTAGACAAAAGCAAGGGCAAAGTGAGATTGCGAAAGTTATTTTATTCTTTTATGATTTAGGATAAGTCTTACTTCCCCTGGCAGGAGATGCCATCATCTTGCGTGGATGTGGCCTTTCAGTGACAAAGCCCTTAGTGTACAATCCAGAAACAACACACAGTTGAAGAATTGTTTGTCTTCTAATGGATGTATTTTTCCATGTAATTTATAATTATGAATGGCATTATGACTTAATGTGCAAAGCTAAGAAAACTGAAAAAAGAAAAGCTGAAATCTGTATTGGAGTGTGGGAAAGAGGGAGTCTATTATTAAATCTACGCTCGTTATTTATAGCATGCCCAACAGGATGAGGTAACTATGGAGGTTTGTCTCTTTCATGATTAGGTTTGGTTGGAAATCATCAGATTAGCAAGGCCATCAAGCCGTAAGAACAGCTGCTAAACTACTCCCCCAACCCCCGCCAAGCCCCTGAAAACCAGTTGAAAATATTTTGGGTAAGTTTTACTCAAAATATCTTTAAAACCTGACATTATAAAAGAGAGTGAGAAAGGCAGATATGGATAGAAGGTCATACACACTTGGGGAGAATTGGTAAAATCTTACCAAAATGTCAAATGAGATTGCCTGTTCCTAGGGAGATATTTCATAGGGAAGAGTGAGGTAGTGGGTACCTGGAGAATATGGATCAGTGAATTATTTGGGCAGGTTAAAAAAATTCATTGTGTACATTTGATTACATAACCTTCAGTTTCATTCCACAGAATAGCTGAAGGTTGAGAAATAAGTTGTTTTGCATTGAAAAGGAATCTACTTTTGGGAGTCTATAAGTAGGAACAGCCAGACCATAAGCCACTGAGTCACATTCTTAGGGGACGTTTAGGGACAAAATAATTATAATGAAATTAGCTGCTGTTTAGACATCTCTGGAAGGCATTTTTTGAATAAGGAAAAGCAGCATCCCTGGTTCCTGTTTTTCCTTTTAACCAGAGAGGAATCTGATCAGTATCAGTTTAGAAGAAAACTATTTTGCAGATGAGAGGAGATGCCTTTCCTTTTGGGTCCAGGAAGTGCAGGGATGAAACATATGCTTCAAAAGGAATCAGAAAGTAGAGACTGAGATGTTCACCACCCACTCAAATGAAGGGCAGAATACAGGTGGTTAAGACTCCAGTTGTTAGCTGTTAGTTTTGTTTTCATAGGAAAAAGGATTATTAAAGGAGTTAACCTCATAACGTATTGTAAAGGCGTGTAGTATTTCTGTGAAATGCCTGTTGAATAGAGTGTGTTCTCTTTGAACACACCTCTGTGTTAGAGTTAAGAGATCAGAATTTCCATAATCATTTTGAGACATATTGATGCCAAGTTATGCTTATGCTTTAAGAGTTTTTCTTAATGTTTTCTGGGGTCATAGGTGCCTTTAAGAGTCTGAGAAAATTTTTTGTGCAGCTTTCCATTACTATGCCTAACCGCAAGATTTTACATATATTTGAGGGTCTTCAAGATTCCTTGAAGGCTATCCCTTGGACCCAAGCTTGGACCCAAGCTTGGGAGTACTTGTGCTAACATGCAATAATGGCTCTAACATTAAAATTTAAGCTGTAGATTTGGTCTGTCATGTACACTGCTTTATCCCCAGTGCCTAGAACAGTGCGTGGTTCATAATCAACACTCAATAAATATTTGTTGAATGAATAAATCAATGACAAAATGAACATTTTATTTTTTAGTATGTGGCAGGTATGGATTTTTTTGGTTACTTGTACTTTATTAGTTCTTTACTAGCTGTGTGACCTTCATGGCTACATTTACTTCTACTGAAAGGAACAGAAACCCAAATAAGCAAAATAGAAGCTGGATGGTTTGCATTGCTGGGAAGTTCAAGAGAGGGATCTGGCTTTAGGTACAACTGGAACCAAGGGCTCCATTGATGACACCAGGATTTTGCCTCTCTTTCTTGGCTTCTCTCCTTCTTGTAGGCTTTGTTCTCTGGCAGATTTTTTCCCAGCCATGGTGGTGAAGAATGGTTTCTAGGCCTACACTTTTCCTCATGATGCTTGATTTTAGAAGGAAGTAGAACCTGTGTGGCATATGTGCCTTTGTAAAAGCACTTTGGCCCTGCTTGGGTTAAGTACTTGTTCTTTGGATCAAGAACTGTGTCTGGGGGTAATGGGAGAGAAAGAAGCCAGCTTAGTTAGGTCTCATACCTTTCCTTGGGTGGTGGAGGACTTCCTTTGGTTCTTCATGCCATGTTTAAGAGTTGTACTTGGGAAAGAGAAATCTCTAAAAGGGAAAGAAAAAGACTAAACTGTAACTGATATCCATGGCACCTTTCGTGAATAGTTTAATTTGGGGTTGATATTATGGTCTTAAGATGTCAGCAGGTCCATTGAATGTCCCTTACCAAGCAACTGGTTTTCTGGGTGGTATCACCAAATGCACTTACATTCTGAAAGTAAAGACTATCTTTCTTGCAGAATTTTTAATAATTAGGAGAATAAATACCAACATATGTACAAAAAAGACAACAACTAGGAGAGCATTATAGGAATCTTGTGAAACCTGCTGTAAATCACGGAGAGCTGCTGTCTTCAGACTGCAGAGGCAGTGATTTGGATTCCCCACATATGACATTGTGTTCCAGCTTTGACTTCTCACCTACCCTCTGATGCCTGCAGCAGGACATTGGCATGGACTGAACACATTGTGCTTGGCTGGGTTCATAAGTAGAATCAGTGCAGGTTGATTCTGGGTGGGAAAGGAAATACTTTGCAATGTATGGGTATTGTTGAAATCCTTTCCTATGTGTTTTGTTTTATTACAGTGGAACATAGAATCAATGACTAAGATTTCAAATGACTACAATTTCAATTATTATTTTTTGACATATATTTCATTTAACATGGATTTTCGAACAATGAATATATATATATCTTCTTTTTTGTTTTTTTTGAGACAGAGTCTTGCTCTGTTACCCAGGCCGGAGTGCAGTGGTGTAATCTCGGCTCACTGCAACCTCCACCTCCCAGGTTCAAGTGATTCTCAGGCCTTAGCCTCCTGAGTAGCTAAGATTACAGGTGTGCACCACCATGCCTGGCTAATTTTTGTATTTTTAGTAGAGATGAGGTTTCACCGTGTTGGCCAGGCTGGTCTAATAGTGCATATATATATATTTCTTAAAGAGAAGAGGGATATTTTCTTTGTATAATATTTGTGAAATTTTGAGAATAACACCCTTAGGGTGATTCAAATGCATTTAAATCTTTCACATGTATTTTGATAAATTAAGATGGTTGCAATGGGCTGGGCATGGTGGCTCATACCTGTAATCCCAGCACTTTGGGAGCCCGAGGCAAGAGGATTGCTTGAGCAAACGTGCTTGAGACCAGAGTGGGAAACGTGGCGAAACCCTGTCTCTACAAAAAGACAAAAATTACCCAGGCATGGTGGCAAGTGCCTGTAGTCCCAGCTACTACCACTCAGTAGTTCCAGATCCTTATCCTGAAATTCTTTTCATGTTTAGTAACGAAATGTGAACTTACCCAGAATATTCCCACACATTTATTCTTCTCTTTCCCCTTAAGACGTAGTGAAGGGATTCAACTAGAAGGTAATGTGGTACTTGACACACAGTGGGTGGTCAGTTATACTTGTTTAAAAAAGGATGAGTGAATATAAATTAATGTGTAACAAACAGTGTACTGTAAGAGTAGAGGGTAACCACAGTCTCTTGTTTTTTTTTCAAGGCTTTTTCTATGTCTTATTTTTTCCTATTAAAAATCATGTTTGGATAACATTTTCCACCAAGAAGTTGAGTACATTCATATTTACTGAACTCAGTAAGTGAATATTCAGTGTTTACTCCGTGCCAGGCAGGGTCTAGTTTTCGGGCTCTGAAGTACTTAACTGCACTATATTTATGGTCATTACTATATTGCCATATATAATTCCACTCCAAAATCAATATAACAGCTCTCAAAAAAGAGCAACTGTTTGTATCTCCTCTGAAATTTCCTGCTGTGCTCCCTAGTTGGGAGATTGATAGCTTTTGAGAAACATATTTATGGACCCTCACTTTTCTTACCTGGATTGCTGTGCTAGTTTCCAAAGTGGTCTTCCCACTTCTGTCTCTCTCTTCCCCACCAGTCTATCTATTCTCAACCCAGCAGCCAGAGGGATCTTTTTAGAAATAAACCAGATCACGTTGAGCTACCTGTGCTCCCAATGCTCCCATCTCACTCAGAATGGAAACCAGAGTGTTTCCTATGACTTGGGAGGCCCTGCAGGTCTGGCCTTCCATTCCTTAATGGTTCAGATGTCCTTGCCAATCACTTACCTCCTTCCTGGCTCCTGCCAGCCATATTAGCTTCCTTGCAGGTCTTGGAACATAGTGAACACGGTCCCACTGTAGAGCCGTGTTTTATGTTTCCTTTTTTCTATAGTGTTTATCCCTTAGCGTGCTATGTAATTTATGGATTTACTATGCTTATTGCTTGTGATTTGTCTCCTCCCCATTCCCTCCTGGAAGAGTATTAGTTTTGTTTGCTCTTAGATCAAGCCTGGCACAAAGTAGCTGGTCAGTAAATATTTGTGGAATGAATACATTTCTTTGTGAAGATATTTAAATTCATTTTTTTCTGAAGTGACTATCTTACTGGTGAACTTCTTTCAACAATTAAGCAGTAATAAATAATGATGATGAAAATGGCGATAGCCAATCATTACTGAGTATGTACTTGGTGTCAGGTGTTGAATAAATAACATTAATAATGATGATAATGATGGCTAACCTTTATTGCATATAACTTTGTACTGAGCATTTTGCTTTATTAAATCAGTTAATTTTAAAATAAACCCTATGAGGTTAGTACTATTATTATCTCAATTTTGTAGTTAGGCCAGAGAAACGACTTTCCCAACATCACAGATTTAGTATGGAAAAGATACAATTGTGATATTAGACTCTTAAATAGAAAAATATATTGTTAAATTTATATTTTCCCATTTTAGTCCTATTAGGTTACAAACCAGTATGTCTCTTTACGAATTTTTATTTGTGGTCATGATCACTGTCTGAAGGATTAGGGATTAGAATTAGGGATCTCTGGCCTGGTGCGGTGGTTCACGCCTGCATTCCCAGCACTTTGGGAGGCTGAGGTGGGTGGATCTCTTGAGCCCAGGAGTTCAAGACCAGCCTAGGCAACATGGCAAAACCCCGTCTCTACTAAAAATACAAAAATTAGCCAGGTGTGGTGGTGCACGCCTGTAGTCTCAACTGATAGGGAGGCTGAAGTGGGATGATTGCTTGAACAGGGAGGTCAAGGTTGTAGTGAGCCAGGATTGCAGCACTGCATTCCAGCCTGGGTGACAGAGAGAGACCTTGTCTCAAAATAAATAAATAAATAAAAATAAAATAAATAAGAGTCTGTTTTATTTAGAGATAAATTCATTATCTATTATTAATTATAAATTCTACTTTAAGAGTACTACTATTTCTGCCTCCAGGGGTTGGAAAAAATATCCAGCCTATAAGCGAGGGAAATGATTTAATTTAATGCATACAGATGTAGCTCTTTTCAGCCATCAGACTTTTCTGCTTGTTTTTATTTCCTTTTGATTTTACCCTTGGTTTGCTCAGCTTTCAGAGGTCATGTGGGTTGCTTCATTATTTTCGGGTAAGGACTTACTCACTCCCTCCCAGAAAGAGAGGTCTCTGCACTTTAATTAAAATTCTCCAGAAGAAGGTATATCTGTCATTCTAGCCACAATTAGTCCCTTGCCAGTAACCTAAATAAATCTGAGAATATTTTCTTTGTGCACAGAAATGTCTTAAAAGAGGGATTGTATGCCCATTGATTCCATCCATACCAATTAAAAGTGTGAATTTGGAATGACAACTGTATTTTTTTTCTAAAACCCATGTTTATTCACATTTAGCCAATGTTAAACGTTGGAAGCTCTGTCTGAAGGAATTACCTGGGAATGGGAAGTTGTTTTGTTTTTTAGCTTTTCCCTTTTCTGGTAGTTCTCAGAAAGATTCTATTTACTAGTTGACTCAGAAACAACAGTCATCTGCTTGGAAATTTCACAAGGTAACTTAAAATTATTTCTTTATTTTTTATTTATATATAATAGTTGCACATATTTTGGGAGTACATGTGATATTTTGTTACCTGTATATAATGTGTAATGATCAGATTTACAGCCTCCAAGTTTCTGGTAGTATGAGTCTAGTTTCTCATGCTGTAATGATTGTGGGAATTGGTCTACAGTTGCCCGAGGTTTTTCTGGCCAGGGAAGTTCTCTTGCCAACTATTTCCTCCTAGGAATGTTTCTCTTTTATGTCTGATCAGTCAGGAAGTGGTAGTTGGTTCTCATGTTCATCTCTTTTTGAAGAAGGAGGCATAAAGGAACAGGGAAGAGGCAGGTCCTTAGGCTACAGAACGAATCACTGACTGCATTGTAGTGTGAAGATTTCAAAGGAAAAAAATGTTTTGGCTAACTGATGTTCTGTTCTGTCTAGGAGCTCTTACTAACTGGATTATTTTCAGAGGTCTCCTCTAGCCATCCACTTGTAGAATATGTAATTAAATGTTACTTTATGGTTTGCTGAGGGTATGAGCCAAGGACAAACAGCTATATCATTATTACATACTTGCTCCATCTTTCCTACCTATAATCTTTCTTTCTGCTATATCATCACTTACCTCATTTTGTCTTCTGCAGTTTGTTTTCTTTACCTTTAAAATATCAATGGATTCATTTAACATTTTTTTTTTTTGCACTTACTATATGCCAGTCACTGTGCTGGGTATTGAGGAGATAAAGATTAAAAATATACTGTACTGTCCCCAAGGAGCTCATTGTTTATTGGAGACATGTAGTTAGAGGTATCATACAATAAGATAACAGCTTGAAGTATAATACAATACAATAATAGCATGTCAAATATGGTGGGATCATAGGAGACCCTAAGCCTCTGGAGGATGGGTGAGTGTGGGGTTTTTAGTTAAACATAAGTTCAGTGTAAGCCAAGATAATAATAGTTTTTTAAAAGCCAAAACTGTAAATTTAGGCTATATTTTAGAAACAGAATGGGGATATGAAAACCATATAATCTGAAAACAGTTGAGGAAACTGGTATGTTAATATTCCATATATGCTCAAAAAGAATATATTTTCTATTTTATGTATGTCTATTAGATCAGGCTTGTTGATTACAGGTTTCAAAACTTATATCCTTACAAATTTTGTCAGTTTGCCCTTTCAGTAATTAAGCAGTGTGTTGAAATCTCCCACTAAGATAGTGTATTGTTAATTTCTCCCTGTAGTTTTGTAAATTATGTTTATTTTGAGGCTGTTACATATACATTTAGAATTTGTATATCTTAAAGCAGTGAAACACTTCTCATGATGTAATGGCTCTCTTTATTCTGAATAAAGCTTTTTTCTCTTTTTTTGATTTTTCTGATATGTATATATAGATATCTATCTATATCTATCTGTATATCTATATCTATATCTATATATATCTATATCTATATCTATATATAGATATATCTATATCTATATCTATATATAGATATATATATATCTCCTCTGCAGTTTGTTGAGAAACATTCCTAGGAGGAAATAGTTGGATATGTATATTAATTTAAAGAGACAGAGTCTCACTATGTGGCCCAGGCTGGTCTTGAACTCCTGAGCTCAAATGCTCCTCCTGCCTCGGCCTCGCAAAGTGCTAGCATTACAGGCATGAGCCAACATACCTGCCCTATTTGTCTGATATTATCACTGCTACTATACTTTTCTTTTTTAAAAATTATTTTTATTTTTTTTTTAGAGACAGGGTCTTGTTCTGTTGCCCAGGCTGGAGTGCAGTGACATGATCATAGCTGCTTATAGCCTCCACTTCCCAGGCTCAACTGATCCTCCCTCCTCAGCCTTTGAGTAGCTGGGACCACAGGTGCATGCAATATGCCAGGCTAATTTTTAAATTTTTTGTAGAGACAGGGTCTTGCAATGTTGCCCAAGGCTGATCTTTAACTCCTTGCCTCAAGTGATCCTCTCACCTCACCTTCCCAAAGCACTGGGATTACAGGCATAAGCTACTACCCCTGGCCCATACCTTCCTTTGGCTAGTATTTTCCTGCTTTGTTTTGTTCTGTCCTTATATTCTAGGTATGACTCTTGTAAATAGCCTATGGCTGGATTTTTTAATCCAACTACAAAATCTAGCTTTTTTTTTTTTTAACATGAAGTATTTTTATTTTGTTAAATCCTTACAGCAGTTTCATTTTGCAGATGAGAATGCTGAGGCCCAGAGTTTAAACAATTTGTCCAAAGTTATACAGTGAGTAACTGGCAAAGAACTGGCATCTGCAGTCTGACTTTTGGCACATGTACAACCAATACCAGAGTTTATTATCTCTATTGTCCAGAGGAAAAAACTAGGGGTATCTTAAAATCTCTTGACATCTCTAGTTAGCGCCTGATGACTGAGAGAGAGGTCAGGGCCTGAGAACCAATGATACAAAGACCCAGAGGGATCTATTTTAATTCTTCTTCATTTGAGTAGAGAGAGACAGGCATCCTCCAAAGCAAACCCAACCCTAGGGTGACATCAAGGAAGGTAGCAGTAGGTGGTATGGTCAGCATCTTGGTTCCAGGCATAATGCCAATCATATCATATCTATCATCATCCTTATGGAGGAACCGAAGCCCAGAGAGATGAAATGATGAGGGCAGTCCTGATGCAAATTTTCCTTCTGGATCCTGTTGTTTCAAGGTGTGTATCTCCCATGCTGAAGGTTAAATGGGGATCATTTGCCAACAAATTTTGGGGGTTGGTTCTCTCTGCCATGTTTCCAGCCAGTCCCAGGTTGGAATGTTCTGGGCATAAAATATCCCTTCAGTGGCCATCCCTGATGCAATGTCCACGTCCATGCCTTGGTCAGTGGCTACTTTGCCCAGCTGCATGGCAATGGGGACCTGGGGCAGGACCTCCTGGGCCAGTGCTTGTGCCCAGTGGTAGGTGACATCACCCTCCTCGTTTTAGGCCACAGCATGATTCACCAACCCCAGTGCCCACTCAGTCGTCAGCCTGTGAAGATGAGCTCCTTCACCAGGGCCACCCCCAGGCAGTGTGGCAGCCTCTGAGTACCTCCTGTCCCTGGGAGGAGCCCTCGAGTGGTCTCTCAATCAGTTCCATGACTTTCGAGGAAGCTGCCACTTGGAGGTCGCAGGCCAGGGCAAGCTCCAGGCCTCCACCCAAGGCGAACCCATCCATAGCCACAATGGCTATGGATGCTAACTATATATGCATGGTAACCTTCTCATCCAGCCCTTTATATACCTTAACCTTCTTTTGTATCTTCTCTATCCTTGTTGTCCTCTGCTTCATTCCAAGAAATTATTAAAACCTTTCTTCTAAGATATTAATTAGCTGTGTCTGATTTACTGTCTTCAGTCCACTTACTTATTCAATAATTATTTTTCATTCCTAGGAATTCTTTACTAAATCTATCTGGCCATATTTTTTAAAATGATAGGGTCTTGCTATGTTGCCCAGGCTCAACTCAGACTCCTGGGCTCAAGAAATCCCCCTGCCTCAGCCTCCCAAGTAGCTGGGACTACAGGGGTGTACCACCATGCCAAGCTATCTGACCATTTTTGATGTGTTCTTCCTCCTTGCCCTGTTTATAAAATTTATCTTCCATTTCTTTAAACATTTCATAATAGTTATTTTATATTTTTTAGTTGATAATTACAATATTTGTTGTTGTTTTTGGTGACTCATGCATAGTAACTTGTTTCCTTGTGTTATTAGTAATTTTTAAAATATTTGAGTTCATATTTCTTTGAATTTAATCTGTAGTATATCAAGTATAAAACTTTTTTTGGTCTTTTTTTTTTGAATGGAAAGTTTTTTCTTGATCACAACTGTAAATTCTGGACAAAATATAAAAAACAGCTATGTGTAGCCACTGGAGAGTGACCAAAAGCAGACAGAAACCTGGGGTGGGGGAGGTGTCTGTACTTGGAAGAAGAGAGTGAGACTAGGTGGGTTTCTGATTTGTATGGCCTTTTTTCCTGAGAGCACCTGCAAATTGGTGTCAACCAGGTGGTGAAAACTCAGATAGGAATGACAGTGTGATGGTGGTAAAGATCTGGACCTGAACTTGTCTAGTGAGTCACTTTTTCTAGCACCAATGATTTTCTGGCTCTTTGCAGGTGATTGAGAACTGGTAGTAGTTAAGGTCAGCTCAGCCACCACTAAATAATTGATCTCAACTGGTAGAGATGCCTGTTTATATTCTGAGAAAAGTACTTTGCAGATGCTTTGACTTTCATGAGAACTGTAATGGACAAGCTCAGACAAAATGCTTCACAAACTGACTTGCAATAACACTGGGTTCAAAGAGGTTGAGGAGGCAGGGTCAAGAGGATCAAGAAAAGGAAGTTATTTTAGATGGAGAAAGAGAAGCCCAGAAGAAAAAGTCACGATGATTTTTCTTTGGCTGGATTAGGACTGTAAGCTTTCAAAATATACGGGCAAATCCTCTCTGAAATCATTGTCAGATAGATGTGTTTCTCTTTGAAAGGCTATGTGTAACTCTTTTAGTTGTTTTTCCCCTTAGTTTCACCAGTACTGATACTCTGAAGATAATCGCTTCACAAGATGATGGCTTCTTGCAGTGCTTTATGAAAAGATTAATATGTTGGAAATAGCATTCTCCTTGTAGTCATGTGATACCCATATTTTAAAAAGGTAGTTAATAGTTAAATTAAATCATTTGGTCAGGGTGATAGCATTCATCAAAACATTTTAAATGTATGGATTCATCCAGTATTTTTAGTAGTACTTCAAAGTTTAGTGTTTATACTGTAATTTATGTGTGGGTATAGGTTAATTATGTCTTTCATGGAAAAATAAGTGGGAATATTTTGAATACCTAAGAGCAAGCACAATTCTAACTCTGAGTGAAACCAGTTTTAGAAATATTGGCAGCAACAAACCTATGCTTGATTGAAAACTTATATATGGAATTAAACATACTTTTAATATTTAAACCAAAATATATGTTTGTCAACATTATTGAAATTAGACATGTCTAAAAATAGGAGATAATGCTAAATTTATTTGTTTAAATTTAAAAATCAATAAAACCACACATTTCAAATGGCAAACAAAGGTGCACTTAACTCCTCTTGTCATCATAGACAGGCAAAATATGAGTGTAGCCATGAATGAATGTGGCATGTTGCATCTGTTTTGCATTTATAAGTTAGAAAACATTTTGGCAGAAAGTTTTGCAATGAAATTACTTCCTTCTTTGAATGATTTGAATTATTTATGGCCTTGTACAGGAGTGGCCATAGGACCTGTCAGATATAAGGTGGAAAACTGGACATTTGTAGAAACTTCTATTTCTGTTTAAGTTATTCTGGATTATGAGAAAAATTAATTACCATACAAACATGAATTAACATCCTTGGGATCTACTTCTTATTTGGGCAACTTGAGTGTTGGCTAAGTTAAAAAATGTGCATATTACTAAATAGCAAGATATTACATTTTAAAAATAATGTGTTCTAAGACTACGGTGAATGAATGGAACAAAACCACTTAGTGCTGGTATTTAGCTTGTAATGATAAAATAATTTGTAAGCTTCAAAAAAATAGATGCTAAACACTTAAACTTTCAAACTACAGTGTATAAATTATGATACATGTCAGAGGGCGCTAGTGAAGGATGACAAGCCAACTCTAGTCACAAAACAGGAGCAGAGAAACAAGAAACCACAGAAATACGAGGAACGTGTGGGAACACAGCTGCCCCATTTCAAAAATGCGGCACAGTGAAGTTCAGTAACTAGCATAAACACAGCTGGTCAAGGATGAGAAGTCAGGTTTTTTTCTTCTCTTCTACTGCTGCTTCTAAGTGCAGGTGAAAGAGGGAGTTGAATGACGTGCCAGGGTTGTGGGGGCCTGTGATAGATTGATGGGGTGGAGGGACAGTTTAGGTGAGAAGCCAGAAGATTGCAGCTGAGGGAGAAATTCATGTAGTCAAGCAGAGTGAAAATCCCAGCGTTGGGGGATCAAGTTATTTGTGATAAAGTTCTGAAAGTTCTTTTAAAGACAATTCTGCTGGGCGCAGTGGCTCACACCTGTAATCCCAGCACTTTGGGAGGCCGAGGTGGGCGGATCACCAGAGGTCAGGAGTTTGAGACCAGCCTGACCAACGAGATGAAACCCCATCTCTACTAAAAATACAAAAATTAGCCGGGTGTGGTAGTGTGCACCTGTAATCCCAGCTACTCGGGAGGCTGAGACAGGAGAGTCATGTGAATCTGGGAGGCAGGGGTTGCAGTGAGCCAAGATTGCACCATTGCACTCCAGCCTGGGCAACAAGAACAAAACTCCATCTCAAAAAAAAAAAAAAAAAAAAAAAAAAGACAATTCCATGATGCTTATGAATCTATCCACCATCTTAACCCCCTCTCTAGTAAAAGCTTTTAGTAATGTCAATTGTGGATGCCCCACCTTCTCTCTTTCCCCAAATTCATTTTATTTAAATGCATTTCAGAGCCATTTTGTTAGAAATGAACTATATCACTTAGTGGTAAATGAATCAGATATATGTGGTAAACAAACATCAGGAAAATAATATGCTGATTTTATAATATATTCCAGATGGAAATAGCATTTATGGCTTCATCAGAGAAAAGATACAACTAATATTTTATCAGTTATGTGGCATTTTCTTTGTAGTTGTTGGAATAATGAGGGACTGGAGACAAAGGAATTATTTGCTTTCTTTTAGAAATCTATTTAAAAATCTGATAGCCACATATTTTATACATTAATTTTTTATACCCCATGTGTATTCCTAAAATATATGCTGTTTAGTGTAGCCTATATATGCATCTATATAATGGAATTATATAACATTTGTTGTTTTTGGATTCGCTTTTTTTAAAGCTCAACTTTATGTTTTTGAGATTTTTAGTGTTGTTGCATGCAGTACAATTTATTCATTTTTTTGGTAGTTTTCTACTGTATGAAATTATTCATTTAGTCATACCTTTTGATTTTTTTTTGAGACAGAGTCTCATTCTGTCGCCCGGACTAGAGGGCAGTGGCGTGATATCAGCTCACTGCAACCTCCACCTCCTTGGTTCAAGCAATTCCCCTGCCTCAGCCTCCCGAGTAGCTGGGATTACAGGTGCGTACCACCATGCCCAGCTGATTGTTTTTGTATTTTTAGTAGAGACGGGGGTGGTTTCACCATGTTGGCCAGACTGGTCTCGAACTCCTGACCTCAGGCAATCCACCCGCCTCAGCCTCCCAAAGTGCTGGGATTACAGGTGTGAGCTGCCACGCCTGGCCTAGTCATAACTTCTTTATCCATGTTACTGTTAATGAAAATTTTGTTTTTTTTCAGTTGTTGCTATCATAAACAGTTTTGCCGTGAACACTCTTGTTCGTACATGTCTTCAGATGCAAGTTTGTAAGATTTCTGTAGAGCATATATGTGTCTAGAAATAGAAATGGTGAATGGAAGGGCATGCCCGTGTTCAACTTTTAAATGTCACATTTTTTCCAAATTGCTTGTTCTAATTTCTACTCTCTATAGCAGTGAATGAAAATTTGCATTCATTCAAAACCTTACTAACATTTCAATTTTTTTCTTACCTTACTTTTTACCAATTTGTTGGATATGTAGTAAGATTTTCATTTGACTTAAATTTTTTTCTGATTACAAATGAAGTTGAACATTTTATCGGACTTCTAAAAGATATTAGTGGTTCCTCAGGCTTATTCCTGGGTTATTTTGCATTTTTCTGTTTGGTTGTCTTTTTCTTATTGATTCATAGACATTCCTTATAAATTTCTGATACTAAGCCTTTGTAGCAAATATATTCTAGTTTGTAACTTGTGTGTTAAGGGATGCCATTAGTATTTATGGCTTCTTTGTATGAATGAGAAAAAAGGCCTCTGTTGGCTGCACAGGCTGTTCTCTTGTGCAAACATACCATTATTTCTGGGCAGGTGCAGCTTGTGCCACTGTATATGGCTTCAACAGTGGAACATAGACCACATTTCAGAACTGATTTTGTGTGTTGCCCCCCCCCCCTTTTTTTTTGTTTTTGGAAACAGAGTCTCGCTCTGTTGCGCAAGCTGGGGTGCAGTGGCGTGATCTGGGCTCACTGCAACCTCTGCCTCCTGGGTTTAAGCGATTCTCCCGCCTCAGTCTCCAGAGTAGCTGGGATTACAGGTCGTGCCACCACGCCCTGCTAATTTTTGTATTTTTTTGTAGCGATAGGGTTTTGCTATATTGACCATGCTGGTCTTGAACTCCTGACCTCGGATGATCTGCCCACCTCAGCCTCCCAAAGTGCTGGGATTGCAGGCCTGAACCACCATGCCTGGATGCTACCACCCTTTTTATAATATGCTTCTACAAATGCACAAGCATAGCAGTGGCCTTGTGACTCTTCTGTCTCTTTATATTGTCCTTGGGTGGATGGAAGTCTTACTTTTAATGTAGACAAACTTATCGGTCTTTTACGTTTTGTCCTTTATATTGTCTATATTGTCCTTAGGTGGATGGAAGTCTTACTTTTAATGTAGACAAACTTATCGGTCTTTTACGTTTTGTCCTTTATATTGTCTATATTGTCCTTAGGTGGATGGAAGTCTTACTTTTAATGTAGACAAACTTATCGGTCTTTTATGTTTTGTCCTTTTTGTTTAGTCTGGCTTAAATAATTTTTTCTACTCTCCGATTCATAAATATCATCATCCATGTATTCTACACGTTTTATAGTTTTACTTATCACATTTGAGGCTTTAATTCATGTGGTATTAACTTCTTATGTGAAGAAGGGATTATGTCATTTTTCCCCAAATAGACAACTAATTATCCTAACATCATTTAATAGTTCATCCTTTCCTTACCTTAATGTGTTTTGGTGTTGAGTTTCTAGATATGGCACAAATCAGGAAGGCATTATGCAAATTAATGATGTTTATAAAATACTTCAGTATACAATTGTGCTTTCTAATTTTAGATACTATAAAAATGGAATTATAGAATTATGAGATGCTAAAGCTGGAATAGACATCGACAAAAGTCAGTTAGCATTTCAGTAAAAAATATTGGAGTGTCTACTACATCTCCATTATTTTACCATGCATGTATACTTGGAAAGCAGAGTATGTGGATATGTAAGAGAATACAAGTTCAGCCTGGTAGAACAGAAGGAGGGAGCCAAGTCTTTGGTCTTGTAGATCTGGGTCCAAATCTTGGCTTTGCTCTTGAGCTGTCATCTCCACCATATCATTTGATCTCTCTAATCTGCAAGAGAAAAATATTTTGCAAAATTGTTTGGAAATTAGTAATTATGTTTATAAACATATAGAGCAGTATGTGGCATGCAATCAGTGATTGATAGATTATAGTTGTCATTTGGTTGGGAAGATAAGACTAATGTGTATGTCATACTTATATCTTGTAAACTAGAAGATACTTAAAATTGCTCTGGGAATTCACAGAAGAATATCTCATCACGGGGAATATAGCTTCAGTGAAGAAATGAAACTTGAAGATGTGTTCAAAGGATGGATTTCAGTTAATTTCTATAGATTGAAGCCAGGTTGGATGGATGGATTTCATTTATATTTCTGGACATGGACAGCAATAAAGTGTCTTAAACAATAAAAACGTAGAAAATAGATAAGAAAACGATGCATTTTCTCTTGACTGTTGGCATTTGTGAAAATAATTAATAGTATACTTTATTTTTGACAAAGTATCAGTGGACTTGAATTTAATGCATAAACGTAACTTTTTCATGTAGATATTACACTTCTCACAGAATTTTTAAGACTCTTGTTATGTCCAGTTAAAATTCCATTCACATTTACAAAATTCATACTTATGTATAAAATCAAAGTAGCTATTAAATTTTCCTTATACTTTCGAAGATCTAATTGTTGAGTGATTTTTTTCTTGTAAGTAAATTTGAACAAATAATTTACAGTTATGACCTTATGAAGAGAAGATAGGTAGGAAAAACAACAGGTTTTATGTTAGATGAGTTTTAGTAAAAAAATTGAGAATTTTAGGCTATTGCTATAATTGCCTGTTTGGCTTACTCACTAGTTAGTTCTAAGAAAAATAAATGTAGCCCATTAAGATGTGCACTGATGGATTGGATTGAAAGGTGCTACCTGAGATATTGTTTTTTAGGGCAGGCTCTCTTGGCCTTTTTCAGGATATGATATTTTTGATAATTTTCTGGGACATACCTACATAGGGAATATTTCCAAATCTCTCTTTCGTCTCCTATTAGTTGACTGTTTATTGCTTCTAGTTATTTTATTGTTTATGTTAACTACCAAAAATAGCATCACTGATTTTAAATGTCACTTTAATCATTCATCAATTAATTATTTAGCACCATCTATATTTTAAGCATAATGCTTAAAGATGGCCCTATAATGGTGAGTAAGACAGAAATGGACTGACTCTCTTGGAGCTTATAATGATGTTGCATATATATATACATGAAATTATAAAATTATACTGGGCTGTGATACAGTCTATTGGTAGAGGATAGCCTAGAGTATTGTGGGAGTGCAGAGCAGATCCTCCTACTCAATTTAAAGAGGGTTAGAAAGCTTTTTAAAACACACAGTCCTCGTCCCCAGAAAGTTTTATTCTAATAGGTCTGGACAAAGGAAGGTTTTTTTTTGGTTATCCTTATTATTTTTAACTCCCCAAATGATTCAGCCAAATTTGGGGAACACTGATCATGAGTGGTTAAAATGGGCAAAATTATGACATGGTCTAAATGAGTTAACTAGGGATGGAATAGATCAATGTTTTTCAGATGATTTTCTTCTCATAGACCAAAGGTCAATCTTTGTATTTATCCCTATTTGGTTGTAAATTCTGGTCCTTAGCTTATAAAAGTTAACTGCCCTACTGGTGGGTGGGAGAACCTGGCTTATCAGTGGTACACATGAAAAGGATCTGGAATTATTGTTTACTATAAACCCAATGAAAGTCAGAGGGGAACCTTAACTGCCACAGGAGCTACTAAAATTGTAGGTTGCATTTCTGTAAGTTTAGTATCAGAAAGAAGGAGGTAATAGTCCTCTGTACTCTGCCCTCGTTGGGGCACATCTAGACTCATGTGGATAGTCTCTAGGATCACAGGTGAGAGGATGCTGGCACTTGGGGTGTATGAAGGATGTTGAACTCCTGGTAAATATCCACATGGAGAAGCACTGGAGAGAAATCAGCTTGCCCATCTCAGAAAAAGAAAACTTAGTCTATATAGTCCCAGAAGAAAGAACTGGGAACAAAGAGGGAGAGTTAATTGGGAAGCCAACATCATTTATTCACTGACTCATTTATTTATTTAACAAATATTTATTTAGTATCTATTGCACCTCATTCTAGTAGATGCCAAGGATATAATGGTAAACAAGATGGATTCAATCTCTGACTTCATGGAGCTTAAAATTTATTGGAAGACTCAAGACAATTAGGCAAGTAGATAGAAGAAAATGTAGTAAGTACTATTTTACCTCCATATAAAACACATTTCTAATATTAGGGCTGTCAGAATGATGGTAAATGGTAGATGAGTTGGCCTTGGAAGTATTCAAGAAGAGGTTGTTGGGGATATTGTAGAAGTTGTTCCAGGATTTTGGCATTAAAAGTCAAACAGGATTCCAATTACCATTAAAATCCTGTTTGACTTTTAATGCCAGTGATCATATATGTCTTGTAACAGATTCAGACTCCTTGCTTCTTCTTGTCGTTTCCTTCCTTCCATTATCTTCAAATTCAGTTCCAATTCTTTAAGTCTTCAGGATGAAATGACTGCCTTAGTGATTTTCACAGATGTTTTTGTGTAAGGAATAGGACAAATTTTTAGAACTGAAGTCACTCTTAATTATTATGTTTTTATCTGGGCTATCAGATAATTGAGGATAGATATTAGTGTTCACATAAATACACTGTCATCTGATTTATAGCTTCAGTTCTCATTCCTCTTGATGGCTGGTCCACACAGGCGGGGACTCAGTGACATTCATAAAAGTCTGTATTTTTGTGGGAATGCACAGGTACAAGGAATGAATAGAATGTCAGTGTCATTTGTAATTTTTACATTATGTAATTTTTATGTGCTGTAAATAAGACTATGATTTTTTGACCATTGTATTTGAATTCTTAACATGTCTTAACCAATTAGAAAAGCTGACCTTTCCCTCACAGCACTTTTATTTACATCTTACGTTGTAATATTATCACAACTATTGGAGCCTTTCAGATTCAATGTTACAGGCTGAAGTTGGACATTGTGGAAGTTTGGGTTTGCTTTCTCTTGACCCAATGTGACTTCCTGTTTCTAATAAATCAGTTTCTAGAGACTCTTAAAAGGAATTTCTTGCATGCCTGGCAGCTCTTGTAAAACCACATTTTAGTAAACCAGTGTGAATGAAGGGTATATTAAAAAAATCAAGGAACTGTATTTCTTGACCAAATCAGCATTTTGTTTTGTGGAAATTGGATTCCACAGAAAAATCTGTTGATTTAGGAAGTGTCTGCTTCCAGTAACTAGATAAACTAGGAACCAAAAGTTTCATTTTGATTAAGTCAGTCATCCTAGTTCAACTCCTGTGCTGGAGTTGATGCATGCTAGTGAGTCTGGTTAATACTTCCTCTTCTTCTTTTTTTTTTTTAAACCACAAGGTTGCAATTTGGGCATCTCCCTTTAAATGAATTCATATACATGTAATTAATTAACATGCATTCTCACAATATTCTGGAAAAAAACCTGGGTATTCACACCACGTAACCAATGGAGAAATGAATGTTAGTGAGTCTGGTATTAAGAGATCTTTCTCTTTGAACAGGGGATTCATGTCTCCTGGCTCTCGGTTCAGAGATTCAGCTTCTCTGTCTTGAAATTGTCCTACAAATTGTCTTCTCATAAATATTTTAATAGAGATTAAACATGTTGTTGTAGCTACAAAGGCAGTTTATTCATTTTACTTATATTTGTTGAGCACTTGTAGTGTGTCAGGCACTCTTCTAGAAGCAGAGAATATGTGAAGACACAAGATTCTTGATTTTATTTGTCCATTAAATGGAAACTGCCAGAAGTTGTACTAGGTACTTTAAAAATACTAAGTCATTTAATCTTTCTAACAATACTGTGAGGTAGATATTTTTATCCTTATTGTTTAGGTATAAAGAAGGAGGCCTGAAGTCACCTAGCTAGGAAGTGGCCAAGCCAGAGATTGAATGCAGGCCAGGAAGGCATAACCACCTACTCTATGGGCACTCCAGAAGCCTGATCTCATAAGCTTACACATTCCCTGTAAAACATACATACACACCGGGAAAAATAAAAGACAGGAAAATAAAAACTATGGGTAATCTGACCACTCTTAATGTTTTGCTGTGTTCCATTCCTTATATATGTATGTGTAGAAGTGTGTGTGTGTGTGTGTGTGTGTGTGTGTGTAAGCATATATGTATCTTATTGATTGGTTACCACTACATTCACTACATACTGTAAACATTTTGCAGGCCAGTGCATTTTGTTTAATGTAGTTTTAAACAGCTCCGCAGTGTTCCATGTCATGAGTTATCTAACTAGTTTCCTACCTCTTAACAATGTTTCCAATGTTTCAATTTCATAAACCAGGCTTTAATTAACATCTCTACAACCAAATCTTTTTACAGACCCATGATTGTTAAAAAGTTACTTAGTGAAGAAAGGTATTAAAACTTTTGGTAAATATTTATGCAATATCCATGTGCAGTCTGTGGTTTATGAATATGACAAGGATGTTAACAATGTAAACATGCTTTTCCTTCTAGGTTAGTGGATGACAGATGTGTGGTGCACCCAGAGGCCGGGGACCTTGCCAACCCTCCCAAGAAGTTCAGAGGTAAGAAATACATATATTTTTTTAATTGTGTGAGCTAAGAGGGAGGATTATTTTTATGTCTCAAAGTAAGTAATGTTAAAACTTTATTCAATGTGAAACTTTCAGATATAAATATGTTCACTGAAAATTCTTTCAACAATTTTTCCATTGTTTTTCTTTTACATATTGAGGGATTTACAATGAAAGAATAGTTTTGATTTTTGTTTTGCCAGACAATGGTCTATCTGTTAAAAGGAAATCTTGGTAATTAACTGTGAAAGGCTACTTGTCAAGCCAGTAAATGCAGCTGAACAGTATTTATTTATATACTTCTCTGACAGTTATAAATGTTATAGTGTTGCATTGTTAGATTTTTAATTTATCTTTGTAAACTCTCCAGGAGTGTGGCAATGATGTGTTAGCTTACTTTTTAAAATAGCAATTTTATGGTGTGTAATAACTGACAATTGTCTTAGAACTCCTAAGTATAATTTTTGAAATAGCTTGATAATTTCCTCAAATGAGAAATTGATCCTAGTAAGAGATTGATTATAACTCAACTCTTACAAAAGAAGGATTAATGGAATCTATAGAGAATCACAGAAAGCTAAAACTAGTCATTAAAAGCTTGCCCAAATCAATTTCATAATTGGTACATAATTATAATAATAAAAATAATTTTAAAATGGCATTTATTTTGAACAATGTATAACCATTCATTCTCATAATGGTGAAAAACGGCCTTAATAAAGGATTAAAAGCTGGAGAGAGACGGAGGGATTCTCAGAGCACCAGCCCAAGTGAAGATTGCTGCTTACTGCAATGGAAAAGGGAGACAGTTAGCATTGGGTTAATATTTACCATGTTTTACTCTCTGGGATAGGCATTTTATTTACAATATCTCTTATGGGAATGTTTTATTTATTTCATTTTCTCTAGACTGAGATCCTTGCAGAGAAACTGACATGCACAAAAAAATGTCCTTTGAGTTAAATTGGTCACTTTATAAGAGATCCAGATTTCTCCCCAAGTAGAGAAATTTGCGCAGAATGTGGAAGACAAACTACCCATTGGAAACACATGCAAAATCACTCAGTAGGGATACTCTCCTAACCCTGGGCAAGTGAGGTCTTCTTGCAGTAAATAGTTTCCACTGAGGATGGACTTAGAATGAAGCTACCTTGAGGGGACACGTAGGCTACTAGTATTCAGGAACAACCTGCCAGAGACAATGCAGGAAGTGTGTGTGAAATGACCCAAAAGATAAGAGGGTAGAGAAACCCTAATGGAAGGACAGATAGTGTGAATAAAGGTAGATTCTGAAAAGAATGAGCTAGCACATTGTGTAAAGATGAGGAGAGAATTAGGGCTCTGGAGGAGAGATCTGAGGAAACCACCCAGAATATAGCACAGAGAGATACAAAGAAGAAGAATTTGGATGAGTCATGAAAAGCTTGGAGGACAGGCTGAGAAGGTCCCGCAGTGTCTAACTGAATTCTAGAAGGAAAGGCTAGGGAGACTGGAATAGAGGCCATATGTGGAGGAATGTGGGTGAGAACTTGCTAAACTGAGGAAAAACACTCTTCCCCAGGTGGAAGAGGCACACTGAGTTCAGAGTAGTGATGGTAAATAACAACCACATCCACCACTAGACACTCTTTGGTGAACTATAGGGTATTAAAGACAAAGAGAAAAATTCTAAAAGCAGACTGGGACAACAAATCTGTATTTGTAGCAGGAAAAAGCATGAGGTTCAGGTTTTGACTGTACTGCTTGCTGCCTGTGTCATCTTAAGTAGGTCACCTACCTGCTTCGAGCCTCAGAGGACATCTGTCATTGGCTAATGGGAGTAGAAGTGGCTAATAACAAGAACAATGACTACCACACGAGGTTTTGTGAGCCCTGAAATATTTCCAGAGAATAAATGTAAAAGCATTTTAAGTCATTAAACAAATGGGCCGGGCATGGTGGCTCACACCTGTAATCCCAGCACTTTGGGAGGCCAAGGCGGGTGGATCACCTGAGGTCGGGAGTTCGAGACCAGTCTGACCAACATGGAGAAACCCTGTCTCTACTAAAAATGCAAAATTAGCCGGGCATGGTGGCTCATGCCTGTAATCCCAGCCACTCAGGAGGCTGAGGCAGGAGAATCACCTGAATGGGAGGCAGAGGTTGCAGTGAGCCGAGATCGCGCCATTGCACTCCAACCTGGGCAACAAAAGCGAAACTTCATCTCAAAAAAAAAAAAAAAAAAAGGATAGTCACCTTATGATAGAAAGGCATAATGCATTTCTATTAAACATATTTGACTCAACCCTTACATCATTGCCTCTTCAAGAGCAGGATTTTATTTTCTTCTTTTTGTGTTTTCCAGGCATAGTGCTCTGCCCATAGTCTCATAGTCTGTATCCCCCAAAATAGCCATTAGGTGCTTTTGGATGAGACACTCAAACTTTTTCTGGGATCATGTGATAAAACTTGGTTTCCAGGGGTGCCCACGTTTCACAGGCATGAGCCTGGGCAGCCTTACTCCTCTGTTGGTCAGGAAGAATTAATCTTTCAAAGATAAACATTTACGCTTCATGGGTGCCTTTCCTCTTTCCCTCTTTCAATCCACAGTGAAGTAAATTGTTTTAAATTTGCAAAGATTATTTTAGAGTATCTAAGGGAACCTGGGGTAACAGCTCTGTACCCACTAGGTAATTATATGCTGATACTTGGTCTCATATTATTCACTGGGCACTGGTTCAGAGCATGAATCACTTTTTCAGACACTCCATCCTTCTGGTGAAAGGCTGGCTTTTCCTGTAATCCAGTCATTGAGGTCATTATCCTTGCTGGTTTACTCTCATTTTCTACCTCCAGTTTTAGATTAAATCATTTATCTTACTACAATCATCACTGGAAAAGGAGGGTTCTTTCCTATTGGGAACTCAGGGTTCTGTCTTATCTTAAAGCTCCAGCCTTTCTCCCATGATGCATTGTTTATGCAGCTGGAGTCCCAGAGAATTCCCTGAGCTGGGCTTGCCTCTGCCCTGGCCTTCTTAACAGCCAGGAGCAGACAGTGCCTGACCAAGTGCCTCATCCTTTTGCATAGCTTGTCTTTACGGCTCTTGCCTTAGGCCATTCTCTGCATGAATATATTTCCCCCATTTTTTTTTGGCTTTAAAAGCCATTGCTGTTTCGTAGATTTGCCTCCCAGAATCACCATCCCAGCATTTCCAGACTGCCCTGCCAAGTTTCCAGAGCACCCTCCCTTATTGTTACTTTTTAGATAAGGTGAAGAAACAATAGCATATCAACAGTTCAGCTGCACCTCAGTTCCTCTTGCCTCAGCCAGACAAATGATATTCTCAAATTAATTTTAAAAGATTTTTGTTTTTCATACTCATGGTATGATTTGTTCAAGTGAATCATAACATTTTAGAGCGGGTAGGCAATTAAAAGTAAATCTAGTACAACTCCTCCAATGTTTTTGACTGTGGCAACCAAGTTCCACAGTGAAATGTTCTTTTGACTGTGTCTCATTACCTCACTTGTGAACAGAGGAAACTAAGTTTTACCAAATAAACAATTTCCAAAGGGTTATTTCAAACCTGATGGACAGCCATTTTTCGATAGAAACCATACAATAGATTGATATTAACAGAAACATAGTAGCTTTTTCTTATGCGAATAAAATTTCTTTAATGATCAAATATTCTCCATTTTTTTTTTTTTTTTTTTTTATTGATCATTCTTGGGTGTTTCTCGCAGAGGGGGATTTGGCAGGGTCATAGGACAATAGTGGAGGGAAGGTCAGCAGATAAACAAGTGAACAAAGGTCTCTGGTTTTCCTAGGCAGAGGACCCTGCGGCCTTCCGCAGTGTTTGTGTCCCTGGGTACTTAAGATTAGGGAGTGGTGATGACTCTTAAGGAGCACGCTGCCTTCAAGCATCTGTTTAACAAAGCACATCTTGCACCGCACTTAATCCATTTAACCCTGAGTGGACACAGCACATGTTTCAGAGAGCACAGGGTTGGGGATAAGGTCACAGATCAACAGGATCCCAAGGCAGAAGAATTTTTCTTAGTACAGAACAAAATGAAAAGTCTCCCATGTCTACTTCTATCCACACAGACCCGGCAACCATCCGATTTCTCAATTTTTTCCCCACCCTTCCCGCCTTTCTATTCCACAAAACCGCCATTGTCATCATGGCCCATCCCCAATGAGCCGCTGGGCACACCTCCCAGACGGGGTCCTGGCCGGGCAGAGGGGCTCCTCACTTCCCAGTAGGGGCGGCCGGGCAGAGGCGCCCCTCACCTCCTGGATAGGGCGGCTGGCCGGGCGGGGGGCTGACCCCCCCACCTCCCTCCCGGACGGGGCGGCTGGCCGGGCAGAGGGGTCCTCACTTCCCAGTAGGGGCGGCCGGGCAGAGGCGCCCCTCACCTCCCGGACGGGGCGGCTGGCCAGGCGGGGGACTGATCCCCCCACCTCCCTCCCGGACGGGGCGGCTGGCCGGGCGGGGGGCTGACCCCCCCACCTCCCTCCCGGACGGGGCGGCTGGCTGGGCAGGGGGCTGACCCCCCCACCTCCCTCCCGGACGGGGCGGCTGGCCGGGCGGGGGGCTGACCCCCCCCACCTCCCTCCTGGACGGGGCGGCTGGCCGGGCAGAGGGGTCCTCACTTCCCAGTAGGGGCGGCCGGGCAGAGGCGCCCCTCACCTCCCGGACGGGGCGGCCGGCCGGGCAGGGGGCTGACCCCCCCACCTCCCTCCTGGACGGGGCGGCTGGCCGGGCAGAGGGGCTCCTCACTTCCCAGTAGGGGCGGCCGGGCAGAGGCGCCCCTCACCTCCCGGACGGGGCGGCTGGCCGGGCGGGGGGCTGACCCCCACCACCTCCCTCTCGGACGGGGCGGCTGGCCGGGCAGAGGGGCTCCTCACTTCCCAGTAGGGGCGGCCGGGCAGAGGAGCCCCTCACCTCCCGGACGGGGCGGCTGGCCGGGCGGGGGGCTGACCCCCCCCCACCTCCCTCCCGGACGGGGTGGCTGCCGGGCGGAGACGCTCCTCACTTCCCAGACGGGGTGGCTGCCGGACGGAGGGGCTCCTCACTTCTCAGACGGGGCGGTTGCCAGGCAGAGGGTTTCCTCACTTCTCAGACGGGGCGGCCGGGCAGAGACGCTCCTCACCTCCCAGACAGGGTTGCGGCCCAGCAGAGGCGCTCCTCACATCCCAGACAGGGCGGCGGGGCAGAGACGCTCCTCACTTCCTAGATGGGATGGCGGCGGGGAAGAGGTGCTCCTCGCTTCCTAGATGGGATGGCGGCCGGGCAGAGACGCTCCTCACCTTCCAGACTGGGCAGCCAGGCAGAGAGGCTCCCCGTATCCCAGACGATGGGGGGCCAGGCAGAGACGCTCCCCACTTCCCAGACGGGGTGGTGGCTGGGCAGAGGCTGCAATCTCGGCACTTTGGGGGGCCAAGGCAGGCGGTTGGGAGGTGGAGGCTGTAGCGAGCCGAGATCACGCCACTGCACTCCAGCCTGGGCACCATTGAGCACCGAGTGAACAAGACTCCGTCTGCAATCCCGGCACCTCGGGAGGCCGAGGCTGGCGGATCACTCGCGGTTAGGAGCTGGAGACCAGCCCGGCCAACACAGCAAAACCCCGTCTCCACCAAAAAAAAACCGAAAACCAGTCAGGCGTGGCGGCGTGCGCAGGCACCCGGCAGGCTGAGGCAGGAGAATCAGGCAGGGAGGCTGCAGCGAGCCGAGATGGCAGCAGCACCGTCCAGCCTTGGCTCGGCATCAGAGGGAGACCGTGGAAGGAGACCGTGGAGGGAGAGGGAGAGGGAGAGGGAGAGGGAGAGGGAGAGGGAGAGGCAGAGGGAGAGGGAGAGGGAGAGGGAGAGGGAGAGGGAGAGGGAGAGGGAGAGGGAGAGGGAGATTCTCCATTTTTAAAAGAGAAACTGTAAACATTGGAATAAATGTAGCTGTACTGAAGAGTTGTGAAAACGTACATAGAATTCTCTTCCACTCTGTTTCCCCTGTTATTTGCATCTCACTGGGGACATTAGTTTAAACTAAGAATTTACCATTTGTACATTACTACTGACTGCATTCCAGACTTCAGTCATATTTCACCAGCTTTTCCACTAAAGTCCTTTTGACTGCATTCCAGACTTCAGTCATATTTCACCAGCTTTTCCACTAAAGTCCTTTTCCTGTTCCTGAACCCATCCATGATCCTGAGTTGCATCTAGTCATTGTGTCTCCTTAGTTTGCTCTATTCTGTGACCCGGTCTTAGTCTTCCCTGGCTTTTCATGATCTTGATACTTTTGAAGAGTACTAGCTAGGTATTTTATAGAATATGCCTTGTGTGTCTGTCTGATGCTTTTGTCATGGTTGGACTGGAGTTAAAATTTTGAGACTACCACAGACGTTATGTACTCATATAATACCTCATAATGAGGGTATTATGCCCTCATATGATACCAACAGAGTTCATCATGGGTCTTATTTTTTTGTGTACAATTTAATCGTCTTCCCTTTAATAAAGGCAGTTATTTTAATTGATTTTATATTCTTTTGCTTTTTCCTGTTCCTTTCCACCCTTCTCCCCCTTCTCTAGAAAACTCTTCTTAGTATCATTTTTCTAAAAGTCTGCATATTGATATATGTGCCATTTCTATTAGGAGAAGTCCACTTAAATCAACTTAAAGAGAGGTTTATGTCCTTCTCTTACCATCAGG
Organism: Homo sapiens; assembly: GCF_000001405.40. Lineage (NCBI taxonomy): Eukaryota > Metazoa > Chordata > Mammalia > Primates > Hominidae > Homo > Homo sapiens. Next base: position 26,783,449 of record NC_000012.12, on the reverse strand, counting down.
GTGATAAAACACGGAAGTAATGGAGAACCCAGGGACCATTTCCTGGAGGGTGGAGGGAAGAGAAGACAGCCACTTCTCTTGGTTGATTAGGTATTTCCCAGTGTTGGGCCATTTGGTCTTGAAGGTTCCAGTTCTGAGATTCTCTGAACATTTGTCACTTGACTATTTCATAATGTACCATGCCTACCATGGGGCCACTTCTGGCAAGCAACAATCAGTTGTTTTGAAGTAATAAGTCAGAATGCTTCAGGAATTGGAACTAATATAGAGAATTTCATTGCTGTGCAATGAACACTAAAGCAGGTAGTAATTAGGGACTTGGGGGAAAATGGAGAAAATCTCTTCTTTAACTCAGTTCCTTTTCTTCAAGTAATTCAGGGAAGTCCTTTTGAAAGCTGGGCCTAACCTTTTGCCTCTGCTCATGGAGGTTACACACTCATGTGTATAAATGAAAGTGTGTTCTTGCTAGGCAGTTGCTTTGACTTTTTATGCAGTCGAACATGTCAAGCTTGTCTAACAGTGATTCTGCACTCTCAGCCCATGATGAATACTTGCTCCACCCGCTTAACAATTGCTATATTGAATTTCTTCAGGTTTGGTGTTAGAATACTTTCAGTTGTTGTTGTTGAAGACTGAAACTATTTCAGATTTGAAATCAACTAAGATTTATTGAACATGTAATACATGCTACACTGTACTTGAGGCTTCCTGTGCATTATTATTTGGTCATCACATGAAGTAGAAATTATTGCTATCCTGATTTTGCAGTGGAGAAAGTAAGTATAAGAAGTTATGCAACCATCTTAAAGTTGCTGAGCTCCTTAGTGTTAAGACTGGGACTTAAACCAAGTTCTATGACTCTAGAGCTGTTTGTTTTTAACCACTGTGCCATACTATCTATTGAATTAGTCCCACCTATAAATTCTACCTGTTAGTCGTATAAAGCCACATTGATTGAATCTAATCCTTTTCCTACACAATAGCCCTTTAACTATTTGTTTAGAATGACCATATTCCTGTGGATCTTTTCTTCTAGTCTTACTTTTTTTTTTTTAGTTCTTTTAACTGTTGCCAGGTACAAATTCTTTAGGGATTTTTCTGTCTTCATTATACTACTTTGTTTGTTTTATGGTTAGGCTCCTGTTTGTCAATTTAATTCTGAGCTGTGTATAAAGAACTGAACATAGTGCATTTGAGTTTTGTCTAATGAGAACTCCTCTCATTTTTGGATGCCACACTTGCAACCTCTGTTAGTCAGCGTTCTCTAATAGGGACAGAACTAATACAATATAGTTCTGTATAATAGGATAATAGGATGTAAAGGAGAGTTTATGTTATATACATGAGTTTATTAAGAACTAATAGGATCTCTCTCGCTCTCTCTCTCTCTCTCTCTCTCTCTCTCTCTCTCTATACATATATATATATATATATATATATATATATATATATATATACAGGGGAGTTTATTAAGTAGTATTAACTCACATGATCACAAGGTCCCACAATAGGCCATCTGAGTCCCAAAGCTGAAGAACTTTGAGGGCAGGAAGCATCCGGCACAGAAGAAAGATGTAGGCTGGGAGGCTAAGCCAGTCTAGCCTTTTCACATTTTTCTGCTGCTTTATATTCTGGCCGTGCTGGCAGCTGATTAGATGGTGCCCACCCAGATTAAGGGTAGGTCAGCCTTTCCCAGCCCACTGACTCAGATGTTAATCTCCTTTGGCAACACCCTCACAGACACATCCAGGATCAATACTTTGCAATCAAGTTGATCACTTTAATCCAATCAAGTTGACACTCAGTATTAACCATCACAAGTCCACCCCTTGTCAACTTGAACCCATAAACATCTCCTGAGCTCATACATAATCTTCAAATAAAGACAATAATAAGGTCATAATTATGCCTAACATGATACAACTGTCCTTTGTACAACCGGAAATGTACCAATCCCCAGCCCAAATACTATTACATAAAGTTAAGAATACTTAAATGCTGATATGAGGTCAATAAATCTTATGTCACATAATAAAGGAAAAAGAGAATAAAATGAAAATATTTTCTTAGTACAAGTTTATGCATATATGTACATGCTAAAATATGTTTTTAGCAAAAGGAGGAGGAAATAATCATGACACAGTCCTCGTTTTTGCAACTGATCATCTGGTCATAGCTGGTACTAATGACTACCTTCTTCTACTACCCATTCTATATTCCTTCTGCCTTCAGCAAACACCTCAGCATGTCGTGATGTTTTCCCTGGTGGAGTAACCCAAACCTTCATTCCTGAAGGGTCTGGGCCATTTGTAGTCCTGCCGGGATTGGGCTGTTTTAGTTTCTCATTGACCTTAATCACAAGGCATGGTAATACTAAGAGATGCCCCAAGGATCTCCTGTATTTCATGCATACTCTTACTTACTTCCATTGTGGAGTCATAGACTGATTTCATCTTGATAGTCTGGGTCAGTCACCCCAGCCAACACTGTAACTCCCTTCTTAGCCTGTTGACTTAAAGGTAGGAGGAACCCAAAGTGTCCAGGTGGCAATCTTAACTTCCAGTTTAATGTAATTGTGCCTCCTGGTGGCAGCATTCCTTCCTCTGGAACTAAGACCTCTAGGCCAGCAGAACATAATGTTCGAATGAACTGAAAGCAAAAATTTTGTTAGTGGATCACTAGGGGTGATGGTGAGTGGTGCCACTTCCATTTCCACCCCTTGATTCCTGGACCCGTGAATCCTGGCTATGGGAGGAACAGTGCCATATATTGGATGCTGATTCAGAACATACACAGCTTTCTGGATAACTTTGCCCCAACCCTGCAAAGTATCGTCACCTAGTTGGCATTGTAATTGTGACTTCAAAAGGCCATTCCACTGTTCTGTCAATCCAGCTGCTTCAGGATGATGGGGAACATGGTAAGTCCAGTAAATTCCATGAGCATGAGCCCACTGCTGCACTTCTTTAGCTATAAAGTGAGTGCCTTGGTCAGTGGCAATGTTGTGTGGAATACCATGATGGTAGATAAGGCCTTCTGTGAGTCCACAGATGGTAGTCTTGGCAGAAGCATTGCGTGCAGGATAGGCAAACCCATATCTGGAGTAAGTGTCTATTTCAGTGAGGACAAAAACCTCTGCCCTTTCTATGATGAAAGAGTTCCAGTATAATCAACCTGCCACCAGGGAGCTGGCCGATCACCCCAAGGAATGGTGCCATATCGAAGGCTCAGTGTTGGTCTCTGCTGCTGTCAAGTTGGGCACTCAGCAGTGGCTGTAGCCAGGTCAGCCTTGGCGAGTGGAAGTCCATATTACTGAGCCCATGAGTAACCTCTATCCCTGCCACCATAGCCACTTTGTTCATGGGCCCATTGGTGATGACAGCGGTGGCTGGGGAAAGAGGCTGAGTGGTGTCCACAGAATGGGTCATCCTATCCACTTGATTATTAAAATCCTCCTCTGCTGAGGTCACCTGTTGGTGAGCACTCACATGGGATACAAACGTCTTCACAGTTTTTGACCACTCAGAGAGGCCCGTCTACATACCTCTTCCCCAAATTCCTTTGTCACCAATTTTCCAATCATGCTTCTTCCAAGCCCCTGACCATCCAGCCAAACCATTGGCTACAGCCCATGAATCAGTGTATAATCGCACATCTGGCCATTTCTCCTTCCATGCAAAGTGCACAACCAAGTGCACTGCTTGAAGTTCTGCCCCCTGGGAAGATTTCCCTTCACTGCTCTCCTTCATGGATGTCCTAGAAAGGGGCTGTAGTGCTACAGCTGTCCACTTTTGGGTGATGCCTGCATATTGGGCATAACTATCTGCGAACCAGGCCCTAGTCTTCTCTTCCTTTGTCAGCTGATCATAGGGAACTCCTCATGAGGCCATCGATGCAGGCTGGGAGAGAGAAGGCCTGGTGGCAGGAGTAGAGACTATGGGCATTTGAGCCACTTTCTCATGTAACTGACTTGTGCCTTCAGGACCTGCTAGAGCCCAGTCACATTTATACTACTTCCATTCGATGATAGAATGCTGCTATGCATGACCCACTTTATGGCTAGATGGGTCAGAAAGCACCCAGTTCATGATAGGGAGTTCAGGTCACATGGTGACTTGATGACCCATAGTTAAATGTTCAGTTTCCACCAAAGCCCAGTACCAGACCAAGAGCTGTCTCTCCAAAGGAGAGTAGTTATCTGCAGAAGATGGCAGGGCCTTGCTCCAAAATCCTAGAGGCCTCCACTGTGATTCACCTATGGAGGCCTGCCAAAGGCTCCAAACAGCATCCCTATCTGTCACTGACACCCCAGGCATCATTGGATCTGTTGGGTCACATGGCCCAAGTGGCAGAGCAGCTTGCACAGCAGGCTGGACCTGTTGCAGAGCTTTCTGCTGTTCTGGACCCCCTCAAAACTGGCAGCTTTTCGGGTCACTCAATAAATGAGTTGGAGTAACACACCCAAATGACGAATGTGTTGCCTCCAAAATCCAAATAGGCCCACTAGATGTTGTGCCTCTTTCTGGGTTGTAGGAGGGGCCAAATGCAGCAATTTACCCTTCACATTAGAAGGAGTATCTTGACAGGCCCCACACCACTGGACCTCTAGAAATTTTACTGAGGTAGAAGGTCCCTGAACTGTAATTGGATGTATTTCTCATTCTCTGGCACGCAAATGTCTCACAAATAAGTCCAGTGTGTTTGCTACTTCTTGCTCACTGGATCCAGTCAACATAGTGTCATCAATGTAATGGACCAGTGTGATATCTTGTGGAAGCAAAAAGCAATCAAGGTCTCTCTGAATAAGATTATGGAACAAAGTGGAGAGTTGATATACCCCTGTAGTAGGACAGTGAAGGTATATTGCTGGCCTTGCCAGCCGAAGGCAAATTGCTTCTGGTGGGCCTTATGGACAGGAATGGAGAAAAAGGCATTTGCCAAGTCAATGGCTGCATGCTAGGTACCAGGAGATGTGTTAATTTGCTGAAGAAGTGAAACCACATCTGGTACAGCAGCTGCAATTGGAGTCACAACTTCGTTAAGCTTATGATAATCCACTGTCATTCTCTAAGATCCATCTGTCTTCTGCACAGGCCAGATAGGGGAGTTGAACGGGGATGTGATGTGAATCATCACCCCTGTGTCTTTCAAGTCCTCGATGGTGGCACTAATCTCCGCAATCCCTCCAGGGTTGCAATATTGTTTTTGATTTACTATTTTTCTAGGTAGAAGTAGCTTCAGTGGCTTCCATTTGGCCTTTCCCACCACAGTAGTCCTCACTCTACCAGTCAGGGAGCCAATGTGGGGGTTCTGCCAGCTGCTAAGTATGTCTATGGCAATTATGCATTCTGGCAGTGGGAAAATGACCATAGGATGACTCCTGGGACTCACTGGACCCACTGTAAGTTGAACCTGAGCTAAAACTCCACTAATTGCCTGACCTCCATAAGCCCTTACTTTGACTGGAGGACTGCCTGACATTTTGGGTCCCCTGGAATCAATGTCAGCTCAGAGCCAGTGTCCAGCAGTCCCTAAAATATCTGATCATTTCCCTTTCTCCAGTGCACAGTTACCCAGGTAAAAGGCCAAAGGTCTCCTTGGGGAAGGATGGGAGAAAGATTAACAGTATAAATTGTCAGTAGTGTAGTGGGGTCCTTCATCAAGGGGAAGGACCTCCCCTTCATTCAAGTGGTTCTAGGTCTGTAAACTGGCTCAAGTCTGAAAATTGATTGAAGGGCCATGAATCTCTGTTTTATAATTCAAATTAGTCTTTTGTCCATTCGACCTGGAAGTTTTCTGCTTCTATAAATTAAGTAGGAATGCATTTATCAATTTTACTTCTGGGAATACCGTGATTAATTAGCCAATGTCAGAGCTCTACACGAGTCAGACTATTCTGATGGTTGCTTTGCCTCTGCTTTCCATTATGGTAGTTACACCCACCGTGCCTCTGACAGTTGAATGTTACCACTTGGCCCCTACCACCTTGGGATCCAATTATTCCCATTGTATTTAAATTTTGTAGTTGAGTGACTGTTGTTCCTACTATTAGATCTGACATACAGAGAAGAGCAGTTACAGACCTCTTCAAAGATGCAGGTGCTGCCCTCACAAATCTGTTTCACAAAGCATTGGTCAAGGGTAGATCTTCTGGACCCTCCCAGCTGGGATGAGTAAAGTGACTAATCCACTCTAGGATCCCAATCTCCCTAAGCCTTTGAATTCCTTCCTCCACATTAAACCAAGGGAGATCAGGCATTTCCCGCTTGCTCACAGTGGGCCATCTTTTAACTTATATTTCAGCTAACCAAGTAAATAAACTATTTGAACCTTTTTTTAACTCTCTGAGCTGCAACATTAAATGCAGAGTCCCTATTTAGTGGGCCCAAATCAATAAATTCAGCCTGATCCAACTCTGTGTTCCTTCCACCATTATTCCATACCCTTAATATCTATTCCCATGTCTGTTTTTCAGATTTCTGCTAATATAAATTAGAAAACTCAAGCAATTCTTTTTTAGTGTAGTGCACCTCCTCATGGGTCACACTGTGAACCTCACCTCTGGGGCCTGCTAGGACTTTAGTCTAGTTATAGGTCTAGAAGCAAACAGGGGTGTTGAGGATGGCTCCTGAGGAGAATCAACATTATCTTGCCTGGCAACTGCCTAAGGGGTCCTTCCCTGTTGCTTCAGGCAGTGCAGGGTTTATCTACTCAGACAAAGGTGGAAAGGTTGATGGCAACATGAGTTGGGGAAGGGATGTTGCCACTACTGGGGATGGGGAAGATGTTTCTTCTGGCAAAAATGGTTCATCAGAGTTTACAAGCTCAGTGTCCCCAGCTTCATCAGGGTCCTCCCATACATCCCCATTCCTAGTTGCAGGGTCCCATTCTTTTCCAATCAATGCCCTCACTTTAGCAGTAGACATCTGGCAAGGCTGTGCATGCACTTTTTGTTGCAGGTCAGCCACTTGCATAAGAGCTTGTGTCTATTTTTCTACAATTTCAGCTCTTTCTCTACAGGAGATAAGACTCTCACTCAGGGCAGTCTTAGCAGATTTGAGGCTCCGTAGCTGCTTCTGAAGCCAGGAGTTAGAATCCCTGAGTTCCTCATTTTCTTTCATCACTTTGTCCAGTGAACTTAGGAGCAACCAACCAACTTCATTAGGTTCCTTGGTTCTCCACATATAATCAAAGGTATTATATATAGAGTCACTAAATTCCTTGCCTCTCATGAGTGGTGAGTCAGGAGTGTCAAATGCGTTTATTTTGCGTAACTCTTTAAACAGCTCATGCTAAGGACTATCAGTGTTCTCCATACTGTTAGAAGTAGAGTCCTTAGCATTTTTGGGTCTAATCATATTAAGCAGCCAGCTCCAGAAATCCCAAAACCAAAGAAAGAACTCCATCCTTAATATTCTGTTCCTCTAGAACCACTCCTGGTACCAAAATCTGTATTAGTCAGGGTTCTTTAGAGAGACAGAACTAATAGGATATACATATACATATATATATATATGTAAAGGGGAGTTTATTAAGTGGTATTGACTGACACGATCACAAGGTTCTGCAATAGGCCATCAGCAAGCTGAGGAGCAAGGAAGCCAGTCCGAGTCCCATAGCTGAAGAACTTAGAGTCCAATGTTCAATGGCAGGAAGCATCCAGCACAGGAGAAAGATGTAAGCTGGAAGGCTAATCCAGTGTAGCCTTTTCAAGTTTTTCTACTTGCTTTATATTCTAGCTGTGCTGGCAGCTGAGTAGATGGTGCCTGCCCAGATTAAGGGTGGATCTACTTTTCCCAGCCCACTGACTCAAATGTTAATCTCCTTTGGCAACACCCTCACAGATACACCCAAGATCAATACTTCAATCCAATCAAGTTGACACTTAATATTAACCATAACACAGCCCAATAATCTTGGGCCAGAGTCCCTGACTCTCCTCCTGCTTTTAGTCAATGGAAACTCCTGATGCTTTTTCATTTGCATCTCTGGATTCTGTTTCGTCCTTCCTGTGCTGTGTAACTGGTTCTTTGGAATCAAGTGGAGAACCTGTTACTTTTTACCTTGTTGCATTGGCTCATTGTTCTAGGTTTGTTTTAGCCTAATAAACTTGTGTTTTGTTCTTTTTCTTTTTTTTTTAAATCTTAACTCTCATTCAAATTATTTATTCTAATTCCCAACCTCATGACATCTTGAAATTTGTAAAGTTAATAAAAGGTATGTATTGTGATAATCTCATTTCATGTTATTCTGTTGTTATTGAATATATCTGAGGAGCAATAGATTAGGATAGTATAAGTTGGGGTACCTGTGGATCAGACCCTGGAAGACTTGGTAGAGGTAATCTATTTGGGAGGTGATCCCAGGAAACACAGATGAGGACTTGGGGGAAAATGGGGTGAAAGGAAGAAAAGGCAGGACAGCGTGCATTAGTGAAGCTCAATCCTGGTGGAAGCAACTGAAGCTCAGTCCTGCCAGGGCCACTGGGAAACCATGCAGAACATGCCTTGGAACCTCCTACGAAGGACAGGAAGGCTGGGGCCAACTTCCATCCACTAAGGGTTTTTGTTTGCACCAGACGGTGTTGTCATTTCGTTCCACAATACACTTCTGCACTGTTCCTGCTGTTTCTCCATGTGGCAGGGAGAGCTCTCATGCAGAGAAAAAGAGAGATCCAGGAAGTTGAGGTGGGAAGCTGTTCGCATGTTGGAAATTGTCTACTGCACTTGTTGGTGAACTTGGGCCTGAGGACACATGTTCACATTCTTGTGGATCGTCAGAATTTTATCTGTTTCTTTAATTGAAAGACCTGTGATTAGACTATAAACTGTATGAGGGTCAGGACTGTGTTAGCCTTGCGCTCTGCTCAGTCACCAAGATCAAACACAGTGTTTAGCATATTGTTGGTGCTGACTTAATTTTTGTTGAATTAATGAATACATCTCTAGAAAAGAATTATTTAATTAACTTTTCTATAAAAACAAGGTTTCACTATGTTGACCAGGCTGGTTTCGAACTCCTGGCCTCAAATGATCCTCTTACCTCAGCCTTCCAAAGTGCTGGAATTAGAGGCATGAGCCACCACACCCAGGCTAAGAACCATAATTTTTAAAGGCAATATAGTTTCAGTTCTGTCTCCAGATGCTTTTTCAGTGTCTTACCACTACCGAGCATGTAACATAGTTGTTTGATTAGTTGTTTTATGTTAAAGCAACCTGTAGACCTATTAGTTTGTTATAGTCTTAAATTCTACACCTTTAAATTTAAGTTCACAGGTGTCAGTATGGATTCTAACAAATCTTTAGTTTAAATAACAGAAGACAAAAACTTCTCCATGTATTAAGTGAAGATGTTTTTAGTAGTTTGTAATTCGCTGCTACTCAAAGAAGTTCAGAAAATTGCAGTGGATTTCCAAGTCAGGAGTTACATGCTTTATACTAAAAAAAAAAAAAAAAAAAAAAAAAAAAATTCTCCAGTTGAATGTTGTTTCTATGTTTATCCTGTGTGTTTGTGGTGAGTCATCCTGTTTATAACCCTTACTGCTAATGCCATATTATTAACCTCTTAAGTGGCAGTGGAAATTGGATAATAAGTTTACTCTCCTCCATGAGGTTTCAGAGAAGGGCCAAAGGATGAAATGAGAACACCACATTGCTTTGCCTCTTTGCCTCTCCTGTCAAAGCTAGTCAGGATTGTAAAAGTGCTTATACTTTAAAATACTTGAGCCTCTGTATTGGGAAGAGGGAAGTTGCTGTGGTTCTGAGTGATAAAGTAGGACTGTTTTGGAAGTCTCATGAACCACTGTTTAAGGCAGCACTCACACAATTAATTGTGTCTCTGAGTTATGAACAGTGTGTGAATTTTGAGTGATTCGTGGCTTTGGTTGTGAGATTCAATTGTCTCCCTTCAGAATAGGAACCAATGGGCAGAAAAGGAACAATCGTGGTGCATGTGGTATAGTGGGGTAAGAACAGCTCTCCAGCTCCCTCACTTACCCATCCTGTGTTCTGGGGTTAATTTTCATGAGCTGCAGGCTCATGTGTAAAAATCTTCCTTCCCATGGTGTATATGAAGTGAGTTGTGTGTCTAAATTCTTAGTGAGTGCTGAATAAATATGTATTTTTTCTGTATTTTAACAGCCAAGACTATTTAAGAATAGAAAGTCCTAAATATTAAAATTCTTAATTTTGAGTGCTTATAACGGCCTTTCTCCATGTTAGCCTACTTAATCCTGAATAGCCTTGTTTTACAAATGTGGAAACCACACTTTAGAGAAGCAGCATGCTCAAATCACATAGATGGTAGGTGGGAAGGTAGGCTTGTTTTTCAACACTGTAAGATCTTGGGCAGCCATAAAAAAGAATGAGTTCATGTCCTTTGCAGGGACATGGCTGAAGCTGGAAGCTATCATTCTAAGCAAACTAATACAGGAAGAGAAAACCAAACACCACATGTTCTCACTCATAAGTGGGAGTTGAACAATGAGAACACATGGACACACGGAGGGGAAAATCACATACTGGGGCCTCTCGATGGGTGGAGGACAAGGGGAAGAAGACTATTAGGACAAATACCTAATGCATGCGGGGCTTAAAATGTAGATGATGGGTCAATAGGCGCAGCAAACCACCATGACACATGTACACCTATATAACAAACCTGCATGTTCTGCTCGTGTATCCCAGAAGTTAAAGTAAAAAAAGAAAAAGAAAAAAAAAGATATTGGATACATTTAGCAGATTTATCGAATATACACCATGTGCACATACGGTACCATGTGCAATTCAGTGTATGAAGTAGTTGCTACAGTTCAGACCAGTCAGAAATGAATGCTGCTCTCAAGGAATTTATAATCTAATGAAGAAGATAAGATACATATATATATATAATACATGTATTATATATATAATACATGTATTATATATAATAATGTATTATATATAATACATGTATTATATGTATTATATATATTATATATAATACATGTATTATATATATAATATATATAATACATGTATTATATATAATATATATAAATGTGTATATTATATATATATAATATAACACAAGGTAGAAAGTGATAAGGGCTAAATCAAAAGATATGGTGACATGTTGTGGGAGGATGAAGATTTTAATTTCCTGTTTCGAGTGATGAGGAAAGCTTCTTAATTGAGATGGCATTTGGCCTGAGAGATTTGTGCCTGTAGGGAAGGACATGTAGACTTGTTGGGCCCAATATGCACCTTTATGATAAATTAGTTCCTAGGATAATGTTTGATGTGCCAAGTTCAGTTGCATTTCTTCTTTAAACAGTAATGGAATGTTTAGTATTCTTTCGAGTATAATACTGAGATGAAAGTGCCAAGCCTTTACCCCAATCCGTTCGGTCTTCTGCAGCTGTTACACGGTAAATCAATGACAACTAAATGTGACAAGAGTACCACTGCTGTAAATAACTAATATTTATTTAGTTCTTACTATATGTCAGGTAATGTTCCAACTGCTTTATATTCTATTAATGCATTTAATATTTTACAGCAATATGAGGTATATATTATTATTAAATATTATTGTCCCCATATATTAGATAAAGTGCTGTGACATAAATCCCCCCAAAGCCCAAAAAACAAACAAACAGGCCAGGCACGGTGGCTTATGCCTGTAATCCCAGCACTTTGGGAGGCCAAGATGGGCGGATCACGAGATCAGGAGATCAAGACCATCCTGCTAACACAGTGAAACCCTGTCTCTACAAAAAATACAAAAAATTAGCCAGGCGTGGTGTTGGGCACCTGTAGTCCCAGCTGCTCAGGAGGCTGAGGCAGGAGAATGGTGTGAACCCGGGAGGCAGAGCTTGCAGTGAGCCGAGATCGCACCGCTGCACTCCAGCCTGGGCGACAGAGGGAGACTCCGTTTCAAAAAAACAAAACAAAAACAATAATAATAACAACAACAAAAAACAAACAACCCACAATGACTTCTATATATAGTAGAAATGTATTTCTCTTTCACCTAATAGTCCCTAGGTGAGTGGTCCGGGACCATCTTGGCAGCTCTGTCATTCGCAGCACGTGGCTTCCAAGGTTGTTCCAGTAGTCAGCATTTCCTAGTTGGTAGAAAGGGGGTAAAAGGAATACAAGGAAAGTAGATTCTTCCTTCAGGAGGGCTCCTGGAATTTTATAAATTAGTCTCACTCATATCTCATAGTCATATAGCTTATTGAATCAAATGGTGGCCCTGCAAACTACATGTCCAAGTCTTTATGTATAATGTCTTTTTATATAACGTCTGGGCACTATAAGTGTGACATTATTAGGAAAAATGGTCTATGCAAATTAAATTAAGGATCTTGAGATGAGATCGCCTTGGATTACCCAGGTGGGTCCTAAATCTTATATATCCTTGTACAAGACATACGAATAGAAGGCGCACACAGAAGACCACATAAAGACACAGTCAGAAAATGGACTTTTGCTGCCATAAGCCGAGGAGGACTTTGAGCCACCAGAAGCTGGAAGAGGCAAAAGATTTTCTCCTAGAGCTTTCAGAGGGAACATGGCTCTACCCACACCTTGACTTTGGACTTTTGGCCTCCAGAACTATGAGAGTGTAAATTGCTGTTGTTTTAAGCCACCAATTTTGTGTTGATTTGTTGTAGCAGTCACAGGAAACTAATAAACTTGACTCCATGTTGCTGCAAGGAGCCTGAGGAACATGGTGGTTAGTGGGCTGGCCATGCGCCAACCTAAAACTACCTAAAGGAAGAAAAGAATGGATATGGGATGGGGGAGGAGTAACATTCTCTATCATATCTCATTTTATAGATGAGGAAGTTGAGGCACAGAGAAGTTAAGTAACTTGCTCCTTGTCATACATCTAGGAGGAAGCAAGCAAAGCTGTGATTGAAATCTAGACCCTTAGCTACCAACTATACTGCCTTTAAACTCAAGAGACTGTAGAAGCACAGAGAAGAGAATTGTGATTGGCTTTGGAATGCAGAGGAAGAATGGCCAGTTGTTAACCAGGCAGAGAGGAGGGGATGATGGAGAAAGAGGCATTTCTGGCTGAGGCACAGAGGTATGAAATAGCATGACCAGTTTGTGGGGGTAGTTAGAAGCTCAGTCGACCCAGAAATACTCTCTTGACTTCACTGAAAAAAGAATAAGCCTCCCCAGTCTACAGTTCTGTGACTTTTTTCACCTCTAAGGCTGCCTGTGTGGGAAGATGGAGAAAGACCTTATTTATTCAATCCTTTGCCTCTCTCAACCCATATAGGAAGGTCCTTGGTGAAGTCTTCAGATATTTATATGATACAGATCTACTTTTGGAGAAAAGGATGATCCTTATAACAGTACAACAGAGTACATTTTAATCATTTTTATAGGATGTTGCTCTCCTAAATGATGTGGAGGTTATAGGGTTAGAGTATTTCTATCTATGCTATATTCATTATTAAGTTTGTATTCTTTAGGAAGTTATTCCCAATCGTGTTACACCAGTAGAATTTCCCTTGGAAAATGCATTCTTTTGATAATGTATTTCTAGGAACGTGATGTGGTAAGAAACATGGACTGTTTGTGGAAATGAAACTTTGGCTCAGTCAAAATACTTTCCATGAATTAAATATAGCTGTTTTTAAGTAAGCCACTCCCCCCATCCGGTCTTCTCTTGTGTCATGTATTAGGCATATTAATATATCAAATCAGTTCCCTTTTTACCTATTCTCTAGTATAAAGTGTCTCCACTGAGAAGGAGGGTATTATATAAATATTTATTATTTTATGTGGAAATATGTGTGCATTAATATTGTGCTTCTATGGTTTATGGTAGGTGAGTCTTACTTGTTTTTCTCTCTTCTGAGTATTAAACAGATTAACAAAAGTTATATTTTGTTTATGGAAGTCTCTGTGTTGCTCCATAAGCTTAATAATCATTAACTTATTCAAGCTACCACCAAGAGTTTTAGATAAAAGATTGATTTGTACACTGTGTATTCAAGCCGAAGTCAACTGCCTTTCCTTCCCAGGTGTTGATTTAGTGAGTGAGCAGTTTGAAGATCTTCTCTGAACAGGTGCCCTGTTTACAGTTTGTGGTTTTCAAGGTAAATACAGCAATTTCAGAATAAAGCAAACATTGCTGGTGGGTGGCAATGTTTGTTTTACAAATGCTTGGAAGTGGTTTAGAAATTGTCTTTTAAAGAATAAGGTGGATAATAACCCAATAGAGCAGCCCACATGAATGGAGATCCAGTCTCAGTTGGCAAGGCACCATTGACTCACCCTTGTTCTCCTGGAACCTTGCTTGCCCTTCAGCTGGAACCCCTGCAAAGAGAGACTTATGCCTGAAAATGAAAGTGATGGCTCCCCAGGAACCCACTGAGTCCTGGTGCTTCTGTAATGTTTTACTATGTGGCTGAGATTGGGGTGTGTGTGTGTGTGTGTGTGTGTGTGTGTGTTCTACTGGATGACTTGGAGGTGGTCAAACTTACAGAGACTCTGAAGGGCCATGAAGAACTGGAGGATAACATGCTTATCTAGAGAGTGTCCTATCTTGGAAGTACCCTAAAAATGGTTTTTACTAGCATTTTTGAAAGGGCAGAAGCTTCAGCTCTGTTTAGAAATAGGGCTGTGGACATTTGTCCTTCTGGTTCTATTTAGACAGGCTGCATGAAACACAAGTGCAGTTACAAATTGTTGTAGGAAGCCTCACAGTTATGCAACTTGAACTCTGATTATATCTGCATAATTAAGGACCCAGATGTGGGTCCTTAATAATTTTTAAGAGTGTGAAGGGGTCCTGTGACCAAAAAGTTTGAGAAATGCTTGCTAGAGGAACAGTCAGGAAACAGGAGGTTTTTTTTTTTTTTTTTTTTTTTTTTATATATATTTGTATTCATCCATTTGACATTCTCTTACTTTACTAACTAATACCTTTAGATCTGAATTTCAATTTTCTTTTTTTTTTTTTGAGTTGCACAAAATTTTTATTTTTTTATTTTTTATTTTTTATTTTTTATTTTTTTTTAATTTTTTTTTATTATACTTTAAGTTTTAGGGTACATGTGCACATTGTGCAGGTTAGTTACATATGTATACATGTGCCATGCTGGTGCGCTGCACCCACCAACGTGTCATCTATCATTAGGTATATCTCCCACTGCTATCCCTCCCCCTTCCCCCGACCCCACCACCGTCCCCAGAGTGTGATATTCCCCTTCCTGTGTCCTGGGATACATGTGCATAATATGCAGGTTTGTTACATAGGTATGTGCCATGTAACATGTGCCATGCTGGTTTGCTGCACACATCAACCTGTCATCTACATTAGGTATCCATAAGCTTAGTTCAGCTATGGGGAAAAAGCACATGTTAAAAGCAGTAGATAGGCAAGGATTAGGTAAGAATCATGGTCAGGGAAAGTAATTAGAAATCAGGAAGTCAGCGGGTATACCAAGGAGGCGGCATGAAATAAGGGAGCAAGAGAAAGCCTATTTTCTGTGAGCTTTCTGAGGACCCACATTGTATCTCTACCACAGCTTATAAAGCAGGATGTTTGTCAATGATCGAATTGATAAGTATAAATAATGTTGAATCAAACATATGTTGAGAAACAGATGAGATGTTTATCGCAGGATTATTTATAATGGAAGAAACAAATATATAAAAAGAAGAAAAAGATTTAATACATCGTAATTTATTCTAGGAGGGAATTAATGTTTTCAGGTAATATTTAATGACATTACAAAATGTGAAATGGAAAAGAGACTTCATGTGAAACTGTGTATATAATACGTTTCTGGTTATCTAAAATATATATGCATGTACAAGTGTACACTTTGGCAAATTTGTCTGTCTCTCTAAAGATACATAACAAAATGATAATCATGTCTAACTCTGGGACATGAAAAGAGGTGTGATATTTTCTTTATAGTCTTTTGATTTTCCAAAATGTTTTCAGTGGTGACACATCAATTTTACAGTTAGAAAAAAGTCCAAGTTTTTCACACATACATACATGCTTTTTCTAAGCCACTAGAGAAAGGTTCAGGTCAAGTTTCATATTGAAAGAGCTTCCTGCCCTAGGCTCAGAACTTTATTTATTTGCTGCCTGTGTGAAGCTGCTCTGAACCTCTGGAGGGAGCAGAGGCAGGTGAGAGCTCCAGGCAGAGGTGGGCATTGGCAGCCAGATATTGCCTACACTAGAGGAAAGACACAAGTACAAGAAGTTGCTTTAATTTGAACTGCAGTACTTGATGCTCCATGTGAAGAACTTTAACAAACTCCAGGCTCAGAAGGAGGCCGGCCTGCTGCAGGGCCATCAAGGAAAGCACAAGAAAGCTTGTAGCAGTAAGAACAACAAAGGAAAGAAGGAATGACTGGGGGACTGGCAGCCTTGTTTTCCCTTTGCCATTTGGAAGGAAAAAAACCTAGGCTTATTATAGGAGGAAAAAATAATAATTAAAAGTATGTATGATGTATTATATATATACGCACACATGCACCTGCATATATACATCGTACTAGCTAATGTTTTCAGTGGTTTCCATTTTCTAGTGCTGTAGAACACAAATTGTCCTATATTGCCTCAATTTTACCTTTTTTCTTCTCTCTTTAGAATATAGGAAATCTGTGACATTTAAAAGTGAAAGGACCCTACAAAAAATTAACTCAAAGTGGATCATAGACCTCAGCGTAAGAACTAAAACTATATAACAATTAGAAGCAAACACAGGAGTAAATCTGTATGACCTTGGGTTAGGCAGTGATTTCTTAGATACAACACCAAACCATAGGTGACAAAAGAAAAAAATGGATAAACTGGACTTCATAAAAATTAAAAACTCTTGTGCTTCAAAGGACACCATCAAGAAAGTGAAAATGCAGTCCAAAGAAAGGGAGAAGATATTTCCAAATAATTTATCTGGTAAGGGACTTGAATCTAGAATATATAAGGAACTCTTATAAATCGATAATAAAAAGACAACCCAATTGAAAAATGGACAGAGGATCTGAATAGATATTTCTCAAAAAAATACGTAAAAATGGTTAGTAAACGCATGGAAAGATGTTGTCATTAAACATCAGGAAAAATGCAAATAAAAACCACAATGAGATATCACTTGAAACCTGGAATTATAGTTACAAAAAAAAAACAGATAATAAAAAGTATTATCCAGGATGTGGAGATATTGAGACCCTCATAAACTGCTGGTGGGAATTTAAAATGGTGTAGGACCTTGAAAAACAATCTGGAAGTTCCTCAGAAAGCTATAATAAAATTACCATTTGGTCCAGCAATTTTACCCCTAGTTGAAAATGTATGTCCACACAAAAATTTGTACCCAAATGTTCATAGCAGCATTGTTCATAATAGCTCGAAGTGGAAACAACCCAAATGCTTAGCAGCTGGTGAATGGACAAACACAATACGATATATCCCTACAGTGGAACATTATTTAGCCATAAGATGTAATGAACTACTGATACATGCTACAACATAGATCAGCCTTGGAAATATTATGCTAAGTGAAATAATCCAGTTATAAAATGCTACATATTGCATGATTCCATTTATATGGAATGTCAAGAATAGGCAAATCTGTAGAGACAGAAATTAGATTAATGATTGCCGAGGGCTGGTGGAAGAGGAGGTAAAGAGAGGCAGTAAGTACAAGATTTCCTTTTGAATTGATAAAAATGTTCTAAAATTAGTTGAGATGTTTGCACAACTCAACTGTGAATATAGTAAAAATCATTGAAATTACACACTTTAAATAAGTGAGCTTAATGGTATGTAACTTATATATTAATAAAGCTGTTAAAAAACCAAAAGGTATGTAGCCAACATAGATAAAATGTTAAAACTCACAAATAATAAATTACAAGTTTAAACAACTGTTGTATGTTATTACATCCATCCAATCAGCAGAAATATGTAAAAATTACAGTCTTTAAGAGAAGGTAAGGGCAATAGGCACTGTCACATTGAAGGAAAGAGTATACATTGGTACACTTTCTAGAGAGCTGTCAGATGAACCAGACATATTTATAAGGCCTTGGCTCAGAAAGGAAAATATAAACTAACCAGCAAGCAAAGAATTCTGATCTTAAACAATAAATAACAAAATTGTATCTCCATTTACTCATGAGTACACACATTCAATGATACACTTTCTTGCTTGTAAAATTTATAATTAACATAGGTTGTTGAGTCAACATGGGATGGGCAAAATTCAAGGCAAATAAGAGTATCATTAGTTGTTTTGATGCATGTCCCATAGAAAATACGGGCTATTTTGTTGACTTTTCATACAAAATTCTGTGGGTATTGTTCAAGTTCTACTTATACAAAATATGTTGTAGGTTATGCCACTTAGAGCTTCCTTGTTGTCTGACAACAGATTTAGATGGAAGGGCCTGATAATCTTATCAGTTAATGTCTTCATTCCAGTTGAGTTTTAGGGTAGCCCAAATGTGGGTAAAAAATTTGCAGAAATATTGTTTTTCATTAGCTGTGTTCCTTAGCTAAAGAAGAGAAAACAATAACAATATTCAACAATTTAGGAATGGTTAAGTAAAATATGAAATATAAGTGTCATTAAAAAGAAATGTGGGCTTTTCCAGTATACATTCTCAATATCTTTTTATTTGTTCATTTGTTTTATTGGTTTATTTGCCATCTATATAATTTCTCTGGTAAGGTGTCTGTTCAGGTCTTTTGTACAGTTTTTTTGTTGTTGTTGTTTATGGGCTTTATTTAGAAATCCACATTAGTGATTCTGATAGTTAGGATATTAACCCAATAATTCCTTTTCTTTGTGGTTTATTTATTTATTATACTTTAAGTTCTGGGATACATGTGCAGAACATGCAGGTTTGTTACATAAGTATACTTGTTGCACAGTTTTTAATTAGGTTGTTTATTTTCTTGTTGTTGAGCGTTAAAGTTTCTTTGTATATTTTGGATAATAATATACAAAGACATAGCCTTTATCAGGTATGTCTTTTGCATATATTTTTCCCAGTTGGTGCCTTATCTTGTCATTCTATTGACACTGTCTTTTGCAGAACAGAAGTTTTTAAATTTCATGAAGTCCAGCTTATCATTTGATTCTTTCACGGATTGTGCCTTTGGTATTGTATCTAAAAAGTCATTGCCACACTTGAGGTCATCTAGATTTTTTTCCTATGTTATTTTCTAGGAGTTTTATGGTTTTGCACTTCACATTTAGGTCTATGATCCATTTTTAGTTAATTTTTGTGAAGGGTGAAAAGTCTTTGTCTAGATTTAGTTTCTTGCATGTGGATGTCCAGTTGTTCTAGCATAATTTGTTCAAAGACTACCTTTACTTAATTTTATTGCCTTTGTTCCTTAGTCAAAGATCTGTTGATATTTTTATGTAAGTCTATTTCTGGGCTATCTGTTCTGTTCCTTTGATCTGTTTGTCTGTTCTTTCACAAACATGACAGTGTCTTGATTACTGTAGCTTTATAGCAGGTTTTGAAGTTAAATAGACCTGTTCGTTTCACTAAAGAAAGGTTGAGGAGGAGGGTAGGGAAGATGGATACCAAATTTCCACCTTTTATGTAATAGAGGCTAGATGTAAAGATCTGGCTTTAGGTATTTTGGCCAAGTGGGTGTGCCAATTCTGAACCTGTAATTTTACCCAGTCTTAGCATTCAGGTAATCATATAAGTCCCTTCACTTCTTTAGGGCTGTGCAAGTAAAAGAATGGAGAAATGCCACAGTTTCACTCTCCAAATTCCCATTACCAGAAGGAAACAATGGAAGTGGGGAAGAAATTCCCCACTAATAGAACTTCTAAAAGAAATAAAAATTACACAAGTGCCTCTCATTTAGCTTAAGAAAGAGCACTTGCAAGTAACTTAGAAGCCCCCGTTTCACCACAAAGATAACTACTATCCTGAGTTTTGTGTTAACCATCCCCTTTATTTTCTTTAGTTTTATCATTTATCACATGTGTATGTATCCCTAAATTAAATATACATCTCATCGTTTTTTGGATTCATAAACTTCGATGGGAAAAAAAGTCATACCTTTATTTTCACTAGCTTGTTTTCACAATTTTCATTATTTTCACTATTTCATTGCCTTTGATTACATTTATTTATTTATTTATTTATTGAACTGGTAGGTTTAATTTTTTCCTCCAGCTTTATTAAACTATAATTGGCAAAGAAAAAATGTATATATTTATGGTGTATAACATGAAGAGTTAATATATGTATACATTATGAATTGATTAAATGAAGCATATATGCCCCAGAACACGCATCCATCACCACACAAATGTATTTATTGTAGTGAGAACATTTAAGATATACTCTCTTAGATATTTTAAAGTATAAAATGCATTTCATTAATTATAGTCATAATGTACAATAGATCTCTAGAATCTATTCATCCTGTCTAACTGAAACTTTGTGCTCTGTAACCTAAAATGTCTTGTAGTTATAACAGTTTATTTTAAGCTGATAGCAGTGTGACTTCAACTGCATACAAAAACTCTACACTAACTTCTCCTCCCAGGATAAGTTAAAGTGTAGAGTTCTACATCGCTTCTAATTTTGTTGAACTTCTAATTTTGTATAATTGTTTTTATAATAATTTTATGTTATTGATGCCACAATTTATATATATTTATATATTGTATATCCATTAACAAGTTATTATAGCTACACTTATTTTTAATGCTTTTGTCTTTTAACTTTTATACTAGAATTAAAAGCGATTTATCCATCACCATTACAGTAGATGATTCTGAATTTGACTATAATCTTACCTTTAAAGTGAATTTTATACTTCTACATGTTTTCATGTTGTTAATTAGTGTCCTTTCACTTCAACTTTAGGAAATGCCTTCAGCATTTCTTGTTAGGCAGGTCTCATGGTGATAAACTCCCCTAGCTTTTATTTTTCTGGGAAAGTCCTTATCGTTCCCTCATTTCTGAGTGTAATAGTCTTGGTTGGCAGTCCTTTCTTTCACCACTTTGAATATGTCATCCCACTGTCTCCTGGCCTGCAAGGTTTCTGCTGAGAAATCTGCTGATAGTCTTATGTAAGTTTTCTTGTTTGTGATGAGTTGCTTCTCTGTTGCTGCTTTCAAAATTCACTTTGACTTTTGAGAATGATTTAATGTGTTTCAGTGATGATCTCTTTATAGTTAATCTATTTAGTGTTATTTGGAATTCATGAATCTGGATGTTCATTTCCTGTCCAAATTAGGGAAGTATTCTGTTATTATTTCTTTAAATAACTGTTATGCCCCTTTTTCTTTCTCTATTCCTTCTGGGACCCCGTAATTCCTATATCAGTTCTCTTGATGATATCCTATACTCATGTAGGCTTTTTTCAGTCTTTTTAAATTCTTTTTTTCTCATGTTTCTTTGACTGAGTAGTTTCAAATGACCTGCCTTTGAGCTCACCTTCTATAGTTTGATCAAATCTGCTGTTAAAGCCCTTTATGGAATTTTTCAGTTAAGACATTGTATTCTTTAGCTCCAGAATTTCTGTTTAGTTCTTTTTATGGTTTCTGTCTCTTTGTTGAACTTCTAATTTTGTGTAATTGTTTTCCTGGTTTTTGTTTGGTGGTCAATCTGAGATCTCTTGTAGTTTACTGAACTTCTTTTTTAGAGACAGGATCTCGCTCTGTCGCCCAGGCTGAAGTGTGTTGGCATGATCATAGTTCAGTACAGCCTTGAATCCCCGGACTAAAGTGATCCTCCTGCCTCAGTCTCCTGAGTAGCTGGAACTACAGGCATGTGCCACTATGCCTGGCTAATTTTTAAAAAGTTTTTTGTAGAAATGTGTTCTCACTATGTTGCCCAGGCTGGTCTCAAACTTGTGGCCTCAAGCGATTCTCTCACCTCCACTTCCAAAGTGTTGGGAATTACAGGCACAAGGCACCATGCCCACCTCACTGAACTTTTTAAAGATGATTATTTTGACCTCTTTATCAGAAAATGTATAGATCTCCATTTCTTTAGGGCCAGTCACTGTTGCTTTGTTTTGTTCTTTGTTGGTGGTTTTGTGTTTCCCTGATTATTTGTGATTTTTGTGACCTTGTGTTGGTGTCTGCACATTTTAAGAATTAGGCATCTAGTCTAGTCTTAACTAACTTCAGCAAGGAAAGTCCTTCACCAATCAGCCCGTCCAGAGATTCTTGATGGGCTGTCTGGTGGATTTCTCAGGCAGGATTGCTGATACAGTCCTTGAGCAGGCTGGCCTGGTGCCTGGGTCAGTAGGTATATGAGTCTGGTGCTTGAATCTATGGGGTTGGGCCTGAAGCCTTGGTCCACTGGGCTTGCTTGGCACTTAGGTCCATGGGGGCGGACTTGAAACCTGTAACCATGGGCCTGGCCTGAAGCCTGGCTCTACAGAACTTGGCCAGGTGCTGGGGTGGCCCTTAAGCCTGAACCTATGGGAGCCAGGTTAGAACCTGGGTCCACAGGGGTGTTCCTGAAGGCTGGGTCTGTGGATGCCAGCCTGGTGCCTGGGACCATGGAGGCTAGCTTATTGCCTTCAATTATGAATGTAGATTATAAATCATTGTTCTGGGAAAGGTTCCATGAGCTTTACCAGACTACCATGGCACATTCCTAATAGAGTATTTTCCTAGGAGTAGCTTTGCTGGATCATCTCAGGGAATGTGTTTTCACACTATTAATAGGAAACTATCATACTCTCCATTCTAGTCTTTCTCGCCAGGATTCCTCATCTACCACAGAACACAGATAATAATATGCATAACTGTTTTCTTAGTTTTCCAAAGGATGATATATAACCATCCTTTTCATTTTAGATGGGTAGGAGAGAAGTTCATTTGTTATAGACAAGGGATTTGTTAGGGCATTAGGGCTTACTTCTCTCCAGAATCACACACAGTTTTGGCATTAAGTTCTTTGTTGGTGCTATGAAACTTCTCTTTCCTGCCTTGGGGTTTGTACTTAGACCATGGCACTGCCACTTACTGGGAGTATGACTTTGAGTGGTTATTTAAACCTATTTCATTTTCAGTGTACATACTGTAAAATGATGGTGATGTAGACATCTTGGGTTTATTTAGAAATTAAATAAAATAATTTTTGTAAAGTAACTAGCACATTTATTGGCACAAAATAGAATGGTACTCCCATTCTCTGTAAGAAATCAGAGATGTGTATGTTAATATATACAGTAGTATCCATAGGTTCTACATCTATGAATTCAGCCAACTGCAGATTGAAAATATTTGAAAAAAATTCTGCCAAGTTCCAGAAAGCAAAACTTGAATTTGCTGCACCCTGAGTACTACATTGAATCTACATGAATAAAGTGATGGATAGGGAGTATTAGGTATTATAAGTAATCTAGAGATGGTTTAAAGTGTACAGAAGAATGTGCATAGGCTATATGCAAATACTATAGCATTTTATATCAGGGACTTGAGCTTCTGTAGATTTTGGTATCTGCAGAGGGTCCTGGAATCCATTCCCCAGCAGATACCTAGGGATGACTAATTACATTTTCCATCTCTTTCTTTCTTCCTTGAAATGCTGAGAGTTGTTTTTAATTTTATCTTTGTTACTCCAGTGAAATCATATTTGATTCTGGCTTCCATATTGCTGTTAGTTTTTTTAGTTCAGACTTTGCTTGGGCTTAGCCGAAGAGTTGTCACTAATCACTAGAAGCTTTAGAAAAGATGATGTGGAGGTCATAAGGAGCCCTTGTTGTCGGGCTTGTCAAAAGCTGCTATTTCAGTGTCATTATTGCACCCTGCTTTAGTTGTGCTCTGCACCTCTAATTGCTCTTTAGTCTTTGAAGTAATTCTTGTCACTTTGCCTTAGTAAGATTGTGTGTTCCAGCTCTTAGTATAAGTAACTCTGTATTTAATTTGGCTAGATTTACTTGGTATTTGCCAAATTAGTGCAATTTCCTTAGGTAAGATATAATTTACAACAGGATGACACCTCATAATTTAAATAGCAGCTGTTGAGGGGAGGCAAACAGTTACGAATTACTCTTTCTCTTCCTTTGAAAAAGAGCTGTGCTATGGTGCTGTGAGGAAATGAACAAAGTGTTTTAGGACATTCTTGGTCATATGTTGTTTGATTTACATGGACAAAGGAAAAAAAACCTACTCATTTGAATTTGCTTTGAAATGTTAACATAATTTAGATTCCTGTAAGATAATTTTGAAAGAACAACTCTCTTGTTACTAAAAGAAATTCTTCCTGTTTGCTAGTTCATGTAATGGGTAATGGCCCAGTTCACCTACATCTGGGGAGGGGGTGTTTCTTTTTTGAAACGGTGAGAATTTATGTGCATGTATCATTCATTTATTTCTGAAGTATTTACTGAACACTTTTTATGTGTTAGGTACTGTGATAGACACTGGAGATATAATTGTAGGCAATATGGGTACTGTTTCTGCTTTCCTGGTGCAAATGGACCATGATGTCCAGAAGGTTTAAGTTTGGTCTCTTGATCTCAGTCATGGAAGAGACTGTATGCAGGAGGATGTGATCCATAGAGGATCAATAACCTGTTGTTTGAAAAACTATAAGTTTTTTATATATTTCCATTTATATTTCCTTTGGCAATTAAGAACATTTAAAAGAAAGTGCTGGTGGATTTCATTTGAGCTAAGTAGAATGTAGGAAATTCTTCTGCCATCCATATACCTCGTTCTATGTAGGCAGCCACAGACCAATGAGGGAAGAGTATGTAAGTTGCAGCAAGTAAAACAGCCTTGCTGGAGATGGACACTTATTAAGACAATCTGGCTGCTGGGTCAGATGCCCTGTCCTACCTGGAGCTTCTCATTCCAGTGCCTAATCTGTGAAGACTTGAACATCCTGTGTTCTAATAAGAGGCCTTATATACTAGACATGCAACTTTTAACAGTAACATTATAAAGTTGGAATTTTTGGGGACCATTATGGCTAGAAAGACCATGGAATGGAGAAAGGCTAGCGTTAAGATGGGGAATCCTGTTTTCTCCCCATTAATCCTGCCATTGATCCTGACAAAATTAATCAAGGGCCAATTGTAAGGCAAAAATATACAACAAATAAACTAAATGGGGAAATGAGTGAACATTAACACACATCTATTATGTACTAGGTAGTATTTTGTTATTTCTAAATTTTCATATTCAACTAATCTTTTATAACTTAGAAAAGGAGACATCAATGTATATTAAATGAATACTTAAAATATGCTTTTATGTATACTATCTCTAAGGAAGTAAGAAGGTTAGAAATGGGGGGATGGAGAGTGAGAAAGGTAAGAGAAAAGGGGATGGGGATGACACTGACTCTGGTGAGATTGAGAGATAGAGACAGGAGAAGCTACATGGAGGGAATAGAAAGCAGGTGGAGAGGTTCTCACCTCGATTAGTAATTTGGACAGTTACTTCAGAATCAAATTTTAGTAACTACTACTATTCCTTAGAATTCAAATTAATGCTTAAGCAATTACTTTTTAATGCTCTAGAAATAATCAAACAGGAGAGTCACAGCAGCCCTTTCCACCCTTACTTTCCCATCTTCCACATCCCCAAGAGGATATTTTGCTAAGGACTCTGCCTAAAGCACTATCACAGTATGGGATATTTCCTGAGAGTCCAATAAAATTAAACAGAGATGGACTTGGATCAGAGAGAGAAAGAATAACGGTTGAATTAAGTATTTTCATGTATTTCAAAAGTCATGCAAAGTGTGAGAACCAACCACAGTTGTCCCTTGAATTACAATGGGGACATGTCCTGATAAACCTATCACAAATTGAAAATATCGTAAGTCAAGCTGTTACAGGAAAAGGGTCCCAATCCAGACCCCAAGAGAGGGTTCTTGGACTTCAAGCATGAAAGAATTCAGGGTGAGCCCATAGAGTAAAGTGAAAGCAAATTTATTAAGAAATTAAATGAATAAGACCGGGTGTGGTGGCTCATGCCTGTAATCCTAGCACTTTGGGAGGCCAAGGAGGGCGGATCCCCTGAGGTCGGGAGTTCGAGACCAGCCTGAGCAACATGGCAAAGCCCTGTCTGTCCTAAAAATACAAAAATTAGCCAGGCATGGTGGTGGGCACCTATAATCCCAGCTACTCGGGAGGCTGAGGCAGGAGAATCACTTAAACCCAGGAGGCGGAGGTTGCAGTGAGCTAAGATTGCACCATTGCACTCTAGCCTAGGTGACAGAGTGAGACTCCATCTCAAAAAAAAAAAAAAGAAAGTAAAGGAATAGAAGAATGGCTACCCCATAGACAGAGCAGCCCTGTGGGCTGTTGCTTGCCCATTTTTATGGTTATTTCTTGATAATATGCTAAACAAGAGGTGGATCATTCATGCCTCCCCTTTTTAGACCATATAGGGTAATTCCTGACATTGCCATGGCATTTGTAAACTGTCACGGCACTGGTGGAAATGTAGCAGTGAGGATGACCAGAGTTCACTCTTGTGGCTATCTTGGTAAAGGCTTCTTTATTACAACTTGTTTTATCAACAAGATCTTTATGACCTGTATCTTCTGCTGACCTCCTATCTCATCCTGTGATTTAGAATGCCTGAACCATCTGGGTATGCAGCCCAATAGGTCTCAGCCTCATTTAACCCAGCTCCTATTCAAGATGGAGTTGCTCTGGTTTAAACACCTCTGACATTTCCCCCCTCCCTTCTATAAGAGAACCTTTAATCCTAAGGGTTGCAGAGGGATAAATATCCATCTTCTGTAACTTCTTCAGGCTGAAAGGGGTGATGGTATTTCTGCCTATTAGCATCTCTTGTGTTCAGGGTAGGGAGGAGCTCAGTCAGAAAGCATCAGTATGGTGAGGGCTATCCGTGACTCTTGAGTTCCGACAAGAGGCAATATCTGGAAGATTAATAAGTGTTTAGTTTAAGAAAACATTCAGAAAGCTTGTCCTGCATTTCTACAAAAAGACTACAACAGCAATACATTACACAACAGTAAAGCAACATAAGTAAAAATATCTCAAGAAAACCAAGTAAGAAGGCTTTCCATGAACTGGGCAACTGTTGGAACCAAGCTGATATGGGTTTGCTAGCCAATTCCAATATATGCACAGAATTAGAATACTGATCCAGATTTTTACATTACCCATCCATTTTGTTTTTTTTCTGAGCAGCAGTCAGAGATTACTGGTTGGTTCACAGGAATAAGCAGCGTTAGCCTAAGTTACAGAAACAAACTTAAAAACAACTGATGAGACTATAATCTAATAACAGATGTACCATAGTTCTTGAAATATAATTTTTCTCTCTCCCGTTTCCCATTTTTACTAAAGACAAATCATGGTAAGACTGATTTGCTTTATTATACTTGGCCTGTTTATTTGTATAAGTGCAGCAAGAATAATTATAATAATTATTTTTCACATAAGCTCTTTCAAATTGGCTTTGATGGAACTCTGTTCCATAGAAGGATTCTTAGATAAGACTTTTTTAGAGCTGAGCCCTGCTGTGGGTTTGTACTCTCTAATACCTATGAATTGGGTAAATTCCTTTCCTTTTGAGGTCCCAAGATAACTTGGGGTTCCTGGACTTGTTAGAAAGTCACATTCTTTACTTACTACAGGTCAGAAACTCTGTATAGGGACTGTCATAGACAAGGTCTAAGGCTAGTTCCTCAAGCGGCTTTTATTGGCTTTACAAGTCAAGTTTGAGTCCTTAAAGGAAAGCACACCATTCCAGTCAAAGCCTCGGTAAAATAACCGGTTTCTTCAATTGTGTCTTAGTATTGCAAAAGAAAACAGATTTGTATTGCACTTATGCAAGTAACTATATTGCCATAAATTAAGAATACTTACAACTACTTTCCAAATTCTGGAGAAATCAGGTAGAGAGAAACAAATATGCTCCAAATTTTGTTCACAGGAGTTTGTTCAATTGTTACAAGCCTTAAATAACTCAAAAGAAAAGTTTTCTTGACTCTGAAAAACAAAGGATCAGCAACATTTTAAGCAAAGTTAAAAAGATTACTTTAGACTTCTATTGGTTCAGTCAATTCAGTTAATTCGTTTTGCTTGATATTCATGAACATTTCAGCTCTCCATGAGTCCTGAAAGTTTTTCCCTTTTTTTCTGATGTCACAATCTCCAAAGTTATCAGAAACCTGCATTCAAGAACACCTGCTAGAATTTTATAGTTAATTATAAATCAACTTCTAAAGAGGACCAAAACAAGATAACAGTTGTTTGTGGATGACAAAATATCTTGGGACAACCACAGTCAAAAAACACGATTGATAAAGAAATTTGGTTAGCTTTGTGGCATACAATGATTTTATGTAACAATTATTAAAAACATACACTAAGTCATATTAGAATTATAGGAGTTTCCCATAATTTTGGAACATATACCAAAAACACATTTATGCAAATACAGCCCAAAGGAAACCAAACACCATTTTATATTTGACAATGCTTCCTGTAGGATTTTAATATCAAGTAAGCCAGATATCACTGTTGCATTAGTGCACTACTGATGTTAAACCCAATTTTTAATGAAACCTTACAGACAAATGTATTCAATCTTAATCAGTTTGATCATAAGGTAAAATTTTAATAAACCTTTTATAACCCTGTACAATTTTTGTTAAAGAGCAGATCATAAGCAGGTTTTTGCTCTAAGAAAAACCTATTGTGCTTTTATTCCAATGTTTAATTTACAGAAAAACTGAATAATACCCCTTTAACTTTAGCCAATATGTTCACAGACAGAATTTGTTTTACAAGATTAATTTTTCACAAACTTTCCACAACTTGCTTAAAACTTCAGCTTTTCCTATCTTACTTAAAACAATCCTGTAGCTCTCTAAACTTAGGCAAAAAAAATCCACATTCCCATGGCTTCTTATAATCTTTTACCAAAAACACATTTCACTTTCTTTATACACCTCGCATGTAAAACTGTTCCTTCAGTAGTCTCAATTACATGTAACAATGTTAACTCTTAGCAACTTTTACTTTTGATGAAAACCTTGGTAAGTTCGGGATTTTAATTATGTACCATGCGTGGAGCCTAGGACAGCAGACAGAAGTGCAGATAAGAGCTGACTTTTTCCAGCATAGTTAGGGGGTGTGGCTAACTCCACATGTCCCCAGCTGTATCTAGAATCTAATGCTCCAAAATCAATTGAACAGTTTTCAAAAGTCAAAGAAGCAGTTTATTACCCTAAAGCATTTAGCAAACTTAATATCTGACCAGCATAATTTAGACTAAATGTTTACATTTCTGAAGATATTTTATTTTACCAATAATCCTTTACAATTACCTTTATTTCCCAAAGATTATTTAAATCACGTGAACTAAATAAAAGGCATTATACCTTTTACTTTTCTCACAAAATATTTGATTTAACCTCTTATTATTAAACCAATTAATCAAAGCTCTTTCATATATAAACATCACACACACAATACATATAAATACACAGACAGAAGAAGATAAAGGACTTATCCCCTAAGCTTGGAATCAAACCCTGAACCTAGGCTGCCATTGTGACAAGAGAAAGCATGGCCACACGGTTACAAGGTCAAGCTCCCAAGGACATACAAGACAAGAGGGAAACCTCATCCATTTTTTTCAGGGACCTGCAGCAAAGTTTGTAACTGGCCAGTTTGCTGGGTCGTCTTGAACAGCAGGCTTATAGGTGTCCAAAGCCTGTGTTTTGTCCTAATGTACCTCTCTTGATGACAGAACAATACAGAAAGACATGCAAAGCAGACCGGATTTGTTACAGCTTAAGACTAGCCTCACAAATCCTTTTTCCCATGAATCAAAACTTTACAGAAGATAAACAGTGATTTTTACCATTCATTCAACCAGTTTGCACAGAATGAGCGAGAGAGAGGAAAGCATTGCCTGAAGCAGGGTGGGGAAGGCGAGTTACTTAGAGAGGCCAGGGAAAGATCCACACACTGCAGTGACACTGAAAAGTTCAGGTGACCGCTTGTCGGTAATGAAGGGATCTTTTCCAGCAGTCCCATCAGCTCTCAAGTTTCCCCTTTTAGGGTGAAAAAAGCTCCCCATGTCCCACGATCCTGTACATGCCTAATTCTGTCACCCATAGCGGTCAGCAAAGAGTACAAGGCAGATTATTCCAAACAGAATAGCAGTTAACATCCCATAGTGTCAAATCCGTTCTTAGGCAAAAGGGACTTTACCAAGAGGGACTTTACTGAGAGAGGCCTTTAACCCCCTAAGTCTTAGAAGGGACTCTAACCATCCTAAGTTAGGCCTTTAACCCAAGGTCAGTCAAGTGTCCTTGCCTTTTATTAAGTGGGGCCTCTAATCCACTCTGTCTTAGGAGAGACTCTAATTCCCCTAAGTTGGGCCTCTAACCCAATCCCATTCGTTACCCAGCTACCCCACCACCACTTACCCAGAGTTATTGAATCAGTGCTGCAGTCTATTTCCTTTGGGTGGGGGGTCACCTCAGTATCATCCATTCTGTGGTTCGCCAGAAAGATGTTACTGGACCCCACCACTTACCCAAAGTTAGCTTTTGGGTTGGGGGTTTCTGCACTATAGTTGCTTCCGTGGTCACCAGAAAGATGTTATAGGACACCACCACTTACCCTAAAGTTAGCTTTTGGGTCAGGGGTTTCCTCACTCTAGTCCCTTGGTGGTCTCCAGAATGATGTTACAGGAAAGGGGTCCTGATCCAGACCCCAAGAGAGGGTTCTTGGATCTTGTGCATGAAAGAATTCAGGGCGAGTCCGTAAAGTGAAAGCAAGTTTATAAAGAAAGTAAAGGCATAAAACAATGGCTACCCCATAGACAGAGCAGCCCCAAGTGCAGCAGCTTGCCCTTTTTTATGGTTATTTCTTGATCATATGCTAAACAACGAGTGGATTATTCATGCCTCCCCTTTTTAGACCATATAGGGTAATTCCTGACGTTGCCATGGCATTTGTAAACTACCATGGCACTGGTGGAAGTATAGCAGTGAGGATGACCAGAGGTCACTCTTGTGGCTATCTTGGTTTTGGTGGGTTTTAGCCAGCTTCTTTACTGCAACTTGTTTTATCAGCAAGGTCTTTACGACCTGTATCTTCTGTTGATCTCCTCTCTCATCCTGTGACTTAGAATGCCTTAACCATCTTGGAATGCAGCCCAGTAGGTCTCAGCCTCATTTTACCCAGCTCCTTTTCAAGATGGAGTTGCTCTGGTTTAAATGCCTCTGACAAAACCATTGTAAGTCAGGGACTGTGTGTATAGTCATTATCTGAACTGAGAATGCAATAGGAGAAACAAACTCAAGTAAGTATTCTGAGGAACTTAGCATAGACAATAAGAACTTAATTACTAACAAAGAGGGCTGTTAAAATTAAGGTGGGTTTTTAGATGTCTAATGTGAAAATTTAACAAATTTTTGGAAAAGGAGACTGTTTACCCATGAAAATTAATTGTTAATTTTGTATATGCATTGACCCACTCAAGACTATAGACATATCTCTATAATTCTGGGATTATGCATGTGGTAAAAATTTGTGTCTGGGTTCGAAATGATGTGGTTTTACAGTGTGGGTTTTAGGGCCTGTAAAACTGTTTTTTTTTTTTTTTAGATAGAGTCTTGCTCTGTCGCCCAGGCTGGAGTGCAGTGGCACCATCTTGGCTCATTGCAACCTCTGCCTCCCAGGTTCAAGCGATTCTCCTGCCTCAGCCTCCCAAGTAGCTGGGACTACAGGCGCCCACCACCACGCCTGGCTAATTTTTGTATTTTTAGTTGAGACGGGGTTTCACCATATTGCTAGGCTGGTCTCGAACTTCTGACCTTGTGATCCGCCCCCTCAGCCTCCCAAAGTGCTGGGATTACAGGCATCAGCCACTGCACCTGGCCTGTAAAACTTTTTATATAAGATGATTTTTTGATATTTCAAGCACAGATGATTTGAGTTGATGGGAGTTCATTGTCAGAATATATAGAGTAATAAAAAGAATATGAATTGATCTCGTTCCCCCTGACCTGGGCCTCAAGGCTACAACGCTGGTTCTAGTAGTTTGAGATTAGTCCTGTTTATGCCACAGTAACTGTAAAAGTAGTTCTGAACTCTAGGACAATGACCTTTCAACTTTTTTTTTAACATTTATTTTAGGTTCGTGGGTACATGTGTAGGTTTGTTATTAGGTAAACTCACTGTGACATGATCTTTCAACTTTTTGGATCATATGTCCCATCAGAAAAAAAGTAAGCATAATCGATACACACTTATTTATAAGTTACATATATGTATTACTATAGTACTGAGTTGCCCACATTATTGAACATAAGCAGAAGAAAGTTCTAAAATAGGGGATAAATAAAAGTAAATCTGATTTCTGGAATTTTCCTCCACATCCTAGTAGATTGTTTGGGTACTCCCCTGAAATGTGCACACCCTTTTTGAACCCCCTGCCCTGGTCTTTTGCCAGTGTGGTGACTCAGCCGTTTTCGTTGCTTGGGCGGTGTTAACTAGCTGCGTGATCTTGAGCAGATATCTTTATTTAACTGATTTGTAAAATGACGGTAATTGTACATATCTCATTGGATTGCTTTGGAGATTAAATGCCACCTGATCTCTAAAGTTTTTAGCACAGTGTATGAAACATTAGCTATTTTTTCCCTTTGGTGAGTTTCTCTTTATTTTCCTCTATTTCACGACTTCTGTTCATTCATATACCTACTTCCTTTTCTTCTGCGTCAGGACTTTGCTTAGAGCCTTCTGTCTGTGTGTTTCTTCTGGTTTCCTTTCTAAGTCTCATGTACAGAGAGGGGATCTGTTTGGCCTAATTGGTTATAGCCATATGACCCATTTTGCCTGGAGCAATACTGGTTTCCACCTGTTGTCCCAGTACAACTATGGTGGTTCTTTTACCTTTTCCAGGTGTCCTGAGTTGGAAATAAAGCACAGGGTGAACTTCTTAACAAGTCACCATCAAGTATAGACGACCTGTTTGGGGGGCAGATGTCTTCTATGAAGGATGACTCCTTGTCATTGCACAGCTTAGAGATGGCTCTCTGGCTATCTTCAGATGATGTGTTAACCAGAAGAGGAGGGTCCCATCTATAAGGACATGATGGGGTGGCATGGTGAGTGTGACATGACCTCAGAGAGATGTCTAGTACAAGAGGTCACTATTAATCCACAGAACAATAGATGACTTTAGGAGAGGGCTGGACAGTTGGAGTCTATAACCATGGTGGCTGTCTACCCACATTGCAACAATGAAAATCCAGAATTTACTGGGCATTGAACTTGGAAATCCGAACCTGCAATCTGAGGCTCAGCATCATGGTGAATATTTTCTAAGTTGAGAAAATGTTCTTTTGATTTGGAATAAAATGTGCTACTCTTATGCAAGGTTACACTCACACTCATAGCAGGAGTTAGAAATAGGTCTTCTTGTTCTGCACCAGGTGCTCTAGAAAGAGCAGTATAGTTTCTTGTTCCCCTAATGTTTACTAAAAACTTGTTGCTACTTGTCTTGTGGGTTTTTCAATTCTGGCTTCATGTTTTAACCCTACTAGACACTCAGCAAATATGAATTAGCAATTGTGAAGTTTATTCTAACAGTGTCAGCAAAAAAAAGAAAAAGAAACCCATACATGATTACTGAATAATGCACATTTTCTTCACTTTCAAGTAATTTCTATAACTGTGTTCTTGAGGCATAGTACTTAAAATTACTACTTTACTTAGGAAGTCATAGATAGGGGACACATGCCACTATGAAGAAAATGGAATATTAAGGTGTTTTGATTTTTAATCCTATTTCATGACCTTTATTGGAAATGGTAACATAAGAAACTAATGGATAAGTTAACTTTTATATTTCCTGAGGTCTGTAGGCTTGGATTTTTAAAGCGAACATAATCCTGTGATCATCACCCTGAAATTTTACAACCCTGACACAATACTCGAAAACAATGTTATTTATTTCCTCTCTTAGAATCAGGAGCTGGTGGTGAATGTATTGGACCACATCAGTATTTCATTGTTTCTTCAGGAGAAAAAAAATAGTGATTGAAACCTTATGATTACTAGAGTTAAAAAAATCAGTTATGACTTAAAAGATAACTGCAGCTCAGACTTTTCCACTAATGCTTGACATTTTACATTATAGAATAAGCAGTAACTTTTCTTCCAGAAATGTATGAGTCATATGTCCGAGTGGTTGTTGCTTTGGATCAGAGTTCATATTTAATTACCTGGCTTGGACATTTAAAAGTCAGTCCTAACTAATCATAACCATGAGTTCAATTTCTTCCTCTAGTTTCCATCTTGAACTTTCAAACTGCAGAGTAGAGATAATAACCCACAAATGGTTAATAGGGAAATCAAGCTAATA
Source organism: Homo sapiens (assembly GCF_000001405.40). NCBI lineage: Eukaryota > Metazoa > Chordata > Mammalia > Primates > Hominidae > Homo > Homo sapiens. The sequence goes on along the minus strand of NC_000012.12, from coordinate 26,749,098 downwards.
CCTTTGAAGAAAGACTGCAGGTATTTGAGTATACCTGATATCACGTAGTCAAATCTGAGTAATGAATCTCACTTCGTTTAGTCATTTAACACATACATAAAAGGTATGATTTCCCCAGGTTTTGCCCATTTCCTTCACGCTCTTTAGACTTTCATTTTTAAATGTTATCTATTTCTGTGGCTTAAATTACTAAAAACTTGTTGCTACTTGTCTTGTGGGTTTTTCAATTCTGGCTTCATGTTTTAACCCTGCTAGACATCTTTGTACTGATGGGCTGCAAAATTTACATTTTAAGTTCCTTCTAACTCTCCCAGTCTCTCCAGTGACTCATCACCCATGGGTTTCCTGAAGGAAATGGTATTTTAGAATCCCACCTACTGTTTCACAGTTTAAAAAATAACTTAAGCAAGTATCAAGGATAACCATCATAATTCTCACTAAGACTAAAATGCAAGTCTGTCTCACATGAAAAATGAGACACCCAGTGGATATGTTCTGCAGACAATTTAGAAGTCATTGTAGTGAAGCTCTTGTGAGAAGGTGATTTAAAGATACATATCTGAAATTCAGATAGGAGCAATCGTCAAAACTATTAGGTTGGTGCAAACATAATTGTAGTTTTTACTATTACTTTTAACGGCAAAAATTGCAATTACATTTGCACCAACCTAATATTAGAAAGAATGATTTCTTGGTAATAGTATAGGATTAAGTGTAATAAAATTAATTAGGAAAGCCTCGGCTGGGTGCTGTGGCTCACACCTGTAACCTCAGCACTTTGGGAGGCTGAGGTGGGTGGATCATCTGAGGTCAGGAGTTTGAGACCAGCCTGGCCAACACGATGAAACCCTGTCTCTACTAAACATATAAAAGTTAGTCGAGTGTGGTGGCAGGTTCCTGTAATCCCAGTTACTTGGGAGGCTGAGGCAGGAGAATCACTTGAACCCAGGAGGCGGAGGTGGCAGTGAGCCGAGATCACACCATTGCACTCCAGCCTGGGTGACAGAGTGAGACTCCATCTCAAAAAAACAAAACAAACAAACAAAAAGCTCTTAGGAAAGCCTTCCTGGAAAAATGATTTCTTCAGGGTTTTGAAGTTAGAAGGGACTTGCATTGGTGGAAGTTGATAGACTGAATTATTCGGACACTGGAGTAGCACACAGAAGTCCCTTAGGAAGGAATAACAAGCTATTGAGTTGGGGCAGCGAATTTTGTCTCAAATAGAAATCTGTTGGAGAATAATGAAAAAAGGTTAATGAAATAATGACGTGAGACTGGTGACATGTTGTAGGATGCTCAAGAAGAGAAACATTTGCATTTGATATGGAAGAATTCTTGAACAGGGAAATAAAAGCATTGTTGGAAGAACCTGAACCATTGGTCTCAAGATTGTATTGGAAGGGGAGAGTCAAGCAAGGACATATTCTCAGTTCTTCTGCTGAGAGGTGATGAGCCATGAGCTTCAGTGATGTTTAGGAAGTGGAGAAGTGTAGCAGTAAAAACAGAACAAGAGACATATAGGAAAGACCTTATGGATTTGATTAGATAAAGTTTTATAACATTTGCATGAGTAACATGAAGAGGCGTCGAAGATGTTGATAAACCTACATTAGGGTTGACCTATATGAAGTTACCAGTATTTGACTTTTTAAACCTACAAAAGTGGTAGTTTTAAATAGTTCTTTGTAATAGACACCTGGCTTGGGTTGGAGATGACTACTCTTCAAAATGGACAATGGCATCAGTGAAGAACCAAGAATTGCAAAGATACTGCAATTCTGCCAGTTAAGTGAGGACAAAAGCCTTAAGTGATTACCGGCATTTTCAGAGCTCTTAGCTGGTAGCATAGTGAATTGTAGTATTGAGAACAAAGGGAAGGAAGGAAGGAAAGAAGGAGAAAGCAAGGAAGCAAATTTCATGAATACTTTTTCTTTGAAATTTTAAACGTGTCTGTTTTTATGTACAATGGAAAGTCTCAGATAAAAGAATAGAGGCTTTGACTAAGTGGCGTTTAACCAGTGTAGAGAAATTTTGGGAGATTGATTACTTCATCAGAAAGTTTGGCCTTGATCTGGTCAATTGCTCAATTTGGAGTTACTTGAATATTTAGCAAGAGAAAAAGTATTTTTGTGAATTTGAAAAGGAAGCATGTTTTTGCTTACTTTTCTAGTCACTTTTAGGTAGCCACTAAGAGGATCAGACCCAAGTTAGTTAAGAAAGTAAACAAAATAACACTCCCTAACATGCTTACACACACACACACACACACACACACATGCATGCACCCCTGATAAGAGAACACTTGTGCTCTTTGGAAAGAAAGGTAGGTACATGCAACACACATTGTTTTAAGATACCTAGTTTGGCTGCATTACCTTGAAAATTCTCTCCACTGCTTCATGCAGATCTGATTGGTGAGCATAAATTAGTCACAAATGGCACATGTGTGCATCAGTAATAAGGAAGATAACAGCACTACTACACTAAGTTTGTGATGCTCTCAACAAGCCAGGGGTGGTATGAATCTACAGATGAAATCTCCCACAGATTCCTTTGAGAAAGACATGAGTCATGAGATCAGATCGCTAAGAGGCAGGACACACTCAGTTAGGACCAAGCTGCAGCTAAAGAAAGTTTACATGTTTTAGAGTGGCAAATTGTCAGGTTGTTTCTGCTCATTTTCTATTCAAACTCACGTCCAGGGCTTCCTGAGTACCGCAGCAAACACTAGCTCTGTCTTCTCTAAGCTCAGTGAATGTGGGACATGGGGCAAAACAGAATGGGCTCATTCTCCAGGTTCCCTCCATTTGCATGCATATTTTATTAGGTCTTCGTCTAAGAAGCAGCTCATGAAGAGGCATGCAGGAACATTTGTGTGTGTGTATGTGTGTGTGTGTGTGTGTGTGTTGTAGGAATACACAGCTATTTGTGCTCACTTGGGATGAATGGGGTGATATGTTTCATATTTATCCTACTCTGTGCCTCCAACCCCTATTCTTCTGGGTAATTTAGAAGAAATTTAATGTGTAGTCTTTGAATTTGAGGGATTCACAGTCTAGGTGGGGAGATGAGGATCTATACAAAAAATAATTAAAGAACAACAAGAACAGTTTATAATCATTGTTGGATAGTAAGTATTATAGGAGTCTGAGAAGTGGGTTTCTTGTGAGCTGATATAATCAGGGAAGACTTCTTGGAAAAATGAGGTTTCAATTTTAAATCTCATTAAATTTCAATTAAATTGGCATTTATTGAATATCTATTATGCCAGTGTGCTCAATCATGGGACTAAAATTTGAGTTATGAGTGAGAAACCATTCTGGTGTAATCCTCTTTGTATTAGGTGGAGCCATGTAAATGCTTTTTGATAATTGTGTTCCACAAAAAACACGTTATAACTACCTTTCTGTCTCTCTGTCTCTCTGAAACCAAGTATTTTCTAATTTTTGCTTGGTTAAATTGTAATTCCCCTATAGACTTATATGCCTTTGGTAAGTGAGGAATTTGTTAGGGAATTTCTTCTCCTTTCTTGAGGCTGTGATTCTAAGGAAGGAGTTCAAGCGTGCTTCTTCAAACAATGAAAGTCAGCTGTCTTGGTAGCAATTGTCCTCACAAGCAGATAGTTCAACTTTGCAGTTTGGGCTATAGAAAAATAATCCTGTAATCGGATTGTTAGAATATTCAGAACTTATGCCTCAAATAAACTTTTATGTCTGTGGTGCAAAGGGTTGCTTTTGTCTTTTGCCTGGATTCAGTCCCACAGAGTGGGAACATCACCATGTGCAATCATTAGAAGTGCAATAGAAACTCAGCATCAGTTGAACCAGCTCATATTTAGTGAGGTCACATCTGCTGTATGTCTGTGTTTGTTCAAGGATAAAAGGAAAGAAGCACCAGGGCTTCTTTATGTTCTCATGTTTTCATCTAGCGGGCAAGGAGCACAGGAGGTCTGTTGTTCGTCATTCCTGGATAACATCAAAGCCCGTTCTGGCAAAGCCGTTGCTAATCTGTGGGCAGGATGACCCTGAGAACACTTATAATGCTGCTACCTGGGAAATAGTTCTCATTTTTGCAAAACATTTTATCTGAAAAAGGTTGCACCTACCATCGTTTGCCTAACTTTTAACAGAAAACTTCTGACAATCTGTACGTGCATAACAGTTTGCCTGCAAAATTGTTGTCCTCCATACTCACATTTTCCTTTTAAAATCTCATAGTAGCCTCTTTCTTTATAAGGCTATGTATTTGATGAGGCAAACAAGAAAAGAGAGTATATTTCCTTTTGCTTTATGGGTTTTTGTTGTTCTTTATAGGCAGATCATGAATAGAATCCAGTGAAATTACAGGCTGCTATGACTGTGTTCTCTACTTCCTGTTTGCGATCCAAAATAATCCACATTTGTGATAAAAATTCAAATTGTACCAAAGGTTATGGGATTTCATTCCATATTCAGGAATTAATATAACTAATGTTTTTTTTATTCGTATGTTCATGTCTGTGTTCATTGATTCAGGAAACATTCATTGAGCACCTACTAAGTGCTAGGCATTTATCAGATGGTGACATGCTATGTAGAGAAATAAAGCAAGGTGACCAAGAGTGCTAGCTTGGGAAGGGTTGCTGTGTTTGCAGTGCCAGGGCAGGCCTCACTGATACTTGAGCGGAGGCCTGAGTCGGGGCAGAGTTACCTGTGCAGAAATCTTGGGGAACAGGCAGAGGTGGAGAGAGCATCCAGGGCAAAGTCCCTGAAGTGGAAGTGTCCTAGATAAGTTGCAGTAATGGCAAGTAGGATGGTGTGGCTGGGGTGGAGCCAGTGAGTGGCCAGGTAGTGGTGGGGAGGTCGGGCTGGTCACTAGGAGTGGCAGAACCAGAGAGCAGCTCATATAGGGCCTTGTGGGCCACAGGGAGGCCTTTGGCTTTTGCTTTGAGTAAGGTGGAGGCATTGAAGGGTTTTGAGCAGAGGCTGTTGGGCCCTGACTTCTGTTTAACAGGCTTACAGTGCTTGCTGCATGAAGAATCCACAGTCGGGCATGGGCAGAAGCAGAGACTTGTTAGTAGACTGTTGCTGCAGCCAGGAGAGAAATTATGGTGATTTAGATTAGGATGATGAGTTGGTAAGAAATCGGTTGCTAGATCTATTTTAAAGGTAGAACCTATAGAGGTGTCATTGTTTTGGACATGAGGTTTTGTTTTGTTTTGTTTTTTTGAGATGGAGTTTTGCTCTTGTTGCCCAGGCTGGAGTGCAATGGCACAATCTCGGCTCACCTCAACCTCCGCCTCCCGGGTTCAAGTGATTCTCCTGCCTCAGCCTCCCGAGTAGCTGGGACTACAGGCATGTGCCACCATGCCCAGCTAATTTTGTATTTTTAGTAGAGACGGGGTTTCTCCATGTTGGTAGGCTGGTTTTGAACTCCTGACCTCAGGTGATCCCCCCGCCTCGGCCTCCCAAAGTGCTGGGATTACAGGCATGAGCCACTGCACCTGGCCTGGACATGAGGTTTTTAATGTAGGCAACTGGTAGGGTAAAATTGCTTCACTGAACATATTATATGTTCTAAACTTGGTTCTAGGGATTTACATCTAATAATGCATTGATCCTTATCACAATGCTATGGAAAAAATATTTTTTTCTAAAATATCTGCTGAAATACATTCAACAAAACACATAAATCTTAAGTGCGAGCTCAAATGTATTAAATGTAAGCTTGATAAATTTTTATATGTGTGTATGTATATATAAACATATATAAATAAATGTAAATATAAATATTTATGTAAGCAGCACCTAGATCATGATATAAAACATTTACAGCCCTGCAGAGGTTCCTCTGCCAAAGGTAACCACTGTTTTTACCCTCACACCATAGATTGTTTTTGTCTGTTTTCAAACTTCATATAAATGAAACCATACTATACCTATTATTTCTTTAACTGGTTTTTATTGACATGATTTATACATCATAAAATTCATCTTTTAAAGTGTACAATTCAGTAGTTTTAGTGTATTCACAAGTTTGTGCAACCATTGTCACTTTCTATTCTAGAACCTTTTCATCACCTCCAAAAGATACAGCCATTAGCAGTCACTCCCAATTTCCCCCTCCTCCCAGCCCTGGCGAAGCTCCTTTCCATCTGTATACATTTGCCTATTCTGAACATTTCATGTAAATGGAACCATACCTTATGTGGCCTTTTGTGACTGGCTTCTTTCATTTAGATAATGTTTTCAAAGTTTGTCCATGTTTTAGCATGAATCAGTACATCATTCCTTTTTTTTTTTTTCCCAAGACAGAGTCTTGTTCTGTCACCCAGGCTGGAGTGCGGTGGTATGATCTCGGCTCACTGCAACCTCTGCTTCCGGGTTCAAGGGATTCTCCTGACTCAGCCTCCTGAGTAGCTGGGATTACAGGCACCCGCCACCACTCCCGGCTAATTTTTGTATTTTTAGTAAGACAGGGTTTCACCATGTTGGCCAGGCTGGTCTCAAACTCCTGACCTCAGGCGATCCATCTGCCTCAGCCTCCCAAAGTGCTGGGATTACAGGTATGAGCCACTGCACCTGGCCACATCATTCCTTTTTAAGGCTGGATAATATTCCAAGATGTGGATATATCATATTTTGTTTGTCCATCTATCAGTTAATGGACATTTAGGTTTTTCTCTTTTTTGACTATTATGAATAATGCTGCTCCTAACATTAGGTTTTGTGTGGACATGGACAGGTTTTCCGTCATACTCTGTTGTGGCTGTTTCTTTGTTCAACATGACATCTATGTAATTCATTAATGTTATTGCATGCAGCAGTTCATTCTTTCTTGTTACTTTTTACAATTCCATTCTGTGACCATACCACTATTTATTTATCGCTTATCCAATCAATGGGCTGTGATGAATCCTGTGACATGCTTTGTGTGTCTTTTGGTGGGCAAAAGCACTCATTTCTCTTTGGTAAATACCTGGCCATGGAATTGCTGGCTCATTCATCTTTTTCTTTATCTGTCCTCTCAGAGCATTCTGTCATGCTTGTTCTTGTTGGTGTGGGCACTCCCTTGCAGAGGAAATGTGCTTCCTGTAGACCTGGTCCAGGGATCTCCCTTCCCTGCCTGGGCCCACATTTAGGACTGACTTATCTTCTTTCTACTTCTCTAAAGCATCTTTTAGGAACCCTCTCCTTCCCAATGTATTTCCTCTTCCATTGTTTAACAAAGCAGAGTTTAGCTCATGCCTGCTTGCAACTGACTGTGTTCGTTTAGTTACTGGCTTGAGAGCCTAAGATGATTTATAATGGTACACTCCCTTTCAGGAGTGATTACTATGGGTTTCTGAGGGGACTAGAGCCCTCTCAGAATTTCATAACAGCTATGTGTCCTCCCATAGAGAAATGAATCTGTGAATGCACACACACACACGCACACACAGACACACATGCAGGTTTTCTTACACGTTCAGGGGATTTGTCGACCTCCATGAATCCCATCCGCTGTAGGCTCGTGGTTCCCACATTAAGAATCCTTCTTTTCTACTTTGTAATGCCTTGACTTTTTTTTTTCAAACAAAACTTCCCCTGTGTCAACTGACATGGTAAAATGGAAGGACTATATTTCCAGAGATGTGTATAAAACATGTTTATAAAACATGTGTATAAAACTGGCTAAAACAGAGGTCCTGACTTGTACCCAGCTGGCAAAGGAGGTAAGAATTATCAGCACTTAGAAAAGTAATTTTAATTGTTATGGAATCCTCATTCTTTTCAATTCTGCTAGCAGTTGAGAACGTTTCTAATTATATCCTTTGCTACTCCTGTTAAACTTCTTAACTAGAGATTAAAATGAAGGCACTGCCATTGAGCTGGGCCCTCCCAGGCCTGGAAGGCGCCACCTCTGCCGCAGGGACAGCTGGCATCAGAGTGGGATGTGCTCACCCCAAGCTCTCCCCCTCAATGGGAGCCTCCTCTCCTCAGCCTGAGTTTCCTGTCTCACATGTTTAATGGATGAATAATTGGGTGCCACTCAATTGCAGAGTTCCTCGGAAAAGAGCAGGTGTGGACTAAATGAAGTAGAAAATTAAATAGATCTTTTCTAAATGATTTTTAAAATAATTTGATGACAGTGGTAGCAGAAGTGGAATCATGGTGGCCCATTCTCATTCTCTGGTCCATTTCTCCAAAGACAGAAAGAGAAACAGCAACATTAGAGTAAGCTTTTCTTATTTACATCTTTTGAAACTTTTATTTGATACTTTTCCCTCTAAGAACAAATTTGGGCTTCATCCAGTAGGCAGTGCAGCATCATTACAAGGCTTTAACATATAGTCCATAATAAATTAGACTTTTTTCCCCTGGGAAGACAAAAAAGTTTTGTCTAGAAATTTGTTGCTTTAAAATTTTTACCGAAGTAATAAAACATACAAAGTGAAAATCTTTTTTCCTCCTCCACAACATCCATTTCCGTATCTCAGGGGTAACCACAGTAAATAGTTTATCTTCCTTGAGTTTTTATTGAAGTCTATAAAAGCATTGTATAGATTTGTTGAATTTTATAACATTGGGATCACCTTATACGGCGGAATGAAGCTTACTCTTTCTACTGTGTGACGTATCGCAGATGTCCTTCAGTGTTTATGTTGATCTGCCTTCCTCTTTTCTTGCTTTTATAGCGTATTTCCCTTTATCTTCCAGTTTTTAGAATAATGAGTTGGTACTCTGACCTCCAAAGATGACTAATATGTGTTTTCAAAAATAATTATGAGCTCACGGATTTTAACATATTTGGTGTGTTTCAATCCAATGTGGCCATTCATCTCAATGCTCAGTAGTCTCAATTTTGTTCGTTGGGACCCTCAAGTATTTTTGGCATGACTCAATAGTCTCTTCCTCACTTTCAGGTATGACAGGATATTCCAGGCTATTCTTTTCTTCAAATTGAAATTAAATTGTGGATTAAATCTTAATTTTATTGTGTGCTGTGTTAAGAAAAATTTATCTCACTAGATTTAATTAGATGTACCTGCTGTACCCCTGGGTGTGCCTTATCAGTCAATCACCAAATGATTTTGAGAGCTGCCGTGTGCGGGGAAGTCAAGCTAGATCCTGTGATTTAGCAAACAAGTCAACCCAGTGTTCCTCTTCCCACATGCCAAGCAAACCAAACCACAACAACTATTAATAAAACAAATCCTTATTATGTCTTTAAAGTTTATCTTTTTTCTTAAAAATATTTATGAGAAACAATTGATCCATAGAAAAGTGAACAATTGAGGACTATATACAACTGTAGTAATTTTATTTTCAACTTGATTGAATAGTAACTTATATACCATAAAATTTACTCCTTTTAAATATTCAGCTTAATGAGTTTTGTTAAATATATACAGTTGTGCAGCCAATACTTAAATCACTTACATCATCTCAAAAAGTTCTTTTTTGTCCTTTTGCAGTCAATCCTTGCTTCCACCCCACTTCCAGGTAACCCCTGACCTTCTTTTGGATGCTATAGTTTTGCCTTTTCTAGAATTCATATAAATGGCCTCATGTGGTGTGTAGTCTTTTGTGTCTGGCTTCTTTCACTTAGTAAGATGTGTTTGAGATTCATCCATGTTCAGGATCAGTACTGCATGTGTCAGTATTTGTTCTTTTGTTTTTGGTAGTAGTATTCTATTGTATGGATATACCACTACATTTGGAGTTGGACATTTGGTTTGTTTTCCCCCATTTTTGGGAAACTGTGAATAATGTAGGTGGACATTTGCATACAATGCTTTGTGTGGACATATGTTCTAATTCTCTTGGGTAGACATCTTGGAATGGGATTACTGGATCATATAATAAGTATCTTTTAACTTTTCAAGAAACTACCAAAATGTTCTCCAAAGTAGGGAACCATTTGTGTTCATACCATCAGTGTATGAGCATTCCAGTTGCTCCACATCCTCATAACACATGACATTGTCATTCTTTTTAATTGTAGCCATTCTAGTGGTTTTGTAGTGGTATCTAATTATGGTCATAGTTTGCATTTCTCTAATGACCAGTGGTATTGAGTGTATTTTTATGTACTTGTTAGCCTTCCCTTTTTTGTGAAACATCTGTTTAAATCTTATTGGATTGTATGTCTTCTTTTATTGAGTTGTAAAAGCACTTTCTGTATTCTGGATCCAAGTCCTCTGTTAGAAATGTGCTTGCTTTTGCAACTTACTTTCAGGTTGAGTTTTGATAAGAAAATGTTCAACTCATCTAAATTTTTATTTGAAATAGAAAAGACCTAATCTTATCCAAAGGACATGATACATTTTTAAAGAATAATTTTATAATCATGTAAGGAAGAGAAAGAAAAGAAAAAGTTTGGGGAATTGATAAAGGAAATATTGGAGAGAGAGTGAAATAAGAGACTGTAAAAGGAAGAAAATAATTAGGGAAAGAGAAGGAGATAAAACTACAAAGAGACCCAAGCTCATTCTTGTTGGTAAAAAGAAAAAACAAAAACAACCCCCTTCTCAAAAACCGACAAAAAGAGATGTAATGAGAGAGAGAAGCTAAAAAATAGAGGAAGAGAACAACAAACAAATTTACAGTTATGGAGAATAAAAGAATAGGTAGGAAAGGAGGAGACAAAAAAATGCCAAGAGAAGAACACACCACCACCATTGCTTTCATTTCCCATGGCCTGTCCACCATGTTGTCTCCTCTCTACTCTGTTACCTCATCTCTCTGTTCCCCACTTCTCATGTCCACTTTCTGGAAGTCCTACCTTTCCTCCCACATCCCAATTCTTTAATATTTTACTGTTCTACTTTCCAAACATACAAAATAGCTGGGTTATGTCCTTTCTATCTTTAGTGTATAAAAGAACAGACTCTGAAGTTAGTTGTTTGGGTTTGAATCCTACCTCTGTGACCCTGGGCAGAACCTAACCTTTAAAATTTCCAGTTTCATGATCTGTAACATGGGAACAATAGTAATACTGGTCTCAAAGTTTTCTACAGAGATTAAAGAATCTGTGTAAAGCTTCTATCATTGTACTTGGCATAGAGTGCTCAGTCATTAAGTATTATAGCTGCTATTTGTGTAGTGTATGTGTGTGCGTGTGTGTGTGTGTTGTGGGGAAAGCGTGTTTCTTTGTTATTATTCCTTCTACCTTTGACTCTCTGTTAATCTTATTTTAATCTGGGAGTATCTTACCAAACTAAAAACTTAAGTGACAAAATACCACAGCGAGCATCATGCTTCCGATACTGCAAAATATAAACACAACTGTATTTGTTCATGTGGAATGTAAAGTTGGAAGTAATAATAATACATATTTACATAGTGCTTTAACTTTGAGCATTTTGATGTAGCACTGACAGATATTTAGTAGTAGAAGACTTATGGGGTCCGGGTGCTGAAATTTCCGGTTTCTGTAATACCGAGATGCCAAACCAACCACAGTTTGATAAATACAGCTGAAGCAGGTGAGGTGTCTGAGCTTTTTATGTAAATGCACAACATGAACTCCTTCCCTTTTTGCCAGTCACCTCCACCACAGTTTCCATTGAAAAATAGAAGGTAGGCCAGGTGCGGTGGCTTATGCCTGTAATCCCAGAACTTTAGGAGGCCGAGGTGGGCAGATCACGAGGTCAGGAGTTTGAGACCAGCCTGTCCAACATGGTGAAACCCATCTCTACTAAAAATACAAAAATTAGCTGGGCGTCGTAGGGCGTGCCTGTAATCCCAGCTACTCAGGAGGCTGAGACAGGAGAATCGCTTGAACCTGGAAGGTGGAGGTTGCAGTGAGCTGAGATAGCGCCGTTCTCCAGCCTGGGTGACAGAGCGAGGCTCCGTATTAAAAAAAAGAAAGAAAGAAAGAAACGAAAAGGAAAAAAAAAAGAAAAATAGAAGGTAGTATTTGGGAAAGACCTCCCCAAGGCAAGATTCCTGCTGCACTGCATCTGCCTCTGCCTCAACATGATGAGTACAAGTTTACTTGCCTCTGAGTAATTTGTATTTTTTGGATTTTTTCCAATTGCTGGCGAGTTTCCCCTTGCATGGAACTGAAATTTTCTTTGATCCTGGATCAATATAGGGAAAAACTTTCCTCCCTCGTTTACATGTAGAAGTTTAGCTACACAAAGTGGGATTATGCCAACTCTTTGTTTTCTCTCTGTTAGGCAACATTTCCCAGTTTGAACTATCGTTGCTCAAATAACAAGACTTGTGTATTTTGCTTGCTTTCCCCCTTGCTGAACTTTGGATACTGGCTAATTTGTTAGGATGCTGCTTAAAATGTGCCATCTATAGAACTGGACCCAACATGGATGTGTTCCTTCTTCCTCTGTTTGAGGAATCAGTCTAATATGAATCAGCCTAAAATGGCGGCATCAGCTTTTCCGCCGGTTCAGCACAGTATTCACTTATTTATATTTGGAGTGATAATATACTTATCACCCAAACCAGGACATTCTTGAGAGTGAAAGGGGGACGTGGCTAATAATTAAGCTCAGGCAACAGGCATAAACCAGAATTGTCCTGGGCACACAGGGCTATAGGGCATTCTAATTATGTTAAGTTGAACTCAAGCCTAAGGTCTAGGCAATTTTCAGTTTTTAAAATACTAATTGCTAATAGCCTTGGTGCTCCTCTCTATCATGTACCAAAGTAGTTGACTTTTTTCTGACCTTATATTTATGTTTGTATAAAGTTAATTGCATTGATGTTTGGATTTAAAAAAAATCTAGATTTTAATCTGCCTAATTAGCTACTCCTCTTCACTCTGCATCATCTGCAAATTTGATCAACAACTTTCCTGTGTATTTTTCCCAGTCGTTGGTAAGCTAAAAGGTGCCTTTCCCAGATGCTCAGTACCAATCACTTCACCCTCATGGACCTCTCAGGCAGCAGGAGTCAACTGAGAACCAAGATCTTAGGGTATTCCCTTCTCAGGTGTTTGTATTTTGATAGGAGACCTCCCCCCACCCCGCAAAAAAGATGGTAAAACCCTTCAGAGCAGAAAGAATAGATATCTAATGATTGTTTCTCAGGTAACTTGGCAGGAACTTTCTTTTGCAAACAGATTTTGAGCATCTTCCTTATAGTAGCTAATAGGGGCTGAATATAGAGTTACATGTAAACATGTTATCTAATAGGAAGCACTATCTGATAGATGGGTGCTATAGTAAAGGTAGAGGCCAACCAGCGTGGGGCTAAAAAGAGGAAGACATTTTTAAAAGGGCATCTTCCCATTCCATTGTAATGGTCTATATACAAATTTGACAGGGCAGTTAATTTAAAAATATAGTTTTTATGTATTTCAGAAGTCATTCATAGAGCAAAGGAAAGTTTCCTGGTCTCAGTTTCCTTTCCTCTTGACCACAGGATATGTTTATATAAATTTGAAGTTCATTTAACCCTAACCTGTACACATGTGCAGACTTCCAGAAGTATGGCTTTTGAATACTTTTAGTTGCAACTCTCAGTAAGAAATACATTATACATTGTAATCCCACATGTGCATATGTGTGTGTGCACATGCACAAACCCACACATGACCAGAAACAGAAGTTTCTTGAAAGAATACTTGCTACTTTGCAATGTCCTCTTCTTCCCTCCTCTTCTTCTCCCTTCCCCCTCTCCCTCTCCTCTCTTCTCCTTCCCTGTCCTCTTCCCTACCCTTCCCCTTCCCTTACTCTTTTCCTTCCCATTTTGTTTCCCTTGTCCTTCCCTTCTCTTTCCCTTTCCCTTTCTCTTCCTGTTCCATTCAATTCAATTTCATTCCATTCAGAAGGCTGGTTGAGACCAAATAATTTGATTTCAAGCCTGGCTAGGCCAGGCACAGTACCTCACGTCTGTAATCCCAGCACTTTGGGAGGCCAAGGCAGGCAGATAACCTGAGGTCAGGAGTTCGAGACCAGCCTGGCTAACATGGTGAAACCCCGTTTCTACTAAAGATACAAAAAATTAGCTGGGTGTGGTGATGCATGCCTGTAATCCCAGCTTCTCAGGAGGCTGAGACAGGAGAATCGTTTGAACCCAGGAGGCGGAGGTTGTGGTGAGCCGAGATCGTGCCATTGCACTCTGGCTTGGTCAACAAGAGCGAAACTCCATCTCAAAAAAAAAAAAAAAAAAAAAGACTGGCTTGCACAATTACACAATTACAGTTTGTTAAACTTTGCTCTGGAGTTGTCCATTGACTCCTAAATTATCTGTAGATGCTTTTTGGTAGTAATAATAATCAAAAGAAAGCTAGTCTTATTGGAGTATAAATATGTAATAATAATGATGAATAAGACTCCATGATCTTTTTGTTATTATGAATAAATCTCTGCTTACGGAGGAACTAGCATAACAAACTGATTTTGTTTTAGGTCACCCATATGAGAACAGCAATTAATTCAGTACCAGGACAATGAACAGCAAGCAGTTCTTTACTCTAAATATTGCTATTACATAACTGTGACTTGGCATAAAATACCCTGTGTTAGACTTTTTTTTTTTTTTAATTTAGGACAGGAGTTGTTACAGTCATGCTCAAATTGGTTTAAAAAGGCAAGCTTACCTCTATAAAGTTAATTTACCTGTATTAATAGTTTAATTGTTCACCTATTAGAAAATTATTGCTTTCTGAGTGGAGGGCTTGAAGCCGTGAACTTCTCTGGCTTGCTACTGTGCTCTTCTGTCGTATTGATAGTTACAGGTGTTTGGATTGTCTCTTTTAACACATTTTTGGGCCCTTGTAGGATAATTTCAGCAAGGAATCTGGGAATTTGAAACCAGAGAACGTGGACTGTCACATTATGTGTTTTAATTTCAGTGAATGTACCTCAATGTATTTGTTAAAGTTTTAATTTCATGAATATAGAGCATCTTCTATTGAATTATGAAGATGGGCTTTGGAGGCAGGTTGATCTGGACTAAATTTAAAAACAATTTTTGAAATTTTAGGTTAGAGCTCTAAAACATTCTGAGTTTCTCTTTCCTCATTTATAGAACTAATACTTCAAAGCATTTGTGAAAGAATTAAATGAGATAATGTATGTGACAAGACCTGATGTAAAAGGAGACGCTATGGAAGTACATACTCATATGTAAATATACATAAAATATATTATGCATCTATACATATTATATATGTGTGTATCTTGTCTGCATGTATGTGTGTAGAAACATAAATATATGTAAAAAATCACTTCCTTTTTCAAATCTGACACTTATGTAATGAAATTTGGAGGCTTGCATTTTGATTTCTGAATCAGTCAGCTTATTACATTTTTTTTATTATCAGTGTTAACATGGCACATTGAGAATGGGAAAAATGATTGAAAAATTATACATTATGATTTTTCTGGTAGCAGATTTCACTTACATCTAGTGTAGTGGCTTGCTCAATCAATGCTGAAATTCAAACCTTGACAAGAATACAAATTAGCATTAATGCATTTGAATTTTACTTTTCCTCCCCACTCCAAATTAGGCAAAGGATAAAGCTTCATTTGTTCTTGAGTGTTTACCTATTAGTGTATGAATCAGGCAATTAATCTCTTTGAGACTAAGATTTCATAATATTTTTATTTATGTTTTAGCATTTAATTATATATACACATAGTATATTTCCCATTGAAAACCACTCATTAGTTTCTTTTTAAGTATTATAACTGTGGCACATATGTATATGTATCTTGATAATATTTTTCTAGAGGTTGTGTTGTGTTGCAAGACTGTGGTAGGGATGAGAACTGAGGCATATGCATATTTCACTTTCTGGCCAGTGGTTTTCTTTTTTCTTTTCTTTTCTTTTCTTTTTTTTTTTTTTTTGAGATGGAGTCTTGCTCTGTCACCTAGGCTGGAGTGCAGTGGCATGATCTTGGCTCACTGCAACCTCTGCTTCCTGGTTTCAAACGATTCTGCTGCCTCAGCCTCTTGAGTGGCTGGGATTACAGGCACACGCCACTGCGCCTGGCTAATTTTTGTATTTTTAGTAGAGATGGGGTTTTGCCATGTTGGCCAGGCTGGTCTTGAACTCCTGACCCCAGCCTCCCAAAGTGCTGGGATTACAGGCATGAGCCACCGTGCCTGGCCTGGCCAGTGGTTTTCTTACCATCTGTATTTGCTAAATACATTAATAGATGCTTTAACAATTCAGTCTTTAATTGACTAAAATCACATCTATTATGGGAAAGAGGCAGTTAGTATTTGGTAATAAAAATGATAACTTTTTGAGGAGATCTTGCCACGATGATCAAATCAAAGTTGGGGTGGAGAAGTCAGAAGGATGCTGTCTGAGGATATTTAGGGCTGTTAAGTAGAAGCCAGATTAGATTTGTTCTAAATGGCCTTGAGGTACATGTAGAATTACGAACAGCATTTAAACAGAGACAGATTATGCCTCAACATGACAACCTGCTCCCAGTGGCATCTCTGCATGGCTACAGTACACTACGTAGGGTTCAGAGGATCTTGGTTCATATTTCATCTCAATTCCTCATGAAGAAAAGTCTCAGTTTCCTTCTCTGTAACATGGAGAAAATAACCCTGGCTAACTCTTGAGAGTCTTGTGAAGATCCAGTGATCTTTATTATCAATGTGTAGTGCTGTTTATAGTTTACAAAGCGCTCCATGGTAGTAAACTGTATTGAACAAACCAAGTGTGGCATTGGTGTCCCTACCACTAAGAGGTCAGGCAGTCACTTGTCAGGGCATTCAAGCATCCTATGTGTGGTTGAACTTCTTCATATTTATAATATTCTAATCTGGAAATACTATCCTGAAGGATCTAGGGAATTCACTTTTTGAGTTTTTGCTTCTTTGCTTCAAGGAAGGGAAAGATTGGATTTTATCTGAGGCTTCTTTGAGTGCTAACATTTTATCAGTCTACAAGCCTGTAATGACAAAATGCTATTTCTCTTCCTCTTTCGTAGTATAATAATTGACTTTCAGCTAGAGGAAGTTACATTGCGATCTTTGTGGTTGCTAACCCATGTGTTGTGATTAATTTTCATGTTTGCTAACACATGCAATACATTTCCCTGAGCCTTCATAGCATTCTAGAGGACACTTTCCCTCTTAGATCCTCTCTTTACAGTTGCCTTAGGCAAGGCAGGTGGGGGGATAGATGTTTGGTTTGAAATTTGTGTTCTTAAAACACATTCCTTTTTAAAACTTCTAAAAATAAAGAGTTTTATACAAACACTGTATTTCAGGATGCATTTCTTAGGGAAACTGAAAAACGAAAACAACCTAGAGTTGTATTTTCAGCTAATGAATGCATTCCTCTCCCTGCATCAACTCTGAATTCTATTATATTTAATTTTTTAAAATTTGTATTTTGTAAGAGACAAGGTCTTGCTTTGTCCTCCAGGCTGGAGTGCAGTGGTGTGATCATAGCTCATTGCAGCCTTGAACTCCTAGGCTCAAGTGATCCTCTTGTCTCAGCCTCCTGAGTAGCTCGGACTTGTAGTCCACTGCCCCCAGCTGATTTTTTAAAAAAATTTTTTCGTAGAGACAGGGTCTCAATTTGTTGCCCAGGCTGGCCTTGAACTCTTGGCTTCAAGCAATCCCCCTTTATCAGCCTCCCAGAGTGCTGGGATTATAGGCATGAGCCACTGTGTCTGACCTGAATTCTAATTTCTAGTGGCTAATGGCCCCTTGTCTGCCTGCCCCTTATCCTAAGGAGAGTTTCTTTTTTAACCACTTTCCATTTTATCATTGGGAAGGTTCTAGCTTGCTCTTCTGTTTCAGAGACCATTGTCTTCATTGAACTCTTCTGGATCCACTTTGTGTCATAAAGAGAGAAACAAAAGTCCCCGAGGCTTTCCCTCCCCACCTTTCTCCACGTAGGGAGAATAAAGCCCTTGGTAACCATGTTCCCTATGGTTATGAGGTGTTTTTTACAGGCTACCGTGAAAGAGCCATTTGTTGAATGCCTGCCTTGTGACAGGCACTTGCCTCATTTAAATCTTAAGACATCTTTAGGAGGAAGGAGAAATTAAAAACCAATTTTTTTTTTCCACCATTGCCAAAGGATACTGCTGGCCAAGACATAGCTTGAACTTTACATATGATAGCCCTAAATAGAGTCCTAAAGTCAGTTTCTGGGGTTCAGGAGTGGCCTCCTGATACAAATATTGTAGAAAGTACCTCCACAGGTTCAAAGCAAAACATTTCAAAACTATTTATACAGCTATTGTAAGTGGAGGTTTAGACTGATTTCCTGCCAGATTTCCATGGACTCATGTGTGAAGGTTGGCTCTTTGACTTACAGTGTTAACGTGCTGTGGGTTACGTGCTCCATACCATTTGAGTGGCTTTCGTATTTCTTCCCTCTGCTAGCATTTGTAAGTAAGCAGGCTAAAATGCCACCAATGCTATCAGTTTAAAATGAACACTTCTGAGTGGCTTAATTTCCTTCCATAACTGTTCAAAAAATAAATAAATAAAAGTTGTAATTCTAAGCCATTGTTCTTATAATATTGTCTGACTGAACATATGTCTGGTTGGATTACTAACATTTCCTGAACTTCTGTAATTCTGCAAATTGTTGGCTTCAGGTCTTAAGGTTAAGCTTTTAAAAAAATTAAACAAAAATAACTTCCTTTTATTTGTGCTGTTGATGCTCGCTCTATGAGATAAACCTTTCCTTTTTTTATTCCTTGAGTCTTGAAATGTTGAAGAGATTGTTGTTAGAATTAAAAAATGACGCTGAGTCAATTTCTGATTGAACTCCATAAAACATTTTTCTTAACAGTATTACACCTCTACAGATCAAGGAATACTAGAGAGTTTAGAAGCAGGATGAGGAGGGCAGGTGAGACCGGGTTGCTCTGAAATAGCTGTAATCCTGCACACTGAAAAAAAGTAGGCTTGTCAAAGGTTTTGCCCTTACTGATGTTAGTGATGGCGTCTGCATTTCTAAAAAGATATTACATGGTAATGAAGATCTAATCCTCTTCTTACTGTCATTTTGTTCCAAGGAATTTGAGAAGTGTATACAAAGACACATCGTGGCATCTTAAACCAAAGGGGTGGACACCTTGTCATTAACTGGGCACTCTTGGTGTGTCTTCAGGTTTCATCTGAGAACTTTTCTTTTCTTTTTCTTTCTTTTTTTGGTTTATTTCAGCTTCCCAGTTGCATGCCTAACTTCTCTCTCTCCCCTTTTTAAAAAACTTTTATTTTAACTTCAGGGTTACAAGTGCAGTTTTGTTCCATAGGTAAACTTGTGTCATGGGGGTTTGTTGTACAGATTATTTCATCACCCAAGTTTAAGCCTTGTACTCATTAGTTATTTTTCTTGATCCTCTCCCTCCTCTCATCCTCCATCCTCCAAAAGGCTCCAGTGTGTGTTGTTCCCCTCTATGTGTCCATGTGTTCTCATCTTTTAGCTCCCACTTATAAGTGGGAGCTAAATATAACTTATTTGATTTTCTGTTCCTGCACTAGCTTGCTAGGGATAATGGCCTCCAGCTCCATTCATGTCCTTGCAAAAGACATGATCTCATTCTTTTATGGCTGCATAGTATTCCATGGTGTATATGTACCATGTTTTCTTTATCCAGTCTATGATTGATGGGCATTTAGGTTGATTCCATGTCTTTGCTATTGTGAATGGTGCTGCAGTGAATGTATGTGTGCATGTGTCTTCATAACAGAATGATTTATATTCCTTTGGGCATATACCCAGTAATGAAATTGCTGGGTCTGATGGTATTTCTGTCTTTTGGCCTTTGAGAAATTGTCTTCCACAATGACTGGACTATTTTACACTCCCACCAACAGTGTAGAAGTGTTAATTTTTCTTCATAACCTCACTAGCATCTGTTATTTTTGACTCTTTAGTAGTAGCCATTCTGACTGATGTGAGATAGTATCTCATTGTGGTTTTGATTTGCATTTCTCTAATGATCAGTGATGCTGAGCTTTTTTTTCATGTGATTGTTGGCCGCATGTATGTTTTCTTTTGAAAAGTGTCTGTTCATGTCCTTTGCCCACTTTTTAATGGGGTTGTTTATTTTTTACTTGTAAATTTGTTTAAGTTCCAAAAGCAATTGCAACAAAAGCAAAAATTGACAACTGGGATCTAATTAAACTGAAGAGCTTCTGCACAGCAAAAGAAGCTGTCAACAAAGTAAACAGACAACCTACAGAATGGGAGAAAATTTTTGCAAACTATGCATCCAACAAAGGTCTAATATCCAGCATGTGTAAGGAACTTAAACTACTTTTCATTACTCTTTGCTGAGAGCTCTGTAAGGATTTAGTCATCTCTTCATCTTAGTGAGGCTATTGCTGAAAGAATGAAGCAATATCAATAATAATGCCTTACATTCATAATAGGACTTTAAAGTTCACAAAGAACTTTCACACAGATTTTCTTTTTGCTCATCTCAGCAACCCTGTGAATTAGGTGTGGCAGGTATTAGCACTTTTATTATGCAGTAAATTTAGAATCCGACAAAATGTGTGACCAGCCCAAGAACAGTAGATTTTTAAAAATGTGTTCTAAAGGAGGCAGAGAGAGAATTAAGCATGCACACACCCTACTGCCACCAATGAAAGCTTTTTAACAGAAGTCTGTGTGTGCCCCACCTTCTCTCCTATTATCCAGAACAGTCCTGCAAGATTAGTTCCCATGCAGAAACAGATCAATTATTTACTGTAATATAAAATGAGATGTCCCCTGTGGGAGGCTGCTGAAAGGGACTGTAAAACTAAGGCCCTGAAATGGAAAGGGCTTTTGAAACCCAAGACTTTGTACTTCAGATAGAGTGGGTGGAAGCTTGTTCATTTGGCTATTTTCACTTACCCCTCCTTGACCTTTTCCCGCCCCCACATCTAGTCGATTATTAAGCCTCTGGTTTGGCTGCTTTATTTTACATCTACGGCTACCCAAAACTACCGTAGGGCCCCAGTTCCATCCCTACTGTCTTTTCACAACAGCAGCGGGTTTCGGGGATGGCCTTCCTGCCCCTTGCTCATGCCATCTTTCACATGCCCTAAGAGCTTAAAAGTCTGTAAGAGTTCAGCGTTTTCCATGGGGTATAGTCCATCCTCCTTAGCCTAGAACATAACACTGTAGATCTTGACCTCAGCCTACCATTCCATTTTTATCTTGCCGCTTCAGTGGTGGTTTTCCTGAATGGTTAGGGGTCCCTTAGCATTCTTCGCTGCCTTCATACCAGCCAGTGGCTCTGTTTGGAACGCCCCTCCCCTTAGCATGGGAGCCCTCTTGCCCCTGTGCTGAATGAGTATTGGTTCTTTAAAATTTGGCTGTGTTTTCTCCTTTCTTCTCCGTGGGGAAGTCTTTTCTGACCTCCGTTGCCTGTGAAATTGGCCACGTGCATCGTTGTGGCTCTTAGCATCTCCTCCAGAGCTCCCTTGTGAAGCTTCAAGTAGACCGTGAGCTTTCTGAGGACAGGGTCTGAGGCTTAACCCCTGTTCGTGCAGGGCATGACCCCCTGTAGGGGGATTACAGTAAACACAGTTTGGCTGAAAGTTTGGCTTCACTTCACAGTGACCTCAGCCACCACTCAGGAGCATTTGGCCTGACAGCCAGTTTGCTGACTCCCCAAAGATATCGCTAATTAGGAGTGCTGTTGAGGTGGTCTGGGATTTACAAAAATATTTTTTCTGTTAAAGGATCATTTCCAATTGACCTTAATTAGGAATCTGTAATAATGAAGAGAAACACAATTTTTTCTCTTTCCTTTTTATACATGAAGAAAGTCAGAAGCATAAATTCCAGATTATGGAGTTCAGTTCCCCTTGATCATGGATTTGTGCTTTTGCTGAGTGCAGACAGTATAGAGTTTTGCCACTTGCCTAATATAGGATAGTCAAAAGAGTCTGCTGTATTAAATTGGGAGCACTCTTATGGAAATATCTGTAAACAACTTGTGGATTTGTGCTTCAAGAAATTTGTAAAATTCTCTTTGTAGTTGCTAAGATACAGGAAATAACTTTTAGGGCTAGTATGATACACTGCCAAGGAAAACATTTTCCAGGCTGTCCGTCTTTGGTCACACACGTGCTAGGTGTTGATTCCTGTATCATACTGTAATTGTGGTGGCCTCTAAGCCTACTTTTAGCAGTTTGAAGGTATCTGTTTTCTACTACCTATGAGATATTTACTTATCCATATCAGTACCCTTTAAACTAGAAATTAAGATTAGTTTACTATTACCTTGTCTGTATATGGGGGGTGGGGCAATCACATGGGGAATATGTGTTCTTATAGAAAAAAATCATCATTGTCTTGTTTTTCCTACATTCCTTACAAATTTTACAGCCATATTTCTTGATCATTTATGCCATTAGAACCATGAAAAAGTGATATTTGAAAAGGTATCATCTTTTTAAATACAATTAATTTTAAGGAAAATAGTGGAACAAGCATATTATATAATGTAGTCAATAATGTGGCTAAAGTGGATATTTGAGTTGACTGAATTTTATTTTTGTGATAGTTATTTGTCGAATGAGAATGACTCTAAATATCAACACATCAGTCAAAATAAAGTAAATTTGTTATGTTGAACTCACAGTTTTTTATGAGAAAAATGAAAATAAGGTTTGAATTTTCTGTATTACTACTCTTTTATGATAGAATACTGAGAATTTACCTTTATTCTAGATTGTAATCTATTCCACAAGCATACAAAATCATTAGCATGTGGCGAAACTGTTGAGTTCTTCCATTCTCCTCATTGAAAATAAAACGTATATTTTGCTTCTTGACTTAGAGATATCACAACTATAATATTCCTCTATGATTTTCTATCTTGATGTTTAGCAATAGAGTCAGGACTGTAATCTTGGTTTAGGTGTTTTGTTTTGCTTTATGTTTCCATCATATCATATTGTCTTTCAGATTTTCACATCATATTCACCCAGGTATTTGGAAACTTGGGGAGTGGATGACTCTAATGGTCAGCTGGGATCTACTTCCTGGATCACTTTGGCTGTCAAATATACACAGCACCAATGTGTATTAATTGTGCAAAGTCAGATAAGGCAGTGAAAGTCACTAATCTCATTCTATTTGCTTTCTAAGACCAGGTGCCCCATTATAATTAATCCATGCCTTATAATACCACAATTACATGGGTTTGATTTCTTTATACACTGGCTATCGTAGTCTTTAAAAAACTTAAATTAATGAAGAAGTGGATATTTTAACTGAGTCTAGATAATTATTTGAAAAGGATGTTATAGAGTGAATGGAGAGTTGGCTGGAGGACGGACTATATGACTTTTAACTGTTCTGTATAATCAGGGATTCCAAGATTCAAAAGCTGAGCTATAAGGGAAATCTAAGAAATGCTAGTAGCCTTAGTTACAGTGTTTTTGTATGTTGGTTTGTCACAGACTGCCTTTTCAAGGTGTGCCCTATGAACAGATATTCTGCCCAGAAGCAATATTGGAAAGCAAAGCAAGCCAAACAAGGGAACCACACCGAGGCAGCCTTGCTGAAGAAACTACAGGTAAGGACCAGGATTCCAATTGTCTGGCTTAGGCTAACCAAGTACAGCAATAATAAAAATGTATTTAGAGCTTTCTAGCTTTGTCCTTTCACCCAAAACACAGAGATTTAGAATACATATAGCAACACATTGAAAGTAGAAGGGCTTTTCAAGTAATAGGGTGTGACCATCTATTTCCTGGCATGTAGGTAGCACATTACTGCTGCTGTTTTTTAGGGTGTGCCAGACTAATTCAAAGCTTCCCATCAAAATGAAAACCAATTCAGAATCTCTGTAAGAATATTAAATCCAGTTATATTTTACTTGACATAATCCTTGATATTTTTCCTGAAAGAAACTATGGAGAAAAATAATTGAAAGACCATTGTTTATGGTTTGTCTGAGTGTAAATTCGATAGAACTTAATTTTGCCTCATTAAAATTCCTGGTACTTTCAGAATTAAGAACTTTTATTTTTGAGACTTTGGAAATTCTACTATTATCCTGGTTGGTTTTTCTAGCAATATACCTTCTTAAAGTAATTTTAAAAGAACAAAGAGCCTAGTACTTTTCTGAAATGTCCAACATAAAAGTGGCCCAAGACATGTTGGAGGGCATTTCAGCATACATTGACAAATCATCACACTATATTATAATCATTTATTTAATTACTGCTCCCTTTGGGGAGTCATCCACTCCCCAAGTTTCCAAATACTTGGATGAATATGACGTGAAAATCTGAAAGACAATATGATATGATGGAAACATAAAGCAAAACAAAACACCTAAACTAAGATTACAGTCCTGACTCTACTACTAGCCTATTTTATTCCTGGCTATAGTCTTGTTCCTAAAAAAAATTTCTTTGTCAGTTATTACACTCTGTTTACTATATTTCTACACTGAATATTTGATAATCATCTTATAGCACGCTGCAGAACTGGAACAAAAACAAAATGAATCGGAGAATAAGAAACTGTTGGGAGAAATTGTAAAATACAGTAATGTTATACAAGTAAGTATTTTCTCTTAAACGAGGTGAGTATTTTATGTGGAGTTTGTCAGTAAGTTGGCAGGAAAGCCAAACTGCGTTAAAATTTTGAGATACAGGAAGTTTGTTCTTTGATGGGAATTATCGATGTTGTGACGTATTGTGATGTATTCATTTGATATGTGCTGCACTATTCTGTATGTTTAAGAATAAATCTGATTTTACACATAAAGAAGTGATCTTATCTGGATGTATACACAAGTTATTACATCAAAAAGAAGAGGGTCAGGAAACAATTTCTAAAGGCCTGTTCTGAAATAGTCCTTTAGATTAATGGGACTGTGTTTAACATATGGAGCTTAGCTTTTCATTTTGTGAAGAGAGAAAAGTTTTCACTTTCAGTTGGAAGTCATCCTTGAATTGTTATTAGAAGGTCTTCTATTTCTATTAGTATGCACACACTGTTTTATCTCAGCTGCATTCCTTTCCTGTGTTTCACTTAGATCTTTTTAGCTTCTTACTTGGTTATTTGTTAATATATGCCCCACCTTTTTCAAAAAAGAATGTAAGGCACTTTCCAAAATACAGAGCTACATAGTGAGATAAAATACAAATAAATAAAGCAATTGGTCACAGGGAAAATCATGGTTGGATGAATAAATTGAAATCGGGGTAAGGCATGTTTATAAAAACCATGTTGTAAAGTCTGGTAAATTTTGACTTGAAGGCTTTTTCTTGCCCTCTTAGCCATAGGGAAGCATAGTCTGTTACATCGTTGGCTAGGAGATCCGCAGCACAGAGCCAAATCAGAGGTCTAGAAGCACAACTGTTCCCAGGAATAGGACCAGGGAAGTGTTTCTCCTATGTGTGCTCATAAAGAGGACACTGTGTAATATAGTAAACAATAGCCTTGACAGCTTCCTTACAGTAAATGCTACAATGAGGCATTTCATAGAGCTGTCTTTTAAAATAATATCCCTGATATTTTGTTACTGGCCAATGGCAAAATGCCAGAACACAGGGCAGTCAAAGCAGTGCACTGTTGGGATAAGATGAGAGAAGCTGGGTCGGCAGCTCCCTGAATGTATGACTTAATCGAATGATGGATAATGTGAAACCTGCAACCTGAGTGGGCTGGATGTCCCTGGGGCAATCCTTCATAAATAGAGTTTCTCTTAACCAAGTTTCGGTTAAATGTCAGCAAGTGGAACTTATGTTTCTTGTCAAGTACCCGAAGCGCAGGTGTTAGCTTGGTCATTGAGGGGCTGAGCCATGTTCTTGAACATGGTGGATCCCAAAGTCCAGCCCATGAGGGTTTCCATTGCTTTGTGGTAACATAAGGACCCAAGAGTATGATAATGAGCATTTTAAAATGCTGATTTTTTTTCAATTAAAGAACCGTACTTTATTTTGAGATAATTTCTTACTTATATTGTGAGTACTAAAATGACCATTGTTTTTTGAAATGATTGTAATAATAGATGGAAAGGTTATTTTGTTTTGGTTTTGCTACTCAGTAGAATCATGTTTTTGTAAGATTTTGTTCACAAAGTCCAAAAAAATCTGAGAAGTGATGCTTTTACACTCATCTGGGAGGGGGTAGGGTCAGCATCCCCTGGCAGAAGGTGTAGAAGCCTATTTAGGATGAGCAGCTGCCTCCTTACAGAGGAAGAATCAGGGCTGACTGTGGGCAGGGCTGGTTAATAATAGTAAGTGGGTTGGTGCATTATTTGAGTTTCTTGGCCTTTCTTTAGTATATTCTGTTTTTGTGGCTATGCAGGCATTGAGAAAGGATGTGGTTTTGGGGAAACTCAAGGTCTCCTTT
Source organism: Homo sapiens (assembly GCF_000001405.40). Lineage (NCBI taxonomy): Eukaryota > Metazoa > Chordata > Mammalia > Primates > Hominidae > Homo > Homo sapiens. The sequence goes on along the minus strand of NC_000012.12, from coordinate 26,722,854 downwards.
GGAAAACCTAGTTTTAGCCATTATTTATCAGTAGATGAAAATCACTCGGAGGGGTCCCCTGTTTTTTTTTCCCTATTATGCCGACTTCATTATGAAGCAGAATTGGGGTGAAGGGGAGGAAGAACCCAAAGAAAGTCAAGTAGGAAAGATGGTGAGTGTGGAGGCTGAAAATACTCCTTTGTTTAATTTTCATCTCAAGCCATGTTAGATGAATATATGATACATGTATAAAACATATGAATGTAATTAACAGAGGAGAACAAAGAATAAAGGTGGTAATCTATGTCTTTTCCCTATAGCTACTGCATATAAAAAGCAACAAATATCTTACTGTCAACAAGAGATTACCTGCTTTACTGGAGAAGAATGCCATGCGTGTGTCCTTGGATGCTGCAGGAAATGAAGGGTCTTGGTTTTATATTCATCCGTTCTGGAAACTGAGAAGCGAGGGTGACAATGTATGTAATATACAATTAAGAGGGAAATAGTGGGTTCATAAAGAAAATGATTCCTAATAAGTAAGATAATCCAGAAAGTACAAAAAAGAAAATATAGTTTTTACTCAATACCTGATTTTTATGTTAGTATCTACTAGGTTAAACATGTTTATTTATAGTACAAATTGTGCTCAGAAGTCATAAGACAAAGTTCAGATTAATTTAAAATCTTCCAGCTAGAATTTGTATGAAAGAACTTAAGCAACCTTAATATTGGCTGAGACTTTTAAAAGAGAAGGAGAATTTACTTTTTTGCCTAATTAGGAGGAAGCTTGGTCATAAGGAAAAAGAGCTGTGTTTAGGAAATAGTGTGTGCCCTTTGAATTAATGGAGTGACACCGTGATTCATGACAGGATTCCATTTACTGGCTGTATGCCAGCTGCTGACAGTCTATAAGTCTTAATAGAGATGGAGTAGAGGAGCTGAAGGTTGGCATCTGCTCATTGATGACAACTATGTTTACAATATGTTGTGGACTAGTTGGGGCACTGAGGCAGGAGAATCACTTGAGCCCACGGGTTCAAGACCAGCCTGGGCAACATAGCAAGACCTTGTTTCTAAAAAAAAAATTTTTTTAATGTTGTGGAATATGTGTGTATTGCACATAAATTTTAGTAGTTGCTGAAATATTTTCTGCTACTTTATAAAATAGAGAATAAATTATGAGAAATAGTCAATAGGATCTAGAGTGTGATATTTTTGCATGTAATAAATAAAATACTGCGTGATAGTCCTTAGCACATGGACGATGCTCAGGAAATGCTGCTAGACACTGAGCGCTGAATAAGTTTCATAAATACCTGCAAGTATTGCATCAGGGGATCAATAGTTAAGATTTAAAAAAATTAACATGAATTCGAAGCAATATAAAAGTATAATTATTCTGAGAGAGTTTTTTCAGTTGAAACTTTGATTACATTTTAAATGTGTTTTGGATATTTCTTGTCTTAGGAATGTCTTTATCGTGAATCTAATTTTTCCAGTGAATTTTGAAATACAAATTCAATTCCACAGGATGCAAGCTTCTGGATTTAATTTGGTTAATAAATTATCTGGTGATATCTTCCTTTGGTAAGGTTTGGTAGAAGCATGGCATGCAGGAATGTGATGCACTTTAAGTCTTGTGTTGGTTGGATTTCTTAAAAAAAAAACCCTACTTTTTTTTCTTTTGACATCAGGTGATGTGTGCTGTGAGCATGATACACATTTTAGTTTCATTAAATAGTTCATTACAATCAACTCTCAATTGTTCAGGGACTGATTATGTAGTTTATGAACAACCTGTGCCTTTGAGGCTCTTTCTTGCAATGCTTGTTCCCATCCCCAGCCCTCCACTGAATAGTATCCCTGTCTACAGGAGGTCCATGAAAATTAAATATGAAAACAAACAAAACCTGAGCTCAAGCTCGGAAGGAATGTGATGAAATAATTGAATGAATTGGAGTTTTTAAATTAGCCGTGGATTATATTAATTCATCCTATCTGCTTATTTATTCATTTTATCTATTCTTTTCCTTGCTGCCTTTACACAGTCAACAGAGAGTTGAATGTAATGAACTATTTCAAATAATTAGTTGTACTGGAAAACCAAAACAAAACAAAACCTACCACCCAAACACTCAATCTTGGTGAAAATGGACAATGTAATTGTTAAGTGCAATACAGGAGTTCTTATCTGGATGTGCTTCAGAAAGCATGGCTGAAACAACTTTCCACACTGCTTTTTGCTGAAACAGCTCACCGTTTTTGTTTGCCACTGTGTAGCTTTTGTGTGTAATTAAGGTTGCTGAAAGCATAAGCACACCCACAACCCTATATTGGTCACATAAATAATTGTATTGTAATACTCGTTTTTTTCCCTAAAATAGGTAGCGTATTTCTAAAATATAAACCGACTGTGTGGAAGGCAATTGGAAATACGGTCACTTCATAACCAGTGGTTCAACTACTACTGATTTTCTTTAAAAACACATTAAATTAGAAAAAGGAAATTGCAATGTTTAGAGGACTTTTAAAATGATATTTTACTATTTAACAATAGATGAGGTTTTAAGATGATATTTTAAGATGAGGTTTTAACATCCAACAAGATGTTCTGTTACCCAAATGAAATGCAATAAATAGGCTGACGATAGTCTGGGAGAAAGGAAACCCTATCTTCAAAAGGTAATAGTTCCTATTACTTAAGGGCAACTTTATGATATAGCTTATGGAATTGTGGGATGGATGGTTTTGGGGAAGAAATAGACTCATGGATCCCTGTACTTTCAGCTGTATACAAAGCCCTTGGTTGCAGTTGAACTGCAAAGTCACTAGGGACAGCTATGAGCAGAGAACATAAATATTTCATTTTTCTTTCCTTATTTTTTTATCTTTATGTATCTTCCCATGGTTGAATAGTTAATTTTTCATTTTCAATTTTGATCTAAGAAAACTTGGGTTCTTTACTTTTATGGTAGATTTTAAAAGGGAATAAAGGTCAGATATTCTTTAAATGAAGAGAAAATTTTAACTCTTGAAAAAAGAAACTCTTCAAACAGCAAGTAGACTTTGCGTTTTAGAAAAAGTGTGTGCCCACCAGGGACTGTTGTGGGGTGGGGAGAGCGGGGAGGGATAGCATTAGGAGATATACCTAATGCTAAATGACGAGTTAATGGGTGCAGCACACCAACATGACACATGTATACATATGTAACAAACCTGCACGTTGTGCACATGTACCCTAAAACTTAAAGTGTAATAAAAAAAAGTGTTGAATTTCTAGCTGCGGTGGAACTAGAACCCTGGCGTTTAGATTCCTATTGTGATGTTCTTTTCACCATACCAGGTGCCACTTCAAAAGAAGGGTAGCTGCTAGTGATGTTATATCCCTCTTTATTTTCAGCGAAATCTCAGCTTGAATCTTACATGGCTCTTACATAGAATCAACAGAAGTGCTTTTGGAATTGCAATTTATAAAAAACATGTTTGTGTACTAGAGTGAATGTGATGGCTTATCCTAGGATGTGGCAGAAAATGACTTCACCCTCAAGTTCTATATTAAATACATAGCTTCTCAGAAAGCACCTGACCCCATCTGTGAATCACGTCCTGAGCTTCACTATTTTGAAAATATTACCATATTTCATATTTGCTAAGTTATCTAATTAGGTATGAATTCTGTGAGAATAGGGACTATTTCTTAGACCTTTTTGTTTTCTCCCTGGAACTTCTTAATATTCTTTTTATTTCACATGATTGGTAGTTTATCCATTTCACTTGCAAGTTTTATTCAGCTTGGTTAGGCAAGGTAATCATTGTCAAGAATAAGAATGAGGATCTGAAAATTACTGAATTAATGTTAGATTCTACTTATGAATACCATTTTTTAATGAACCACTGGAAGCTGTTTCACAGATACCAAGGAACATTTTGGCTATATGATTGGTCTCTTAATATATACAATGTTAGGCTGGGCACAGTGGTTCACGCCTATGTAATCCTTTGGGAGGCTGAGGCAGGTGAATCACCTGAGGTTAGGAGTTCGAAACCAGCCTGACCAACGTAGTGAAACCCCGTATCTACTAAAAATACAAAAATTAGCTGGGTGTGATGGTGCACACACGTGTGATCCCAGCTACTTGGGAGGCTGAGGCAAGAGAATCGCTTGAACCTGGGAAGCAGAGGTTGCAGTGAGTTGAGATTGTGCCACTGTACTCCAGCCTGGGTGACAGAGCGAGACCCCATCTCAAAAAACAGAAAAAACTATATATATATACACACACACATATATATATACTATATATATGCACATATTTGTATATATTATATATTTAAGTCTATATATATATTTAAAACCTTATATATATATACAGTTTTATGGGTGGTATTTTGAAGTAAATATACGGATTGACCCAAAGCTTACAGACAACTATAGTAAAATAGCAAGACTTAGAGCAGCGAATGTAGGTGCAACCAAAAGTATTCTTGAATTGGAAGGACATAGTTAAAATATGTCATTATATTTAGTAACTTATTGGCTAGGATTTATATGGCACAGATGAGAATCAAATAGTAAACCAAATCCAGTTGTTCTTTAAGAAATTGGAAGTTGAGAACACATGGACACAGAGAGGGGAACAACACACACCAGAGCCTGTCAGGGGGTGGGGGGTGAGGGGAGGGAACTTAGAGGACGGGTCAATAGGTGCAGTAAGCCATCAGGGCACATGTATACCTATGTAACAAACCTGCACGTTCTGCACATGTATTCTGTTTTGTTTTTTTGTTTTTGTTTTTGTTTTTTAGAAGAAATAAAGAAAAAAATGTAATTGGAAGAACAGATGCAGCACTGGCAAAATGTGGCATCAAGCTCCCAGTACTTTAGAGTATGGATGATGACTCAGGCCTCTACATGGCTCTGTGACTTGGAGCTGCCTTGCTGTCATGTGCAACAGCACGTGTTTTCCTAGGGAGAATGGGGATTGGGAATATGCTTATGTCATGTTGACTTTCATTTGTTTTTGCTCATAATTTAATTTTTAAAAGGGATACCAATTCATGGTTCAAAGATAGAAAACAATGTAAAGATATATTGTGAAAAATCTCTCTTCTACTCTTTTTATTCCATCTGTCCGATTTCTACTCTTCTTCTTCCTCAGGTATGCACTGGAGAGATTTATTTATGCAGATCCTCCTATTCCCTCCCTCACATTTGTACACGAATGATAGCATACTACATGCCTTGCTCTGCCTATTCATCTTTTCACTTAATACTGCTCCTTAATGATCTTTCCTTAACTGTATATAGAGAGCTTCTATGATGAATCTTTGTGAGTTACAGCATCTGACTTCTTATGGACGTGATGAGTAGAGACCAGTCCTGTAAACAGCAGGAGTTGTTTCCACAAACCAAAGCACAACCTTTCTTTGTTTGGTTGGTGAGCTTGAGGCTTCTCTATTATATTTCAATCGCCAGATATAGTTTGTGACAACAGTACCATATGTGAGCATGGACTCCTCCGTATCATCCATATGAGGATATCTGATATTGAAAATATGAAATTATGTTTTTTAAAGTTTGGGCTTAGATTAAGATACACTACATGGAGAAGTTCTGTTTATTCATATCGACTGAATCCTGATTTGTTTTATCATTTATCTATCAAACTAATTTATTCTAATATTTACTTGGTATAAAATATACAAAGGGAGGGTTTTGGTTTTCATTTTTGAGACAGTGATCAATTCTTTAAGTGAGATTTTATTTACTATAATAATATGTCTTCTAAATAAATTCAGCAATGTAAGTAACTTTAATAATGGAAATTAAACTGTTCATTGTTATCATGAAGAAAGGATAACTTTGATTCCCCACAATTTGAGTTATGAATAAAAATACTTAAAGAGAAGGTGGATATTGCTACAATAACATACATTAAAAAATCAATTAGAGTTACTTCTGTAGAGCACTTTTCCAAGAATCAATTTTAGTTTTTATTTAAAAATGAACATCAGGTTTAAGGAGCAATATTAGTTTAATATATTTAAGATATGAGTGAATCGGATGCCCAAGGCTCAAACACAAAACATATTTCTACAAGGTCATACCTAATTCTGCATTTCCTGAATCGAGCTGACATTAGAATTTTTAATACACTTCTGAGACTATGGGAAGATCAAATTTACTCATCTCTTATAAAAGATAATACAAGTGTATAACATTTTCTGCTTGCTTTTGCAGTGGTTCTAATATTTGGATAGATTACTTTTTTGTGGTGACAGATGCATTTACTCTTTCTGTTGTGCTTATGGCATAAGACCTCGTGGGGAGGGATAATGGCCTATTTATTGACTTTAAGGAAGCTCTAACTGAAATGGGAGATGAATATGAAAAAGATCCACACTAGCTTTATGAATCCAGACTGATAGGCACTATGGGACATGGTTATATGATCATTTATTAGAAGATATTTTACCTCAAAGAGAAAAAGGATTGTATGAAAATTTGTGTGAAGGATAAAAGGACCAGATGTCAGATCAATAATGGGGACTCCTGTGCAGTTATTTCTAGCTTCGAATATAGCACCAAAGATCCATGCAGTGTCTCAATTGTGATTTATTTCTGCTTCCTAGATTGTTGTAGGAGATAAAGTTGTTTTGATGCCTGTGAATGCAGGGCAGCCACTACATGCCAGCAACATAGAGCTTCTTGATAACCCAGGGTGTAAAGAGGTAAGTTCAAGTGGAAAAGGAATGAATGTGTTCATTTTTCTCATGAGACAGAGGGAGAAAAAAGTAATATAGTTTCTTTCATTGTTTTCATGAGCATAATCCCAGTTATTCTAATTAATATCCCTAAGGTACATATAGCTGTGATTAGTTATTGCTATTTTTGGATGGTCTCTCAAAGATACTTGTATTGAGCTATATACTTCATTATCCAAAATTGTCTTTAATTTCCTTTTACTAGTTGAACTAATAATTTCTGGTAGAGAATGGAATCTGTAGTCTTATAACTTTGAACGTTTCTTCATTAATAGGTGAATGCTGTCAATTGCAACACCAGCTGGAAAATCACTTTATTCATGAAATATAGTTCCTATCGAGAGGATGTATTAAAAGGAGTAAGTATGTGCTACACAGGACATTTGCTGGGAGAAATGATGGTAGTCTTACTGAAATTCTAGATGCAAAACCTATGTATTCACTGGTGTTCATAATTTAGAATGTGACTACACATGTTAATACTTACTCTAAGTGTTTTACTGAATTTCCCCCCCACATTTTTAAATGTTTAAATAAGCATTAAATAAATTTAAATAAGCTTTAAAAGTCAAATAGCTAGTAGAAGGGCCCAGAGTAGCAAAACCAGAAAGAGACACCTGCTTCTCACATCTGTTTGTTCAGATGTCTCTTGACCTTTTTGCTAGGGGGACGTTGTTAGATTATTTCATGCGGAACAAGAGAAGTTTTTGACTTGTGATGAATATGAGAAAAAACAGCACATTTTCCTTCGTACGACCTTGCGCCAATCAGCTACTTCTGCTACTAGTTCTAAAGCACTCTGGGAAATAGAGGTATGTAAATGTTTTTTGGCACTTAATAAATATTTAGATCAAAAAGAGAAGATTCACTGGGCTTGTTGTTTTATTGTTATAGGCATCATTTATGATAGAATCATAAAATAGAATAATTTTTGTGAACCAACTTGTGCCTATTCATTGCTGTGACCAATTTGAAAGGAAACTGTTTCCTAAGCCTGTCTTCTCTGTGGTAGCTCTCATTTTCTCTCTCTCCTTCTCTGTCAAGTGCACACACACACACACATTTACAAAAGGTACATTACGATCTTACTTTTAACAAATCAATTGTGAAATGTCAAGACTAGTTAGACTGAAGACCATGTGACTCAAATGGCACTGGAGTCAAGATGGAGTAGGATGCCTCACTTTGAGGAAGGTTGAGGCCAGAACTACTCAGTCCCTGAGGAGAACAATGTTTATTTCTTCTGTAGATGCCATTTCTATTGGAATCAGGAGACCCATAGTTAAGAATTCATTCATCTTTTTAAAAGTATCACTTAAATGTGGAACATGGTAGAGTAATTAAGGAAATGTAATCTATGGATTTTTCCTTAAAGGATCTTTTTATATGTGGAGGAGATAAGATCTACAGAATTGCCTATGAACAAGAGATTTACTAAACATCTAAACCACTAGCGGTGATTCTCAACCATTTCAAATTCTTCACCTGCCCCCAATTTTAAAACATATATTTTGTGACACTCCCTTTAATATTCTAAAATGAAATTTATAGGTAATATTATTTATATACTAATAGGTAGAATTAGTATAATGCTCAAATTCTAACATAAAGAATAAATAAAAGGAAAATACTTTATAATAAAATAATATGTATTTCAACATGAGAATGACTATCTAAAAGATACAATATTTATGCCCATCTTGGATGGATATGTTTGGATTTGAGAGAAGTGGTTAAAGAAGTGGATCAGAAGACAGCCCATACAAGTACAGGAAAATGAAAAAGCAAAGGTAAATGTGGGCCCTTGAATGATAACCAGTGTTAGGAGACGTAATAACGGAACAAACTGAAAAACGGAGAGATAACCATAATCAAAGTAGGGATAATACTTTAGGCAAATTACCGACGAGATGCAGAAAATGAGGAAGTAAGATGCCTCTGCAAATGAGCTGAGCCTTATTTATAAATATGACACTAAAAAAGAACTAAGTTTATGACATGGTTTAGAATCGAGATGAAATAGTACAAAAGAACTTATCTTCTATCTTGAAACTCCACAACATATTGAGGAATAATTTCAGTCGCTAGCATGCAGATGGACTTTGGAGACCACAACCATCAACAGGTGATGGAACTGAGAAGCTCTGGGGAAAACAGCTATGACTAAAGCTAATAATACACGAGGCTGCATGAAACACCTCCCAGAAGTCTACCTCATTCATAAGAGCAAAACTGAAAAATAACAGGCAATCCTAAAATAAATACATAATTAAAGCATGCATTTTCACACCATAAAGTTCTTAATATTTTGCTGTTTTTAAAAATTAAAAAAATATAGAGGTAGCAATAAGATGAGATATTATTTAAAACTCTGTTAATGAAATACAGTGAGTTACCTGCATTTGATGTGTCTCTGCTTATTTAATATTGGTTCTGAGTCTGTTAAAAGGAGTTTTGAAAATTCTCTCATATTTTTGCTTTTAGTTTTATAGCTTTTGCTGTAACTGTACTACTGCAGTGAACCCTTTCCATCAAAATGCATAGTTGGAAATGCTGTGACACATTGACCAGAATAGGGAGCGAATAAATTGTTTAATAATTTTGAGATGTCTTTACTTCATTTAAACGTCCCTCACCGTAATGAATTTCATATAACTTGATGTAAAATGTTTTTATCTGCTGATGTACTAAAGTATTGCCAGTTTATATCGGTGGTAGGCTTATTTCTATTTGAGATTTGAGGGACTTTTCTCTATTGTGTGCTGTCACAGTTGGGCTTTGTGAGGAAGCCTGAGGACTGTGCTTACCCAGCATGGGCATCAGGTGTTTCAAGGAAGAGGGAAATTACGTTCAACATGATTGGAAGGGCTGGGGAGGAAATGTGGAGTGGGGGACATGGGCTTATCTGAATGCAGATAAGCAATGCAATGACTGCTCCTCCTCTGAGCCTGCAGGCCTCTGCTCACATGCTGAGGGGTCCTTACCCACGCACCTTGTAGGAGCGGGCACTAGTCAGCTGCTCCCACTGTTACTGCAGCCCAAAGAGGAGTCTCTCTTCTACTGTCCTCTGCTTTCCATTCTAACGGGAATGTCCTCAGAGCCCCGCTGGGTGAGGCTTTCAGCCCCTGTGATGCAGGGGAGCACTTAGCAGGGTGGGGCTGGTCCTGAGGGCCACACACAGTGTTGATCACATTCTGGAATTCCCTGTAAATTGCAGCATAGATAATATCTTGGTCACTGCATATTAAATGCCAATAGCATCCCTCCAAAATCATTGTGATAAACAAAAACACCCTCCCTTCCAAATCTCTAGAATATCCCCTCTAGGGAGCCGTACTGCCCTTGCCAGACCCACTGATGTATAGGAGAGTAGTTCTTAGTCTGGGATCTTCAGATCATTTGTTAACCTTAGCATTTATATACAAACCACAAAATTGTGTGTGTGTGTGTGTGTGTGTGTGTGTGTGTGTGTGTGTATTTGAGACAAACATTAGATTTTATCACATTCTCGCAGATATCTCTGCCTCCCTCAAAGGTTTAAGAGTTCAAACACTGACAAGATCACAGTGGCCAGTGTGATTAGCAAAGGATTTGTGGAAGAAATGTGATGTGAGAATTTGAAGGATAGGTGGGCTTTTGGCCACAGAGGGAGTGTTTTGTAAGACCTCAAGGACTTTGAAGTATTTTCATAATTATTATCTTATCTGAGTTATGAGAGTATGGGAAGACAGTTGCTGGAGTCTAGCAAAAGGCATTAGCAAGTGAAGTATGTTAACACACAGAATTCGTGGTTGCAGCAGGAGCCAAAGGGTGGTCAGTACTAGCAAAAAGAACGTAATGTGCTGAGGGAGAGTCATGAAAGTTATCCTAGCATTGTGATATGCCTTATGATATTTCATCTTCACAACAATCCTGTGAATCAACCCATTTTGTACACGAAGAAATAAGGCTCAAAGATGTTAAATTCCTTTCTGTGGTCATACCCCAGTAATTGGTGGACCTGAGACTCACATGCCTGAATTGGAGTGTAAAACCCGAGCTTTTCTGCTGCCCATCCCGCCTGTCATAACCAGGTGTGTCAGAGCTTCTACTGCATTCATTCCCAGTGAGCCTAGGGGCTCAGCATCTGGGCAAGGTCAATTCAGAGACAGGTATCAAAAGACATGCTGTCAATAAAAAGCATGCATGGAAAGGGCTAAGAATTAAGTAGTTTAGACCTTAGGCCTTGACGTTTGTGATTCTCTCTTCCAATCTACGTGGCTGTCTTTCTCATCCTCCAGGTTTCAGCTCACATGACATCTCAAAGTGGCCCATACTCATGATGGTCATATCTAAAGTTGCCTTCCCTAGTTACTCAATCATGTACTTCCCCTGTGTTGTTTCTGGCACTTGTCAAATCTTACTTATTTCTTTGTTCGCTGGCTCTCTCTTTTCCATTAGAATGGAAGCTCTAGCTTTATCCACTGCTGTGTTTCTCTTCTCTTGAAGGTACTTGGCACATAGTGGGCTCTTAATGCAAGCTGCCAAGTAAATGTTTGAAAAACAAAGGGAAGAAAATCTCAGTATTTCCACTTTGGTCTTGGAAACATGTCTTTCTGAGTAAAGCTGTGTTTGCAGATGTAAGGCACAAGTGTCATGCATGCACGAGTTAACAACTGTTATAACATTTCTCTTGCTCATTTATGGGGAATTTTGTTTTTCTGCCACATTATGCTCTCATGGAAACATATATTAGGTTTGACAGATCAGTATTAACAGGAGGGCAGGCATGTAAACTGTTGGTGTTTGCTTGCCAGGAACATAAATATTGTTTTGCCATTACTATCGTTGCTCTCTTTGTAGGTGGTTCATCATGACCCATGCCGTGGGGGTGCAGGACAGTGGAACAGCTTGTTCAGATTTAAGCATCTTGCAACTGGAAACTATTTAGCTGCAGAGGTAAGACTAATGGATAAAGTGGTATTAAGTTTCTGACTCTGAATTAGTGAAAGAGGCAGTTGGGTTCGCCACAAGACATCGTATTTGCAGGAACAGTCATTACACAAATTTGATTGTTGCCTCTAGTATTCTGGATTGGCATATAAATTATTTTTAAAATGTAAATGTTAGTCAAAGTATTACAAATTAAGACAACAACGATAATAACAACAAAAACTCTGCAGTTGTTTTACTGGAAGGCCAACTGGAATGGGGCATCTGATTTGCATATGTATGTGATGTGGCCTAAAATTTTCTATTTAGCTTCACCCTTTCAGAATGTCCGCATCATAGATATGATCAGTTCATTGCCCGTGTCATATAGCCTAGCTAGCTTTGGGTTCATCTGCAGTGGCCTCTTTCACTGTGGGTGGCTTTTATTATTCAAATCATTGGGAAGGAAAATGTTTTCTTCGTAAAACTGTCAATAAAATGGTAAAAACGTACAAAAGCTTTTTCTTTATCCACTAAAAGTATGTTGACAGACAGATATGAAGGATGTCAGAAGATATGAAGGATAGGTAGAAATAACATCATGGAAGTTTTACAAATGTTTTAATTAAAGTTTGGTTATCTAATTGAAAAATAATTTTGAAGCTAGTCTTTTCCAGATGTATGAAAATTTCCATTCATGGAACTGTGCTGGGCACTTAGCATTTGATGACTATTTTGTGAATGGATAGAGGATGGGGAGAAGGAGATTTCAGGATTTGTATATGAGATGCATTTGGAGACATATTGGGCAAATTAATCACACTACACTCCAATTTCTTCTTCTGGAAAATGGGGATAATCAAATATATTTCTAATTCTCTTAACTTATTAGAATTAAATTAGGCAAAGTGCTTGCAGAAGTTGTGGTTTATGGTAAGCACAGGGTAAGTGATGCTGGCATGACTAATTTTTGTTTTTGAGACAGATTCTTGCCCTGTTGCCCAGGCTGGAGTGCCGTGATGCACTCAACCTATGCCTCCCAGGTTCAAGCAATCCTCTTGCTTCAGCCTCCTGAGTAGCTGGGACTACAGGTTCACACCACCATGCCTGGCTATGTTTTATATTTTCAGTAGAGAAGGGGTTTTGCCATGTTGGCCAGGCTGGTCTCAGACTCCTGGACTCAAGCGCCTGCCTCGGCCTCCCAAAGCCCTGGGATTATAGGCATGAGCCACTGTGCCCTGCCTAATTTTATGTGATAAACAGGGATTATTTTTACTTTTTTAAGTATCTAACACATTATTTAGTGCTCAACTAGATGAAATACAGCTTTGCAATTTACAGTCTGTTTATAGCGTAAATGTTTTAAAGTAACCCTTTTGAAAAGCAACTCATTGAAGCAAAAATCATTAGTAAGGTAGAGAATCTTGTCTAAAATAAAAATTACAAAAGCCTAACTAGATATCCTATAAAAGATAAGAAATTAGGATTAAAATTCTCTTATGTTAGTGGCTCTTTTCCCCTGTTCACTTTTCAAGCAAATCTACTGATGTGCTGTAGAAAACTGACATGATGTACATGTATATTACTAGTTTTCTTTGTTAATTTCTATAATTAAAACATGTACCATTTGATGCATTCAAATGATTAGATTTTTAAGAATTAAATTGTTCATTAACCTTAGTGAGGATCCAAGACTTCAATATATACACGAATTAATTAAAAATGGAGAAGTAGAAAGCAAATCATTCCTTGAAAAGATTTGAAAGACTCTCTTTCATCCTGTCTCTAGAGAATGCAGCTTTAAATGCCAGGTGCCGTCTCATCCATTAAAGAGTCTGGTGTATTTAGAGGACCTTTTCTTTGACCTTTAATACTTTAGATAACATCTTTTTTATGGTCTAGTGGGAGGAGGAAAATTAAGTATTAAGCACATATCTGAAAACTGAAAGTTACGAATTTATTTTCTACTGATTTTAACTAGTGTAACAGAATGGGTGCTCTGTGTAGTGTTCTAATATCAAAATAGCAATCATAGCCTCAAAATCCTGGCATCCATACATTGGTGTTTTGTATTTTCTATGTCAGTTGGGACAAAATCCTGGTGTGCTCATGTCTCAGGATGCTTGTCCTTACTGGTGTGAAAGTGTCTAGAGGTGTGGCCAAATCACAATGATTTCTAGTCCAGGAACAGCTGGTAACTAGCCTCTGACAGCAGTTGAGAAGCAATGATTACACGTTTATCATTTTGCTTTCTAAAAATGCCCAGGTCTTTATTTCTTTCTTAAACTTTTTAATTTTTATGGACACATAGTATACGTATACACTTATGGGGCACGTGTGATGTCTTGATGCAGGCATACAATGTGTAATAATCACATAGGGTATTTGGGATATTGGTCACCTCAGGCATTTATCATTTCTTTGTATTAGGAACATTCCAATTCTACTCTTTTAGTTATTTTAAAATATACAATAAATTGTTGTTAACTGTGTATTACCCTGTTGGGCTATCAAATTCTAGATCTTACTCCTTCTGTCGAACTATATTTTTGTACCCATTAATCACCTCCACCTTTTCTCTCCCTCCCTGTCACCCTTCCTAGCCTCTGGTAACTATCCTTCTACTCCCTAGCTTCATAAGTTCAATTGTTTTAATTTTTAGCTCCCACATATGAGTGAGAACATGTGAAATTTGTCATTCTGTGCCTGGCTTATTTCACTTAACATAATGTCCTCCAGTTTTATCCATATTGTTGCAAATGACAGGATCTCGTTCTTTTTTATGGCTGAATAATATTCCACTGTGAACAGGTACTACATTTTCTTTATCCATTCATCTGTTGATGTATACTTAGGTTGATTCCAAATCTTGGCTATTGTGTGTAGTGCTGTAATAAACATGGGAATGCAGGTACCTCTTCCATATACTGATTTCCTTCCTTTTGGGTGTATACCTAGCAGTAGGATTGCCGGATCATATGGTAGCTCTATTTTTAGTTTTTTGAGGAACCGCCATACTGTTCTCTATAGTGGCTGCACTAATTTACATTCCTACCAACCATGTGAGGGTTCCCCTTTCTCCACATCTTCATCAGCATTTGTTATTGCCTTTCTTTTGGATAATAGTCATTTTAAACGGGGTGAGATGATATCTTATTGTAGTTTTGGTTGGCATTTCTCTGATGATTAATGATGTTAAGCATTTTTTTATATATTTGTTTGCCATTTGTATGTCTTCTTTTGAGAAATTTGTATTCAGATCTTTTACTCATTTTTAAATCAGATTATTAATTTTTTTTTTTGTCTGTTGAGTTGTTTTAGCTCCTTATATATTCTGGTTATTAATCTCTTGTCAAAAAATGCCCAGGTTGGCCAGGCGCGGTGGCTCACATCTGTATTCCCAGCACTTTAGGAGGCTGAGGCGGGTGGATCACCTGAGGTCAGGAGTTCAAGACTAGCCTGGCCAACATGGTGCCCTGTCTCTACAAAAATACAATAATTAGCCAGGCATGATGGCGGGTGCCTGTAATCCCAGCTACTTGGGAGGCAGATGTGGGAGAGAATTGCTTGAACCTGGGAGGTGGAGGTTGCAGTGAGCCAAGATCGTGCCATTGCACTTCAGCGTGGGCAAAAGAACAAGACTCTGTCTCAAAAAATAAAATAAAATAAAATAGCCCAGGTTTTTTATTTCAAAGCATTAGTCATGTCGTTCAAGTAGGACGGGGGTTCTCTATATTTTGAGTGACAACCTCCTAGAATTATTTGTTTTATTACCCTGTACCCTTATTCTTAGGCGATAGAGGCTCCATGGCACAGATTTATTTTACTTGTTCAGTTTTCTCTTTAATATCTAGATATTATTTTTAAAAAGACACATATTGGGATGTGGGGAATGCAAGAATTGGGAATGATTATTTTTGGAATTCATAAAATTGCAAACATAGTCTTTAAGATTTCATGCAACCTTCAATATATGTTTCTTCAGTGCCTGGTAAATGCACAGCATGGTAGAATGCTGCAGGTACGGCAAAGGAAGCTGAGGACTCAGTCTTTGCCTTCAAAGAATGGAGCTTCTAGTTCGGAAGACAGCGCGGCACAATCAGGGAGGGCTAATTATATGTGCAGGTAGAATTGGGTCATATTCCAGTGAGAGAATCTGGTGTGAGGTTAGTTGAAGATTCTTGCTTGGGGCAAACTGGTTCTCAAAGAAAATAATAGACATGGACTGTTAGAGAAATAAAAGGGCGGTCCTGTGTAAGTTGCTAAGAAGGCGCATCAGAGATACAGAATGTCCAAATCATACATAGACAATATTAAAACTGAGGCCCAGCCCAAGGAAGGTGTTGTGAAAGGAATGACTGACAGGTCTCCTTGCTTTAAGATTTTGAATGAAGGGTTTGACTTTTATCCAGTTTGTAATAGGAATGAAGTTTGAGGAAGTTTAACTTGGTAGCTACCTCGAGGCTGGGACTGATCAGCTATTAGCAGGCCTTTGGTAGAGATCAGTGATGTCATTAAAAAAATCCCAGTACAGTGTGATACATTTATGATAGCAATATGAATAGTGGCCCACACTTTTCTCAGGGGGTCTCAAGGATGTGCAAGAAATGGTCAGGGGGTCAGAGAGGTTGCTGCTTAATGAATGAGTAAGGCACATGGGGAAGAGGGAGAAAGGGCGTTCAGACAGTGAGGGCAGCTTGTACACAAGGAAGGAGGTGTGTGGCACCATACAAACTCGTTTCATATGTAGGACTTGTGAGTTAGGAAGTAATGTTAGAAGGTGAGAGGGAAGCGATGGGGCCAGAAGTGTAGTGCAGCTGATCAGTTCAGGCCATATATATCAAGGAGAATGGGTTTTATCTTTAAAGTACAGAGGAGTATAATAAATAGATTTGTGATTAAAGAAGACCACTCCAGAGTTGTACTGTGTAATATAGTAGTTTCTAGCCACATGTTGGCTATTAAATTAAAATTAATATTATCAAAATAAAATTAAAAAGTCAGTTTCTCATTCACAACAGCCACATTTCAAGTTGCTCAACAGCCACGCCACACGAAATAATGCACATTTCCAAAGAGACAGTTGTGGTGGGCAGCACTGCTCTGGAGCCTTGGTGAAGTGACTAGAAGAAATTGAATCTAGAGGCAGTGAGGCCAGATAAGAGTCTGAATGATCTGCTTTCTACATTTTCTTTCTTTGCCATCTGGTGGAAGTTTTGCCTATCTACAAACAAATAAGGTAGTTGTCTTTAAAAGGGCTATATTACAATCTTTAACAAAGAAAATTATTTTGCATTACTTGACCTATATTGCTTTGGAAAGGTCATCAACAGTTTTTGCTTTAGTAATTTTGAGCACTTGAACCAAGGGAGAGGCTTCAGTAATGGTGAGGAAGGGAAGGGTTGAAGGCATTCTTGGGAGACAGAACTGATGCAGTGGTAAGCCGTCAGGTGTTAAGGGTTAAGGAATAGGATTCTGGCTTTGGAGAACTAGCGATGTCATTCACCAAATTAGGGAAAATGAGAAGAGGTGCCAAATTGATGAGGGAAATAATCCATTCAAATTTGATTATGCTTATAAAATGTCTGGATGAAATTGTCCACTAGGGAAGATTTCAAAACGTCTGGAAGTTTGGGGATTGACCAGTGTTAGATTTGGGTTTTCAGAGCGCAGGTAAGATCATTAGGGAGTAGAAAGAGAGTGGGAGGGTGTTTGAAGGTAGAATCATGAGGAAATTATCTTTAAAGGATGAGGGAGAGACTGGGAGCCTGAGAAGCCAGAAGCACCTGGAAAATCAAATGGGCTGAATTACAAATACCAAGCAAGGAAGGAGAGAACTTCGCAAAGGAGGAAGTGCTACTAAACAGGCCAGAAACAAATCTGCTTACATCAGCTGGCAAGAATGCAATCATTTGTTACTTTATGGGGAAAATTTTTAGTGGAAACCAGAATGCAGGAGTGGAGGAATGACCAGGAAGCCAGGAAGCAGAAGTGGGTGCAGACTGAGTTTTCATAGCACTGCTGTGAAAAGGGGAAGCAGAGTTGCAGGCCAGGGAAAATTAAGAGCCCTATTAGATGATTTTTATAAAATGTATTTTTAAAAATGAGGTGGTTGAGGATGCTGCTGTTTTTGCATTAAAGGGAAGTACCTAGCAGTGCGGCTAGATATTGCAGAGTATTAACCTTTTTTCCCATGACCTTTCCAACTTTAACAGACATATTTATAATTTAAAATATTACTTTCATGTGCTGTAGGCATTCCTGGTAAATTGGATTATGTAATTCTTGAATTGCCTTTGAGTTTATGGTGTTTATATTGGCCAGTGTGACAGAGCCTAGCATAGTGGGAAAAAAATCCCATGCATACTGTTTACAATCTGTCTGACTTTAAGCAAATATTTAACCCCTCTGGACCTGAGTTCCTTTGTGTGTAAAAAAAGTTAAGAATGTATATTATATAGTATTATTCTGGAATTAAAGAAGATAGGGGATGTACAGCACCTTGTACATGAGAGGTATGCAATAAATATTAAGTCTGTTTGCTTTCTTGGGGAGGAAACAGAGAGAAAATGCAGAGTAGTGTTTTATTATTATCATTATTAATAACTAGCATGTCTTAGATAAGTTAAGGAGGGTAAGTATATAGGGGCAAAGTTTAGTTATTTAATATGTTTATCTGGAAAAGATTACTACAATGCTTTGACATAGGAAACACTGCCTCATGGAGCCACTGAAAATCCTTCCAATAATATCTCATGATCTGTTGTGCAGTTCCTATGTCAGGTATAACACACAGCCAGCCAGTCACTTCCGTGATTTATAAATAGACATTTTGGGTGACATTACTCTTAATCAACTGGGCAAAGTATGCTGAGTGCTTATCTAGGAGAACAGCTGAAAAGACTATCCATGACCTGGATTATTAGAATATTTTAACATATATTGCTTTTATTTCTCTGAATTCTTTAGATAAATTTTTCTAAAGCAGAAATGAAGTTTCTTTTGAATAACTTGAAATAGTTTTTTTATGGTCTATACATTTGAGTTTAACTCACGCTATTGTGTAGCAACTTAAATTGTGGTCTTTTAAATAATATAGCGCAGTTAGAGTTCATTGAGCATTTTAGAATTTTAAAAGCCTTTGATTCTGGATAATGCCACAGTTACTCTCCATAAACCTGTTGAGATATTTCAGAAATCCCCCACTTAGGGAGGAAATGTTTATAGCATTTCTTTGGGCTTATCACAGTTCACAGTTAGCTATGCATTTGTTTGTTACCTGTTGTATGTATTGTGTATATCTATTCAATGGCTATTTTGTTCCCTGCAATGAAAGGCCTGTATCTGTTTTGCTCATTGCTGGATGCCTTGTGCCTAGAAGAGTGCCTGACACTTAATTTGCCTTCAGTAACTGTTGGATGATTGAATGAATGAATCACAGGGACTATGACTGTTGTTATAAATCCAATAATTTTAGTTTACAGAAAAAGAAATCCAGGCTCACAGAGGTGATTTATTTTGTTAAAATCAAAAAACCGATATAATGAAAGTATTAGGAATGAATGCTTTCAACTGAGGGTAACGATGGCAATGTCTAGAGACATTTTTATTTTCACAGTTGGGGAATGGGAGCTGCTATTTATTGTCACAGTTAGGGAATGGGATGTAGCTAAACATCCTACTATACACAGGACAGCCCCTCCCAACAAAGAATTATCGGGTTCAAGATACCAGTAATGCTAAGGGTTGAGAAACTCTGATCTGTATTATACTGAAAGTATACATTTATTGAATGCCTACTAGGTAGAAGTACTACTTTGACATTGTGAAGAAAACAGAGATGATTAACACATGGTCCTTGTCCTCTAAGAGTTTGCAATTTAGATTAACTCAATCTCTGGGACATTGAGATCTCTTTTGCCATTGTTTCCACTATACATGCACATCTGAGAGAAATGGTTCTATGTAATGTCTAATTGTTAACATCTGTAGGTGACCATGCTAAGTCTCACAGTAAGTTTAAAGGACTGCAACCTTAAATCTAAGCACAAATTAGATAAGAAGATCTAAAATTTACTTATAGATACAGTGCCCAAGTATGATACTCTATTTTAACCAGCACTTAACTGGATTGTTTAGGTATTCAGAAAAATGTAATAAGCCTAATTATTTATGTGGAAGTGAAGGGGGCACTATCCAAAGGAAATCAGACCATTTGATATGCTGGAAATTCCGTAGTTGAATCACATAGAGAAAACACATATGTTGCAAGCTATTTAAGAATAGCATCTTTTTTTTGGTGAATTGCGGAAAACACCTAGGAACTAGGATAATGATACAAGATTTAACACGGTTTAAGTTTTATCCTGCAAGATAGTAAAGCTAACCAAGGGTTAGAAATGGTCCCTTATTCAATGTAAAGATATCCAACAGGATAGTTTAGGGATTCGGATTAATTTTAAAGAAATAACTCAGTGCTAGACTGTAATCCCAGCACTTTGGGAGGCCAAGGTGGGCAGATCACTTGAGGTCAGGAGTTCAAGACTAGCCTGGCCAATATGGTGAAACCCCCCTCTCTACTAAAAATACAAAAATAAACCGGGCATGGTGGCACACGCCTGTAGCCCCAGCTACTCAGGAGGCTGAGGCAGGAGAATCACTTGAACCCAGGAGGTGGAGGTTGCAGTGAGCCGAGATCGCACCACTGCACTACAGCCTGGGCGACAGAGTGAGAGTCTGTCTCAAAATAAAAGGAGAAAAAAAAAAAAGAAAAAAAAAACACCAACCCCCCACCCCCGCCCCCAAAAACCAAACCAAACCAAAAACCTCAATGCTAGAAACCTATGGATAAAATGTGGAACAAAGTAATTATGAACAAGATAAAGATTTTTGATCTCATGAAGTAATACAGAGCATATTATTAGACCCTTTCTCTTGCAATGTTGGTTTCTGTGGGGCATATATGTAGTTA
Source organism: Homo sapiens (assembly GCF_000001405.40). Classification (NCBI taxonomy): domain Eukaryota; kingdom Metazoa; phylum Chordata; class Mammalia; order Primates; family Hominidae; genus Homo; species Homo sapiens. The sequence continues at coordinate 26,702,228 of NC_000012.12, read as the reverse complement.
GGTGGCATGAGGGGAAGGTAAATATACACTGATATTTTTGACACAGCTGTCCACACACTCATCGACACTTTGTCATAGATATTTTACTTGTATTATTATTGTAGTGGTTCAGGTAAGTTCACAACTATGTCTGTGAGGGAGAAAGTAATTTTACCATATTTTGCATAGGAAAATATGGGGACCTCAGTAAATGGGTCTTCCACAGATGTGGGAAGAATTATAAATCAGCCTTCACAGTTTATGATCTGATGCTTTCTGCATTTTCTTTCTTTGGATCTTACTAAAGCAAAAACTTTTGATGATCTTTCCAAAGCAATATAGATCAAGTACTGCATAATAATGTCATTTATTCAAGATTGGAATAAAAGCCCTTTTAAAGATCACTAGCTTATTTGTTTGTAGATAGGCAAAACTTCCACCAGATGGCAGTAAACACTTATTTCCTGACTATTCAATAGCCTGTGGATTTAATTAATTAGCTAAAAACCCAGTACTCAAGAAACTCTATAATAGCATAGGATTTTATGACTATTGGGGCTGTAGTTTTAAATGTCTCTATGTTTAGTTCTCTCTCAAATGTATCAGCCATAGTATGTGAAAAGGGCCTGGTTTGTATGCATGTATATGTATACATAAATACAGCAGACTAACATACAGACCAGACCCTATACATACGAATAAAATGTTACATATCAAAATATAGAAATTGTACCTGACACACATATACACCCAGTAAAGGTTATTTTCTCTCCTTTCTTTTCTAGGCTTATCAATCACAATAATAGATTTGTCCTGAAATGCCAGTCGTTGGAAAGAGAAACATATAAATATAATCATTTAAAAATACACACATGATGTTTATGATTTCAGTGTTATATATAATAAAAATTGATCAAAACACATTTCATTGTAAAAAAAAGTAAAGCTTCTCTTTTAAGAAAATAAGTAGGTATTATGGACTTAAAAACTTACGGTCTGCTTCTTGCTTTTGTGTTAGATGGAGGGGTGCAGTTGTTTTTTAATTGATTGCGGTACAAGCATGACTTTCACTGCCCAGGTATTTATGATGTTTCTCTCTCTCTATCATTTTGCACCATACCTGACTTCTTTATATTCTTCTTTGGCCAGTTAATTGAAGACTGTCTTCAAAGATTAGTAATGGGTCTCTGTATTCTCTCTCTGTTACTCACTGCCATGGCTGCAGTGGACCCTGCCTTTGATCTTGGATATGCCATTGCCATACAAAATCAATAAATTTATCTAAAATTTAATTGTTTCCTTGCAAAATAGTGATTTTTCTTAGTTCATAGTTAAAGACTTGAGAGTCATGATAAACGGTTTTCTCTCTCAGTTTACACATTCAGATTCTACTGATTCTGTCTCTGCAAAATCTTTCACATCCACTTTGTCCTTTTTATTCCAGCATTATTATCTTCATTTGGGTCCACCCACCTCTTCCTTGGACCACTGCCCTTAGTTACTTTCCCTTTTTCATCCTCTGTCCCCTTGCATCATCTGAATATGGATGCAAACTCTCTAGCCTGCGGTTTAAAGGCCTGGATGATCTGGGCTGACCCTCCTTCCCAGCTTGCATCACACCACTCTGCTTTATGGAGGCAGGAGGGAAGCAGCGTGCTACAGGAACTGAAAGACGTGGCTCTGGAGCCCTCAGACCTGTGCTTGCCCACCCTGCCACTCCCCAGCGGTGTGACTTTGCATAAAGCACTTCAGTTGATGTACTCCAAGTGCCTTGTCTGTAAACTGTGTTAAGAATCTTGTCTTATAGTATAATTGTAAGGTTAAATGAATTAACCTGTAAAAGCATATAAAAAAGTATTTCGTAAGTGACACTGGTGGGTCTTCTTTAAAGAAGTCTCATTTTTCTCACCCATGTGGCAGTGGCCCCTCCAGCCTTGCTGCCTTCTTCACTCCCTGGTTCCTGCCCTGCCAGTTAAAATTCTACCCATCCTTCAAGGCTTATCTCAAATGCTACCTTCTCCATGAATAATTTGTGAATAAATTTGCCCACCACAGATCCCTCCTTCCTCTGACCTATATTATTTATAAATTATTCATTCCTGTCTTATGTCCCTTGTCACATTTTATTTTGTATTTCAGCTGACTGTATTTATGTCTTATTTTCCCTCCTAGGTTGTAATGTCTTATGGTCAGGGACCATATTCTCTTTGTCTTTGCTAAAATACCATATGCCGCAATGCTTTGCCCATTATAGATGCTCTATTAATATTTATTGAATAAATGATTGAATGGCATATTAGCTCTCCAATGCCAGATTTATAATTTATTTTTTTAACATAAAGACATTAAGTCCTAAAAGACCTCCATATGACCATGTCTTTTTCCTCCTTCTTTAAAAAATAATTTTTTTCTATTCATTTTTACTCTCTTACTTTAAGAATTACTGCTATTATTCAATTTAGAGATGGGAAACAGCAGTATAATTTAAAGCATATATTTATTTGGCCTTTAATAGTTAACGTTGGTAAATTTATATGGCCCTGGATTTATTTGGGTGGCTTTTTGTCCTTCTTTCCCTTCTCCTCTTCCTTTTCTTCCACATCATTATTGTTATTATTATACTTTATTGAGTTTACTGAGGTAATCTCTCTATGTTAATTATTTAAAAAATCATATTGCAGCCTGAGAGACACAGATGAGGCAAAATCTAACTGATTGGCACCATCTGTAGTTTTGCTGCCAAAGATATGAATATGTAAAATTTATTGACATAGAGTCATGGTTTAGTCATAGTCTTTTTCTCATTTTGCAGATGAGGACACTGAGTTCCATGGGCATTAGGCCACCTTTCCTAAAGATGCTGGTGTTTCCTTATAGAGCAGAGACTGGAATCCACTTCCCCAGACAGCCAGTCAGGGACGGGTAATCCTAAGCAGGGGAAATACGTAAAGACTGATTGTAGAAGGTAACATTGTCTTTGGGGTAGAATATATGATCTAAGTTTCAGAGGGCATAAATTATTTTATTTTGTGTTTGACTTAGGTACATTAATTCCTGTTTTTGTGCATGTTTTAGTGGGGGATATGTCATGGTTTCCAGCATTGAATTTCAAGTGTCTGTAATAACCATTCTAATGTGTATTGAGTGAAAACTTGGGCCATAAGGTACATCCTTGGTCGAACATGTTGCATATCATTTGGATATAATTTAGCTAAAATTTTAGGATGGATTTTTTTTAATTTAAAAGAAAAGTTGAAATTTTTCAAGCAGAAGACAAATAAATTTTTAAAAAAGCTATGGTGAAACTTGACTAAAATAGATGAATAAATTTCTTCTGGACACCGTGCTAGAATTTTCTTTACTAACAAGTGAAAATGTGTTTCTTTAATCAGAAGAAAGGAGGCCAGTTAACTCACTCTTTGCTCTCTACCTTTCACTCTTGGATTCTAAAAGCAGGATTAAATCCCGTTTTGAAACTAATTCTGTTACTCATAATTCAAGGGAACTTAAGGAATCTGAGGGAAAGTCTGGGTCTCTGTAGACAGAGGCCAGCCTCAAGTCCCCTCAGTGGCTGTCCCAGCATTAACAGGTGACCTGTATCTTCTTACCCTCCTTGTGTGTCAGTTCTGAAAACTGAAAGACTGCTGTCATGAAACTCTTGGTCTGGGTAATGCTTTCCATCCATACTCCCTTCCCTCACACTCCTACTCATTTTCTGATTTGTTTCACCATAATGTAGTTTTGTTTGTTCGTTTATTTCATTTAAATGGAATCATGCAGTACATTGTGTTTTGTGTGTGCCTTCATCCACTTAATGTCTTTGAGATTCATTCTTGGTTGTCGCTTGCATGAGAAGCTCGTCATGTTCATTGCCGAGTAGTACTCCATTGTTTGAATATGCCACATTTAGTTTATCATTCTTCTCTTACATGACATGCTTTTAAAATCTTAGCCTAATTTCTGGCTCTGTTTTACACCCCTACCACTGTTTTCTCTGCCTTTTCCCCTTATCATCTTCAAATGAATGTGTCAATCTTTTGTGGTTGATTTCAATGGATAGAGTAACCTCTGCATACACAATTCTTTCTTCAGCTGAGGAAAATTTTATCTTCTATTATCTTTGATTATTGTTTGTGTTCCACTTATTCTCTCTTCCATTTGAGAGCTCTGGTCCCTCATTAGTTGGTTGTCTCTTCTCTGGTTGTCTGTGACCATTTTCTTTTTCTAATTATCATTTCTGGATACCTTCCTTCTGTATGGAGGGATAGCTGCTAAGCTGCTCATCCTCTGCATTGCTGATTTTCTGTAACTGTGCTGTTGGTGCTAATGTGGACTTTAATTTTGTATTTATGTTTTCATGTATATTGAAATATGAAGAAATTCCATAACTTCTCTTATATTGTATTATTTATATTGTTATTTTAGTATTTATATATTATTATTATTATAATTATTTTGAGACAGAGTCTCACTTCGTCATCCAGGCTGGAGTGCAGTCACTGCAACCTCTGCCTCCTGGGTTCAAGCAAGTCTCATGCTCAGCTTCCCAAGTAGCTGGAATTACAAGTGCGTGCCACCATGCCCAGCTAATTTTTGAATTTTTAGTAGAGACGGGGTCTTACCATGTTGGCCAGGATGATCTCGAACTCCTGATCTTAGGTGATCCACCCACCTTGGCCTCCCAAAGTGCTGGGATTAAATGCATGAGCCACCACACCCGGCCACATATTGTTTCTATACTATCATTTTAGCTCTTTATGTTATTTCGTTGCCTTTATGTAGAGGTCATGTTTACTTGTACTTTCCTGAGAATGCCAAACCATTTCCTGAAAATTCATTTTGCATCATATCATAGGAAATGTTGAGAAAGACTCTGAGAAGGAATCTCCCTTGTTCTAACTCAGTGTTCCATCAGTCCTATTTTCTTTTTTCCTTCCTTTGTTCTTTCCTTGTTATCCTCAGATGAGTGAGCTCTGTGCAGAACCAGAGGGTTGAGTGGATTGTCCTTTTGTTCAATTTTTAAATTCTCTAGTATGAAAATTCAGTCCTCTTTCTAAATGTTCAGCTGCAGGGCTGGCTGATGGGTGCATTTGCAGCGCAGTTCCCAGATTTGAGCAGACATCGACTCTATGGATTCTATGGACTCTACACACCTGGGTTTAACTAAGGCAGTTGCTTCTGTGTCCTACCCCTTTGCTATTTCTGCATCATCATGCAATGTCATTCCAGCATACGGCATTCCTTTTCTCTCTTCACACCATGCTTCTCAGAAAGGCCTTGGCCATCATCTTTTCCCTCCACTTTCTGCCCACTTGTTTTCTGAGCATCTGTTTGGTCATGTAAAGTCAGAGACAGGTAGCAGACTAGGGAAGCAGTTTTCTGCGTAATTTCATGGCAGCTTGCCAGTGATAGAGAAACTCTTCTCTATAGGTTTTTGGTCGGTAAATTCTCTGGGTTTCTACGTCAGCGTTCAAACTGACTCACTATCTTCTTATCTTTGTTTACGTGGCCACTAGCTTAAAGAGACGTTGAAGTTTGCCACATGATAAAAACTGGGTCATTACCTGCCTGTCCCCAAGAACTATCTACTTTATAATTAGCATCAGTTCATTGAAGATTTGGAATTTATGTTGTTTTTTCAGCCTTAGTTCTTAATGAGATTGGGATTTTTTTTGCTTTCATTTTGCTTTGCTTTTGTTTTTTTCAGAACCCTCATTGGTATTTAGTGATGAGTTGGAAGGGGCAATTCTCAGAGCTGCTAGATAAGTGGTATTATGAGAAAGACTCCTAACCTTACATTTTAAATGATAACTTTACTGGGATTGTGCATTGTATACACCAGTTGATTCACATTAAAATGATTAAATTCAATTGGACAACTTGATGTTTCAAGAAACACACCTCATACATCTATTGCTTTACGAGTGATCAACTATTTCAGAACAACTAAGAATCGCTTTGAGACTGTAAGGACAAGTGGGAGTGAGGAGTCATGGATTTCAACCAGCCAGATGATGCAAGGGTCTGTACTCAGCACATCCAGAACTCATCTTTGTCATCAGATTGGCCCCAAAATGCCACTCTCCAAGCCCGAAGACATGTGTTTGTTTGTTTCAGTAGTCCTCATGTATTTGCTCACATATCTTATATGTAGCTCCTTTTTTGCTCTGTTTTGTTTTTCTTTTCCTTGTGTACATAACATGTAAAACATGATCTCAAATCATCAATGTCCCACTGGTTTTTTTTGTTTAATTTGTGTCTGAGTTATTGGTAAATGGCAGTTTTTGCAGAGGGTAAAATGGTGAACTCTATTGAATATTTTTCCAGAGGAGGTGATATTGTCAATTCTTACTTCTTCAAAGATGTCAACAGTTCTGATATAAACCAAGGCAATGAACTTGGCATGTCAGCTTTTGTCTCCTGCAACTAGGGTTTGATGGTAGTATTTTAAATTGTCATATTTACTAATAGTTTCTTTCTTAGCATCTTTTTATATTAAACTTAGTTGAGGATAGAATATTAATTGAATTGAAGATCAATGGTCTTGTTAGTGTGCTTTTCATAGCAATGAAAAACTAAATTTTCCTTTGTTTTTCTAGCTTAATCCTGATTATCGAGATGCCCAAAATGAAGGAAAAAATGTGGTGAGTAGAACTGGCTTTTCTCCAACAAATCTCAGCATATTGTTATTATTTTATATGGATAGATTGGAATTTTAATAGCAAATTTGAAGACTAGGGGCTCAGAGAGATTTTCTGAGTAGAGCCTATGGTTCACAGGTAAAAGATGATATGGCTTAGATTATGAGAAGATGTTCAATTATGGGTGCTTGGGAAGAGTTCTGCAACTTGGAGGCCATTGTTGGTGGAGTGCTAAAGGCAGCTGGCATCTGAGAGATATGGTGGGTCTAGGTTTAGTTTTATTTACCCTTTTTTCTTCTGTAAAGAAGAAAGCTTCATGGTGACAACATGGCTTCTTTATTCAATCAAAAATTCAGAAATTCAGGACAATTTGATGTGATGCAGACAAAATCTCTGGATGTTGGGCTAGATTTTTAAAAAGTTTTAAAGAGCAATTTAACTAGATATTTTGGCGTAATCTAGATACGGTCTGTAATTCAATTTTCTTAGGAGTTTAGCAATTCCTTTTGAAATTGGTAGGTATTATTACTCCATCATTCAAAATTTTACCCTTTGACAGAAAGAATTGGAATGTTTAATTAACATGGCCAGTATCTTTGCATTGATACATAGCTTTAGGATTTGTGAGGATATTGACATGGGGGAGGTGAAACCAATCAGAATTTATGTACCTCATTCAACCCTGTTTGACCCCCTTCTCTGTCTGACTGCCAGGCTTACGATAGAAATAAAGCTGTGAAGTATCAGGTAATTGGCCCAATGAAACCTTTAACATATCAAAATGTCTCTAAACGTAGAGGTAGGTTTATTCGATTAATTGGATCTCCTATTTATAATTCAATTTTAGCGCACTGGGTGGGCTCTTCTCTTGTTGGTTTTCACATGGCTGCCCCAGGATTGTTGGGTTCTTACTTTTGTATGATTTAGGAAAATGCTGTCAGTAACCAGGTTTAAAAAGCAAAGTGTGAATCATGGCTTCTTTGGTTCTTACTATAAGCTTGTCAATGGCCTCCACCCAAAGACCATCAGGAACACATGGGTAGTTGAACAAGTTGGGTTTATTACTTATGCAGTGAGAAAGGAACATGCCATGAGGAGCTGTGGGGCATCTCAGAGCATGTTAGAAAGAACTTACTAGAGGATTTGTGTTTGTGTAAGGTGATTTGGGGAGGATTTAAGGAAGTGAGGCTTTGCTGTGGAGAGAATGTTGTCAGGAAGAGGAATTCTATAATTGGTATCTTAATAAATTTTACCTATAGGGAGGACAGGCTTCTAAGGAAGCAACAGTCACTCGTATTAGTTGGGGGAGAGGGATATTTAGTCATTTTTGTGGCTTGGACAATATTCATATTTTGTCTGTGTTTAGACATGATTAGGGAATGGTCTTGTTTTGTCTTGATCCATCACAGTCACAGAGTGGCCTTGTCTGATGACATTCTGTGAAATTGTTCAACAGAGAACAGTATGGCCTTGCTAAGAGGACCAGACCACCTATTGGATGTCAGGGGCTGCTGCTTTTCTCTTTCACAAGGTTTATTTTTGTAATATTCTGTGTGACTTCTTCAGCATCGTGTAGGGCCAAGAGAGTCTTGTTCTAGCACCACCATTAACTTGTGTGGCCTTGGACAAGTGAGATAGCTTTCTTGAGACTCAGTTTCCCCACCTGTGTAATGGGATGAAGATGTTCGTCTTATGTACTTCACCTGCATGCCATGAGGATAAAATAAGATCAGACAGATGGAAACTCTTTGAATTTGTAAGTTGTTTCTAGTAAAAGAGCATCATATCAAAATTTCAAATTGTACAAATTAATTAAATCTCTGTGCGCATCTCCTTTCTACTACATAATATTCGGTGATACAGCTGATGATTTTGGCCTGAGCAGAGTGGGAGAATACAGTCTTCCTCCCTATCCAGTGGTTTTGCATCTGTGTATTCAAACATCCACAGATCAAAAACACCAAAATATAATAATACAAATTAAAAAACAATACAGTATAACAAGTATTTACCTGGCACTTAGATTGTATTAGATATTATGACTAATCTACAGGTAATTTAAAGTATATAGGAGGATATGTATAGGTTATATGCAAATACTATGCAATTTTATATGAGAAACTTGAGCAGATTTTTGTATTTGCAGGGGGTCCTGGAACCAATCCTCTGCAGATACCGAGGGTTGACTACATAGGGTATGGAGGTTCTATGGAACAGCACAAACTGTATAAATGATCATATATCCATGGTGAAGTTCACTCTTTCTGTTAATCAAGCTTTTAGTTAGACTTGATAGCTTTTCTTCTTTTTATTCGAAAAAACAACTTCTTCATTGACCTCTAAAGGTGAGAAAGAGTGCTCTTCTGTTTAAGCCGTTGTTACTGGCAATACTTTAATTGCATTCAACACAGATGGGTCTGCTTTTGCTGTAGATGTTTATGACTGAGTCTCATCTGTCATCTCAGGGAGACATCCAACTGCAGACAGTTGATTTAATTTTTTTTCCTCTCCAGAATACCTAGCTTGAGAGCAAAGAAAATTGAGAATGTGGAGCCATAAAGCTAACAATATGGCTTCCTATTTTATAGAACATTTGCCACAGAGCAATAATTATTTTTCTGTCTAAAGAAGAAAACAAAGGAGCTGTTAGAGTTTATCTCCAGCCTGTGAAATATGCAATCAGTTTCCCAAAACAGAATACTGTTTCACCTCAGATCTGGGTTCCAGTAACACTGACTTTATTATGACCATGCTAATTTTTTCTTTCCTAGTTTTCCTGACGTTGTCTATGTAATGCCCAGTTAATATTTTTTTTTTGTAATTTAGAAACATTTATCAAAATGTTGCCTTCCGTATTTGAAGTTTCAAAGGTTCATGCATGGTGCCACTGAAATGAGGCGGTGTGTGTCAGAGCTCCCATTAAGACACAAATTGCTGTATTTATTCTACAAAGGAGTCTATTATTTCCAATATTACAAATGTACAGCATCCACAGGGACCCTGTAAACATTGGAACCGTGTCAAGCCCAGCTGGGAACCTGACAGTCATTAGTTTCTTCTCCTTGAAAAGCTGCATCTTTTCAGATGGCTCTTTGAAGGGGAATTTTTTGGAATTAACGCTACCCATCTTAACATTACCATATTTATGTGGAATATGATCTGATTTTTCTTGGGAATGTCTGTTTTAGATATTGGAATTTCTGGCCATATTGGGCCAGATAATTCTCTGTTGTGGTGCAATGGCTTTTGCCTGTAGGATGTTTAGCAGCATCCACACCCTCTACTCACCAGGTGCCAATAGCAGGTCCCTGATTGTGGCAACTAACAATGTGCCCAGAAATTGCCAATGCCCCCTGGGGGCAAATATCATTCCCTGTTGAGAACCACCGGTCTATGTGCATTTATATACATCAACAGAAATGTTCCAGGAACCAGGGAACTTTGTGGAAATATAACTGAAAATCCTGTGTCCATAGAATTTGGCGGGGGGGCGGTGTACCAGCTTCTGACAGACCCTCAAATTTTCCTGAGTACCAGATTCTGACCCCCGAATTTCCTTGTTTTACTATATATTCATCAGTGACAAGGTGATAAGGAAAACACAGAAACAAAGGTTCTATCAGAAATTAATTGGAGAGTAGCAGTTTGTTAAGGAACCTCGGCAAGAGAAGTATTTGCAGCTGTAAATGGCAGTGTTGTGTGCGGTTACATAAAGTCAGTAGTGAGAGCCCTGGAGGATGTGAACAAAAACACACGTGCATGCACATCGTTATGCTGCTGTGGCCGCTCACAGGTCTGAACCAACTCTGCAAATGCAGACGTTTCTTACAGAATGTCTCTGGCTCCCAACAACAGAATTGCAACGTGATGTCTGTGCTAAAAATTTGATGACTCACAAATGAGTCAGCAGAGAAGGTGTTCTAGGGGCTGACTGCTGTGCGGATGCCTGCAGGCCCCAGGACGGCAGGAGAAGCAAGGAGAGCCATTAGTTGAGTTGACTCAGCTGGCTTTTCGTAGGGGCATTTTCTCCATGTACAACTTGAGAGGCTATGTGGCTTTCTTTCTGAGTGAAAAATGCTCGTTTGATTAAGAGCTCAGTAGACCAGGTTAACATTCCAAGGCCCTGTGTTACCCTAAATTGAGAATGTTTTGGAGAGCTAGCTGAGGTTAAATTTAATACCTGTTTAAGTTCTGTCGTACCTTAATGTATTTTCATGCTGAAGAGAGAGGGCGTTGCGCTTCTGTGATTCGGTGTGGGGAACTAGTGTTTCTGTGTCTTTTTTCTTAAAAAAATCAATGTGAGTTTATAAACAAAAGCCACAAGGACACAATTTTAAACTGAATTGTCTTCATGTTATAAAGATATATTGACTTTTTTCTATATTGAGGCTTGAATCATACATTAAAAATTGTATACTTATCACACGTTATTCAGATGTCATTAGAGGCTGGCTTGAGGGGCACATTCCAAGGAGTGGGCTTGAAGTTTACTGTCAGACTGTCTACCAAGAGAGTTTATTAAGCAAATTAACAGAGTGCAAAAGAGTGAAAGCAGAATGCTTAAGGCTACAGCACTGTTTTAAAAAACTTCTAAACATGTTTGAAGCTCTTATTCACACATAAGCAATTGTTATATGCTCTTTATAAATGGAGATTTTCTTTTCATTAAAGCTATTTTCCAAGAACCTAAGTGAACTATTTAAGGGTGGAATAGCGTATTCTACTTATCCTATGTAATTAAAATAAAACCACAGGTCTTAAACAGTATGAGTAATTCAGAGTGACCTCTTTTAATTAACCCTAACTGGTGAGTTTTTTCTGTGTTTGGAAGACAGTCTAATTGTTGCAGTGTGAGAATGTCAAAATAGAGAGGTCCCTGACTACTCTTGTTGGGCCTTTACAGGGAGACATTACCAAGGAGTGTAGGGTAGGAGGGCATTCTGTAGGAACCTGGGTCTGATCTTTTCTTATAAGTCTAGAAAATTTATTTCATTAGCATTTTAAAAGAGGGATAAATGCAGGAGGATTAACTCCTTCTAAATAAACTCACAAAAGACTGATGAATAAACCACAATGCCAACTTTCAATTGCCAAATAGACCTAAATATTTGGCTCAATTGGTGCATTTTCCTTGAAGGAGAATATGTATCAAAGGCTAAATTAGAATATTGGGGTGCAGGAGACTCAGGAAATTAGATGACACATACTCCTTTTAAGGATATGCTATTTTTCCAAGAAGACTGGCGCTTGCCATTTATTGCTTCTACACTAGGCAATGGTGAGAGAAACTGTTTTATTCTCCATTTATTTGGGTTACATGCTGATCTTCTGTTAATAAGCCTTTATTCAAACATGGTTCAATATGACTGATAACATTTTATCTTCCTTAGTTAATATTATGTTTTATTTGTGCCTTCCCAATATTCCACTTAAGCCACTTGTGCCCAAATCCCATTGCCGTAATAGTCACAAAAATCCTTTAGGTTATTTGTATAACTGACTGATCTTGTTCATAACTTCTGTGTCCTTATATTCCGAGGCAGTCTTCTCTCACATGTATTTACAACACTCAGTGTGCTTGTGGCTCTTTCTTTTGGCTACAATAGGGTTCCAAAATCCAGGAAAAAAAGCTCTTTTCCAATATTTCTTTGTGACTATAATTCTCCTGGTCTATTTCTCCCCAAGTTTTCATGTTACTGGGGATATCATTAAAAACAAACATCCTTTGTTTTCTTTTAGAATTATCACATCCTCTTCTAAACCTCCTCCTTCCTTCCTTTTGTATGCCGTGTTCTTCATAATCATTGTCCTCTTCAGTATCAGATGTCACTACAGTTTTTAACCTTGACAAGGAATTCCTACTTGCACATGGTCTTCTACTGGGCCCTGTAAAAGAGGATTGCATAGACCTTGTTCAGGCCTTCTTGCGTCAGCTGTTTGCAGTTGGACAGCAGTGTGGCTTTAGTGTCACCATCAGATTTCAGAGCCTTCAGGGAAAACTGCGTCTTTGCCATCCATATCTTATTATAACACCTAGATTTTCATGTTGAGGTACATGATGTAGATCAATGAACCAACACACTTTTGAGTTTGCCCTTCCCTCCATCCTTCCCTCCCTCCCTTCCTTCCCTTTCTTTCCCACCTGCCTCCCTCCCTCTCTTTTTTTCTTTTTTCTTTTCTCCTTTTTATCTTTTTGAGACAGTTTTGCTCTGTCACCCAGGCTGGAGTGCAGTGATGCAATCTTGGCTCACTGTGGCCTCGACCTCCGGGCTCAGGTGATCCTCCCACTACAGGCTCCTGAGTAGCTGAGACCATAGGCGTGTGCCATCATGCCTAACTAATTATTGTATTTTTTGTAGAGATGGGGTTTCGCCATGTTGCCCAGGCTGGTCTTGAACTCCTGAGCTCAGGTGATCCACCTGCCTTGGCCTCCCAAAGTGCTAGGATTATAGGCATGAGCCACTGTGCCTGGCCTCTTTTTCATTTTAAAACTGTATATAGTTAAGGTATATAACATGATGTTTTGATACACATATGTATAGTAAAATGTTACTCTAGTCAAGCAAATTAACGTATCCATCATGTCACATAGTTAACTTTTATTTTTGTGATAAAAATACCTAAAATTGACTCTCTTAGCAAATTTCCAGTATACAGTTATTCATGTATATTATTGAGTTATTTAAAGACATTTAGACTTTCTTCTTGAGGGATGAGAGGGTGGTTTTCCCCCTCATATATTTTGTCTTCAATTCTTAGGCTTCCTCATCCTTCATGCAAATCACCGTGAAAGTGGGTCCCAAGACCCAAGATAACTTTTTCAGAAGACTTGGGGGAGGGTCTTAGCCATGAGTTTTTATTTACTCTTAGAGGAGTGACTCATACAGTATTTAAGGGCCTCAGGCCTGGCCTCTGGCTTGGGTTGGCTTGGATTCAGGCCCTGGTCAGTTGAATTTGGGGCTGAGCATTCATTACCACCATCTACTGCTCCCCTCTTGTTCTCTATTCTTTCTCCCCACCTCCTCTCCTTCCTTCTTTCCCTCTTTTCCCTTCTCCTTCTTCTTCCTCTGCTTCTCCTTCTTCCTCCCCTTTCTTTTTCCCCTTCCCTCATCTTTCATCTTTTTTAGGTAACTGCACTCATCTCTTTGCTCAATGGAAATTATAATGCTTACCTTTCTCTCTCTTAAATTTTTTGTTGTGGGATTAATGAGAACAACCAAAGGAATGGCTTTGGTATTGTGAGAAGCTTTGTATAAATTCAGAAATATCAGCCAGGTGCAGTGGCCCACGCCTGTAATCCCAGCCTTTGGGAGGCCAAGCAGGGAGGATCGCTTGAGCTCAAGAGTTCGAGACCAGCCTCAGCAACATACTGAGGTCCAGTTAGTACAACAATTATAAAAATTGTTGATGTGGTGTGTGGTGGCACACGTCTGTAGTCGCAGCTACCCAGGAGGCCGAGGTGGGAGGATCTCTTGAGCCCTGGAGAGCGAGACTATAGTGAGCCTTGATTGTGCCACTGCACTCCAGCCTGGGCAACAGAGTGAGACCTTGTCTTAAAAAAAAAATTCAGAAGTATTATTTGCTAACTGTTTCTGCATTTTCTTCCTTCCTACATGCCCATACTCCCTTATGATGTATAGTATGCTAAGTATGCCCTTTTCTAGTCAATAAACAGAGTTTATATTTACAAATAAGAAACTACTGTTATGAGGGTCACCCTTTGTGGAGAGTTTGCTGAACCCCTGCTTTCATTTAACTCTGAATTTTGGTCTCTGTGGAAGACACAGAAGTCAAAGATGACGGGAGCTACCTGGTGCTGTGAGGCTGTGAGGGCTTTAGCAGATAACAATCCTGCTCCTGTTTAGGAACGCTGGCAGTTCCCTCTGCCCATTCCCATTTCAACGGTGCTACCATTTGTGCACCATTTACAGAAGAGGCCAAAAAGCAAGGCTTTTTGATCCAAGTAAAATGATATTAACAATCTCTGGGAGGGGGTAGGGACTCCAAGTGAATGTTCTGGGATGATCAGGGGTAATATCTTGTTGTCGCAGCAGCCATTGAAGAAACGCTTGTCCATGGATATAGGCTGCTTGCATTTGCCTTTTGAGCATCCCTTCCTTCCCTCAGTTTCATTCACCTTCCTGTGATAGTGCAGTGACAGTGTTTCTGTCTGTCTTTCTTCCACTCTCATTTTCAGATTTCACCTGTTTTAATAAATATGTGTAAGTCACTATTTTTATCTACTAACTACCAAGCTTATATTGCATCCCTTGTTTTGGTTTCTCGTGCAACCAGTTCTTCCATGGGGTACTGGGACTTGGGGAAGTTCTAGTAAAAACACATACTCATTAATCTCTTGTTGGTTTCTGCTTAAAATGGTAGGGTGTGCTGGAAGCATTGACCAAGTTCCACATCACTATGAAGGCTTCTGTGTGTGGAGATCTCCTTTTATTTTATTTCTTATGCAATTATAGTATGTTCTTGAATCTAGGGGAGCAAGCAGGTGGTGAAAGGGAATGTTGCTGTTGATTCTGCTCCTCTCCAAGTATTATTATGCCTGGGGAGTTAGGTATGAACTCCTGCACACTGCCATGCTTACTTTAACTTCAGAAATCTAGATGATTCAACACACGGGCTCTTCTCTGTGTTTGTTTTAACTGTGGAATGGTCAAAATTACTACTTTGTAAATAGGTTTAAGAGAACGAGGGAAGGGTCCATAACTATTGGTACCGTTAGTGCCTTAATGATGTGGGCAGATCAAGCCACCCCGCCCTAGGAGTGTGGGACTCATCATTGTTGACAGTAATTACCTCAATGGCTGTCGGGCTAGAGCTAGTGTTTCTGGATGATGTGAAATAGACACCTCTTCAATCCAAGGAAGAAATAACATGCACATTTAAACCTTATCACCTGATTAATTGGAGAGTTTAGCAAGAAACGTGATAAAAGTAAATAAACTTGTACTTCCTCAACAGAGAGATGGAGTCCCTCCAACTTCAAAGAAAAAACGCCAGGCAGGGGAGAAGATCATGTATACTTTGGTTTCAGTCCCGCATGGCAATGACATTGCATCCCTTTTTGAACTAGATGCCACAACTCTTCAGAGAGCTGACTGCCTGGTTCCAAGGTAAAAAAAATTATGGTTAAAAGATGTTTCTTTGAATAATTATACCAGTAGGTGAGGAATGAAAATAATAATATTAATATATTTTTATGATATCAAGGGAGCAAACATAAATGAAGAAAAATGTGTAAAACATTGTATCTCTTCTGTGAGGAGGTTAACATAGTTTGTTTTATTCTTATTAATAATTAAAATGTGCAGGACCAAAGAAACTCTGAAAAATTTATAAGAATCATTTATTCTTATTACTTGTATGGCCTTTGGTTACTAAAATGAAAAATAATATAAAAGTATTTCTATTTATATATTTATCATTTATTTTTATTATGTCAGATTTCCCATTTCATTCATCCATTTGTTCATTTATGTAGTCAATCAGTCAAGAAATATCTATTGAACATCCATTACATTCCAGGCATTGCCCTTGGCATTGGGAAGACAACAGTGAACAAACTGGTTATATTCTCACATTCAAATGGGGGAGACAGGCAGTAAACAAAACAATAGACATAAAATATTAATATAAGGTCAGGTAATAAAAGTGCTTTGAAGAAAAAATGGAGGGTATGGAGAGTTCTATTAGGTAGGAGTGTTCAACTGTGGCCTCTCTGAGTTAGTACATTTGAATAACGATCTGAATGAATTAAGGAATCAAGTCCTCTCTTCCTAGGAGGAACATTTCAAGCAGCAGGAACACGAAATGAAAAATGTTGAAATTTACTGGGTGTTTTTAAGGACCAGTGAGAAGGCAGAGTAATTAGACATAAATGAGGGAGGGGTTGTGGGATTGGAAATGAGATTGCCAGAACTTAAGGTAAGACAATATCTTACATTCTTTTGCTTGAATTTGACCATTTTATTTTACTTTTCATTTATTTATCTTTTTTGAGACAGGATCTCACTCTGTTGTCCAGGGTGTAGTGCAGAGGCACAATCATGGCTCACTGCATCCTCTACCTCTGGTACTCAGGTGATCCTCCCACCTCAGTCTCCTGAGTAGCTGGGACTATAGGCATGCACCACCATGCTCTGCTAATTTTTGTATATTTTTGTAGAGATGGTATTTTGCCATATTGCGCAGGCTGGTCTTGAACTCCTGGGCTCGAGGGATCCACCCACCTCAGCTTCTCAAAATGCCGAGATTACAGGCATGAGCCACCACGCCCAGGCTGAATTTGACTAGTTTAGTTAAGCTTTTTTGTCTACAACTGTCCATCTTTCAACCATAAGGCTATGATGCACTCTCTAGATGCATCGAGGAGTCTTGCCCATATTATTAGGGTTAGTGGGATGGCTCTAAATTGGCCTTGATGGAGCAGTATTGTGCTTGGCCTTGGCAGATGGCAGTGGTGAAGCTGAAGGCACCTATGCAGAAAGGCAGGCATTGTGTGGGTTTCCTCCAGGGAGGGTAAAAAGTTACTATAATAACACTATTGAGAAACATTGCTGGTAGAGCTTCCCAGGGTGTTTTATGGCTATTCTCATTCATGAGAAATGTTGCTGAATTTCATACCTTATATGAGTCCATCTCTCACTCTTTTTTTTTTCCATCAATATAAGCCTGTAAAGAGATCCTCTCTGGTTTTACCTGACCCAGGTCTCTGGCTTTCTCCTCCCAGGACTGGGACCTTAATCAATCCTTACTATGACTTTACTTATTTTAGATTTAAGTCAGCAAAAAGGGAGTCCTTCTTGAACTCTAACCAAGAGAATTTGCTTAAGGAAATGATAAAAGGGTCTTACTAGAAAGTGTATAGAACCACGATGAGGGCCACTGAGCCTCACTTTATATAGAATAATTAATCTATTACTTTTCAGAACTGTGGAAGCCCTATTCAGTGTAGTGCAGAATTTTGTATTAACATCGATTCATCTGTCATTAATTGTATTCAAGCCAACATTAATTAATGCTTAATAACTACTATTATAATATAACTCTTGAAGCACTTTTTATGTATTAAGTCCTGTGTCAAGTTCTTAATAAATATTGTCTTATTGCATACTGGCAGTAACTCTTACAGATCAGGAACTAGAGACTGAGTTGGAACAGTGGTTCTCAAGCTGACTGTAAATTAGAACCACCTGGGTATTGTTGACACCTCACCATGCCCTGGCCACACTGAGACCAATGAAATCAGAGTCTTACAGGTGGGGTGCAGGCTTTACTCTTTTTGAAGCATTTATTACCCAAGTGATTCCACTGTGGAGTCCAGTGTTTCTCAGACTTTATGGTCCAATGCTGCTTAAACTTTATTCTATACTAAATCACCAGGGGACCTGATGACAACTGAGTACAAATTACATCTCCTGTGTAATTCAATGCAGAAGATGCCAAGTGATAAAACAGAGGCATTTCAGAATTTCTAGTTATTTGAACAAAGATTGGAGAACTGCTATTTTAGATATTTGAAGCTCAGTTTGTATTTTATCTACTTTTATAAAGGAGCAGAACCAGGTTGTTGAATGAATCTCTTTGCCTGAGTCCCTTGGCATTTTATTTGGTTTTCTTTTCTTGGCCCTAATGCTTTTTACCTTATGTTTTAAGACGTATTTATGCCTTATCTTTACACTGATCTGTAAGCAACTTGAAGGCAGAGTACTTACTGTGCTTTTCTTTTAATAGACACTATACACATATTTGTTAAAGAAATAACAAAAGATTATAAAAGATTTACTAAAAACGGTAATACTTGAGTAGGATGAAGTTCTAGGTGTCCTTTCTTAGGCATTCTCTCACAGTTCATATCTAGTCAATCTTTAAAATTCATGGTACATGGAATTAGCAAATACTGAACCATTGTTCCTAGGGGAAATATAGAGTTAGGTTCCTGTGAGCTTCTGGTCGCAACATTTTTGTTGACGAATACATAGCCTTGTTCTATGTGTGCTTCTGTTTAAATACACCTTATTTAATGTACGTTGCTGATTCATTAACATTGAACTTGTGGTCAACAGCACTATAATTCATGCATGAACGAAGCTCATCTAGCACAAGTATTTTCTTTGTAAGGCACATCACAACCTTCTTGTGCTTTAGGAACACTAGATGGCACTTCTACACCTCATGTGGGGGCCATCTTATTGTGAAATATGAAAAACATGGCACTAAATGGGCCACAAAAAGGACACTTGTTTATAGCATGAGAGCTGAGACAAGAAGGCAGAGCATCACCTTGTTCCACTTCAGCTTGGAAATGTGCCTACTGGGCCACTTAAATTTTTGCCACTCTATGTATGTTCTGGAATGACCACAAAAGCTCCTTGAATATTGATTTGGGGGCTACAAATAAATTTTACCGAACAGGAGAATTCACAAGTACAGAAGCCACAAATAATGAGGATTGATTGTACATTAATACTTTCACATGCAGACAATTAAACTACACAAACTACACTACTGTCTGCCAGCAGTGTTAGCTGAGTTGGCTATTTGATCAATGTTCTTAGTTTAGCATGCATCAGAACTGCCTGGAGAACCTATTAAACCACTCATTGTTGGGCCACACCCCCAAAGTTTCTGATTCAGTCGATGGGGATGAAGTTTCAGAATTTGTATTTCTAACAAGCTCCCAGGCAATGCTGATGCCACTGGTCTAGGGACCACACTTTGAGAACTACTACCTAGGTAAAAATGCTGCATGCTTTGAAATAGTCTATAATTCCGAATTTCCCCTTAAAGCAGAGGGATCTTGAGTCAATTACTAGTTAATATGTATTTATGTTCATATAATATATGAAACTGTTAAAGATGTTAATATGTAAGTGTGCTAATTTTTTATAATTTGTTTTTTTATATTGTTTTGCTTTTAGGAACTCATATGTTCGGTTAAGGCATTTATGCACCAACACATGGGTAACCAGTACTAGTATCCCCATAGACACAGATGAAGAGAGGCCTGTTATGTTAAAGGTAAATGTCACTGAAGATGGTTTAATTTTCAGCCAAATGCCATGAGAATAGGATTAGGATAGGAATGCTGTGTGACACATGTTCCTTATACTCCATCTTCACCAATATTACAGATCATTGCAATTAATTTCATCAAGCATGCATGTCTGCCAGTTGCTTAGGTAGCTGATCTAAATGGGTTGGAGGCAGCAAAGCTGTGATTCAGAAGGATGCTACAGAGACACCAGAAAGAATGGTAGCAGCATATGGATGGAGGAGTAGAATCCAGGAGTGCCTTTTCTCTACTCTGTCGAAACTGAAGCAGAGGGCAAGTGTGAAAGGGAGAAGTTTCCAGTGGGGCTTTGGGAACAGGGCAGGAAGTGGGCACAGGAAATCTCTGTGTCCCTGCAGCCTTTCATAGTGGATGATGCATGTGGGAGTTACTGTGTTCGGATGATCTATTCTTGTCTTATATTTCTTAAACAGTACTAGATGTGTTAGTCTTCAAAGAATATTGTATAGTTGTTTATAAAACTAAGCTTAATGGAAAAACATTTCAGATTGGAACCTGCCAAACCAAAGAAGATAAAGAAGCGTTCGCAATCGTGTCTGTTCCACTGTCTGAAGTTCGAGACTTAGACTTTGCCAATGATGCCAATAAAGTACTAGCGACCACAGTTAAAAAGCTAGAAAACGGCACAATAACTCAGAATGAAAGGAGGTAACTCTTTAAATTGGTCTTAAATAATCACGAGTCAGTTGTCAATTGTTATAGTAAGCCTGATATGAATGAATGACTCTAAGGGAATATTCAGAACATTCTCGATAGCACACTTGCTTCTGAATGAGATGGGAACTTATTCCTCTTGATCATAGTGAGTGAGTGAAATTTGTCAGATTTAAATCTGTTGGAATATTTACTTGTCCCATTTTAGCTTTGCTTGAAAATAGTTGTTTTAAGTTACTTTCTGGTCATTCTTTTTTAAATCCTTTGTGAGAGATTTGCAATACCTTTTGCTGCGCATGATTTGATATTTGGATTTAGAGTTCTAAAGGACCTAAAGGAAGGTTTGTGTTTCTCTGATCTTATTTATTCAAGATGCATTTCTCAGCTCTGGTACCACAAAATAAACAGATATGTAAAACCAGAAAAAAAAAATCTGCAGGGTGTAGTTCTCTGCCCTCATACCTTGTTCAGAGAAACTGGAACCTTGATTCTTCAGCTCTGGTTTTGGAAATAAGTAAGAAAGAGAATGATATTGACAGCTAACGATTATTGCATGCCTGCTTTGTGTCACTTACTAGGTTGGGCACTGTAAATATATTTTATGTAATCCTTCAAATAGCCTTGAAATAGGTATTCCTGTTTTACATAAAGGAAAACTGACGAGGGTAAGCAAACAAGGTAAAGCTGCATAGTTAATACTAAGGGAGGATTCAGTCATGTATGGTTTAAAGTCCATATGCTTTGCAGTATGCCTAAGCACAAGCATCCTCTGTATTTCCTCTCTTCATGATCTACTACATGCCTTTTAATTTAAACAAGAAAAAGCTGTTTGCCAATTTCCCAGGCATTCAGACATTGGAGCTCTCATACACAGCTGGTGAGATGATAATTGATGTATGCACCTTGGAAAATAGTTTGGCAGTAACTAGCAAAATTAAAGAAGCAAACACCCCGTGACTCACCAATTCCACTCCCAGGCTGAACATTCTTGAACATCTGTCCAAAAGACTCTCCTCCACATGTGTACCAGGACACATGTTCAAGAATGTTCAGCTTTGTTTGAAATAACCCCAAATGGAAAACCATCCAAATGTCCATCACCAGTTGAATAGAGGATGAAAATTATGTTATTTTCATACAACAGAATACAGTTTTGCGATGAAAATAAATGAACTACATCTATGTGCAATGGCGTGGCTAAATTTAACAAATGGATTGGGTGAAAACTAGACACAACATTCTCTGATAAATCAGGTAACAAAATGTATTTGATTGATAGAATTTTGAAGTAAATGTGATTTTATCTATCAGTTTCTGAGTAACAAAGAGCACCAAGTTTTAATTTAAATAGGGGATTTAACACTAGGGATCAGGGAGTTTAGTTATGAAGAGTTAAAAAAATTTAAAAAACAGTGTAAGCTGTTGAAATGGCAAGTGAATTATTTTAATGATGTAATAAAATATTTTTAAATTTTGACATAGTGATCATTTAATGAAAAAACTCACCAAAATGTCTCCATTTGAATTGTATTGATAATGTGGGACATATGTGTAATTCAATATATACATATACCCATATGTATATACAGAAAATTATTTTTAATACTTTCCTACTGATATGAAATTTAAAATTGGAAATTTTGTGAGTGTTTTTCTTGTCCAATAGAGCCTGTTTCCTTTTTTTTTGGTGATTTAACAATCTCTTGAGGGCTGCACCTTTAAATTCCCAGATTGTCAATAGACATGTATAGTATATGGGATAAGGTGGACACAAGTGCACATATAAATAAAATCTTCTTAAGACTTTTAACTATTCATTTACAGTAGGAGAGTATGTAGAAATCATCATCCACAAGTCATAATTAGGTTGTGTGCCTACTGTAGTTTTTTCCATTTCTGTATTATATAAACATTTGCATATTAAAATTTGATTTTTCCCAGAGACAAGTATTATATACTGTATCTATATTTAAATCAAACTGTGGTAATATATTTCTCAGAAAATAATGTTGGGGACTATAGCCTGAACATTTGGACTTGAAGCGACATGGAGGAGGAGGTTGATCCCGTTGTGTATAAGTTAATATGTGATAACTATTGAATCTTGTACAAAAACAAAAATTGAAAAAGAAAAAAGAAAAGCAAAAATACAGTTTTTATTTTGAAATACAAAAAAATAAAAATAAAAAAGAAAACTAGACACAACAAAGACATTCACTGTAGTACTATGTGTGACATTCAAAAACAAGCAAAAACAAACTCCATTTCTTTGGGGGTGTTTAAGCAATTAGAAGAACCATAAAGAAATGCAAGGAAGTCATTGTGACAAAAAACAGGATGGTGTTTCTTCTTAGAGGGGAGGGAGGAATTATGCTCCCTGAAGGTTTGAAAGGCTCCTGCAGGGTCCCATTTCCTGCTCTTGGTGATGGCTTCATGGGATTCACTTTTCAGTAGTCCTTAGCTATATGTTTTAAAACCTTTTAGATATACATCTTACAATACAAAAGAACAAAAAATCCAAGTTTGCTTCCCTCCATCCCTGTCAATTAGAAAAAAATCCTAAATATGCAAACAAATGGAATAGCTGTTTCTCAGCTTCCTCTCTATTCTTACCTCTATTTTTTTCCCTGGCAAACTTACATTTCAAAACAACTATTGTATATTCAGTCGCACCTCCAACCCTGTTAGGGGAAATGAATAAAGGCCGGAAGCAGAAACAACTGGCCCACTTTTATGGGCTATAGACAAGTAAATATCAGAGCTAAATTATGGCAGGAAATGGATTCTGATGTGCAGATAGGAATTTTTATTTGCCTGTTATTGATCTAACTTTTCCTTTTGTGAATCTATTTCTTTGTTTCTAACACTCTTAGATATGCACAGCAATTTACTTGGCTTCACTTAAAAAGTCTCCCTTGCTAAGCATTAAGATATTCCTTGAAGAAAAGGACAGATAAAAATTCAGATTATGGTCTCTCCACCATTGCTGGCTGGAATCCTGTGCGAGTCACTCTTCTTCAGTCACAGCTGGAGATTATCTTAACCTCTCAAGATGATTCTAAGGAAGGTGGTGGACTAGGACTGACTAGAGAGCATGCATTTTTATTTCCTTTGCTTCTTTCCCTGCTGTTTTGGAGTGAAAAACGTTGTATTAATAGCAAAGAGAAGGCTTTGCCTAAGAAATATGAAGGTACAATTATTGATCTTAATTTAGTAATTTCAGAAAAGCCACCTCCCATCAAAATTCATTCAAAGCTGCCTGTCAGTAAGGTAGAGCTTATTGGCAGAGTTGAATGCATTTATATTATTTTCTCAGTTTTGGAATTGAATATAAAATTATTTCTGAAAATAACTGACAACTCTGACTTTTTTCCCCCTATGGAAAATGAAGTGATTATTATCTGTCTCAAAAAGCCTGTGTTGTTGGAATTTTTTTTTTCTCTCTCTCTCTCTCTGTCTTCCCTTTTTACTTATCCCAGGAATGAACATGAACCCTGGAAGTACAGTTCCTGTGTTATGCTTCAAGACCCTCAACATTAGATATTTTTCAATGGAATTTTCTAATCTTATTCTACATAATTGCACCCACAAAATAGAGAGGACTGGGAACATATTGTCAGGGATGGAGGAGGGAAGATGGAGGGGTGTTAACTGCCATCCAGAACTTGAGGAAGTGACACAGGCAGTCCCTGACCAGCATTTCTGCACTATGTTTACCTCTGAGGGTACACAAAATACTGGGGTTACTCTCAAACAGTGAGAGTTCAGAGATGTGATTAATTCAGTATTACTGAACTCCTGGTATGTGCCAGGCACTTGGCCATGCAGCATGGCTATATGTAGTGCTAATGTGGTGGTGAAGGCCACAGACTATCCCATGTCTCTGTGAAACTTACCCTCTCGAGGGATGGTTCTCATTCCCCATGATAGGAGCCCAGGATCTAGAATAGGGGTCATCCACCATGTGATCACCAGATCAGATGTCATTCTGATGTTGCTTCTCTGAGCAACATCATTTTCTCTTAAATTTTATTTGCCAGGTATGACTATCCTGACACCAGCAATCTTTTGTTTAATATTTGAAATGCCTGATGTCTCTTTTTCCATATCTTTTTAATTCAGATTTCCTGGTCATTTTGTTTTAGTTGTGTCTCTTATGAGCAGCAGAAGGTTGATTTGAAACAATCTAATCTGATAGTCTATTTTATTTATTTTTAAGGTTGATTGTAACAATCCAATCTGATAGTCTATTTTATTTATTTTTTTTTGAGAGAGGGTCTTGCTCTGTTGCCCAGGCTGGAGTGCAGTGGTATGATCATGGCTCACTGCAGCTTCAACCTCCTGTGCTCAGGTGATCCTCCCACCTCAGACTCCCGAGTAGCTGGGAACACAGGCACGTGCCACCACACCCAGCTAATTTTTTGGATTTTTCTAGAGACAGGGTTTCGCCGTGTTGCCCAGGCTAATCTGAAACTCCTGAGCTTAAGCAATCTACCTTTGTTGGCCTCCCAAAGTGCTGAGATTACAGACGTGAGCCACCGTGCCTGGCTGATAGTCTATTTTCATTTGCAAGTTTAATGACTTTGTATTTGACAAATTTATTTGAATGCATTTTTATTTTTGTTTTCTTTCTTTAGTGTAGCTTGTTTTCATTTCCTTTTACTTCTTTCTTGCTTTCTGCTAGATTAATAAAGTTTATATTCCCCTCCCACCCAATTTACTGTTTTCTCTACTGATTTAGAAGCTTTAGGTCATATTTTCATTCATTAGCAATTACCCTTGAATTCTTATCGTACATTTTGACCATATATTCTTCCTGATAAACTTGAAGTTACTATTATTTTCCCCCTCCCATGAAAGAAAAGTGCCGCGGCATGCTTTGGTTTTGCTCTGACATTCTCCCTCCCTTCTTTCTTGTAGTAGTTGTTTAGAACCTTAGTTCTGTGTTTATTCTCTTCATTTGTAAAATTTTAATTTGATAAATACAAAAGAATAAATGTGTCAATATAAATCATGATGCACCACCTTTTGTTTTTACTGATAAATTTTGTTCCTTTTTTTAAGACAAAGAAACATCTTTTTTTTACTTAAAACATTTATTTTATTTTTTTAATCTTATTTCACTAGTTTTTGAGGAGATAAATTTAGTTTCTAAAGTTTTTTTAGTGATTAATTATATTTTTTAAACAATTTTACCTCTTCTTCTGCCCCTTTCTTTACGTCTTCCTCCTGCCTTTATTACTTGTATCTCACTTGTTCTTTCTCTTTTCATCTTGCTGAAATTTATTCTTTAGTCCATTCAGTGGAGAGGCCTATGGGTTATAATCTTTTTAGGTTTTATGTATATGAAAATATCTTTATTTTGCCTTTACTCTTTTTTTTTTTTTTTTAGAGACAGAGTCTCACTCTGTCACCCAGGCTGGAATGCAGTGGCGTGATCTTGGCTCACTGCAACCTCCGCCTCGCAGGCTCAAGTGATTCTTTTGCCTCAGCCTCCCGAGTAGTTGGGATTATAGGCACCTGCCACCACATCTGGCTAATTTTTGTATTTTTAGTAGATACAGGGTTTCACCATGTTAGCCAGGATGGTCTCGAACTCCCGACCTCAGGTAATCTGCCTGCCTTAGCCTCCCAAAGTGCTGGGATTACAGGTATGAGCCACCATGCCCAGCCAGAATTTACTCTCAACATATTTCTTTTTTATTTTTTTGAGATAGAGTCTTGCTCTGTCGCCCAGGCTGGAGTGCAGTGGCACGATCTTGGCTCACTGCAATCTCCACCTCCTGGGTTCAAGCGATTCTCCTGCCTCAGCCTCCTGAGTAGCTGGGATTACAGGTGTGTGCCACCACACCTAGCTAATTTTTGTATTTTTGGTAGAGATGGGGTTTCACCATGTTGGCCAGGCTGGTGTTGAACTCCTGACCTCAGGTGATCTGCCCGCCTCTGCCTCCCAAAGTGCTGGGATTACAGGCGTGAGCCACTGCACTCTTGCCATTACTCTTAAGTGATACTTTATAGAGATGTTAGATTGATAATTACTTTCTATCTGTATTTTAAAGCTAAAATTTAATTATTTTCTAGCATCTCTTGTTGCTGTTAAGAAATCTGCTGTCAATAGACTTGTTATTCTTCACTGGTAATTTTTCTTGACTTGGTAATTTTTTTTTTATTATTATACTTTAAGTTTTAGGGTACATGTGCACAATGTGCAGGTTAGTTACATATGTATACATGTGCCATGCTGGTGCGCTGTACCCACTAACTCGTCATCTAGCATTAGGTATATCTCCCAATGCTATCCCTCCCCCCTTCCCCCACCCCACAACAGTCCCCAGAGTGTGATGTTCCCCTTCCTGTGAACATATGTTCTTATTGTTCAATTCCCACCTATGAGTAGAACATGTGGTGTTTGGTTTTTTGTTCTTGCGATAGTTTACTGAGAATGATGATTTCCAATTTCATCCATGTCCCTACAAAGGACATGAACTCATCATTTTTTATGGCTACATAGTATTCCATGGTGTATATGTGCCACATTTTCTTAATCCAGTCTATCATTGTTGGACATTTGGGTTGGTTCCAAGTCTTTGCTATTGTGAATAGTGCCGCAATAAACATGCATGTGCATGTGTCTTTATAACAGCATGATTTATAGTCCTTTGGGTATATACCCAGTAATGGGATGGCTGGGTCAAATGGTATTTGTAGTTCTAGATCCCTGAGGAATTGCCACACTGACTTCCACAATGGTTGAACTAGTTTACAGTCCCACCAACAGTGTAAAAGTGTTCCTATTTCTCCACATCCTCTCCAGCACCTGTTGTTTCTTGACTTTTTAATGATTGCCATTCTAACTGGTGTGAGATGATATCTCATTGTGGTTTTGATTTGCATTTCTCTGATGGCCAGTGATGGTGAGCATTTTTTCATGTGTTTTTTGGCTGCATAAATGTCTTCTTTTGAGAAGTGTCTATTCATGTCCTTTGCCCACTTTTTGATGGGGTTGTTTGTTTTTTTCTTGTAAATTTGTTGGAGTTCATTGTAGATTCTGGATATTAGCCCTTTGTCAGATGAGTAGGTTGCGAAAATTTTCTCCCATTTTGTGGGTTGCCTGTTCACTCTGATGGTAGTTTCTTTTGTTGTGCAGAAGCTCTTTAGTTGAATTAGATCCCATTTGTCAGTTTTGGCTTTTGTTGCCATTGCTTTTGGTGTTTTAGACATGAAGTCCTTGCCCATGCCTATGTCCTGAATGGTAATGCCTAGGTTTTCTTCTAGGGTTTTTATGATTTTAGGTCTAACGTTTATGTCTTTAATCCATTTTGAATTGATTTTTATATAAGGTGTAAGGAAGGGATCCAGTTTCAGCTTTCTACATATGGCTAGCCAGTTTTCCCAGCACCATTTATTAAATAGGGAATCCTTTTCCCATTGCTTGTTTCTCTCAGGTTTGTCAAAGATCAGATAGTTGTAGATATGCGGTGTTATTTCTGAGGGCTCTGTTCTGTTCCATTGGTCTATATCTCTGTTTTGGTACCAGTACCATGCTGTTTTGGTTACTATA
Organism: Homo sapiens; assembly: GCF_000001405.40. Lineage (NCBI taxonomy): Eukaryota > Metazoa > Chordata > Mammalia > Primates > Hominidae > Homo > Homo sapiens. Next base: position 26,674,306 of record NC_000012.12, on the reverse strand, counting down.
GCCTTGTAGTATAGTTTGAAGTCAGGTAGCGTGATGCCTCCAGCTTTGTTCTTTTGGCTTAGGATTGACTTGGCGATGCAGGCTCTTTTTTGGTTCCATATGAACTTTAAAGTAGTTTTTTCCAATTCTGTGAAGAAAGTCATTGGTAGCTTGATGGGGATGGCATTGAATCTATAAATTACCTTGGGCAGTATGGCCATTTTCACGATATTGATTCTTCCTACCCATGAGCATGGAATGTTCTTCCATTTGTTTGTGTCCTCTTTTATTTCATTGAGCAGTGGTTTGTAGTTCTCCTTGAAGAGGTCCTTCACATCCCTTGTAAGGTGGATTCCTAGGTATTTTATTCTCTTTGAAGCAATTGTGAATGGGAGTTCACTCATGATTTGGCTCTCTGTTTGTCTGTTATTGTTGTATAAGAATGCTTGTGATTTTTGTACATTGATTTTGTATCCTGAGACTTTGCTGAAGTTGCTTATCAGCTTAAGGAGATTTTGGGCTGAGACAATGGGGTTTTCTAGATATACAATCATGTCATCTGCAAACAGGGACAATTTGACTTCCTCTTTTCCTAATTGAATACCCTTTATTTTCTTCTCCTGCCTAATTGCCCTGGCCAGAACTTCCAACACTATGTTGAATAGGAGTGGTGAGAGAGGGCATCCCTGTCTTGTGCCAGTTTTCAAAGGGAATGCTTCCAGTTTTTGCCCATTCAGTATGACATTGGCTGTGGGTTTGTCATAGATAGCTCTTATTATTTTGAGATACGTCCCATCAATACCTAATTTATTGAGAGTTTTTAGCATGAAGGGTTGTTGAATTTTGTCAAAGGCCTTTTCTGCATCTATTGAGATAGTCATGTGGTTTTTGTCTTTGGTTCTGTTTATATGCTGGATTACATTTAGTGATTTGCGTATATTGAACCAGCCTTGCATCCCAGGGATGAAGCCCACTTAATCATGGTGGATAAGCTTTTTGATGTGCTGCTGGATTTGGTTTGCCAGTATTTTATTGAGGATTTTTGCATCAATGTTCATCAAGGATATTGGTCTAAAATTCTCTTTTTTGGTTGTGTCTCTGCCCAGCTTTGGTATCAGGATGATGCTGGCCTCATAAAATGAGTTAGGGAGGATTCCCTCTTTTTCTATTGATTGGAATAGTTTCAGAAGGAATGATACCAGTTCCTCCTTGTATCTCTGGTAGAATTCGGCTGTGAATCCATCTGGTCCTGGACTCTTTTTGGTTGGTAAGCTATTGATTATTGCCACAATTTCAGCTCCTGTTATTGGTCTATTCAGAGCTTCTTCCTGGTTTAGTCTTGGGAGAGTGTATGTGTCAAGGAATTTATCCATTTCTTCTAGATTTTCTAGTTTATTTGCATAGAGGTGTTTGTAGTAATCTCTGATGGTAGTTTGTATTTCTGTGGGATCGGTGGTGATATCCCCTTTATCATTTTTTATTGCGTCTATTTGATTCTTCTCTCTTTTTTTCTTTATTAGTCTTGCTAGCAGTCTATCAATTTTGTTGATCCTTTCAAAAAACCAGCTCCTGGATTCATTGATTTTTTTGAAGGGTTTTTTGTGTCTATTTCCTTCAGTTCTGCTCTGATTTTAGTTATTTCTTGCCTTCTGCTAGCTTTTGAATGTGTTTGCTCTTGCTTTTCTAGTTCTTTTAATTGTGATGTTAGGGTGTCAATTTTGGATCTTTCCTGCTTTCTCTTGTGGGCATTTAGTGCTATAAATTTCCCTCTACACACTGCTTTGAATGTGTCCCAGAGATTCTGGTATGTTGTGTCTTTGTTCTCGTTGGTTTCAAAGAACATCTTTATTTCTGCCTTCATTTCGTTATGTACCCAGTAGTCATTCAGGAGCAGGTTTTTCAGTTTCCATGTAGTTGAGTGGTTTTGAGTGAGTTTCTTAATCCTGAGTTCTAGTTCGATTGCACTGTAGTCTGAGAGATAGTTTGTTATAATTTCTGCTCTTTTACATTTGCTGAGGAGAGCTTTACTTCCAACTATGTGGTCAATTTTGGAATAGGTGTGGTGTGGTGCTGAAAACAATGTATATTCTGTTGATTTGGGGTGGAGAGTTCTGTAGATGTCTATTAGGTCTGCTTGGTGCAGAGCTGAGTTCAATTCCTGGGTATCCTTGTTAACTTTCTGTGTCATTGATCTGTCTAATGTTGACAGTGGGGTGTTAACATCTCCCATTATTAATGTGTGGGAGTCTAAGTCTCTTTGTAGGTCACTCAGGACTTGCTTTATGAATCTGGGTGCTCCTGTATTGGGTGCATATATATTTAGGATAGTTAGCTCTTCTTGTTGAATTGATCCCTTTACCATTATGTAATGGCCTTCTTTGTCTGTTTTGATCTTTGTTGGTTTAAAGTCTGTTTTATCAGAGACTAGGATTGCAACCCCTGCCTTTTTTCGTTTTCCATTTGCTTGGTAGATCTTCCTCCATCCTTTTATTTTGAGCCTATGTGTGTCTCTGCACGTGAGATAGGTTGCCTGAATACAGCACACTGATGAGTCTTGACTCTTTATCCAATTTGCCAGTCTGTGTCTTTTAATTGGAGCATTTAGTCCATTTACATTTAAAGTTAATATTGTTATGTGTGAATTTGATCCTGTCATTATGATGTTAGCTAGTTATTTTGCTCGTTAGTTGATGCAGTTTCTTCCTAGTCTCGATGGTCTTTACATTTTGACATGATTTTGCAGCGGCTGGTACCAGTTGTTCCTTTCCATGTTTAGTGCTTCCTTCAGGACCTCTTTTAGGGCAGGCCTGGTGGTGACAAAATCTCTCAGCATTTGCTTGTCTGTAAAGTATTTTATTTCTCCTTCACTTATGAAGCTTAGTTTGGCTGGATATGAAATTCTGGGTTGAAAATTCTTTTCTTTAAGAATGTTGAATATTGGCCCCCACTGTCTTCTGGCTTGTAGAGTTTCTGCTGAGAGATCTGCTGTTAGTCTGATGGGCTTCCCTTTGTGGGTAACCCAACCTTTCTCTCTGGCTGCCCTTAACATTTTTTCCTTCATTTCAACTTTGGTGAATCTGATAATTATGTGTCTTGGAGTTGCTCTTCTTGAGGAGTATCTTTGTGGCGTTCTCTGTATTTCCTGAATCTGAATGTTGTCCTGCTTTGCTAGATTGGGGAAGTTCTCCTGGATAATATCCTGCAGAGTGTTTTCCAACTTGGTTCCATTCTCCCCGTCACTTTCAGGTACACCAATCAGACGTAGATTTGGTCTTTTCACATAGTCCCATATTTCTTGGAGGCTTTGTTCATTTCTTTTTATTCTTTTTTCTCTAAACTTCCCTTCTCGCTTCATTTCATTCATTTCATCTTCCATTGCTGATACCCTTTCTTCCAGTTGATCGCATTGGCTCCTGAGGCTTCTGCATTCTTCAGGTAGTTCTCGAGCCTTGGCTTTCAGCTCCATCGCTCCTTTAAGCACTTCTCTGTATTGGTTATTCTAGTTATACATTCGTCTAAATTTTTTTCAAAGTTTTTAACTTCTTTGCCTTTGGTTTGAATTTCCTCCTGTAGCTCGGAGTAGTTTGATCGTCTGAAGCCTTCTTCTCTCAACTCGTAAAAGTCATTATCCGTCCAGCTTTGTTCCATTGCTGGTGAGGAACTGCGTTCCTTTGGAGGAGGAGAGGTGCTCTGCTTTTTAGAGTTTCCAGTTTTTCTGCTCTGTTTTTTCCCCATCTTTGTGGTTTTATCTACTTTTGGTCTTTGATGATGGTGATGTACAGATGGGTTTTTGGTGTGGATGTCCTTTCCGTTTGTTAGTTTTCCTTCTAACAGACAGGACCCTCAGCTGCAGGTCTGTTGGAGTTTGCTAGAGGTCCACTCCAGACCCTGTTTGCCTGGGTATCAGCAGCGGTGTTTGTATAACAGCAGTTTTTCGTGAACCGTGAGTGCTGCTGTCTGATCGTTCCTCTGGAAGTTTTGTCTCAGAGGAGTACCCGGCCGTGTGAAGTGTCAGTCTGCCCCTACTGGGGGGTGCCTCCCAGTTAGGCTGCTCAGGGGTCAGGGGTCAGGGACCCACTTGAGGAGGCAGTCTGCCCGTTCTCAGATCTCCAGCTGCATGCTGGGAGAACCAATGCTCTCTTCAAAGCTGTCAGACAGGGACATTTAAGTCTGCAGAGGTTACTGCTGTCTTTTTGTTTGTCTGTGCCCTGCCCCCAGAGGTGGAGCCTACAGAGGCAGGCAGGCCTCCTTGAGCTGTGGTGGGCTTCACCCAGTTCGAGCTTCAGGCTGCTTTGTTTACCTAAGCAAGCCTGGGCAATGGCGGGCACCCCTCCCCCAGCCTCGCTGCCGCCTTGCAGTTTGATCTCAGACTGCTGCGTTAGCAATCAGCGAGACCCCATGGGCGTAGGACCCTCCCAGCCATGTGTGGGATGTAATCTCCTGGTGCGCCGTTTTTTAAGCCCGTCGGAAAAGCGCAGTACTCGGGTGGGAGTGACCCGATTTTCCAGGTGCTATCTTTCACCTCTTTCTTTGACTAGGAAAGGGAACTCCCTGACCCCTTGCGCTTCCTGAGTGAGGCAATGCCTCGCACTGCTTCGGCTCGCGCATGGTGCGCTGCACCCACTGACCTGCGCCCACTGTCTGGCACTCCCTAGTGAGATGAACCCGGTACCTCAGATGGAAATGCAGAAATCACCGGTCTTCTGCTTCACTCACGCTGGGAGCTGTAGACCCGAGCTGTTCCTATTCGGCCATCTTGGCTCCTCCCCCGACTTGGTAATTTTATAGATTATTTTTCTTTGCTTTTGATGTCTTAAGTTTCACCATGATGTGTTTACAAAGGAGTTTTATTTTTGTTTTTTCTCATTTGACACTTAAGGTATACTTTTAATCTGAATACTTATTTCTGCCTTCAATTCTTGGAAATTTTCAGCCGTTTTCCTGCAAATATTGCTTCTTTGTCTTTTTCCTCCTTTCTGTCTTTTGGAACTTTTATGAGATATATGTTGGATCCTCTTAATTCCTCTTCTTTCTCTCTTAACTTCCCTTTTATTATTTGCCTTTTAATAGTTCTCTTTGCTAGTATCTGGATCAATTTTTGATACTGCCTTATAGATTAATAATATTTTTAGAATGTATGTAGAATAATTTTCCTTCTTCAGTTAAATTTTTATTTAAATAATTATAATAATAATAATTTTTTTTTTGAGACAGGATCTTGCCCTGTCACCCAAGCTGGAATGCAGTGGTGCAATCACACAGCTCACTGCAGCCTTGACCTCCCAGGTTTCAGCAATTCCTCTTGCCTCAGCTGCCTGAGTAGCTGGGACCATAGGCGCATGCCACCTCACCAACTAATTTTTTAATTGTTTTGTGCAAACGGGTTTCACTATGTTGCCCTGGCTGATTTTGAACTCGGGCTCAAGCAATCCCCCTGCCTCAACCTCCCAAAATGCTGGGATTACAGGCATGAGCCACTGTGCTCAGCCTATAATTTTTATCTCTCAGATTTTTTTTTTTGGTATATCCACCTATTTTTCATTTATATTGGCCTTTTTAAAATACGTTGTCTTTTTAATATATTGCTTTGTTTATCTCTTTGAAGACTGAATACACACTCATTTAAAACTTATTTTGAAACTGTTTTGTTACTCGGATTTTGTTGATGGTGGAGTAGCCTCCTGATACTGTATGGTGGCTATCTTCCTCAATGTCAGCTTTCCTTATGTGCTTTGGACTTTTACTATGCATGATTTTCTTAGGTGGGAGATTTTTGTTTTTCCTTTCTCTACATTCACTTGTCTTCTCTATCAGTTTTATGCTTGCTTCTACCTGGCTTCCCTCAACTAGGCCAGAGCCAGATCTGATATCGAGAGCTGAGAGTCCATGTTCTCTGGTAATTTGAGACTTTAATCATGGAGATTGCTGGTGGCTGGGTCCAGCCCTATCCATGTGTATCTGTTGTTTCCTGCTACCACTGCACAGCCAAAGCCCAAATAAGGGCCACTGAACTTTAAGTTTTCTTTAAGAGGTTAGAGAAGCCATATGTTTGTCTCTGTTTTATATGTTTAGTTTATTTCCCTATCATGTGTTTTTGGTCCCTCTTACCTTGCAAGAGTTGAAATCATCCCTGTTCCTCACTGTGTTTTTCTTATTTTGTTCATTTTCCATAAAGCTTAAAAAGCAAATGCGTGAGCTAGTAGGAGCTACCCACTGCCCAGTATAGAATCAGAGTTTGATCTAAACTGAAAACAAACCAGCTTTTTTGTTTTGCCACAAAGGGGATGCTTGAGGTGCAAGGTCAAAAAAAGGTTTCAGCAGTTTCAGAGGTCAAAAGAGAAGGTTGCTTTTCCTGGCTTCCATGGCCTTGTCATGAAGAGGTGGGCTTTACATGTAGGGTTGACATGTGATTTGCAATCAAGACTGTTAATGTTCGTCGTCATCATTCCATTAACCGTCACCAATTTTCAGGGCATTTGAATGACTTTGAAACAGAGCGATCTGTAGTTGCTCACAAAATTTTACTTTCTTAGATATCTAAATATTTGATTATAGTTATTGAAACAGCAAGAGAAAAGGAATCTTACTAATTTAAAAAATAAAATACAAATATTTATGCTCAAACTGGACTTGCATTGGGCATATAGAAACTTAAGTTCAACTTTTTTTCATTTTGCTGAAGTAACCTCCGCTCCAAATTTGTTTTGTTTTGTTTTAAGAGCAACAGAATGATTTGGAGGACATTAAATCACAATTTCAAAAGAAGTTCACACCACATTTTGATGCACATGAAACGGGTTTTACGTTTCTGTGGCTGCCTTCAGAGATTACACGTAACTATGTCAGTGAATCCTGTCAGTTAGACACAATTTTCCAAAAGAAACAGACTGGGTTACAATTTAAAATAGGCATACCAAGAAAACATAGAATCCCAGGAATTTTGGAATGGAGTTTATGATCCCTGGAAGTATACTGAAATTTCTCTGGGTGACTAAATTATGGATTCTAGGTGTGTCCACTTGGCTGCAGGAAGTGCATTCTCTTTCAAGACATAAATCGGGAGATAGGATCAGGATGTTTTCTTACCAAAGGTATTGAAAGAGAAGAAAAGAGATGTTTTCCAACTGAATACATTCTATACTTTCCTGGAATTGTTGAAGCTCTTAAAATGTAGTTTTCTTATGAATGTATTCATGATTAGCATCATTGTATTCACATGCTAATAACAGTGAATAAAGATGCTAACACTATATGGATGAAGCTAATTTAACTGTTTATTGGTCAGCTTTTGTCTATACCAAAAAAAGTATGTGTTTATTGAGTAATTAAGTTGTACTTTACCATTAATACAATTTAAAAAATGCCTTGACCCTTCCAATACAGATTCCTCATCTGTTTACCCATTTTTGCAATAGCTTGAACCCCTGCCCCCTCCCTCAATCGACTAACACAAATGGAAAATGATAAAGAGCAGGCAGAGGAAGGAGGAGGAGAAAAGTGAAGAGAGGAAGGCTTTCAAGACATTTCCTGTACTACATGCCACTGAAGTTCAAGTAATAGTTGTAATAATAACCAAAATATAGATTTAAAAGTGAACATTGGTGTATGGTTTTAGAATTTCACGATTTTGATAGGTCATTTAATACTTCCAGTATTTTGAGTGTCAGATTGCTTACTCTGTCTCTATTCATAGGTCATTTAAGTTTTTCCTGTTCTGTACATTGGGCAAGTTGAAATGTGGCGAGGATTAGGAAATGTAGTTTAACAGTAAAAAAAGAAAGAAAAAGGATTGGAATTTAGGAATTTAGTATAGCTGTTTTCCCTTAAGCAGAAGTATGCTGCTTTGCTAGTCAGTTGTGGAAAGGCATCTGGTGGTGTCATCCTACCAACTCGTGTGCAGTTGCGACTCACATGGCTTTATTTGATAATAGTCTGCAAACGCTTGATGAGAACTGGAGGCGCAAGTAGAGATTGGAGATGCTGGAGAAGGAATTTTCTTTGTAAAGGCTTAGGTAAACAGTAACTGCCTTAGAGATTATCTTTTGTCAATTAAATACTTTTTTATTATAAAACACCTTGTTTTCAAGTGTTTCAGTTCTTATTATTTAATAAAAAGAAATTTCCATGGATTTGAGTTCCACTCCTGAAGAAAAAGTAAAAAAAAATCTATCTATCTATCTATCTATCTATCTCTACCTACCTACCTATCATCTATCTATACATTTTCCAAAATTAAGCACACTGTAAAGTAAAATTTCCTTTTCATTTTGTAATAGGTTTGTAACCAAATTATTGGAAGATCTCATATTCTTTGTTGCTGATGTGCCTAATAATGGACAAGAAGTTCTGGATGTGGTTATCACTAAGCCAAACCGAGAGCGTCAAAAATTGATGAGGGAACAAAACATACTGGCACAGGTGAATTTTTTCATGTACTAAATTTGTATATTTTATTTTCTGAATTACAGTATCAGGAAAGGCCTTGTATTAGTTATCTATTACTATGAAGCAAATGATCCCAAAACTTAGTGGCTGAAAACAAGATACTTCTTGTCTCACAGTTTCTGTGGAGTAGTGATCTAGGCGTGGCTTACATGGGCAGATCTCACTCAGGGTCTCTCACCAGGCTGCAGTCAAGGTGTTTGCTGGGGCTGCAGGCATCTCAAGGTTCAACTGAGAGAGGACTTGCCTTCCAGCCCTCTCACATAGGCATCTCTCAGGAGTGCCTCAAGACAAGGCAGCTTGCTTTCTTAGAACTGAGGGATCCAAGAGAGAACTAGAGAGGACGCTCAGGTAGAAGCTACCATCTTTGTAGAACGTAATCTTAGAAGTAACATCAGTTCTACTGTGTTCTATTAGTTAGAAATGGGTTAATAAATCTAACCCGTAGTTAAGGAGAGAGGATTCGATGAGGCTATGAATATCAGGAGGCAGGAATATCAGAGACCATTGTAGAGACAGCCTACCATGGACCTCCAAAAACCCTGCATAGTCAGACTATCTCCAGAAAATATGTTGGAAAAATTCCTAGGTAGAATTTCCAGGTGAACTTGGAAAGTGCCATCTCCATCTGCTTCCTACTTCTTTCCTTCTCTTCCCTGGGAAAGTAGGGCAGTCTGTTCATCAGCTCACGAGTGCTCTGTACAATATTCTAGTTTTCTTCCCTGAAAGTACAGAACTGCTCCTGTATTACATCTTCTTGAAATTGTTCATAACACGTCAGTAAATTGATTCACTTCCTAATGATATGCACATATGGACATGCCTACGTTTATGTATTATTTTTATTCTATTAATTGCTATTTAAATTAATGAGTTTCTTCATTAATGAAGTATAGACTCAAGGAAGATACTTAAAACATAAAAATCATGTTCTTGATACACATATTCTTATTGATTTGGGAAAGGAAAATAGTAGACATAATGTTAGTTATTATATGTAGCTGATTGTCTGAAAATACAAAATCAACTTTTTTCTCAAATAAAATAAAGGTTGCAAATCTAATAGGACTTTTTTCGAGTAATTATTATATAAAAAATTTGATTTCAAAGACTTTTAGGACCTTGGATAATTAATTAATAATATTTTAACCAACATATGTCAAATATTTTATTTTTGTTTGATAAATATAAAATTAAAGGCTTAGTGAATACAAAATTATTAAAGAAACTTTAGTTCATATCATATTTCATGAATTCCAAAGAATAATTCCTTTCTATTTTGTTTTCATGTATTAATGTTCATGCCCTTGACCGCTCTTTCATAGACAATTTCCTCATTCTAGCAGCTCATCTCCAGGTGATCCCTCCTGCTGTCTTGCTGCCGAAAAGAGTTATATTCCTCAATGCTTTTTAAATGCTTCCTAACTGCTAACCTTCTTACAAGAATCTGGCTTACTGGGAGCCACCAGCTGCCCATGTGGCTCCTAATTTGTCACATTTGAATGCTGATATGTTCATCGATTTGGCCACATCTTTGTATACAAAAACAGTAAATTAACTCTTTTATAAAGCAGTTTAGAAGCAATGTTTGGAAGTCATTTTCTGATGTCAGTTTTAAAGAAAAGTAAATGTTTTCTTTATATTATTTTGATTTTGAAAGGTTATAGAAAATAATAGAAGAAACTTATTATAAAGCCCCTAGAAATCAAGCTACATTTTAGTTCATCTGAATATGTTCATGTAACTTGGTGAAATTGAACATCTTCATATTTCTTATTTTATAAAATATGATTTCTAAACAAAATTAAGCATTTTATTTAAAGAATGTTTTTGTCACTCAATGTAGGTGACCCTTTTGGCAGTACTTTTCTGATCCTTGATATGTTGGTCCTGTAACGTAAATCCTTTTGTTTTTCCCGTTTACTCTAATACTCAAATTTATATAAGTGTTTTTTGAATCAATGTTCTTATTTGTTAAAAAAAAAAGGTTGCAAAACATTTTATTCATCAGAATAGGTGGCTGTTTTTATTCCTGATAGGTATTTGGAATTCTTAAAGCACCCTTTAAAGAGAAAGCAGGAGAAGGCTCGATGCTGAGACTTGAAGATCTGGGGGATCAAAGATATGCACCCTACAAGTACATGCTGCGGCTCTGTTACCGCGTCCTGAGACACTCGCAGCAGGATTACCGGAAAAATCAGGTCAGAGGGTAGCCCCCATTTTAAACTGTTTCATATGTAAAGTATGGGCAAGGTTCTTTGGTTATAATTCTACAGCATAGAAAGTAGGAATGGGAAATTTCACTTTGAAATGAAATATTTTATGTTGGGCAATACATAAAAATGATTTGTAAGTATTTTTGAGTTGTATTGAACATGGCTTTATTCTTCCATATGAAATTAGAATCACTGGGGGAGGATGTCCTGAGTACTAATATGTGCCTGTTATTGGTTCCTGGTGGCCAGGACATCCTGGATCTATTATGTAAGGAGGAATGGAACATTTTTGGCTTGAGGAACATGTGAGGTACAGCATCACCGTGTATGGACCAAAGAGGTTATAGTTTAGTGGAAAAGATATGATGGGAGACAAAGAAAAGACACAGAGAGAAAAGATAGAGTTATGGGAATTCACCAGAGGGAGAGCCCAGTGGTGGCTTTGGGAACCAAGGAAGAATACTTGGAGAAGGAAGCCTTTGGGTAGGATGAGAATCATTTTCATAAATTGTATGGGAAGAGGTATTTGTGAAGAGAGATCTATGAAGTGAGAATGATAGATGCTAGAAAGGACACGTTTCCCCTAAGATATTTGCAACTGCTGAGGTCAGGGAACCCAGATGGATCTAGGGGTACAGCTAACAGTTGCCAGTTGCAAGTGAAATTTCTCTTAAGTCTCATTTTTATCTTAAAAATACAAACCAGGTGGCGTGGCTCAAGCCTGTAATCCCAACACTTTAGGAGGCCAAGGTGGGGGGATTACTCAAGGCCAGGAGTTCTAGACCAGCCTAGGCAATATAGCGAGGCCCCCATCTCTACAAAAACGAAAAATACCTGGGTGTGGTGGTGTGTGTCTGTAGTTCCAGCTACTAAGGAGGCTAAGGCTGGAGGATCACTTCAGCCTAGGAGTTCGAGGCTGTAGTGAGTTATGATCACACTAGTACACTCCAGCCTGAGCAACAGAATGAGACCCTGCCTCATAAAAAACAAAACAAAACACAAGCTTAATATTTTGCAATGTGTTCAATAATGTAAATGTCTAACATACAATTGTATAAAATTAATTATTGTTTGATAAATTAGGGTTTCTCTTAATCCATTTGAGGGCAGAGTGCATCACTGTAAGTTTCATTGATGAGTTTGGTCCATGAAGAAGGATGGTGTGGGAGAGGGCTGGAAGGGCAGGGTGGGCTAAGCCACTAGGGCCTAGGATGTCAATCCTAGAAGGTGGAGGTTATTTGGGAAGAGTTAGTAGTATTTATTGTGTGCTTACTTTGTACCAGGCTCAGTTGTAAATACTTGTCATGAATTAATTCAGTTAACACTGAATTAAGATGAAGGATAGAGGCACAGAGAGGTTAAGTAATTTGTCCAAGGTGATAGTTTAAGAATGGAACCAGTATGCAAACCCAGGCTCTGAATCATCACACTATTGCATCTTGGTAGTTTGAACATTTTTGGGGAAGAAAAAAAGATTTGCTTGAGGAAGACTGTGTTAAAATGTTTTGGCTTCACAATTCTGTTTGAAGAGTAAGAAAGGTCTGAAAAGAGTATATAAAAACATTAGCTAGAAGATAAATAATATGGCAAGGAATAGGAGTAAGAGCTAGGGGTGATATAAACAAATCCTTAAATATTGTCTAATATAATCCTAGTTATAAACACCCTTCTTGCTGATCCAAATGCTGTCACTAGAATTATTTTTCCGGACTTCATTGGGTTCCTTTAAGATGGCAAGATGAAGTAGATAGTGTTGTTCATATTTTTTTGGAAGAAGAATTAAGTAGCAGGACATTAAATGGCCTTCCTTCAAGCACTTGGAGGCAGTGTTAGGGGATGCTCCCAGTATCGGACCCTGAGTTTTTAGTGGAGGTCTGGAGTGGGGAAGGGAAATGAGAGGCTGCTCAATGTTTTCTCCTTGCTCTGGTTTTTCTTCTTGGGTTTGGAGAAATACACTTGTGAGACTGGTCACCACTTCACCCGTACGAGCAGTGCTGTATTATAGAGATTGACATTAACAGAAAAAATACCTAACAGGTCTATAGAGGCTACCCAGGGCCCTCAGGCCCATCAGGTCCCATGATGTGCACCCTCCTTGATGGCTGTCAGCCTTTGGAAGAGTACTTGGGGCCCCTTCCCTTTTCTATAGCCCTGTGCTTTGGGATGGCAGGGAGCCAGCTCACTTTGGATTTGGTTATTCTGCTAGTCAGTAGTAGGTTCCCTGGGCGACATGTCTTACCTGGTGTCAGTTCTGTCTCTCAAGGTCTGGCACACATGGTTCTTTCTCACTCCCCTCTCAGTCTTGGCCAGGGATCAGTGTGTGCGTACACACACACAAACACACACACGTGTGCGCTCGTGCACGTGCCCGTTCCCTCCCACCCCCCCCCCCCCACACACACACCCCTACCTAGTCATATCACTCCTTTCAGGTACATGTTTATGCACTTTAGGGACCTGCCTTCTGGGTTTCTTTGGAGCATAGAGTTAGAGCATAGATGATAAAGGAATAAAGAATCCCCAGCATTTGTTAAGGGTTATATTTTATTTTTCTTCCCTTTCTGTTGTGTGTTCTAATTGAATCTCAGTGATAGCTGGGAAATGTTTTTCTCATTTCTATTGAGTTAAGAATGCTTGGTAGTAAGCATAAAGCAGCTTTCTGATTTTTTAGAACATTTAAAAATGTTCTATATTATTATTATTATGTAGTATATATTATATAGCATTATGGCTATAATTACTTTGTTTTTCTTTATCTTCACCTATATGTTGTAGTCCTAATAGGAAGTTCATTTGTGACTTAACACTCACCCATATATTTAATATTGAAGATCTATTTATTACTATTTATAAAATTTGATACCACCTCTAATTTCATTTAGTTATTTATTAACATTTTTGGATGTTTGCCTTGTACCAGAGTATGACTACAGTAGTCATGAAAGTGTATAAATCAATATGTATCCTTAAAATGATATAATAACAGAAGACATTTACTTTACTTAACTGGCTCCCCAATACACAAAGCCATCATTCTGAAGGGCCACAAAAATGCTGCTTAGCATATAATTAGATTTGTGCAACCAATATCATTTTCAAGGAATAGGTACATTCCAGTAAATTTTACCTAAGGCAAAACCACTTTCTAATCTATCAGTTGTCTTGTCAGAGAAACAAAGACACATTTCCAGGGAGAATCCCAAGGAATCAAAGTAAGAACCTTTCATGGTGGAAGGGGGAGAAGCTCACCAGTCCCATGGCAGTGTGAGATGTGCTGCTTGTAGATAGAACGTGGGAGATGAACAATAGTGGTTTGGGATATAGGAAAATTAGTGTGATGAATAAGGAGTAGATCAAACAATAACATGATTGAACCTCCCCAGTGGCTTTCTCTTACTTTTAGCACAATCTCTTTGCCCTTTACCATGGCTCACAAGGATTCTTTTGACCTACCTCTCAAACTTCGACTTTGCTTTCTGCCCCTTACCACTGCCTAGCTACAATGGCCACCTTCTGTTGATAGAACATAAGCTTGGTTCTACTACCTCAGGGCCTTTGCACTGGCTATTCCCACTGCCTAGATGGCTTCCCTTTAGGTCTTCCAATGGCTGCCTCGTTCTCTTCATTCCCATCCTAGCTCAAATGTCACTTCTTCAGCATAGGCCTTCAAGAAACATTTATTGGGCAAATGGATCTAATCAATAAAGTGATTAATCACATTGCCCTGTTTGGTGGCTTTTTAAAGATAAAAAGTATATGACATTTTACCATTATTTTAAAGAAAAGATCTTACAGATCATTCCAGCCTATTCACAGAAAAGGAATCAATCCAAGTCCATCTAGGATCTTCAGGTAACAACCCAGATCTCATGTCTCATGAATGAAATATCAGGCAGTCATTTTCTTTTCTATAATTATGCCCAAATCATTGGCTATGACTTTAAGTAAGAGATAGAAGAAAAGCCTCTGTTAGACTGATGAAATCCAAAGTTATTGTGTCATAAAAGCTTATTTTAATTAGATTTATTTTTCCCACTTAGCCTCTGTTAGACTGATGAAATCCAAAGTTATTGTGTCATAAAAACTTACTTTAATTAGATTTATTTTTCCCACTTTGGAAATAGGTATTTCCAAAATACCTATACTGATAATTATTTCTAGGTGTATAATTTTTTAGTAGAAGTTCAAAAACGTATATGCCAGTATGTTTTCATGTCTTTCCTCAAAAAGCTCTATTTATTGAAAAATTTACTTGCTTTTCTTTTGAGAAAATTTTTAGTGAACCTTCTGTTGTGAATAAATTAATCAATGTTGTTGACCCTAATAGAACCTGTTATTTGTAAGCTGTTTGGCAGTGCATTCTGACAGCCTTTCTTCTTTGCAGGAATATATTGCTAAGAATTTCTGTGTCATGCAGTCCCAGATTGGCTATGATATTTTGGCAGAAGATACTATCACAGCTTTGTTGCACAACAACAGAAAACTACTAGAGAAACATATCACAGCAAAAGAAATAGAAACATTTGTCAGTTTACTCAGGAGAAATCGGGAGCCAAGGTTTGAAATGATTCATGCGGTATTCTTTTCTAGTGGAGATTGCGGCTTTATGTTTTATTTTTAGAACTTTTAAAAGTTAGAGTTCTTTCACATCACTAACTTTTATGGACGAACTATGTTGGGCTTATTGCTATAATAATTGTATATAATAAAGAGTTATTACCTCATAAGAGATCAGAGCCCTTTATAGACATACTTAAGTGTGATTGATTTTCACTCTGAATCCTCATGATTTTATAGAACTTTATGGTTTCTCAAAATACATTCATATACATTATCTCATTTAGATCCTTGCACACTTGTATGAGATACACTGGTTGTATATTATTATCCCCATTTTAGAGATGAGAAAATAGAAGCCGAGTGAGCAACTTGCCCAAGCGTACCCTGATAGGAATAGAATACGAGGTAAATCAAGGGCTTCTGACTCCACATCAAGCTCTTTTTCTGTTGTACCATGCTGCCTTATCTTGAAGAAATGAGTGCAGACAAGTCAAGCCAATTGGCAATGTTTCCTTAGCTAATTAGCACAGCAAATAAATGCTAGAAGGTAGAAATGGGCCTCTGACTTGACCAGGTCATAGTAATTTTCATTAGGCGTGTGCTCTATTTCTCTTTTGTTCAGTACAGCATTAGCTTTGATCTGCCTTTGTTTTGATATTCAGCTCTGGGGAGACTCACTTTAGGGGAGATGAATGATTTTCTAAACATAAGTCACGGTGCTGTGGGTGGAATATCATAAAATAAATAGAAGCAAACACATCCTTTTTGAAACAAGACTTATATTAAATAAAAAGAATTGTATGTTTAATTTGTTTCTAATGATGCAGTAGATAAACAACACATTAGACAAATGTTGTGTGGAAATAATATTAAAACATATAATAAGTTTATTTTATTATATTCCAAATTATGTCTTTATTGTGATGCTTTTATAAAATGCTTTGTCTTCATATTCCATTTAATTTTTTTCTTTTGCCAGGTTTTTGGATTATTTGTCAGATCTGTGTGTGTCTAATACCACTGCTATCCCTGTAACTCAAGAACTCATCTGTAAATTTATGTTGAGTCCAGGCAATGCAGACATTCTCATTCAAACTAAGTAAGCCCAGATAATGGATGCATCATTTTCCTGTTGATTATTTGTAAGCACTGTAATTCTTTGTCATATTTACAAGTGTACTTTTTAGTAGATTTTTGTATGTGCTATTTATTTGAAGGGTGGTCTCAATGCAAGCAGACAACCCCATGGAGAGCTCCATCCTTTCAGATGACATTGATGATGAAGAAGTTTGGCTCTATTGGATTGACAGCAACAAGGAACCTCATGGCAAAGCTATCAGGCACCTTGCTCAAGAGGCAAAAGAAGGCACCAAAGCTGACTTAGAAGTTCTTACCTATTACAGGTTAAGTATTATAGACAATCTTACAATAATTCCCAGTCTCACATATTAATTGAGAACTGGTTCTCTGTAGCCACTAGTTAGGTATCTATGAAGAGGCAATTTTAAAAGTCATGTCAGAACTAGGGTAGCTGAAATATTTAGTATTGTTTAAAATATTCAAAATAAAAGTTAACATTTATATTTTCTGCATACACCACTTGTAATTTCCTGGTTTCTCACTAGCTTGGAATTATTGTGCAGCCAAAGGCTTTGTCCTCATATTGAGTAGAGTGGAGGCAGATGAGAGGCATGTTAGGACCTAGGTGATGGAGTTGAGAGGGATATAGACATGGAGCTAAGGAAATTGATCTGGCTACAAGGGTAGCTCAGAGCAAGTAAGCCAGTAGTTTAGTATAGAGTGGATTATGAATATGTGGTGACCTAGAGCCTAAGAGAAACTGGTGCCTGTAGTTAACGAAAGTTCAGCCCCGGAATATGGCAGCGGAAGTACTGAAGGCAGTTCCTGGTGGTCAATATATTGGGAGCAAGAACCTAGCTGGCATCTTTGAGTTGCAGGTATAGAAACCCAAGGCAGAAGCCTTGGGGCCAAGTTGGGCCCAAATGGCAAGAATCAGACAAAGACAGATGACGCTTTGTGCTCCCTGGTTTCTACAGCTATAGCAACCAAATCAAAGGCTAATTCTTAATCTCAAAACTGGGCTGATAAGCCAAGTGACTCATGCCATTTGGACTGATCACTTTTGGTTTGGGAACTGAGTGGGGCAAAACCTGGAGTGTAGACACTAGAGCTAGAAGCTGAGTGAGGCTGGCGAAGGTGGAGAGAGATGGTTTCATGTGAGCTGTTACCCATAGCCTTCAGCCTGAGTGCAGTATTTGTCATTCTAGGAAACCCAGAATGGAGTGCCTAGTGACACTCTCCAGCAGACACATTTTGCTGAAACAAGTAAGAGGTATTGTAACTGAAGGGACATAGAGACAGTTTCATATATGTCTTGTCATTTGATCTTAATGGTTAACATACTACAGTCAAGAGTTTGACTCCAATATCATGAATGCTTGGAAATACAGGTGTCTTAAACATAGATACTGATTGGTACTATGACGTTTAAAGATTTCCTTGAGATAAGACAATAATGTAATATGTTTACCATTTTTAAGGTACCAGCTAAACCTCTTTGCAAGGATGTGCTTGGATCGCCAGTATCTGGCCATAAACCAGATTTCTACACAGCTGTCTGTAGACCTGATCCTGCGGTGTGTGTCGGATGAGAGCCTGCCGTTCGACCTCCGAGCGTCCTTCTGTCGCCTCATGCTCCACATGCACGTTGACCGGGATCCCCAGGAGTCCGTGGTGCCTGTTCGCTATGCCAGGCTCTGGACAGAAATCCCCACAAAGATCACAATTCATGAGTATGTTTGGAAAAAGGTCTTGAGGCTTTGGAATTCATCAGATGAACTCCACGTCAAATGTCTACAGTTTTGAAATGAAACATGTGGAAAGGCATTTGTGTATCCTGTCTTGGGTTGTTAATCTTCTAAATGCAAATAAGATACTCGTTTTGAAGGGTGAAATGATAACTCTCAGTGGTAATAAAGGCACTTTCTAGAAAACAGTAAATAATATTGATGTAATGAGCAAGAATTGTAAGTACTTAATATTGTGGTAGACTGATATAACTGCTTTACACGTGCTAACTCATTTCACAATAGCCCCATTTTACAGATGAGGACCCAGCCTCTAGGAAAGCTAACTAATTTATCCAAGATTATGCACCCAGGAAACTACGTGTGTTTTCCTATTTTTAAATGATTGCAATCAGTTTAACTTGCGTTATCTTCTTTCTCTATTTCCAGATATGATTCTATAACAGACTCTTCCAGAAATGATATGAAGAGGAAATTTGCCCTGACAATGGAATTTGTTGAAGAATATTTGAAAGAAGTTGTAAACCAGCCCTTTCCTTTTGGGGATAAAGAAAAAAATAAACTGACATTTGAGGTACTTTGTCCCTCTAATATTTAGGATGTTTTGGTAACTGGGTAGTTTAGTTCATGAAGGTATTATTTTCTCTGCTTTTTTTTTTTTTTTTTTTGAGACAGAGTCTCACTCGGTCGCCCAGGCTGGAGTGCAGTGGCATGATCTCGGCTCACTGCAAGCTCCGCCTCCCGGGTTCACGCCATTCTCCTGCCTCAGCCTCCCGAGTAGCTGGGACTACAGGCGCCTGCCACCACGCCCGGCTAATTTTTTGTATTTTTAGTAGAGACGGGGTTTCACCATGTTAGCTGGGATGGTCTCGATGTCCTGACCTCGTGATCCACCTGCCCCGGCCTCCCAAAGTGCTGGGATTACAGGTGTGAGCCACCACCCCCGGCCTTCTCTGCCATTTTTAGAAGATAGATTTGGTGCTTTGATGTCCAGTACAAAACATTTTATTTATAATTGTCTATTAATTACTATTTCCCTTGATTTTTTGTTTCATTTGTGTAAGATTTTTTGCATGTAATAAAGAAAGGCAGTTTTGCATATTTTGTAAAATGTTTGGATACTTTTTTTTATCTCTATGGAGATGTTTTTATTTTCACCAAACTGAATTGAAATACTTTCAGTTTGGGGATGTAGTGACAAAACTAGAGAAAGGATGCTGTTACTTGATAACTGGTGTATTAGCTACCTACTGGTGTATAACAAATTACTCCAAAACTTGCAGCCTGAAGCAACAAACATTATCATAGCTTCTATGGGTCAGGAACCTGGGAATAGCTTAGCTGGGTGGTTCTGGCTCAGGGTCTGTGATGGGGTAGCCAGCAAGCTGTTGACTGGGATTGCAGCCATCTAGGGCTGGACAGTCTGTTTCTAAGGTCACTGGAGGGGTTGTTGGTGGCCACACCTCCTTGCTGGCTGTTGGCACCTCAGCTTCCTGCCATGTGGGCCTTTCTGTAGGCTGCCTGGGTGTCCTCATGACATGGTACCTGGCTTCCTCAGAGCAAGCCATCTGAGAGAGAGAGAGAGAGAGTACAAGATGGAAGTTGCAGTCTTCTGTAATCTAATCTTGGAAGTGACATGTCATCACTTCTGTTGGTTACTTGGACCAACTCTGATACAGTGTGGTAGGGGGAGACTGTGCACTGGGGCCACATCTTGGAGGTAGACTCTCGCACTTGGAATGTCCTGTGCGATCCACAAGACCACAAAGCAGCATAGGGAACATAGATTTCTGGGCAAATTTCTTGGATAATAGCCATTTATTAAGGTAATTAATTGATGCAACCATTTATTAAGTGGCATCCTGCTGACTTAAATTACTTAATGTTTAATTAGGATGTAAATAATTCTAGTGTAAATTTTGTTAAGTACCTTAAAGCACTCTGAGTCTTGCTTGGATTTAGTTCTAGACTTGAATAAATCAAAGTTCAAGTGGTTGCTTTTGCAAGTATTTTAATTCCTAGGTGTTAAAGAATTAGGAAGTTTAGAAATTGCTGTGCTAATTTAGATAATAAAAAAGCCAATGTTTATTTCAGTACCCAATTTTTTTTTCCACTCTTTCACCCTCCCCCTCCCCGCTTTTTTTTTTTTATTAAGGTGGTCCACTTGGCTCGGAATCTTATATACTTTGGATTTTATAGTTTCAGTGAGTTATTAAGGCTAACAAGAACACTTCTGGCTATTTTAGACATTGTACAGGCCCCCATGTCATCATACTTTGAAAGATTAAGCAAATTTCAAGATGGAGGTAAGAATTTTGGGAAATGTGATAATATCATTGTTATTACTTGGAAGTAAGATAAAAAACAAAACTACAGAGAAGGGGTTGCTATTGTGTACCTGCTAATATATGTGTGCATATGAACACAATTCCTATGACAGGGCTGAGTGATAATAAGGTGGATTTACAAACATGCATCTCTGTTTATAATGCTAAAGCTTTGAAAGATGAATTCATAAGGTCAGATTCCATCTTTAGCAACTAACATTATAGCCAAGCCACTTGTGAAAATATTCTGTGTTAAAAAATGAAAACATCTTGATGTTTGTGGTCATGTGGTTCAAGCAATTCTCCTGCCTCAGCCTCTTTTATTTTTACAAATACAGATGAAATTATAAGGTGTCAAAGAGAGAATAGATTTGAAGGCTGTGCTCCACAGCAGAGCTTAGACGGATGCAAGGAAGGCCAGGCACGGTGGCTCACGCCTGTAATCCTAGCACTTTGGGAGGCCAAGGTGGGCAGATCATGAGGTCAGGAGATCGAGACCATCCTGGCCAACATGGTGAAAACCCGTCTCTGCTAAAAATGCAAAAATTAGCTGGGCATGGTGGCGTGTGCCTGTAATTCCAGCTACTCGGGAGGCTGAGGTAGAATTGCTTGAACCAGGGAGTCGGATGTTGCAGTGAGCTGACATCGTGCCACTGTACTCCAGCCTGACGACAGAGTGAGACTCCATCTCAAAAAAAAAAAAAAAAAAAAAAGAAAGATTCAAGGAAAGGGCTGCCAAAGTATCACGCCAGAGAAGGAGTGAATGCCACGCCAGTGTGGGAACCTGTGGAGTGAAGTGGATAAGAGAATGGGTTTTCAAGTTAGAGTATCTGTATTCAAATCCTGCCTTGACCATTTATAAGGTACTTGTCTTCTCTATGATTTTTCTTTTCTCATCTGAGATATGAAGATGGTAATAACAATATCCTTCTCACAGTTTCCTTGCAAGAATTGAGGGAATGTATACAATATATTCAATGGACTTTCAACAGTGCCTGTCTCATAAGTCAATACAAAGTTTTTATGACGATTGTCTTGGGTTGGATACCCTAAAAACACCCTGATCTAGAGGCTTGTTTGCAGAAGGTATATCGAAGAGTGCACTTGGATATGTACCTGTAAGGAAGTGAGGAAGGTAGGACTGTGCAGGCAGAGCTCATCTGCAATGCAGTTATGACTGAGACCTCAGCTCATCCTGTAGGGAGTTTTGGAGCTGGGATGCTCTTTGGAATTGTCACAAATTAAGGCAAAGGGGGCCACCCTTTGTGTCTTTGTATCAGCCAGCTATTAGCTACTTGGCTTCATCCTGGAGGGGGCTGTGTAACATTGGGTAAGAGTCTGGCCTAGTGAGAGGTACAGCTGTAAATAGTTAGCAACAAGAATGCCCAGCAGCTGGGGCAATAAGAGCCTCAGCCCTGAAAAGGGGACATGGGTGGAGCACAATAGTATCCACTACAACATCCACTACAGTATTAAAAGGGCAAAACCAGAAACCTAATTTCAGACATAAAGAAGAAATACCTAGTTAAGAATTATAAATGAGCAACTTACAGTAAGCTGAAGTAATTAATTGCTGCTGCCCAAATCTCAATTCCTTTTATAGCTTTCAAAAAACTGTACAAATCAATAAGAAGCCAATTGAACCACAGAAATCCCTCACCTTCAGCATAACTAGAAGCGAGGGGACAGTGCAAATGCTAGTTACTGTAAGTAGAAAAATAAACATTCATTTTTAGTACAGCTGCCTGGTGAGCTCCCATTGCAAGCTTTGAGGATGGTGAGTGGTTTTTGGAGAAACTGGGGAAGAGAAAAGGGATCGTGTGCAAAGGGAATGAAATGAAATTGTATGAAAATCACCCTTAGAAAGAGAAAGTTTATCTAGGTGTGAAAATATGGAAAAAGTATCCAGGTAGATAAGAGCACCAACTTAAAAGGAAGGGACTTGAAATAGCACAGGGAGCAGCTGTGGAAAAGCAGTGCTTCTAGGGATGAACAAGGTTGCAGGTAAGGGAAGGGCACCCCTTCGAGTCTTTTGGTGAAAGAAAAAGAGGCAAGATGGGGAGATCTAGAATACCACAAGACAAAAGAAACCTGAAACATCGATGGACATACCACTCCTCCACCGACCTCTACCAAAAGCCAAATTTTAAAGAAACTGCACTTCATGACTCTGACAGGAGGGGGCGATGTTGAACAAGAGATCCTATAAACCCGCTCCTTGTGGATCCTGTCTGCTGAATGTGTAAATGTCATCGGTATCACTATGTGAAACCACTGTAAGACCAAAACAGAATGGAAAAATCTAAACACCTCAGTGGATGGAAATTCCTCTCTGAAGAGTAACTGTGAAGCAGAAGAATATTGTAACATGGTACTCTAAATGGAATTAAGTAGCTTCAAGCACAGTGGACTATGGAAAACAGTTTGATTCATAAATTCAAAAACTAAGATCAGAAATGGACCAAAACCCAAGAAGAAATGAAATGAAAATTGATTGAACTTAGGAAAGAAATAGAATAAAATGGTTGGCTTTATTTATTCATTTATTTTTTACCAATACAGATTAAATTATAAGGTGTCAAAGAGAGAATAGATTTGAAGGAAAATCAAATAGGTGACACTGAAGAAAGGCAGGAGAACAATGAAGAGAATGACAATGATCCAAAGAAACAAGTGATGAGGGTGAGAGGGAAAGAGGCTGAAATGGAAGAAAGGCAAAGAAGAGCCACCATATGAATAACTGGAGTCCCTGAAGAAGAAAAACAAGAAAATGGAACAGAATGAGTATTTAAAATTGCAATCCAAGAGAACATTTGGAAATAAAAGACAACCTGAATCTACATGGTGTAATTATCCAGAATGGTAATCTCTAAGAGCATAATAAGATGATTATATATAGTATACATTCAGAAAGAGAATAATAAGGGTTTCAGAGAGGAACCACGAAAGCAAATGGAGAAAAAAGGAAAGCGTATATGAATATTCTTTACTATTATTGCATCTTTAATGTAAATTGAACATTTTATAAAAATAAATCTATGAGCAACATATGAATGAGAAAAAGCAAAGACCAAGAACCGTAGTTGTTAATCAAAGAGCAGGGACATGCAGGGGTCTATATTAATTCCGCTGCCTGAATCTCACTAGTGAGACTCCTTTTACCACTCCCAGAGGGTACATAACACTTGAAATGTCCATACTAAAGCTGCTTGTTATGCTTTTACAATCTTCAATCTAAACTAAATTATTCTTAGAAAGCTAGAAGTTGATCCTGACTTTTGATCTCACTGCTTACAATCTGCCTTCAGTGTTTCACCATGAAGAGTATTTTATTAAAGACATTTTTTTTTAGAGCAGTTTTAGGTTCATGGCAACATTAAGAGGAAGATACAGAGATTTTTTATTTATCACCTGCCCCCCAACATGCATAGCGTCCCCATATCAACATCCTCCACTAGAGGGGTACATTTATTACAACTAGTGAACCAACATTGACATCATTATTCCCAAAGTTCATCGTTGACATTGGGGTTCACTCTTGGTGTTGCACATTCTATGTATTTGGACAAATGTATAATGACACGTATCTAACATTATAGTATCGTACAGCATCTTTTCACTGCCCTAAAAATTCTCTGTGCTCTGCATATTCAACCCTTCTCCCACCTCCTCACCATCCCCTGGCAACTGCTGATCTTTTTCTCTTTCCATAGTTTTGCCTAAGGAAAGTACTTTTTTTCTTGGAAAAGTTGTTACCTTGTTTGCTCTCTCCACCGTCCTGTTTATATCTGCCCTCAAAGACACATAAATTTAATTTCTATAATTCTCATATTTTTTAGTGAATTCCACTGACTTCTAGATACCTTAATTATTCTTTCAGCAATCTGATAATAATTTATTAATTTATTTAACAAGAATGTATTGAAGAATTACTACATGCCAGACACAGTTCTAGTCACTGGTAATAAGTAATGAACAAGATAAACAAAGTTGTTAGCCACAGGGAAGACAATTAATAAATAAATGGGCAAAATTTCTCCTTTCTCCTATTGGGAGAAATAGTCAGATTATCTATCTGTCTATCTATCTATAATAGGAGAAACAGCCAGGTTATCTATCTGTCTGTCTGTCTATCTATCTATCTATCTATCTATCTATCTATCTATCTATCTATCTATCTAGTCTATCTATCCTGTAACATCTGATAATGCTGTGAAGAAAAATAAAGTAGGTCAATGATATGGAGACTGATGGAGTGAGGGAGGGTAGAATTTTGTTTTAAGTTTGGTGGGCAATCTCTGGAGGGATTTGAGAAGGGATTGATATGATCTGATCATGTTGACTGCTGAATGGAGAATAGAGAATATCTATGTGGGCAAAAATGTCGAAGGCTGAGAAACTGTTTCAGATTAAAGGAGATTAAAGAGACATGACAACTAAATGCAATATGCAATTCAGTACTGGATCCTGGATTAGGAGAAATATTATCTATAGAAGATATTATTGGCACAAGTGATACAATTTGAAAATGGATTGTAGAAATATGGATTGCAGGTTATATTTGAATATTGATTATGTCAGTTAGATTTCTTGACTTTTGTAATTGCACTGTGCTTAGCTAAGCTAATGTACTTGTTTTTAGCAAATACATGCTGAAGAATTGAAAGTTGAAAGGGCATGATGTCTAGAACCAACTTTCAAATAGAGCAGGAAAGATGTGTGTGTGTGAGTGTGTGTGTGTGTGTGTGTGTGGGTGTGTGTGGAGACAGATGCAAATGTGGCAGGATTTGTGAATCTAATCAATCTGAGCAAAGTCTATGTGGGAGTTCTTTGTACTATTCTTGCAACTCTTTCTATAAATTTGAAAGTTTTTTAAAACAAAAAAGTTAAGAACTTAAATAATTAATCTGGTAGGAAAACGATTTATGTTATGCAAGGTGACAATTCAAACTTCAAGAATGATCTTACAACTCTACTAGGAGATGTGTTATTAATATTATAGCTGGGTTCTCTCTTAGACTATAAATTCCTAACAAAAGTTCTGTTAGACTGTATAAATTCTTAACAGAAGAAGCAAGAAGAAACACTTTTCTGGAATCTCCAAATATGGAGATAGGATTGTCAAGCATGGGAAAAATTCCTGTGGTGCAGGGTGAGACAAAGGTCGATGCCAGAGAGGAAATCCCAGATTGTGGAAAGTACCTAGAGAAAAAAAAAGAAATATTATTTTAAAGATCAACTGTTAGGAGTCATAGCAATGTTACCACATTACAATACTCTGTATCATCATCTTGGCTCTTTGATATCTAAATGATTTGGATTGTATTTTCTTCTTTTTTTTTTCATATGGACTCCTCTCATACTGTAAGTATTTTTCTCTTTTAATGAAACTTTATCTTCAATGGGAAGTCATTTGCAAAGTACAATTAAAAAAAAAAAAAAAAGAAAGTGGTTTTATAAACATTGTTGCTAGATAGACCAGTTCCTTTAAGTAAATGATACAGTTCTGTATGCTCATATCATGTCAGGAAAATTTTGTGTACTAGAACTACATCTTTTTTATCCTTACTTCCCACTTACTAATTTTTCTCCAGCACAGTTGGGGTTGGACATGCAGAAAAATGTGTTTGGCAGGTCAGACGCAGGAGAGCAGAAGAGGAGGCATATCTAGAAGGAAAAGGCTTTACAGTTCCTGGAGTTCCATTTTTTGCCAGCCTCAGTGGCGCCAGGCTTAAATAGGATGTGCACGCACAGCATTCATTTGTTTTTTCTGGGAAATCCTGTAGCTTTAGATGCCAGTGATGAGTGTTTGAGGTTGTAGAGATGGCTGGCTTGGAAAGTGGCAATTACAGAAGTTTTTTTCTTCTGCATCCTTGGTCACACAGCAGCCCACCTCAGTGTCATTGTAAGTTGTCCTCATCCTAGATCTGGTTGGGGGTCTGCGTCTAGCTTCCAGGCTGTGGCTGCTCCCTGTCACAATGGCTTATAGTTGGCACGCTCAGCAGAAATTGCTAGGCTCAGAAGCAGCTTTTTATCTTTGTACCCTAAAGGTGGTCCGTTCAGAAAATGATTGAGGCTTGCTCATATGGAGACACAGGGAGCTGGCACTGCTGTGGCCTTCACTGTAGTGAAATAGAAGATCAGATCTTCAGGACTATCAATCCAATACCTTTCATTGGCTATACATTTACTTAAGAAATATTGTTTTCAAACAAATGTACTTGCTCCCAGGAGGCTGTGTGGTTGAGTCAATTTGCTTTGCCTAATACTTACGATTTGCTCTCAGTGATTTTAAATGCACAGGCACCATTCAGTGTAATTGATCTTTTGAGTAGAAGGATTATGGCAAGCCATGTTCTTCTTTGTCACTTATAGAAGTTAAAAGCAAATGCACATACAAGCTGATGAACTGGATATTTTCCATATTCTTTGCAAACATTTCACTTTTAGAAGCATACATCTGTTTTATACTTGCTAAAGGATATACAACCCAAAGCTTTCTATTTCTACTAATAATTAAGAGCCCTTTTTTCTTTTACAACAGCATGGGTATATTTTATTCTACTGGAGAGTCACTTAAATAGTTGAGGACAAATGTGAATCCCACTTACACATCTTCTGTGGAACAGCATGATATGTGTATAACTCTGAATCATTCGAGTATCATCTCCATGTGAATATGCATGTGGTTAGAATAGAGGAGTGGACACAGTCTGGAAATGGTTTGGGTCTGGTTTGTTATTTAGTTATCCTGTTAATATCCTTCTACCTATCTGTGCTTGCTGTTTGAACGGGACTGGGGTTCAACTTTGGATCTCCAACATGGAACAATAAAGTCTACATCGTTCAGTGAACTTTGGGCATAATTACTGTGTCTAGGACACCACTACAATTTCTTTTCACTGTTGTCTTCCTGCCCATCCTTGAACTCACCATAATTTGAAAAGGCAGTAGATCATAGAAAACTACCAAAAGACCAACCAAGAGCTAAATAGTTTCTTCATAGCTTCTCTCATTTTGCTTTTGCTCAATTTCAAATTCTTGGGAGTTTCCATAGCTAAGCACTGAAATGTGGGCCTATTCCCAGTCAGGAACCAGATAATCCTTTTTGTTGGTATATATGTTATGATGTAGAAAATGAGGAGTCACTTAAAAAAAATTCAATGGAGAATTCCATTTATTTGTAGGATTTCTTTTTCTTTGAGGATTCAGAGTTGGAAATGAAGTGCCTTTGGCCTTAGAGAATAAGATACAGGCAACCACAACAGCCTGGAATTATCCTCCTTTCCTAAAATAATTCTGCTGTCCCGAGTGACTTACAGCCCTGTGGACCCAACCCAGGGTAGGGCGGAGACAGGAGGCAGGGTAGTGAGATGTGCTTTGAATCTATCTATGTCCAGGAGTACCCCTTGCCCTAGGAGATTTGGGGAACAAAGTAAGAGGATGTCAACTCTCCATCTCCTGGCAAAGAGCCACTTGCTTGTGCAGTTTAATTTTTTGTTTGTTTGTTTGCCTTTATAGGGACTGCACATTATCTACCTTGAAGTGCTTTTTCTGGCAGCATAGTTACTGTTAAAAAGGAGAAGGGAAATTGAGATGAGAGGGGCGGGGCAGAAACATTTTTAAATATTGCTTTATGGGTGAGAAAGGAAGAAAATATTTGCAGACAAAAAAAAAATCTGCCAGGAAATAATTTCTTCTTTTATAAAACTACGAGGTTAGTCTAAATATGATCTTTGCAATCTCTTTTAGTTCAAAACTGATTATTTGAAGATTAGTATGTAATCTTCCTCGTTCATTGAATGGCGTTCTTCTTTTATGTGTGTTGCAAAACAACCTTTTTAGAAAATATCTGTGAAGCTTATCTTCTGATTAATAGCTATGATTGTTCTTTGTAAGACACCAGCTTGAATGTCCTGAAACCAGAAGCCCTAGTCCACTGGATATACTCAGAGTATCTTACCAAAAAAAAAAAAAAAAAAAAGGAAAGAAAGAAAGGGAGAAAAATAAAGACTTAACCGAGTGTGAGGTGAGACCATGAAAAAGTGTGTATGTGGAAATGGGGGATCAGAAAGAATAGAAAAGGGTTTAGTATAAGGATCAAAACCAAAGAACACATACGTACAAGCTAGTGTCCTATTACAGACTCTTCCCAGTGTTCATCTCTTTTGAATTTTTCACCTGACTGAGCTCTTTTCAGGTCTCTGCAAAGCAGTTAAGTTTGCAGTAGAGTTCACAGTGCTAAGAAGTGTTAGCAAAGTTTACATGCAAAGGGAAGGCACAACCAATTACCGTTTATCACTTGAAAAACTCGATTTCTGGACTTAGCACTTCCCAGCACCATGCTGCCTCTGGGCATTCAAGCTTATTCTTCTTGAGATGGCTCGATTCTGTCTGTCCTCCCTCTGTCCATGCTCTGCTTTCAGTGAAGTCCCTTTGTTTCTGAAAGAACTATCTTATCTCCATTATGTACCATGTTCCCCACACTTACCCATCTTCCATATGTGGTTCCTTTCTCCCTACACCTTCTGGCCATCCAAATCACACACTCAAGTCAAGGGAAGCTTTAGACTCTAAGAAAAGGCAGGAACATGGGTATAATCCCATCCACAGTGGTAGGTTTCCTTCTTGTCCCTTTGTGTCTGTGTGTATTGTATCAGATGAGCATGTACTTCTCATAACATCTTGAAATCCTTGCACTGATTTTTAAATAACAGCAGCAATGACCACAATTCTCGGCAACTCTAGAATTACGTATTGCCAGTTGTGTTCCTCAGGAAGCAGACTCTGGGAGAGGATTAGCATGAAGAAGACTTATTAGGGAGAGCTCTTAGGATCAACACCAGTAGAATGGGAGGGAAAGCAAGATTGAGAAAGGGAGAAGTTGGGTTGTGATGCAGTTTAGTGGAGGCTTCTGGGAGGTTGAAGTTGGGATGTCTTCAGGGCTGTCTCCATTAGGGTGAGGGGGCTGAGCCTTTATGTCCCCGTAGGCAGCTCTGGAATGGGTGAGTGACCGTGCTTGAAGTACCTGTCTTCAGACTAGTTGTCTTAGTCGGCCTGGGCTACTGTAACAAAAATACCATAGACTGGGTGGCTTGTAAACAACAAGCAATTATTTCTCACAGTTCAGGAGGCTAGGAGGTCCAAGATCATGGTTGATATGGTTTGGCTGTGTCCTCACCTGAATCTCATCTTGAATTGTAGCTCCCATAATTCCCACGTGTCATGGGAGGGGCCTGGTGGGAGGGAATTGAATCATGGGGGCAGTTTCTTCCTGTGCTGTTCTTGTGTTAGTGAGTAAGTCTCATGAGATCTGATGGTTTTATAAAGGGGAGTTCCCTTGCACATGCTCTTTGCCTGCTGCCATGTAAGATATGACTTTGCCCCTCCTTTGCCTTCAGCCATGATTGTGAGGCCTCCCCAGCCATGTGGAATTGTGAGTCAATTAAACCTCTTTCCTTTATAAGTTACCGAGTATCGGGTGTGTCTTTATTAGCAGTGTGAGAATAGACTAATATAATGGTGCCAGCAGATTCAGTGTCTGGTGAGAGCCTGCTTCTGGTTGATAGATGGTGCTTTCTATTGCCTGGGCCCCACAGCTCACCAGGGCATCCTTTGAAATCCAGGTGGAGGCAGCAGCTCCTCCCCACTCAACTCCCCCACAGCTTTGCTGGACACAGTGCATGCTGTAATGGGGTCCACTGGAGCCATACCTGGGGCAGCCTAGGAGCCCAGTCACAGGGTATGGGAAAGTGAAGCTCATGATGTGAGGTGGCACCCCCTCCTTTGAAATCTTTTTGGCCGCTAGCTCCTTATATTCTGGGCCTGTGATGGGAGGGGCATCCCTGATAATCTCCTAAATCTGCTGGGGTCATTCTTCCATTGTTTTGGACAGTAGGTCCTGGCTTCTCTTTAGGTGGCTAATTCATCTCCCCATTGTCATGATAAATAGCATCTGGCTTCCCTTGAGATGCCTGATCCCTAGTAAACTCTTTACGAATGGTCACTTGGCCACACTTCCAAACAGACTTTTTCATGTTTTTCAATATGGATAGGCTGAGGATTTTCCAAAAATTCAAGTTCCGTTTCCTTTTTAATTAGCAATTCCATCTTTAAGGCATTTCTCTTTTCTCATATTTTACTGTAAGCAGTCAGGAGGAACCAGACGTTCTGTCAACACTTTGCTTACATATTTTTCACCCAAATATTCAATTTCATCTCTGGCAAGTTCTACCTTCCATAAATCAGTAGGGCATGAATACAACTCAGCCAAGTTTATTGCTACTTTATACAATGATGGCTCTTCTGTAGTTTCCAGTAAGATGTTCCTCATTTCTATCTGATACCTCCTCTGAATGACCTTTACCATCCATATTTCTACCAATGTTCTGTTTGTGACCTTCTATGAAGTCTTTAAGAATACTCTTAGAGAATTCAAAAAGTATTAGAGCTACATGCTTTCTCTGTAGCTCTCCTCCTCTCCTCTGAGACTTCACAGAATCATCCTTAAGGATCTGTTTATGGCAATGTTGGCTTTTTCTTGGATGCACATGAAAACTCTTCCAGCCTCTACCCACTACCCAGTTTCAAAGCACTTCTACATTTTAGATATTTGTTATAGCAGCATCCCACTTCTTCGTAAGACAATTTTCTGTCTTAGACTATTTGGACTGCTATAACAACAGCAACAAAAATACCATAAACTAGGTAGCTTCAAAACAACAAACATTTATTTCTCACAGTTCTGGAGGCTGGGAAGTCCAGGATTATGGTGCCTGCAGATTTGGTGTCCAGTGGGGGTCTGCTTTTTGGATCACAGATGGCACCTTCTTACTGTGTCCTGACTTGGGGAAAGGGGCAAGGGGAATTTTTCTTGGGCATCTTTCGAAAGAGCCCTGGTCCCATTCATGAGGACTCCTCCTCCATGACCTAATCACCTCCCAAAGGTTCTACTTCTAACACCATCACCTTGGGAGAGAGTATCTCAATGCATGAATTTCGGGGGGACACAAACACAGGGGCTGGCAGTTGAGTGCTGTCTTCTGAGTAGCACTCCAGCAGCTTGGGGAGTAGACCTTCACTTCTGAAAGGGAATCTGGGCAGGAGCATCACAGCATCCACCACAATTATCTTCCTAGAAAATGCCCTGATTGGAAACATTTTGGGTCAAGACTAAGATCTTGTCTTGGTCCATTTTGCACAGCAGGCCTTTTTTGGAATGCTGTTTTTCAGATGCTGAGGAACATTTCTGTGCCATTGTCATGTTCTGAGTCTGGTTCTCTTGTCAGCTTTGTGCTATGCTGGCTGCACCTCTAAGTCCTTTCTGGATTAATGAGTAATATCTTTTGCAGAATGCCTGAGACTGGGTAATGTATAAGGAACAGAAATTTATTGCTCACAGCTCCGGAGGCTGGGAAGCCAAGGGTTGAGAGGCCAGCATCTGGCAAAGATCTCCTTGCTGTGTCATCTCTTAGTGGGAGGGCAAAGAGAAAGCAAGAGTGTGAGAGAGCAAGATAGCGCTAAACTTATTCTTTCACAAAAAACCCACTCCTGGGATAATGCCATTAATCCATTCATAAGGGTGGTGCTCTCATGACTTCAATACCCTTTAAAGGTCCCACCTCCCAACTTCACAACATTGGAGATCTAGTTTCCAACATGTGAGCTTTGGGGGACACATTCAAGTCATAGCAGGTGTCATAGGAAATAGAGATTATGGAGAAAAATAAAAATAAATTATAACATTTAAACATGTAATAAAATTCTAGACATGAAAACAATGGCTAGAAGCTTCCTATTTCCAGGTGCCCCAGAATCACTGGCATCAGAAACCTGCTCTAGGCAGCAAGCCTTTTGCAGGATGCTGTTCCTCAGGAGCTGAGAAAGATTTTTCTGTGCCATTTTGAAGTCCTGAGGCTGGTTCTCTCACCAGCTTTGTGCTATGCTGGCTGTGCCTCTAAGCCCTTTCTGGCTTAATGTGTAATGTCTTTTACTTTTCTGTTTGTTTGTTTGTTTTTTCCTTCTAAGCTTTTATAAGTTTTATAAAAAGTATCTGTATGACTATTGGACTTTCTTTTAGTTGTCAACGGTGCCTAAAAGGACTCTCCTCATTCCACCTCCCAGCTTTTCTCTGTGTCAAGAGGGTGTCAAACACATGCTCTACACTAGATCATGTTCCTTTTAAAAATCAAATGCACATAGTAAAGTAGGGGGAGAATAACTATGTAACGGATGCCAGGCTACACATCAGGCAAGGGATTTCTATGTAAAGGTATCTATTACTTATATAGAATACCTAGCACACCTCTAGGTCTTTTGCATATTTTTATTGTTAATCCTTATTGCAGTCCAGCGTGTCGGATATTATGGTCCTGATTGTGTCCAGGAAATAAGCTTTTCAACAGCTTATATACTTTGCCTAAGATCATACAGCTTGTATGTAGCTTGCTGGAAATTTTGAATTCAGGTTTCTTTTCTTTTTCTTTTTCTCTCTTCTTTAAAAAAAAAACCTACAGCTTTACAGTTGATATTCTTTCTATTATTATTTTATTGCTTTCTTTATACACAGTTGACTTCCTCATGTGCAAAGACTCTTTTCTACTTTTTCCAAGTTTCCCAAGAAAGTTCAGCACAATGTAGTACATATCTACGAAAGAGTTTTGATTTGGCTGGAAGTTATTTTTCAGGTCATATTAAAGAGAGATTTTTTTTTTTTTTAAACAAAGAATCACTCCTTTGTGAATGGTTGTTTGGCTTGTCTCAGAAAAGTTTCAATTGCAAGTCTTAAAAGTTTTACCAGCTAAAGATCTCTTGAAGCTAAGTATTCCTCTTCCTTTCCTGAAATAAATTTGATTGTTCTCTCTGACTCTGTGTTTTGACTCTTTCTCCACATTCCAACGTAAGGATCTTTCTAAATCACATACTCTACTTCTTTATTTAGCTCTCATCATCTCCAGAGAATAATAACTCAGCTCTTTAAATTGGTGCCCAAGGGTCTTCATAATCTGAGTTAGACATCTCCAGCTCTGTCTCCTGCTGTTTCCCCAGTAATACTAAGCAATTGTATCTCCTTCGACACCTTTCTGTGAGCTACTCATATGAGTATCTCAGATATACTTTCATATCTCACTGTCGTTAGGATGAATGTGTGTGACATGCCTTATAAAGCATTTATGCATTTGAAGCACAAAAAATATTTAGAGACCCTAATATTTCAAATATATACTTGTGTCTTTCTTAATTTTATGATTATTTTTCATAAGGTTGTCTTTTCCAATAGACTTATAGAAGACTCTATGGTTCTTAGAGTTACTACATAGATGATTCAATAACAGAGATTCAGATTTATTGACTGAGAGTATCATACTGGGGGGAAAATTATCAAAATAGATTCTATTTCTGGTTCTATGGGGGACTTGTACCATGTCTAATATATTACTATATACCTAATAGGTTTTCAAAAATATTTATTGAGTGAAATGAATTTAATATATGTAAATTATATGCTTTATACA
The DNA here is from genome assembly GCF_000001405.40 of Homo sapiens. Lineage (NCBI taxonomy): Eukaryota > Metazoa > Chordata > Mammalia > Primates > Hominidae > Homo > Homo sapiens. The sequence goes on along the minus strand of NC_000012.12, from coordinate 26,640,440 downwards.
AATATGTTTGAATCAAAACAATATTACTAGATTGTAACATTCTAAGTATATGTTTTTTTTTAATTAAATTTTTTTTTAAGTTCTGGGATAAATGTTTAGGACGTAGCGGTTTGTTACATAGGTAAACATGTGCCATGGTGGTTTGCTGATTGTTTTTCTACTCACATTGCCTAACTGAGTTAATAGGGCAGGATCAATCCCTAAGAATGACTTTACAAATAATGAGAATGACTGAAGAGGGTCATGTTGTTCTAAGCTGTCTACTACAGTTATTTTTCTGTAGTTATAAATATTGCTTGAGCCTCAGCATCTGATGTCTTCAAGTGTTAATACACTTGCATAGGCTCCCCAGTTCTCACAATCTCTGGTGACCTATGATAAGGCTTATTGTTAGAACCCAACACAAACTTATCGAATGCTGGCATAGACCCATTTGACTCAGCAATCCCATTACTGGGTATATACCCAAAGGATTATAAATCATGCTGCTTTAAAGACACATGCACATGTATGTTTATTGTGGCACTATTCACAGTAGCAAAGACTTGGAACCAACCCAAATGTCCAACAACGATAGACTGGATTAAGAAAATGTGGCACATATACACCATGGAATACTATGCAGCCATAAAAAATGATGAGTTCATGTCCTTTGTAGGGACATGGATGAAGCTGGAAACCATCATTCTCAGCAAACTATCACAAGGACAAAAAACCAAACACCGCATATTCTCACTCATAGGTGGGAATTGAACAATGAGAACACATGGACACAGGAAGGGGAACATCACACTCTGGGGACTGTCGTGGGGTGGGGGGAGCGGGGAGGGATAGCATCAGGAGATATACCTAATGTTAAATGACGAGTTACTGGGTGCAGCACACCAACATGGCACATGTATACATATGTAACTAACCAGCACGTTGTGCACATGTACCCTAAAACTTAAAGTATAATTTAAAAAAAAAAGAATGCTGGCATAGAAAGGAACCATATAAATTATCTATATAATATATGAGCTTCATATCTTCATGCAACACCCATTACAAATGGTCACATAGGATCTCCTTGAACACCTAGAGTGACCAAGATTTTACTTCCGCAAAGGGTAGGCCTTTCTTATTTTTCATAGCTCTAATTATTAGGTCTTTTTTGTTTGGTTATCCTATATGTAGACTTCCCTCTCACTTCCAGCAAGCAGCCTTACTTCTGTTGCTTGTTGAGCTGCACAGAAATACAACATCCCTTCCACATGTCAGGTCTTTCTGTGCTTGAAAATGGCTAGCACATCACCTGCGTCCCCCCTCCTCTCTGTATAGTCCTATGCAATTCCTGTAGCAGTTCCTCTTATGACTCAATCTAATTTATCACTGATTTGACTGGCACAGAAGCAAAGATGGCTACATTCGCCTCATTCTGAACCCTTTTATAATGTAGCCTAGGTGAAAATGAGTGTTTTGTTAACAATGACATAGTATTGATTCCTACTAAACTTGAACTCAACTAAAATTCTAATTTGTTTTCTTTTACATCACATTTTCCCACATCATGTACTTGAGTTGGTTTTCTTTGGCCCTAAGCATGTAGCACCTTTTATATTTTGAATTTACCATGTTGGATTTAACCTGTTATTTTCTTCCTATTTGTGTAGTTTTGGAATTTGGTAGAGTCATTCACTATATTAGCCATCCTCCCTTGTTTCATGTTATCTTTGCATTTGAGAAACATGCTATCTCTGACTTCACCCAAGTCAATGACGAAAATACTGATCTAGTCAAGGCAAGAACAAAGCAGCAAAGAACTAAAGGCCCTTCTGTGCTTTAACATTGATCAGTTACCCAGTATTCTTTGGCATAATCACTTAACCAAACTCATACCTATGAAACTCTACATTAGCCAATACATGTGTCTGTGGTGTGAGAAATCAAGAGCATCGTTGCCTTTGGTCGTGGGGCTGGGGAGAAATTTGGGGGGAATTGACTGTGAAAGGGCACAAGAGAGCTTTCTAGGGTGATGGAAATTTTCAGTAACTGGTTTGCATGTGGTTCGTATGGTATATGCCTTTATGAGAACTGCTCAAACCTTTCATTTATGATCAGTGCATTTCACTGTAAGTAAATTACATTTCACTTATGAAAACAGCATGTACATTCATTTATTACTTCCATTACCAACTATTAATCATTGAAGATCAGTTTTGCAAATTGAAATCTTGAGATTTGGAATATTGAAATGACTTTGTCAATATTTGACAGTGATGAAATCCAAAATAAGATGCAGAACACAGCCACTATTTTATATGAATTGCTTTTTCAGTTAATCCTTTGAATAACACTTCTTTAGTGTGTGGGATGTAAAACAGTTTTCTTCTAAGTAGTCTACTTGATATTCAATAAAAGATGGATAATAACATTACTACACTTTGGTTACATGCTTTTGGTTGGTTTTTGTTTTGTTCTATTTCTAAGCCCTTGTAAAGTTGGAATCTGTAAGCAGTCTATTAATACACTGTATTCAGTGGTGTTTTATTTAGAATGAAGAAAATTAGGTATCATATTATCTGCTTCTTCCATTAAGTATTCTTTATTAAACACTCTTCTGAAGGACATCTCCATTTAGAGTCAATATTGTGTTTTGATCATGCCGTATTATAAGACATTATGAACTATAATTATATGATGAAACCACATATTCATTAGTAAGGTGGTGACCACTATAATGGAACATAATTAAATGGAGAAGAGTTGTTTTTCAGAGGTGTAGCGAAAGCATGCAGATGTCCTCTACTTTTCATTTTTGAAATAATACCTTACAATTATATGGTACTTTTTTATTGTTCATGGCTTTTTTTGCACATATTATATAATTTTATTCTTACAAGAAGGCCCAACCTATTTTATAGGATTAAGATTTTGAACATAGGATGATGACATGATTTGACAAATATCACACTTCTGTAATCTAAATCTTTCACTTCGTTCAAAACCTCGTTAAAAATTGTATATCCTTTGTGAAACTGTCTTTCACTGCCCTCACTCTAAGATAATTTCCCAGTTAAAAAAAATTCCTAAGCAATTTTGTGTGCTGTCCATGCTATACTACTACCATCATATCTGTCTTGTACTTGTTCTTAATTTTTTTATGGGCACATTTTATGTTTTCCTGACCATATTGTAAATTCTTCTTCCTTTCTTATATCTTCCCACCTGAGATGTCCCTGGTATAGAGCCAGATGAACATTAGGTACTTTATGAATACTTTCTGAACAAGGGCTGCTTCTAAAATTAAATTGTATAATATAAGCAAAATACCACTGGTAGTATGTGGCACATGATATGTAATAAAAGCTGGTTGGGTAAGATCACTTCAGAATAATGTGAGCAAATTTATCATATGATTAATGGAAATTCTACATTTTCAGTACACAGTTTTAATTGGAATCTTTTCTTCTGTAATTGCATTAGGGCTTTCTGAATTCTAGTATAAAAATTTTGGAACTTTGTAAAGTCTGTTAGTGAACCAACCTGGTGTGGGAAAACATGATTCATGCTGAGATCAGTTGATGTGTACTTGAGACTCTGCCACTTCCTAGCTATGTAAACTGGAATTCGTCTCCCAACCCCCACCGTGCTGTGAGGATCCAATGAGGTGAAGGGTATATGTGGCCTGTGGTCTAGCAAGGTACACACAATATGATAAGCCCCTGATAAAGACAGGTTTCATTATTTTCCCTTATCTCATTGGTATCTATTTTATTAATTTTTTCCTTTTAATAAATTTTTAAGTAATGTGAAATTATGTATGCTTTTTGAAAAAAGGGAGAAGTATAAAGGAAAGTAAGCAAAAACTCAACTTGATGAAAGATGAAGTACCTTTAATGAGACCCAACTTTTTATATAAACCTTATTACAATAAGTCATTCTCATTTTTAATAGTTCATTTTGTTATCCAATCTTTGTTATTCATGCGTTACTTTGACAAACATTTATTAAATAAGAGTTGGGCATCGGACACTATTCCAGGTGTTAGAAAAAGGTAGACTCCCTGTCCTCATGGAACTCGTGTTTTATGTTGTTGGAGAGGGGGACTGCAATAAACACACAGACAAATATATGATATGATATGAGACAGTGTTAATGCCATGACCGAAATTTAAAGGGGGTGCATGGATTGAGAGTGATGGAAGTTCTTCAGAGAGGGTGGCCAGAAGAGGTCTACCTATGGAGGTGACATTGCACCACAAATCAGAAAGGAGTGAGGGAGCAAGTTGTGTGACCGTCTGGACACAAGAACACAAGGCAAAGTTATAGCAAGTTCCCTGTAGGTTCGGCACATGGAATAAAAACCATGCATGTATGTACTACGTAGAACTAGCTATCCAGCTTTCCAAAATACTGTGATCTTACTTGGAATTGGGACTGCTGGTTAGATAAAATTGCTTTCTCTGGCTGTTTAATCTTGATCTTCCCCTTAACCCAGGTTGCTACCATATTACCTACTGCTCTGTGGTTACTAGCTTAATTAAGGCTTTGATCTTATGCTAATGTTTTTGTTTTCTTTGCATACAGAAAAGTCCTTTTATAACCCAGACCCTCAGCCACTGGGAGGAAGTACTGCTCCAGGGAATGTTTGAAATAGAAAACTGCTCTAGTTCTAGAAAGTAAAGATATTTTCCAGCAAGGGCAGGTTTATAAGGAGCTGCTAAGCTGGGATGGGAAATAGGAAGACTTCCAGAATCATGTCTTCATGGTTGAACATCATTCGGTTTCAGATGAGTTATTATAACAGCAGATGCATTTATTCAAATCCAACTATTAAAAATATGTTTCAGGGAAAATAATAGTTTTTGGATTATCCATTTTTGGCCTCTATTATGATAAAACATTGAGCTGATTTTAGTAGTCATAGAACAATTAAATGACTGTGAACAATTATTCACAAAACTCTTAGAATCAAATGTGTCTGTTATCTCTTATAAATGCTGAGAATGTTTCAGAAATGTCTGATATCTAAACAACAAGAAAATTCAAATTATCATTTTCTTATGTGTTCATAAGAGAAAAGCATTTCTAATAAAAAGAGAGAATAAATATAACTTTAAATAAAATAAATACCAGCAGACTTAAGTAAATTTCAATCAATATTCTGTTAAATCTCTTACACCTGCTATAAATTCATGTAGCTGCTAGTGGTTGTTGAACCCAATAGTGTGATCACCACAGTAAAATTATTTCTGAATAGGGCAAAATTAAATTATGGTCAGCACAGCTGTAGTGTTAGGTTGGTTAATTCCTTATTGCTTTTCACTTTCCTGAAATGGGCAGTAGGAGCTTGGCTCACTGGAACAATCAAAGAACAAAGCAATGTATTCCCCAAGCATTCCCAGTTACCGCTCTCAGTATGCATTTGCTATACCTGTCTTTTAGATTTTTTTTCTTGAGGGAATTAAGGTTACTAAAAATATCTATGTAATCATATAATGAAAGAACCTGAAAAGTTGACCCGTCATTCTTTCTAAGCAGTCCCTTCCTTTTTTTTTTTTTTTTTTTTTTTTTGAGATGAAGTCTTGCTCTGTTGCCTGGGCTGGAGTGCGGTGGTGCAGTCTCAACTCACTAGTACCTCTGCCTTCCAGCTTCAAGCAATACTCCTGCCTCAGCCTCCCGAGTAGCTGAAATTACCAGTGCCCACAAGCACGCCCGGCTAGTTTTTGTATTTTTAACAGAGACAGGGTTTCACCATGTTGATCAGGCTGGTCTCATCTCCTGGCCTCAAGTGATCCACCCGCCTTGGCCTCCCAAAGTGCTAGGATTACAGGCATGAGCCACCGTGCCTGGCGTTTCCTTCCTTCTTACTTTGTACTTAGCAAAGATGACTTCCATATTTTCAAATTATCTCATTACACTTTGTACACAAATGCCAATTCTGGCTGCTGGGTTTATATAAAAGACACAGAAAAGCTGAATTTGTAAGCATTAGGTTGTTCAGAGAATTTATATTATAGTAGGCTTTTTCACTGAAAACTTTCCAGTCAATATTAACTAATTATGGTTGAGAAGTAGTACAATTTCTTTTTTTGCAATGTTGAGGATTAATCACCTCTGATTTATCTCAACAGTTTAGAATTAGAAGTTTTTCTCTGGAGGAATGGATATTAGAAGCTTTGCATGGCTGTGATTTATGCAGTGTCTGACTTCATGTTTTTCAAGCTGTAATGGTTCACAATTTTAGCACTTCTCATCACCACCAACCAAATCCAGAAAATGTAGCATTTTTAATTTGAGGCCTCTGAGCTGGCCATACATGGAAATGTCAAGTGAGGTTTGTGGCGACCACGTGCCACAGGCATCTGAGAATGTGGTATGACTGAGTGAACCCTCCCATTTCATTGACGACATGTGTTACAAATTACTATGGATCTGGCCTCTGGATTTTAATTCCTTGGTGACAGGATCTATATTTGGGGGAAAGAATTGTCTGGGCTAACTTTCTGTGTAGTAATCATTTGGATTAAAGGATTATTTTCCATGCAAATCTAAATAAGATGCAGACACTGTGGGTGCCAAGGATTTGTGTGTGAATCAGGGGTAAGAATAACAAAGGAGCCTGTTCTGTATTAGTAGTGAGAAAGCATCTCTTGGAGGCAAACACGTATACATACTTGAATCAAGTCTCAGATAAAGGTAGTGGTTAAATATCGATGGCTCAAAATCATTGCCAACAACCAGATGTGCCTCCCTGCAGTCCATGTAGCAAGCAGGGGGAGGGATGTTGAAATACTCAATTGCTATGATTGTTTGAGAACCACAGACAATGAAGCATTCTGCCTCAAGGCTATTCTGATAGAAAAGAGGGGCTGGCTCAAATCCTTTTGCCTCAATTTTGTCCGAACTTGGAAATTACACTTATATATACATTTTGTCGTGTTTTTTGGCTTATGCAAGTAGCAGTGTAATAAAAGGTCTCAGACCTTCAAAATGAAAACTTCTGCCTGGACTATGCCACTTTAGGAAAAATGTAACTTCTTTGTGTACTCTAAGATGTATTACTGAAGCACTACCCTCTTACACTTAAATTGATTCCATATACAGATAAGATAATGAATTTTCAAAGGCATTTTACCTTTTCACAATGTACAGATAATAGTCTTTACCAGTGGCTTAATGGTAATTGTGGTCTGGACCATTCAGATTCTCTTGTCATCTTTTACATATTTTCTTTTTATTTGTTTGCCTTTCGATCCTGTAGGTATTACCATGGTTTACATTCTTCTCTTAGAGCTCAGAGTTTTTTTTTTTTTAATAAAAATCTCATCCCATCTTATTTCCATTTCTCTTTCTCTTGGTTTACGCCCTGAGACACTGAGGGAAAGGAAAATTCTTAGCCAGATTCTTAGGCCTTTGCTTAAGGCAGAGCTCCATGAACACCCACGAAGCAAAGACCACTGTTTGGAAAGGAATGGAGACAGCCATTCTTTTGCATCCTTATTGCTTCCTGTGGGAACTTAGAAGTGAGAAGCAGCATTCAGGCTGGAGAACATAAATTGTCATAGTGTTAAGGAGGATCCTTGGATACAGCTATTTGTGGTCAGTGTAAGGAACGTGTGCATGATACGAATGATGACATTTTATCAGCAAATAAAGGAGAAGCCAAATTCAGAAAGAGACGGAAAGAGCGTGATCCCTCCCTCATTGAAAATGATCATGTTTGTCACTAGCTTGTTTCCATAATCACCTCAAACATTATTGCTTTCTGTGGATTTTGAGTAATGGTTTTCTATTCAAATTGGATGAAGGAATGGGAAGTGTATTGGCTAATGCATATGTCTTCCCCAGATGAGACTATTTTTTCTTAAAATAAAGGTAACAGTCCTCCTCACAAGCTCTTTTTATAAGTGTTATGAAAGGAAAGCTAAAAAATCCCTGGTTTGAGGATCAGATTATGATGCTGGAATTCAATATCTAAATGTTTTTAGGCAGTCTTTGTATCCCCACTTGCAACTCACTTTATCTTGGCGATTAGTAATCTTCTTTTGCATTATTGTAAAAGCAAGGGCCTATTGGTATGACAGTTAGTAGGACATACTGTGTTACAGAAGGACCTGATTTGGATGTTAGAGCAACCTGCTCACCTTTGTTACATGATTTGAAAGCATTTTCTGAAAAAGGAAAATTTCCATTTTTAAAAGTTGTCATTTTGAAACATGTCTGCAATATCTTAATTTTATCTGTAAAGAAAGAGCCCAAACAATGCTTATGCTATTCTGTCTTATCCTGAATCCTTTTCCTGGCTGCTTTTCAGTGTGGTTGTGACTAACTGAGTTTTATAGTTACATGATCTCCAGGGGTTGTGTGTGTTGACTTACGGCATTTTCTCATGCCAGGAAACAATGTGATGAGAACCATTCATGGGGTGGGAGAGATGATGACCCAGATGGTACTCAGTAGAGGCTCCATCTTCCCCATGAGCGTGCCGGATGTGCCACCCAGCATCCACCCGAGCAAGCAAGGGAGCCCCACCGAGCACGAGGATGTGACTGTGATGGACACCAAGCTGAAGATCATTGAGATTTTGCAGGTGTGTTGCCTAACAGAAGCTAGGTGACAAAGATGTAATTTTGCTTATTGATTTAACTTCTTACCCTTTTTGTTCCAAATCACTGTGTAAATATTCTGAAATGCTATCAATATAATTTTATTTTTTTAAGTTAATGACAAACCTGGTAAAAAATATCACACAGACGCTATTTAACATATGAATCACATTTGTCCATTCCCATTAAATATACTAATGATCATATCTAACAATTGTGGGGTGCTTTGAGGTTGATAAACTGCTTTCATGTGTATTAAAAAAAATTAGTATTGTCCCTGATGGAACTTTACCTTCATTTGAGAAGGATTTCAGAGCAAGCAAAGTTATTGATTAGTTTCCAGCTCTTTTCCTATTTTTAATTGAATTGAACATGTGATTCCATATATCTAGATTTATTGTTTTAGCAAGAAAGACAAATAAAATTTTATTTCTTATTAACAAAAATTATTAATCATTGGTTTTGGTATTTTATATGTGACAATCCCTCTCTGTTTTTGTTTCTAAAGGACAAAGGAATAACTAGAAAAAATAACCTAGTCTAATGCCTAATTTTAAGAATTTAAAGGAGATAAATTATTATTTCATGCCCATTGGTTTAGTGAATAGACTTCCCATTACGAGAGCTATAAATTCTTAGCAGTTTTTAAGTTTGAAAATACCTTTTGTGATACCTTAATTATAGCATTTATTCCAGATTTGGAGAATGGAGTTTGAAGTTTTCAAGTACCTATTAGGAATCTAGGTACAGTTTACTGTGTCTTTCATCATAATTTAATATAGACTGAGCTACCAGAAGTGGGTTAGTAGTCCTTTAAGGGTCTGTACATTGTTCATTTAAAGTAATTAGATTTATAATCATAAAAGGTTTCACAGTTCCTCTAGGAATTCCAAAGGCTGAATCCTGAGAAATATTGGCAGGCCTCCCAATGCTGTGTTCATGACCCTGAAAAATCGTTTAAAGTTTTCCTGTTCTTAAACTGAGAAAGATAGCGATCACCTGACCCATGGACCTACTGATCCCCAGCTTACCATCACCTGACTCATGGGACAAACTCTAAAATACGTGACCTCATTTTAGCCCACATTTACAGAAAAAAAGCATTAGAAAAACAATCTCCAACAGCTAAAAAAGGATGAGATGGAGCTTCTACGGCTCAGCAGTCCGGGGCTGATTCATTTCTGCAGCGTCTCCTTGAACCGCTATTCACTCTGATTTTCTATCCCTGTGTCTGGGCCGGCTCCACCGTGCGTATGTGTCTGAGTACTGTTTCTGAATGTGTCTTTCTTGGAATGGCTCTTCAGGAATTTCTTTGTAGCCCTACTCCTTGGTGCTACAAGGACTTCAAGGTCCTGTGCCTTGTGCCAGCTCCTCTCTTCCCCCTGGGTCTTCTTTTTTTTTTTCCCCCCCATCACTTTGTGTATCTCTCTCAGCCTCTCTCTTTTCATTTCTCTCTCATTCTCTCTCTCTCTTCCTGGCCCTCTCTTAATTCTTTTTCTCTGCCTTTGTTTTTATCCTTCCCTTTCCTCCTTTCTTTCTACTTTCCACTTGTTTTTCCTGATTAGGCGTATTAGAGAAATGAAAGTTTTAATTTTGATTGTATTTATGGAATACAATGCTGCATGTAAACATTGTCAACTGAAAGTTAGTTTCATTTGTTTATGATTTATCCTTTACTTTAAAAAATAGGATTTTAAACACCCTTCCATGTGAAGCATCTGCAGTCCAGCTCTGCCCCCTGCCTTCTGCTCATGGTTACCAAATCCCATGCCCTTTCTCAGTCCTCTTTTCCCATGAGCTGTCTCCTGCCCTGCAAATCCCTTTGCTACCAAGAATCAGTTCAATCAATATGTGTTCCAGCCCTCACCACACGTTCTTAAGAGTCTCTGGTGTTTGTTTTCCCCTCTAGACTGTAAGTTCTTCAAAGGCAGGATTGAGATCCTTGGCACCTTTTTATGCCCTTAGTGCCTTCCTCAATGCCTTGTTTAACGCATGTCTGGTGAATTAACCAGCTGAGTACAGCTGACATGGAGGATGTGTCCATAAAAAGCATAAAAGTCTAGCAAAGGCTGGGTGGGTCGGGGGAGGAGAGAGAGAGAGAGAGAAAAAGAGAAAGAGAAAGAGAGAGACTGAGACAGACGAGGACAGAGAAAGGGAGGGAGGGAGGAAAGGAGGGAGATTGATTCAGATTGTGACTGGGGAACCAGTGAAAGCTGCGTTAAAAAAGAATTTAAACTGGAACTTGGAGGATTTTTTTTTTTTTTGAGACAGGGTCTTGCTGTGTCACCCAGGCAGAAATGCAGTGGCACAGTCTTGGCTCACTGCAGCCTTGAGGTCGTGGGTTCAAATGTTCTCCCACCTCAGCATCCATGGTAGCTGGGATTACAGGCACGCACCACCATGCCTGGCTAATTTGTTGTGTTTTTGTAGAGATGGGACTTCGCCATGTTGCCCAGGCTGGTCTTGAATTCGTGAGGTCAAGCGATCCCTTTGTCTCAGCCTCCCAAAGTGCTGGGATTACAGCCATGAGCCACTGCCCCTGAGAGAGGATATCTTAAAATGTAATTATTATGAAGTGGAGGAGAATATTCAAAGTAAAGTGGACACTGTGAGCACCTGTGCGGAGGCAAGAGCGGAAGTGCAGGCACTCCAGTGCTGTTAGAACCGGAGAGAGGATGAGAGAAGGGGCGTAGGAGGAGGGAGGGATGGGACACAGGTGGTATAGATAGAGATGAAGTTAGATGATACCATGAAATGCCAATCTTCCTAAAACTTGGGTGACCACATTGTTTACTGTCCAAATACGACACTTTTGAGAATGTAGGGGCACCATTAATAATTATGCTGAAACAAAAGGTTAAACAGGGCCTCTCTCAGGCAGACAGGGACAGATGGTACCTATGTAAAAACCTCTCCTTTGATCTGCAGCACATCCCAGCTTTTTCTTCTTTGATTTCTGTTGTATTTAGACCACATGATTTAGCTCTCAATAGTTTCCTAATTATGCTAACAGTGCTATATTTTTTTCCCAACTCGACTATTGGCTTTTTGAGGGCAGTAGGCTTCACGTGTTTGCATTCCCTGTGGCACCTAGCACAGTCTGGAGCCTTGCTAGGTACTTAGTTTCTGTCCGTGCATCCATGAATGAGAACAATGACAGCAACCCAAACTCAAGGAAACACAAACACCAGTGAGGAAAATCCATGGTGTATAGATGCTGTTACTTAAACTGTCCTTTTAGAACCTGGCTTTAGGACTGATCATGGTATAGTCACAGTCATACTATTGTAGCTGAATTATTGCCCTACTGTGTAAGAATGAGGGTCACACCTCCAACAGTCTCCTCCCAGAGACAATGGCACTCTGTAAAATGTTCAGTAAAATGACGTCATCATTACCTCTTCATCCAGACCCCCACGATGCCTCTAGCTGGAATATTCAGAGAGCAGTCATAGGGAGTCAAATGTTCTTTCCAAAAATTGCTTTGGGATTTTACTGACATTAGCTAGTAGAAATGAATTCCCTTGCTTAGTCATTGCTGACAAACATGTGGCAACTGGTGTTAAAAGCTTCTAACTAGTTCCTTTGAAAGGTTGGTACTTCCACTGTTATTGGTGTGTTGTGAATTGCATTTTTAAATACTATGCTAATGAAAGAAATTTATGTTGTTCTTAATGTTTCTTATAGTTTATCCTGAGTGTCAGACTGGATTATAGGATCTCATATATGCTGTCAATATATAAGAAGGAGTTTGGAGAGGACAATGACAATGCGGAGACATCTGCCAGTGGATCTCCAGACACTTTACTACCATCAGGTATCTTTTTGTGACAGTATTTACTCTTTTTATTTTATTTTTCTGAGAACTTGAAAGTACCTATCATATTTTAAAACATAATTATATTTTTTGTGCTTTTTAAATTTTTTTATTATACTTTAAGTTCTGGGATACATGTGCAGAACGTGCAGATTTGTTACATAGGTATACACGTGCCATGTTGGTTTGCTGCACCCATCAACCCGTCATCTACATTTGGTATTTCTCCTAATGCTGTCACTCCCCTAGCCCGCCACCCACCGACAGGCCCTGGTGTGTGATGTTCCCCTCCCTGTGTCCATGTGTTCTTATTGTTGAACTCCCACTTATGAATGAGAACATGCAGTGTTTGGTTTTCTGTTCCTGTGTTAGTTTGCTGAGAATGATGGTTTCCTCATATTTTTACGAGACAAAAATGTAGATGTAATCTCCACTAACGACATCAAAGAACTGAGACAGATTGTGAAATAACTCTCCTAGAATGGTGTGGAGGGTGTTTGCTGTCGTTTGTTGCTAACTCCTATGAATGCCTTTTCCTTTGTAATCTTCAGGACTGGGACATACTGTTTACTGTGCCATTTTACAGAGGAGAAAACCAAGGTCAGAAAGGTTAAGTTACTTGCCAAAGGTCCTGAAAGTAGTGGCACAAGGATTCTCTCTGAGGTCTCTCCAGCTCGAGAGTCCAAATCTTTTCAGCATCATGATGTTTTGGTGAAAATCCAAGAGAAGTTTTTCTGCCTGGATCAAAGAGCAGTGCGAAATGTAGTTATCAGAAGGATAGGTGTTTTGAAGAGAAGCCGTTGCCTGATCCAGAATAAAGACGTGGCATTCCCCAAAGACTTGAATGTGGTTGTTGGTCTCATTTTGTGTGTGTGGATTTTTTTTAAAAAAATTTACTTTGTATAGTTATAAACTGGAACTATATTTCAATTTTCATATTTAAAAAGTGTAAAAATGAAGCTAATTTATCTCTGAGCACTGGAGCATAACAAAAGAGCACAGTTATGATTGTAAAAATTTTGTGACTATTGAAAGAACTTTAGAAAAACTAAGAAATATTAAATTACCATTTTTTTTTTTGGACAGGTCAGGCCAAGTCATTATAGGCTGAAAAGTATGTCTTATTGAAGATTTAGCCGGCTAATGGAATTCTTTTCGTGAGAATAGGATTTGTACACAGATGTGAAACTTCCTTCTAACTGCCACCACTGTGACATTAGGAACTCTCCCCTCTTCTTCGTCCATCAATCAGTTAGGAATGATTCAGTGATTACAAGCATGTAGTTAAAATGGATACTAGACCAACTGTCCTGCTGTCTGAATCATTAGTCCCATCAAAAGGCAGCATGCCGCTGCAGAAGGACTTGAGCTTGTCTAAGCAAGACTTCTCTTCTGGCACCTTTGCAATGGTGTTGTTTTTCTGCTTCTCAGAAGTGTAGAACCCCAAAGGGCTATTTCCAGGAATGATATGGCAGAACCAGGAAGTCTTGCTGGCGGTTGCATTGACAGTAGCATAAAAATTATTGACTCCCAGAGGCCTGGCTTCTGGAAACATGAGTTTTAAGTGTCAGTAAAGTACCAGAGGGAAAGTCTAGGGGCACCCCAGAAAACCCTTTCTCTCTACCTGATCTCTTTCCTTTTTTTGTACCAGTAAGGGATACCTTTCTGGGGAGAATTATTTTTCCACTTTTATATCTTACTGTGTTTCTTTTTACGCTTTGGAGATGAGAAATAAGTGGTGTATTTTATCATTTAAACATGTTACCTTGGCCAGGTATGGTGGCTCACGCCTGTAATCCCAACACTTTGGGAGGCCGAAGGGGGCGGATTGGTTGAGCCCAGGAGTTTGAGACCAGACTGGGCAACATGGCGAAACCCTGTCTCTACAAAAAAATACAAAAAAATTAGCCAGTAGTGGAGGCGCGTGCCTTTGGTCCCAGCTACTCAGGAGGCTGAGGCAGGAGGATTGCTTGAGCCTGGAAGGTCGACGCTGCAGTGAGTTGAAGTTGTGCCACTGCACTCCAGCCTGGGCAACAGAACAAGACCCTGTTTCAATAACAAACAAACACACAAAAAGCCCCATGTTATCTTAGTAAAGTTATCTTCAAAATGTTAGTGGTGTGGGACAGTAAGGAATCATGATTGGTTCACGTAGAAAAAAAAATGCCCTTTCCCACAAGAAAAAGGGACGGAATTTTAGTAATAGTAAGCTTAGGTAAAAAGACCATGGTGTTTGGAAATAACCATATAATAACAAGGCTAATTGTATGTATATTTTGATTCTTTAAAGAATTATCCTCCCATTTATCACTCATTTAAATTATATGTAAGTATGTGCATATGTATGTATATATGATCTATATATACACACACACTTCTCTAGATAAGAGGCACCTTTGTAACTGGTGCTTTCTGATCTTTTAGACATATTTTTGATTACAGCAATACATTAGTTTAAAACATAGTTTACATTAAAAAATTACATTGATGTCTTAGTGGAACTATATTGTGATTTTTTTCAAACTGTTAATTGACTTAAATTTTTTTAATTTTTAATTTTTGTGGGTACATAGTTGATGTATATATTTGTGGGGTATATGGAGTATTTTGATGCAGGTATACAATGTGTAATAATCATATCAGGATAAATGAGGTATGCATCACCTCAAGCATTTATCTTTTGTGTTACAAATAATCCAATTATAGTCATTTAGTTATTAAAAAATGTACAACAAATTATTATTGACTATAGTCACTCTGTATACTAGATCTTACTCATTCTGTCATACTATATTTTTGTAACCATTAATCATCCCCACTCCGCCCACCCCACTACCTTTCCCAGCCTCTGGTAACTCTTATTCTACTGTCTATCGCCATGAGTTCAATTGTTTTAATTTTTAGCTTCCACAAATGAGTGAGAACATGAGAAGTTTGTCTTTCTGTGCCTGGCTAATTTCATTTAACATAATGACCTCCAGTTCCATCCATGTTGTTGCAGATGACAGGATCTCATTCTTTTTTTTAATGGCTGAATAGTACTCCATTGTGTCTGTGTACCACACTTCTTTATCCATTTGTCTGTTGATGGACACTTAGGTTGATTCCAAATCTTAGCTATTGTAAATAGTGCCTCCATAAAAATGGAAATGCAGATATCTCTTTGACATACAAATTTCCTTTCTTTTTCATATACACCCAGAAGTAGAATTACTGGATCATATGGTAGCTCAATTTTTAGTTTTTTTTTTTTTTTGAGAAACCTCGAAACTGTTCTCCATAGCAGTTGTACTAATTTACATTCCCACCAACAGTGTATGAGGGTTCCCTTGTCTCCAAATTCTCACCAGCATTTATTATTGCCTGTTTGTTGGATAAAAGTCATTTTAACTGGGGTGAGATGATATCTCATTGTAGTTTTGATTTGCATTTCTCTGATGATCAGTGATGTTGAGCACCTTTTCATAAACCTGTTTGCCATTTGTATGTTTTCTTTTAAGAAATGTCTATTCAGATCTTTTGCCCATTTTAAAATCAGATTATTAGTGTTAATTGACTTTTGGTCGAATAAAGAAATGAAGACAAAAATATTTTCACATCAATTGATATTAATATGACTATTATGGCTCCTAATTAAAATAGGATAAAGAAGAGATTTTACCATTTATCTTTGCAGCTATTGTTCCTGATATAGATGAAATTGCAGCTCAGGCAGAAACTATGTTTGCGGGAAGGTATAGTAACATTTATATATCTTTATCTTACTTGTGAATAACATTTTACTTAGAATTCTATTGATACTTTGATATTGTTCACTCTATATCTATTTATTTTTAGACCCTCTATTGTTGCTAACATAATTTCTGCCAGAAATGAAGCTGCTAATTTACTCTGGAGGAGAAAGCATAGCTTTTCTTTAGGTCAGGTAAAAAAAAGGACAAGAGAGATGAGATCAGTGTATTGAACTTTCCTCTGAATTCTTTGCTTTTCTTTCCTCAAATAATGACAGCCCAAGAATGCCCTTTAACTCCCCTGGTATAAATATCACTGAGTCTTGTAAAACATTGCTTCCCTGAATCTTAGATATTTGAGGCAAGAAAGTAACTTCTTTAATGTTATCATTAACTTTATATGTAAGAAATAAAGCCATTTTCTGCCAATTGGAAATACCCATGATTAAATAAAACAAGACACCTTTGACATGACTAGCCTCCTTTGCCATCAGGAATCCTGCCGTTTATTGTTTTAATATTGTTTGTTCTTCAGAAATGAAGTTAATAGTGATCAAAAAGAAAAATTAAAATGTTTAAGCTACAAATTATTAAGCTTCTGGTGCTCATTTATATTACAGACTTGACATGAGACCCTAAAAACAGTCTGTACAGTAGTCTTTCCTTATCTGCTACGGTTACATTCCAAGACCCCCAGTGGATGCCTGAAACCACAGCTAGTACCAAACCCTGTATACACTGTGTTTTTTCCTATATATACATGCGTATGATAAAATTTAATATATAAATTAGGCATACTAAGAGATTAACAACATAACTAATAATAAAACAATTATAACAATATGCCAGCATCACCACTCTTGCACTTTGGGGCCATTATTAAGTAAAGTAAGGGTTACCTGAACAAGCTCTGTGACCCTGCAGCAGTCACCTGATGACTGATACGGCTACTAAGTGACTAATGATGGGGGAACACGTACAGCGTGGAGATGCTGGCAAAGGGATGATTCATGTCCCAAATGGGACAGGCAGGATGACACAAAATTTAGAACTCGTGAATTATTTATTTCTGAAGTTTTCCATTTCATATTTTAGGACCATGGTTGACCATGGGCAACTGAAACCACAAAAAGTAAAACCACAGATAGAGTTGGGTAGGGTAGTGGGGACGACTACACTAAGCATCTTATTGCAGTTTTTGTTGTTGTCATTGGAAAGACAAACAAGAATCAAGAATTAGGGGCACAAAAAGAGGATTTTTATCTCTAGTGAACATTTAGTTTAGTTTTTATATTATAGTACTAGTTTGTGGTGTTGTATTTTCCTATTGAAGAATTTCATTATTCCCTAGGAGAAATGAACCAGTATATGATTTCATCTTGAAACAGATGGACCTTTTGTTCCAGTGGAACCTCACCCAGAGTCCTCATACGCCACACCTGTGGCCACTCTGGTGCTGGTTCACGCACATGTGCGCTGGCCTCCCCCACTCCTCCCCATCTGTCATGTAGGGGTCTGTAGGGCCCCAGGGGAAATCAGTCATCGGTGTACATCCAGCCTAGCACAGCTCCTCCCATAAATGCTTTTGGATTGATGCAGATGCCCATCTTTTGTCTATGCCAAGGTGACCAACTCATCCCAGTTTCCCTAGGAACCCCTGAGTCTTGGATAAACCGGGATGTTTGATCACCCCTGCTTTCATGGACAGACACAAGCTTTTCTTTATGATTGTTTCCTCATCAGTTACATGAGGAAAACAAAGAAAATGTTTTCCTGTTCACTTCCTAATTTGGTAAAACAAATGATATACCTCTGAGAATACGTATACAATTCTAATACTGAAGTGTAGATGTTATATAAATAGGAGTCACTTTAGAAATGTTTTTGGTTTTATAGAAAAGAAAAAAATCCAGTTCAACTTGACGATGAAGGAGGCAGGACGTTTTTACGGGTCCTCATTCATCTGATCATGCACGACTACCCGCCTTTGCTGTCTGGAGCCCTGCAGCTGTTGTTTAAGCACTTCAGCCAGAGGGCAGAGGTTTTACAGGCATTTAAGCAGGTAAGATTGAAGAGCCCTCAATGCATCCACAGCAAAAGCTCTGAAAGTGTTAATAACATCCAACCTGACTTCATGGCTGCAGAGGTAATGACACTGTGTGGCTTTTCCTGGAGACACTTTCTATTTTTAAACAGAGACATGGCCTTGTCTATGCCAGGACGTGATCTATTTAGAAGGTATTCCCCACAAGTGATTTTTTAGTTAATGTCTTTAAAACAAATGAAAGGCACCAAGATTTGGGAAGGCACTGGGAGATAATAACATGTTAGGAATTTTGTTACCACTGCTATTATTTTATCCTTAAATTTTACTGATGAATTTGGGTAGGAGCACCAATAGCCCTGAAATAATTATTTTATGATTGAAAACTGCATAAATCCAAAAAAACGAACTGTTATGGATCTAATCTTTTTCTTTGTGGTCTTTGAATAAGACATCAATCTTGAGATTATTAATTAGTAATACGTAAGTGCTTACATATGTTTCACTATTTATTTAACATAATAGGGTATTGATCATTTAGGCAGTTTTACAGGAATATGTTAAAAGAATATGAAATAAAAGGGTAGTTATACATCAAATACGTATATGTATATGTCATATAATACATGTAAATTATAAGAAAATAAAAACTTGTATGATGAGGTTTAGATTGTATCTATTGATATTTTCTCCCAGTTGTTTTTGTTTCTGCCTCTTTTCAAACAGAGTCTCAGAAAAATTAACTTCAGCAGTGAAATTAAAGTTAGGGTATCTTTTAATCTT
Organism: Homo sapiens; assembly: GCF_000001405.40. Classification (NCBI taxonomy): domain Eukaryota; kingdom Metazoa; phylum Chordata; class Mammalia; order Primates; family Hominidae; genus Homo; species Homo sapiens. Next base: position 26,621,474 of record NC_000012.12, on the reverse strand, counting down.
AAATCACTTTGAAAAGTTTTGCTAGGGCTCACTTAAAAAAATTATAATGTGTGAAAATACTGGTTAAGTGTTCACACTTACTTCTAGGTAGGTTTTCATGGTCAATATACATCTAAAATATTCATAAATATTCTAGAAATAGTGAACTTCAACTAAGATTGAAATTCTTCTGTTTTAGGTGCAATTACTGGTGTCTAATCAAGACGTAGATAACTACAAGCAAATCAAGGCAGATCTAGACCAGCTTCGACTGACAGTAGAAAAGTCTGAGCTATGGGTGGAGAAGAGCAGCAACTATGAGAATGGAGAAATAGGGGAAAGTCAAGTGAAAGGTGGTGAAGAGCCAATTGAGGTTCGTTTCAAGATCTATTTCGAAATACTCCCAATGATGTCTTTTAAGTCAGATATATAACCACATGCTCTACAATCAAAATTGTTCATAAAGAAAAATTCTGTTCTGAGCAACAGAGCACAAAATTTTCATTTGCTAAGTTGTCAATTAACTCCGTAAACTGGCACTTTGTTTAGCTCTTATCAATTTCTACCACTTCTTACCTCATCTATCTAGTGTTTCACTCTTTGTCATTTCCACGGTAAATTCTATAATTCAGCAATCAAGAAAATAGGAAGGAGTGGAAGGAGAAAAAAGGAGTGGACCCTAAACTGAGACCTGTAGGGAGAGGTGAATTTTTGTGGACCCTTTTGCTGTGGCCATTTTTTTGCCAAGCAGTAATTCATTCCTATCATTATGCATATCCTTATATAATATATAAAAGTATCTAAATGGAAGACCAATATGCTTTATTGCCAGTATGAAAATACCAAAAATCTAAAGAGTGACTGTCATCTTCTGTTGTATTGGCTTTTTTAGTGTGTTAATTAGTTGCTGTTTTCACATTTCACTAAGTACCTATAACCACTTAAAAAATGTTAAATACTGCTTTAGTAGTCATGCTTAGATAAAGCACACTAGTACCAACATCATAATTGTTAATACAAAAAGTTTTGTAAATGCCTGTCTGGTGTTTTATATAGTTGTTTTTTAATCTGCAGGCATATAAGCCGTTTTGATGGGTTTACCTGCCTTAGCTTTTGTTATTTGTTGGAGTACCCAAAATATTGTGAAGTGAAACGTGAAAACAGAGCAAGAGATAATTAATCAAAATGCTTCTGAAATGCTTTGGAAGTTTGGGACAAAATACTGGAACGTGGGCTTCATTGCACACTGACGTCTACTGGGATTTCCTTTGCGGCCCTCGCAGCCACAAGTAGATGCCCTTTATTTCCCTTTTGGCTTTTAAGTTCCACATGAGTTTATCTCATTGGCAGAAGTTGAATTGAATTTAGAACTTCAGCTATAGGGGAATTTGAGAAACCAGCTCTGTGATACAGAGGGACCGTGAGGGGTGGGAATGCTTGCTGAATGCCAGGTAATAAAGTGCATCATAGGAAGGACAATGTGTAGGTTATTAGCATGGGTTTTGGAATCAGACACCCCAGAATTTGCCACTTGGTATATGTGTGACTTCGAGCAACTTATTTTCATTCTCTAAGTTTTATTTTTATTGACTATCAAATGGACATCATCCTGGTACTTAGCTCCTGGAATTGCTGTAAAGATTAAATGAGGAAACCCTATGCACGTGGTAAGTGTGTCAGTTAATATGGCTTCAGTGGGAAAATATGAACAACATGAAAATATATACAATAAAATGACATATTACTTACCAACAAGTCAAGAAGTAAGACTCCAGCTTTAATTCCTTGCCTCAGTGTTGTCATCATGGATCAGCTGGCTTAGTTTTGAAACCAGTCTTTCTCCTGACGGCATCATGGCAGTAGCATTCTAGATATCACATCTGTGCACGACAACATCAAGAAGGAGTATCTATTTCTGGGTCTCCTGTTTAGGGGCAAGGAAACCTTTCCTAGACATCCCTCACCTTATTTCATGTCTCTTTGGCCAGAACAGGGCCAGATGTTAAAACTCTACACCAGTGGAGTACAGGATTAGTTTAGATTAAGTAAAAGATGTCGCCCAAGCTAGGATACACCACCCTGAATTACCTGGGAGAACGATAGATGGCCGAACAAAACTGGATTCTTCTAGCAGGGAAGAATAAGAAAGAATGTTGGTTAGCAACCAACAGTGTTTTTCAACATTAGCATTCAGTCAGTGTTTGTTGTAATTATTGTTTTTATGTGTAACACACTGTGTTGTTTACTATGGTGGATATGGAATTATGAAATTTTAGAGTTACAAGATAATTGTAGGGATAATCACCTCCAGTTCCCTATGTGATATATGTGTTCTCTATCTCTAAATATCTCACCTGAGTGACATTATTTCTTTAAACAAAGCAAACTTCTGTAGCTGGAAATTCAGTACCACCTGAGGTAGCATATTCTGTTGATATTAAGGTACAGCTTAAGAAATAGAGTATTGCCAGTAAGAAGTTGATGTGCTCCCTCCCTATATAACAGAGGAAACCACTATCATGAATTTATTTTAACATTTTCCTTGCTTAGTAGTTTTACCATGTGTCTGTATTTCTAAAACATAAGAAATATATGAGGTATATTTATTTAGCCTATTTTGTACATGTTTTCATTGTTCATCCTTGTTGATGTATAACTGCAACTCATTCATTTTCTCTAACATATATTATTACATTTATGCACATGTTTATCCAGTTAGCTGTGGATGGACATTTGGGCTCTTCCCGGTTTTGGTGTTTTAAAAGAAAATTTGCTACTACAAGCAGTGCTGCTGTGAAAGCTGTTGTATGTCACCTGGTGCACATGTTTGGGAGATTTTTTGGGATATCTACATAGGAGTAACACATGCAGTATGTTCCCCTCTACCAGACAATGCCAGTTGTTTTCCCTCCACTAGTGTATGAGTGTTCTTCTAGCTCCCTATCCTTATGATGGGTGTTTTTCTCACTTTCCCACTTTTGATGATTGAGTACACTTGATATATTATCTCCGCTGTGATTTTCATTTTGCTGAATTAGTTATGAGGTTGAGTTTTTTAATGTTTATTTGCCATTTTACTTCCTATTCCAGTTTAGATAAAGCTAAATTCTACACAGGCAAATAGTTAAGTCCTACCGATTCATGTGTACTTACTAATAAGGTTAAAAATATTCATTCACTTCAAGTCAGGTAATGCTATAAGTTCAAACTTGAACATGATATTTTATTTCTTTTTTTTCTTGCTTTACTGTGTTTGTAGTATTTTCAAGTACAAGGTAAAATAGAAGTGGTAATAATGGGCATCCCTGTCTTATTTCTGATTTTAAAGGGAATGGTTCTAATATTTCACTATTGAACATAATGTTTACTGTACATTCTTTTATAGATACCCTTTATGGAGGAGCACATTCTCTTCCTAGTTTACTTTTTAAAAACTACAAATGGTTATTGACTTTAATTAAATGTAATTTACACATCTATTAAGATTATATTATTTTTTATTTAATCTGTTCACCTAAATGACATAAATCTTAAATAGAGCTTCTACCGTAGTAACTTTGCATTCTAGATTTAAAATATCTTGGTGATTTGTTTTTACATTGCTAGATTCTGTTTACTAATACTTTCTGTAGAATTTTACATCTCTGTTGCCAGTGAAATTAGCCTGTAATTTTTCCTTCCTTCCTTCCTTCCCTCCTTCCTTTCCTCTTTCCTTCCCTCCTTCCTTCCCTCCCTCCCTCCTTCTGTCCTTCCTTCCCTCCCTCCCTCCCTTCCTCCTTCCCTCCTTCCTTCTCTCCTTCCTTCCCTCCTTCCTTCCCTCCTTCCTTCCCTCCCTCCGTCCCTCCTTTCTTTTCTTTTTTCTTTCCTTTTCTTCTTTTCTTTCCTCTTTTCTTTTCTTTCTTTCTTTCACTGTTCCTATCAAGCAGTAGTATTGAGGTTACACTAGTCCCATAAAATGAGCTATAGAATATTCCTTTTTCTTTGTGTAACATTAGAAGGATCTGTTCATAAATGTTTGGTAAAACCTGTCTGCAAAACTGTCTGGACATGATATTTACATTGGGGAAAGACTTTGACTACTGATTCAATTTTTTAATGGTTATAAATTCATTCAAATTTTCCATTTTGAGTTAATTTGTTGTGCATTTTTCTAGCCATATATTGAAATCTTCGAATTTATTGGCATAAATTTGTTCATATTCTTTTGCTATCTTTTAAATTTCTGCTGTATTCATAGCTTTGTATCCCTTTTTCATTCTTTGTATGTTTTGCTATGGCTCTCTTCTTTTCTCTAGCTCTATCCAGCTCAATCTTTCCAGAGTTTTATGTACAGTTTACCCTTGAACAGTGTTTGGGGGATGGTCAGGGGTGCTACCCTCCCGCACAGTTGAAAATTTGTTTATAACTTCTGACTCCCTCAAAACTTAAGTACTAATAGCCTACTGTTGACTGGAAGCCTTACTGATAACACAGACAGTCAATTAACATATATTTTCTGTGTTGTGTGAATTATGTAGTGTATTTTTACAATAAAATAAGCTAGAGAAAAGAAAATGTTAAGAAAATCGTAAGGAAAAGAAAATATATTTACTCTCTATTAAATGGAATTGGATCATCATAAAGGTCTTCATCCTCATCATCTTCATGTTGAGTAGATTCAGGAGGAGGAGGAAGAGGGAGGGTTGGTCTTGCTGTCTGAAGGGGGGCAGAGGTAAAAGAAAATCTGTGTATAAGTGGACCTGCACAGTTCAAATTCATGTTGTTCAAGGTCACCTGAATTTTACTCATCTCTTAAATATAGTCTGTTTTGGGTTTGTTGAGATTCTGGATTTGTTTGCTATTTTATTATACTTATCCTACTATACTCTATCGTTTTATGTTGACAGACTTTTCGATTTAAAAAAAATTGGTGGTATAATTTTCTTCAAAGGAGCTGCATTCCCTGAGTTTTGACAAATGATATTTTTATTATTTTTCAATATTAGATACTAAAAATTTTTCCATTGTGAGTTCTTTCTCTTAGAATTACTTGGAAGTGAGTTTTTAAATTTCCACATGCGGCCGGGCACGGTGGCTCATGCCTGTAATCCCTGCACTTTGGGAGGCTGAGGTGGGTGGATCACAAGGTCAGGAGATCGAGACCATCCTGGCTAACACAGTGAAACCCCATCTCTACTAAAAATACAAAAAATTAGCTGGGTGTGGTGGTGGGTGCCTGTAGTCCCAGCTACTCGGGAGGCTGAGGCAGGAGAATGGCGTGAACCCGGGAGGCGGAGCTTGCAGTGAGCCGAGATTGCACCACTGCACTCCAGCTTGGGCAACAGAGTGAGACTCTGTCTCAAATAAAATAAAATAAAATAAAATAAAAATAAATAAATAAATTTCCACATGCATAGGCAAAATTTACCTTTTTTGTTAATTGAATTCTTAATTAACTTGTGACCAGATAATTTAGTTATTATGATATCATTTCTCCAAAATTCATTGAGGTTTGCTTTTTGACCTATTGTACATCCAGGTTTTGTAATTGTCCATTGTGGCTTGAGAAGAATGTGAATGGGTGTAGGATTCTTAATAGATGACTGGCAAATCAAGCTTATTAATTCTGTTTAAATACTATATTTAATAATATTTTTATTTTCTTGACATATCAATAAGTGAGAGAGATTTGTTGACATTTTCCACTACAATGGTATGTTTATCAATTTCCCCTTGCATTTCTATTAGTTTTTACTCCATGTGTTTTGAGACTATGTCATTAGATGCCTGTAAATTTGAAATTATTATATTTTTACTGCAGAACAAAAGAATTTATTAACTGTGAATTATTTCCCCTCACTTCTGATTATTTTATCCCATGTCTTCTGGCTTCCATTGCTGCTGTTGAGAAGTTTGCTCTGTTAAATAGTGGTACTTTAACTTTGAAACTCCAATTAAGTTCATGTTAAACTTTATTAGTGAATATATTACTATATAGTACATATCTGTTCATTTCCTTTTTACATTTTCTCTACCTATGACTTTGTATGGCATATGGATAATTTTTTTAGACTCATCTGAGTCTCTCTTCAAGTCTGTCTTCTTTGCAGTTTTCTCTACCAATTTACTTTTAAACTTCAGCCACTATATTTTTTTATACCTGAAATTTCATTTTTTTCAAACCTGAAATTTGAGTTTTTTCAAATATATTTGGTCATTTTTTATCATGCTTTGTTGTTTTCTAATTTTTGTGATTCCCTATGGCTGTTTTATGGTCTGTATGTGGTAACTCGGAGATCCGATGTACTTGAGATTTTCTTGTTATTCTCACTCATGTTGTGTTTCATTATATTTTTGATCATCTTTGATTATGCGCTCATATCTTTTTTCAAATTGACTTCATTTTTAGAGCAGTTTTAGGTTTAGAGAAAAATTACACAGAAAGCATAGAGTTCCCATATAGTCCCTCTTCTCCTCTCTCTTTCTCCGATTGTTAACATCTAGAATAAGTGTGGTACATTCATTATAATTGATAAGCCAATATTGACACAGTATTTTTAAACTAAAATCCATAATTTATTAAGGTTCATTCTTTATGTTGTTTAACTATGGGTTTTGACAAATGCATAATGTCATGTATCCACCATTGCAGTGTCAAACAGAATAGCTTCATTGCCCTAAAAATTCTCTGTGCTTCACCTATTTGTCTCTCCTTCTGGACCCCTGAGTCCCTGCCAACCACTGATTTTTTTTCTCTGTAGGTTTGCCTTCTCCAGAATTTCATATAATTGGAATTATATAACATGTAGCTTTTCCAGACTGGTTTCTTTTACTTAGCAGTATATGTTTAAGTTCTTCCATGTCCTTTTGCAGTTTAATGCCTCATTTTTTGTTATTGCTGAATAATAGTCCCTTGTATTGTTTATCCATTCACCTATTGAAGGACATCTTGGTTGCTTCTAAATTTTGGCAATTATGAATAAAGCTGCTATAAACATTTGGGTGCAGGTTTTGAGCTCGTATCTTTTGACCTTAGTTCTGGGGTTGACATAGGGTATGTTTTCCTGCTTAGAGTATTTGTGATTGCCTTTGCCTGTTGGCAGGGGGCGCTGCTAGCCTGAGACCACATTACTCCCATCCTATATACCTATTTTAAGGCAGGAGTTTTGGGTTTAGCTCCCCAAACTAGACACTTGCTCAGAGTTCCCTTAGTCTTTGGGTTGCAGATCTAGTATTGTCATTTGCCTTCAGGGAAACTTATCTTGTGCCCTTGTTGCTTGGAGCTCTCTGGTCAGGTTTCAGGTTACATTTTTCCCTTAGAAGATGGAGGGTGGGGTCTCTGGGAGTTGTCCTTTCTTTTCTATGGGCCCAGAAATGTACTTAAAATAGGTTTATATCTAAGATCTAGTTGTTTTGTAATAGGAGGGTTCTTTGCAGTTTTAAGTTGGCCATTCTTGCCAAAGTCTTTGGGTTGTATTTACTTCAGGTGTTCCGTGATTTTTTATTGTCATGAACCCACATGCTTTGGAACTTTGTATGTGGAATTTCTCTGAGGTCTGTAGTTAAGGCCTTATTGAGATTTTATTTGCCTCTGTGAAGCACTGTGGGACACTACATTCTGTAACCATATTGAACATACCTTTTGGCTTGGGTCTTTTGGGACCCCTTTAGATTGGACATTCTGGTCCCCAGTCTTGAGTGAAAGTGAGCTTGTCTTGTATATGGGAGCCTCAAGAGAATTTTTTCCCCTCTTTTGCTTTTGATGAGCACCAAGGCCAAGATAGGTGCCCTTTTGCTCTTCTGTGGGCCATGTCTTTCCCTGGTTTATCATTGTGGGTATCACCCTTAGGTATTCCTGACTCTATGCCAGGGTCTCTGATCAGACCTTCCATCTTGCATGGGATCTGGATTTTGTTTCCTTTTTGCCGTGTGTGTGTGTGTGTGTGTGTGTGTCTGTGTATGATATAGCAAAACTCAGAATCCAGCTTATTAGGTATGGACTGATGCCGTCAGAGCCAACAATGAGTCTAGTGCTTGATTATTGCTCTGAAAATTTTATGTATTTTCAGGGTTTCTGGCCTTGCTACTATAAAGAGATGTTTTAAATATTTTATCAATCATTTTTAGATTTTATACAGGAGGGATTTCTCTGCACTTTGTCATTTTCTGTTTGACCATTCTTAACAAGAGACAGCTCTTTGTTTTGAGCCTGTGTATTTGTCTCAATAATACCTGTTCAAACCTATGCTGGGTTTGGGGCAACATGAATGGTCACACTTAATGAACTGTCATGTTTCTCCAGAGTAAAATCTTTCTTTCAAATGCTGTGTAAAGTGTACATTTCAGTCCCGTTGTTTTCATGCTAACTTGCCTTTGTGCACACTTGAATTTCTCCTTTCCGTTCTTAAAGTTAGATATCTGGACTCAAATCTCATATTCTACTTGCCCTCAACGAACGAACACACTTCATGAACACCCAAAAAATAGGGTGACAAAGTAGTTGATTAAATACTGAACTATGTAGTACAGAAAAAGGAGAGGCCAGCGTGGGCCTGATGACTGAAAGAAGGCCTCACTCCAGATTCTGCGCATAGGCCTATTCTGAAGGACTGGGAGGAGTTAGCATGTATTCAAGAATAATAAGAGAAGTAAAGTTCAAGAATAAGCGATTTGTATTTGCAATGACTGGAAACTGGGAGCCTGTGAAGATTCTTGGGTAGAGAGGTGAGCATACTATTTTGGAAAATTTAGTCTGACAGAATCCGGAATGCTTCAGAAGAGCAAGAGGCTGGGTTGGGACACCCGTTAAGAGGCTGTTGTACGAATTCAGGTGTGAGCTTCTGAAAGCATGGACTAGTGAGGTAGCAGTAGAAATGTATGCAAATGGGTGGATTGGGAAGCTGGGAGAATGGTACCTATATAATGAATTAATATAAGGGGAACAAAAATGAGAAACTGTGAAGTTACTAATTTATATACAGCCAAATAATCTGTATTATGCAATAACCCAGCAGCCAAAGATAGTGGCAATGTATTGTAAACAGGATGAAATATATCACAGTATCAATGGAAACAGCCAGTAGCAGGCAGCACACACACTAGCAGGCCAATACGAACAATACTCCTTTGTTGTTTAGTAAATCTTACAAAGGCTGTAAACACAGCACCATCAGCATTGTTCTAAAACAGCTCATAATGGTCTAACTTTGTGCCTGCTTAGATATCAGAAGACCAGATAACTTTAATGTGATTCTTCATTTTGAGAATAAAAAATATCTCCAATAACATAAAAGCGTGAGGGGAAAAAAAGTTTTTTCCCTCAGTGGTAAATTTGGTATACTCTGTTGACAATAAATGTGAATTGATGGTCTGTCTGCTAACACTAACAAATCTCAGTTTATAATCCAAAATTATACCATTACCATACTTGATCTCTTATAAATAAGGAGAAGGGGATGGATTTGGTTGTCTATTAAGCCCATTGCGTCCCTCGAGCCTAGCAGCTTTATTATCTATTGTATATTATAGTGTTTCCCTTTATTAAACCTATCGTCCCCAGCATTAAAAGACTGTACCATCATTTCTGAAAGCTTAAAGGCTAAAATATAACAAGTTGACAATATCAGTAGCATTAGGAGCAATTACTAATTCATCACTTTCAAATATGCATTGCCTTCTAAATATAGGAAGGAGAGATTAACTCAGGAAACCGTATCCGAGTAGGTTAAGTCAGGATTACCCTTTACGTTCATCCACCGCTTTATTTAGGGTTGAGATGCAGGTCACGTGGGCATTGCAGTGCTTCAGAGGAAAGTTCCTCATGTTGTTTATTTTGATTGTTAATTTTTCTTACAGTGATTTTGTTTCTCTATTTGTGTGTATACCTATATTTATCTCTATATCTATCTACTCACCTATATATGGTTGCCAGCTTCTTTTTCTTTACTTTTTTTTAGAGATGGGTCTCGCTCTGTCACCCAGCTGGAGTACGGTGGCCCTTTTTAAAAATTTGACTTAGACTCTCACTGATGTAAAGTCTCATGCTTAAACTCTCTATCTAGTTTTTACTTCAAGGACTATATAGTTCATTTTCAGGTTATTTAATTGGTTCTTTTTCATATCCATCTATTCTAGATTCATATCTGCCTGTTTTTACTTCATAATTATTTTTGTTCTTTTAATGGATGTGTGATGTAAGGAACAGAATTAACTAAAAAATGTCCCTAGGGGCTCACTCTGGGTTGTCTGGACAACGAGGTGGCTGGGACTGTTTTTGCAGATGAGGAGTCCCTTTCTTCCAAGGGGCTGTGTACTGATTTTGGCTTCTCATAGGACCCGTGGCTTCTTCCCCTCAGCAGAGACAGTCCAATTTCTATGGGCCATGGGCTAGTGTTCGAAAGATTCCTGTAAACAACAGGCACTGCCTGGTGCCGGAACAGTTTGTGTGTCCCTTTATTGAGACGGTTACGCTCCAGCTTGCCCCATAGGTAGTTACTGTGGTGTTGCGGGGAGTGGTTGCTTGGAAATCTAGACCCATACTATCCAGCGGGGCACCCAGCACTCCTGTGCGGGGAGATGGGAGGAGGGGGCACCTGTGCCTTCTCTTCTCTTGCTGTTGCTTGGCTTGTAGCCTGTCCTTTCCCTGAAAAGGCTATCCTTCATTATCCATGCTGAGCGATGCTGTGACATAATCCTGAACACTATTGCATGGCACATGGCAACCACAGAGGTACCCACTGGGCATGAGGGATGCTATTCCTCACTATCTCTATGATTATTTTAAACATACCTACTTACAAAGCCTGTCAGAAAAGCTCTTGATTGATTATATTTCACTGGACATGATATATTATTATTATTGAGTTTTTTGGTTGACATTTTTAGTATTAATGTTCCTCATAGGAGTTTGAATTATAGTTTGCAGATTTATCTTTATTTATTAATTATATTACTTTATTAATTATGAATTAATTCCTTCCTTCCCTCCCTTCCTTCTCTTTCCTTTTCTTTGCTGATTTTTCTCTAGTTCTCCCTAGGTACACCTTCCCTATCTGATAGTTTTTCTATTACCTCCACATCTCATTACTTTTTGAAAGCAAAAACTGTATTCCATTCTTTGCCTGCCGCTTCTGATCTTTTTTCCTTTGATGAAGCAAGCAAAGTTGCAAATCCCTGTAGAAGGATATATATTAAGAAGGTTCTCCTTTTCCAAGTGTTGGTATGAGATTCTGTGCAGTGGGAAAATAGTTCTACATAAACTTGTTTCTTCAGCCAAACTTGTGATCGATTAGCTGACTTTTGACAGAATCTGGTAGAATGTCTAACCCTGATGGCCTGGGACAGAAGCAGTCCATGTGTTCTAGACAGAATCTTGCAGCTTGACCTGACCAATCAGAGACACAGTGGTAATTTCATGCAGAGCTTTTATTCATTAGTTTTGGACAGTGCTTTTCTGAATTTTCCTTTTATGGAATCTGTTTTCTTGTCTCCAGTTTCTATTTTTGCCTCAGACCTCATTGTATATTTATTTGTTTATATCATTATACATATTCCCATACTTATGTCTGAGCTCATTCCACTGAAGGTGATTGTGACAGATGAGTTTCAATAAATAAGCCCCTTCACATGACATACATGTGAAAAATAACTTTTGGTTTATAATAAAATGCTTGTTTTACACATTCTTATCCTATTTGGTTATAATATAAATTCTTAAATGTAACAATTATACTTCCAGAATGTGTTATTTGAATTACTTGGTTATTTTATCTTTTTCTATGAGAATTTGTTCCCTTCTCATTTTCTAACCACATTTAAATTGATACTGTTTGAGTATAAACTTAGTATTTCCCTTCATGCTATAAATAAGTTACTATCTTTTTTTTTTAACTTTTCCATTTGTTCTTTTTGTTGTAGACAGGGTCTTGCTCTGTCATTCAGGCTGGAGTGCAGTGGTGCAATCACAGCTCACTGCAGACTCCACTTCCTAGGCTCCAGCGATCCTCCCTTAGCTTCCTGAGTAGCTGGGACCATATGTGTGCACCACCACGCCTGGCTGATTTTTGTATTTTTTGTAGGCATGGGGTTTCACCATATGGCCCAGGCTGGTCTTGAACTCTTGAGCTCAAGCAACCCACCTACTTTAGCCTCCCAAAGTGCTGGGATTACAGGTGTGAGCCCCTGCGCCTGTCCTCCACTTGTTCTTAATTCAATACAAGTTGTTAGTGAAGATTCTATGTACCCATATGGTTTCTTTTATTCAGCAAGTGGCTAACGAGGAAATAATAGTGATTGATTCATTCAAATCAGAGAATACATTTGTTTTAGATCAGGCAACAACATTTCTGTAATGATTTCTTGGGGAACAAGTGAGTGTAAAAGGCAGTGCTGATTCGTCCCTCTCACACATTTTATACATACACCCCCCTTCTTACAACCATGTCCGTCTGGGTGAGCTATAACCCTATTGTGACTAGGGGAGCTTCCTTCATACAATGTATCAGTATCAAAGTCAGTCTCTAAGGGTTCTATTATGTTGCTGTTTTCACTTCCTGTACAGTGCTTTTCTGTTGACCAAATGCCATTCTGTTGACCAAAAGGTTCCCCATGCTTTCTACATTTTACATAATACTGTTGAGTTTTTAGCCATCCCTGGAGTTACATCAGAAAATTTCTGGGACATATTGCTGTATGATAATAGGTTCCTGATGTGTTTTTTTTTTTTTTTTTTAATTTAAAAGTAAACTTTAGTGTCAAAAATGCAAACTTGGGGAGCGCAGAAAGATCACACACAAGGCTGCCACTTCACACACTTGGAGGGGTTGCACAGCAGCCGGGCAGAGGGGCCCCTCACTTCACAGACTGTGGGGCGGGCCAGGCAGAGGCCCTCCTCTCTTCCCAGACAGTGGGGCGGCCAAGCAGAGGAGCTCCTCAATTAATAGACTGTGGGGCAGCCAGGCAGAGGCGCTCCTCTCTTCCCAGCGAGTGGGGCGGCCAAGCAGAGGGGTTCCTCACTTCACAGACTGTGGGGCGGCCAGGCAGAGGCGCACCTCACTTCACAGACAGTGGGGCTGCCGGGCAGAGGTGCTCCTCACTTCCCAGACGGTGGGGGGCCCGGGGAGAGGCGCTCCTCACTAGGTTCCTGATGTGTTCTTATGAAAGCAGTTACTAGTTACATTAAACATTTCCAGTTTTTCCTAATACCTGTCTAAGCAAAGATGCTGCACCCCAGTGGCACGAACTTTTTTTATTAACTTATGTATTATCAGAGATGCAGATTGTAAAGGAGATTTGGGTTTTGTACTAGAACATCAGGTTAAACATTATCAAATACTAACTAAAACGACATCAAATGAGTCAAAAAATGCCATTATTTTATTTATTTATTTATTTTTTTGAAACAGAGTCTCACTCTGTCGCCCAGGCTGGAGTGCAGTGGCACGATCTCGGCTCACTGCAAGCTCCACCTCCCGGATTCACGCCATTCTCCTGCCTCAGCCTCCCGAGTAGCCGGGACTACAGGTGCCCGCCACCACTCCTGGCTAATTTTTTTTGTATTTTTTTAGTAGAAACGCCCGGCTAATTTTTTTTGTATTTTTTTAGTAGAGACAGGGTTTCACTGTGTTAGCCAGGATGGTCTCGATCTCCTGACCTTGTGATCCGCCTGCCTCGGCCTCCCAAAGTGCTGGGATTACGGGTGTGAGCCACTGCGCCCGGCCGCCATTATTTTATTTGTCTTGGGACGGAGCAAAAGGAAAAAAGGTTTGGGGTACGGTTATGGATATGTATGTATTCTCTAGAAGGGTAGAGCTTTGCTCCTGACTTGAGGAAACATCTGGAAGGAACTTATCTGCAAGTAATGCTGGTCAGAGCCTCTTCTGCCCATTGTGGATTTTGAATCAAGCCTTCAAGCAGCCTTAGGTGCTTCCCAGGGAAGCAGAAACCGACAACCATGATACCAAGATCGTGCAAAGTAGCTTTCCAGGCAAGGTCATAGAAGTTGATCTAGGGTGATATCTTCCTAAATGACTAGTACATGATGTTATCATTAGATGGGAGGGAGAAAAAAATACCTCCTTATCCCACAGAGGGTTATTCAGTTATCTGAAAGAGGCAATATTTATTCTGAACAGCTTCAACTACATTATAATCTATAATCTGATTGGCGAATCAAATATAAAAGACCGGTTATTAAAATTTTTTTTTGCATGTTTTGAAGGGAGGTGAGGATAGAAGAAGGAAAGCATTTGGCACCTGAAGTTAGGGGGTGGGTGGCTGGTTTATGGTGTCACTGACTGGTTTAAAGAATGGTTGCACCAGAGAAGGCTACCAGTACAGATGGTGAGCAGAAGGCCTTGCAGTCTTGCTAACTTGGCAACTTTGCTGAGGATGGACCTCCTTAAACTTCAGTGGGATAGGGATAAATAGAAGGCATGCACCAAGTTATTTTAATCATGCAGCTGCAGATGTAGGCAGCTCTACATTGTAGGATTTGGAAAATTCTATTTTTAAAAGCATGATTGCCCTTGGTTAAATTAAGGAGCTGGATTCCCATTAATCAGTGCCAGTATTTATTTATTTATTGAGATGGGTCTCACTCTGTTGCCCAGGCTGGAGTGATTAGCACAATCATAGCTCACTACAGCCTCAAACTCTTGGCTCAAATGATCCTCCTGCCTCAGCTTCCTGAGTAGCCAGGGCTATAGGTGAGCCCACCATGCCCAACTAATAATTTTTTTTTTATTTTTTATAGAGACAGAGTCTTTCTATGTGGCCTACGCTAACCTCAAACTCTTGGCCTCAAGCAGTCCTCCCACCTTGGCCTCCCAAAGTATAGGGGTTATAGGCATGAGTTATCATACCTAGCCAGTGCTAAAATTTAGTTTACCCTATAGTTCATATAATATTACTTTCTTATATAATTTTTGCTATTGATGTAAAAGTTTCCTTGCCTGATGCAAAAAAAAAAAAAAGGGAGGAACTATCTTTAGAACCAATATTCACTCTTTGTTTCTCTGCCTAGAACCCTGATGCCACCCAATTTCTAGACTATTCTTGGTCTCTTGTTTTTGAACCTACTGTTTTATGTTATGGTATATACTATGCAATTAAAAATACAGCTACCGCTAAGATCACTGCACTAAGCTGTTTCCCATATTCTATTAGGGGGAATAAATTTAGGTTCTCTAGATGATAAGAAGCAGTTACAATAAAATGCAAGGACGTTTGGAGCATCGTATTTATTTTTCATCACTATTGTCAAAAGGATCATTTGGAGATGTGCTACGAGCCTTTTACTGTTCTAAGTGTCACACTTTTTTTTTTTTCTAGGCCCATTCAGCTCTGGGATGCTGCATAAGTCATACTTCTACATTTTGCACTTTTCTAATATTTTGTCATTAGAATAGATTCAGGGTTTTGTAGATTAGGCCAGTGATGTAGGGCTAAAGTTTATAGAATGTAAAGCATTGTATAAGACATGAAGAATACAGCCAATTTCAGCTCTTTCAGAAGGAAAACTTTTGGAGCACCTTTATTTAGACCATTTTGGCATCAGAATTAGAAAACAAAACCTAATTGTAGTTATATAGTTTACATATTTCTCAAATTACCCTGATGACTGCTTTGGAATCATCCAGATGTTCCATGGGTTTTTGTTCAATTTAATTAAATTGAATTATTTTCTGAAATTAAAAGGGGTTGTTTGTTGAATTTTCCAATGTCGCTGCCTTTTGTTGACTGCTAGCAATTTTAAATTAAAATCATTATTTTTCACCAATTCCCACACATACAGAGTTTAGCATTGTCTATGTGCTTCACCTGGGCTGAACTAAAGAGTATGACTTTTTGTAATGTAGTACATTTTACCTAAGATTACTTTTCTTAAAACAAGACAGTTGCTTTTTCTTCAGATTATTGCTTGAAAAACAGGCTTAAAGATATCGACCAAAGCTTCACCTGCCTTTTTAACAGCTTTCTTTAAAGTTGACATACATAAAAAATATCTCTTTTCTAACTAAGAAGCTTTGTCAATCTTTAGAGCTGGTAATGTCTTAATCCTGGTTTGTGGTACAAGTGTGTGTGTTTGTGTGTATATGTTTTAGTATTTCTTCTCTTACAGAAAAAAAATGAAATGGCCTTTTAAAAATCCAGCCTTCACCTTTGTGATCAGAAAAAGGAAATCTAATTATATTTTTAGCTTTTGCAGTTTCTACTTCTCATCAATTAACTATTTTTGCTATCAAATGGAAAATCTGTTTTATACTCTGACCTCTAGCCTCTTTCCATCTAAATAGTTTTCATTCATCTTAGCCACTGGGTTGTGTTTTCTCTTCTACATTGGCTTTACTTTCATGTATAGTTTAACACTTTCTCATATATATATATATATTTTTATTTTTTATTTTTTATTTTTATTTTTTTTTTTTTTGAGACTGAGTCATGCTCTGTCGCCCAGGCTGCAGTGCTGTGGTGCAATCTTGGCTCACTGCCACCTCCGCCTCTCAGGTTCAAGCGATTCTCCTGCCTCAGCCTCCTGAGTAGCTGGGATTACAGGCATCCACCACCACATCCAGCTAATTTTTGTATTTTTAGTAGAGATGGGCCAGACTGGCCAGACTGGTCTCGAACTCCTGACCTTGTGATCCACCTGCCTTGGCCTCCCAAAGTGCCGGGATTACAGGTGTGAGCCACTGCGTCCGGCCTCTCCTATAATTTTTAAGATTCACTTCATGATTAATGTCTTGCAGGTAATATCCTGCATTCTTTTCTCTCTTTTATTTACCTGGAGTGGTGGTTGGACTGCTTTCATTTCTGTCCAAATATTCATTATGATAGCTAGGCGATATAGCTCTGGAGTCTAACTTAGTAATGTTTTGAAGGCTTTCAGTGTTTTGATCTTTTACTTTTTGCATTTCCAATTCTAGTGAGTATGAGTGACAAGTGGTCAGCAAGGTAGAAGCTAACAGATGAGAAAGAGTCATTAAAGGGTAGAAACTGCTGTTTTACAAGAAACAGGGATGAAGCAGGGAGAAGAGGAAGAAGAGATGGAATTTTTGAATTCATGCATCAAAAATTTTGTTCTTGGAGACACAGTGGGGAAGATAGACAGGTTTGTGGATATCACTGGAAATTTTTGAATGGAAAAGAGAAAGTGTCTTTGTAGAGGCATTTCTGTCTATACAGTAAAATGGGAGGAGGGGGTCACTTGTTAAAGTGAAGTTGAGACTGGGAGCCTCAGGACAATATTTGCCAGAAAAGAAGCAAAAGAAAAATATAAAGCTGAGTGAGGAGTGTTTTGGCTCAACGTGGATTAAGTTGCTCTGCTGCTTGAAGCCTTTCATCAGCACTGTTTGATTAGCAAGGAAAGTATTTTTTTCTTTCTTGATGTTTATTAATTTTGTGATTTGTCCTGGAGCACAGTAGGAGAAACAACTTGGGACAAATAAATCATATCAATTGGCCTCATGTATCTTTGTAACTTTTTCCTGAGCTTAAACTAGGGTCCCCTTTAACTGCAAGCGCCTAACACCATCATTATAGTCAGGAGTTTAGGGTGTTCTGGACCCACATTGAACTTGACATGCCTCCCAAGTGCAATTTTGAATAGATCGTAAATAAGGGAGGCCATCAGACCCCACTCTGATTGCCCAATCTTTGCGATGGACCCTGTCAGTTCTTGCCGTTTTCCATATAACTAGTGTGCTTGTTCTTGCTGCAGTACCTTTGGCTAAGGTGACTTCTTCTTCACCTGGCAAGGCTTTTCCCTGCTCATTTAAACATCCTTTATGCCTAAGTAGACAGTTTTCATCGTTCTAGACCTTGCCTTAAACTTGACCTCCTTCGTAAACTTGTCTAAAGCTGCAGCTGTTCTCTTTCTCTCTCTTTCTGAATAGTGAATTCTGCCCAGTTCAAATCTTTATTGATATATTTCTCCCTGTTTTCTTAGGCAGACTGTAATTTTCTTGTGAGAAGGACCATATCTTCTTTGTATCCCTTTTAGATCCATTCACCATAGTCTAGTGCCAGGTGTGCATGACGTCTTCATAAATGTTCAGAGTGGAATTTTTTGTCACTGGTGTTTGATTTTCATAAGGTGACGCCAGTAGTTGATGTTTCAAATATGTCCACTCCCCATATTTGTGATACTACAGATAATAGTTATTATAATTAAGTATCTTTGGTGTTTCAGGTTTTCTTAATAAGCTTTATTAATTTGGTAATTTAAACATTTTATTTTAATTTGCTTTTTATTTTTCTCTCTTCATTTTCATGGTTCTGTATGTTGGCCCGGAGTCGTGACTCTTAAGGATGCCATGGTAACCTGTCAGAGAATTGTTGTGTTAAGTTGTTCTTTGCTCCCTTCTCTGAGATGTGCTCAGCTATGATGATCTGCTCCATCACTCTTTTTTTCTTGCAGTTCATTCCTAGTGATTAAATTATCTTTTATGCCCTGTATTTTCACTATTTCTTCTCATATAGGCAATATAAAGCCACAGCATGTCTGAGATATATATGTCTCATATGGATATGCACTAATAATATGTATGAAAACTTTACAATTTAACTCATATAATTATAGGTCATTCCAGTTAACTTGTCATTGGGTTCTCACTGGGTAGCGGTAATTTGCATGGCTCAGTCAAGCCAAGGAACTTTTTATGCAATAAAAAAGTACAAAAGAAACATTTAAGTTGAATAATAGATTTATTACAAAATAATTACAAAATATATTTATTATTTAATACAAAAGAAATAAATGTAACACAAAGCTACAAATGGCATAAAAGTACATATTTGTGTTCCTTTTAGGAATCAAACATTTTAAGTCCAGTGCAGGATGGAACAAAGAAACCTCAGATTGACAGCAACAAGAGCAATAACTACCGGATTGTAAAGGAGGTCGGCAGATACAAAATATTCTTATATAGGTTTATATTTGCATGCCAAATAAGTTTTGCTTATATATTATACTTAATATTGTTATTTATTATATTTGATGCTTTCCCTCTTCCTTTTAAAGATTTTGATCAGGCTAAGTAAACTCTGTGTGCAGAATAAAAAGTGTCGGAATCAACATCAACGATTACTGAAAAATATGGGGGCGCATTCGGTGGTGTTGGATCTTCTGCAGATACCCTATGAAAAGGTTAGTCCTGGTTATTTTTTGTTCTTTAGCTTTTTATTTTGATACAATTTCAAATGTTTTGCAAAGTTCCAAGAAATTTTTTCTTTCTTAATTATTTTAGAATAAATCACCCACCAGGTGCCCCATCACCCCTGAGCCCTTTTGTGTATGTTTTCTACAAACAAGGGTACACTACCATGTCACCACACTAGAGTCTTCCATATCAGGAAAGAGCAAGGCACTTTACTGCCACCTAGTCCCTACACGCTACTCAGATTTCTCCCTTTGTCCCAATTGTTTTCGACTTGAAAAAAAGATCCACTTCAGAATCATGCGCTATTCGGTTGTCATGTTTATTTAAATCTCTTCATGTGGGAACTCCCATGACATTGACACTCTTGAAAATAACCAGTTATTTTGAAGGATGTCCTTTAATGTGGATCATCTGATGTTTCCTCGTGATTAATACAGTTAGGCATCTTTGGCAGGGACATAACCGGAGTGATGCTGTGTTCGTCTCATTGCTTCCTATTTGTTGGTGCACGATTTTGATTTGTCCCATGACTGATGATGTTCACTTTGATCAATTGATTGAGGTTGTGTCTGCCAGGTTTCTCTGATTTTTCCCTTTGTAATTCCCTTGTAATTAATAGGTATTTTGTGGAGCAGTTCTGTGAAACTAAGTAAATATCCCATTCTTCATCAAACTTTCAACTTATTCATTTATTGTGTTTATTTTTATCAGTATGGGTTTGTATATATTCATTTTATTCAATAGGTTATAAAGGGTTCTATCATTATTTATTTTGATTTCCAGATTGTCTCAGATTTGACCAGTGGAGTTCCTTTGAGCTAGACTATCTGTCTTCTAACATCACCCCCACCATTCTTTGATTACTTCCTTGCTTTCTGGCACAATAAAATGTTCCAGGTTCATCTTGTATTCTCCTTGCTTCGACTCTAGAATCAGCCATTTCTTCAAGAGGCCCCATTTCCATTTGGTGGGAAATGGTATTTAGGAGCAAAGTTCTGAGAACTGAGTTCTCAGTTCTTATTGCTTTGGGGTGTTGCCCCCATAGGCCCTCTAAATAGGCAAAGCTAGGGAATATGCATATGTATGGGTGCATGTAGAAATTTATTTAATATTAATATAAAATACCACTGAAAACATGAGTCCATCTGAATTCGTAACAATGCCCACATGACAAATGGTACAATCAACTACATGGGGAAATTTTAGGTAGTTTCACTGATGTTGTCACAAGACCACTTTTAAGAAGACAAATTTGCTTCTCTGTGAATTTTGAGACTTAAGTTTCTTGTTAAGATTCTTATAATCAAATGATAGTAGCTTAGTATAGGACTTTGGAAAATGGCAATGAATAAGGATATTCACTATTAAGAGTGTTAAGAAAGAGGGGGACAAAAAGGAGGAGAAAATAGAAGAGAAAGCAAAGAGGAAAAGAAAAAGAAATAGGTGGAAATAAGAGACAAGGTAAATAGCAAAAGGAAGGGACAGAGAGATTGGAGAGAGGAAGAACTGAGATGAGTGAGTAATAAATATATATACAGAGAAGATTGACAGAGTGGAGGAAGAGAGGAAGTTTGAATAGAGAGGAAATAGAGTGAGAGCAGAGCAGGAGAAAAGGGGATGGGAGCAGAAGAAATAATAGATAGGAAAAGAGGAAAAGAAGAGAGGAGATGGAATAGATGTGGGAGAAAGAGTAGGAAAGGAAGATGTATGAGAAAGAGAGTGAAATAGAGTAGGGAAAGAGAGACAAGAATAGAAGCAGCATGATGGAGATATAGGCATACTGCAAAATGAGACATTTAAAGGAAGGGAAGAATTATGGGGACTGGGGAGTACAGCAGAGAAGGGAGGAGAAACAGAGAAAGATAGGGACAGAGAGGAAAGGAGGACAGAGGAGGTGTGGAGATAAAGCAGAGGAGGAAAAGGTGGCTATGTACAGAGATGAGGAAACGTGGTGGACAGTTGGAAAGATTGGGGAGAAAGAGAAGGGCTGTGAAATGAAGGGGGCATTGGAAAAGTAGAGCAGAATAGAATCAGGAGGAATAACCAAGAGAAGGTGAGAAAGATCTAGAAAACAGAGAAGAGGGACAGGAGGGGAAACTGGGAGAGGTGTGAAACATAAAGGACACAGAGAAAGGAGATCAAAGATGGGCAGAGAGAAAAATGGTATGTGGGTGAAGGAGAGATTTTTGCATAACATTTGCTGTCTCCTATGTTTGTTTCTATCATGTGCTATTCTTTAACTTACAGAATGATGAAAAGATGAATGAAGTAATGAATCTAGCCCATACATTTCTGCAGAATTTCTGTCGAGGAAATCCACAGAATCAAGTTCTTCTTCATAAACATCTGAATTTGTTTTTAACTCCAGGTGTAAGTATTTTAGTGGCTTCTAGTATTTCTAGTAAAGTGTGCATCAAATTTGTCTCAGTAACATTCATGAAGAGAATTTTGTTACACTTCCTTGCTTCATTTTTTTTTCCTTGTGGAAATTCTCTCTCCAGAAGTGAATATCTTTTTTTTTTCATTAAGGAAACTTTTAAAGAAACTTGAAAAATTGCACAAGTTTTACATGCAAATGACAATGTATTTTATACGTATATAGTTAAATGTTAGGGAAAAGATATGGTAGAACAAAGAACTAACTCACAATACCATGAGTAAGGTAAATATGGAAAACTCAGAGGTGGAGTTTGCCCTTGTCTGTAAAATGTGTTTGAGCAGATTTTATGGAAGACCTAATTTTGAATTCATAATTAGTCTCAAGAATACTGTTGCCAATATGTTGCACTTTATGATAATAAGCTCATTTCTCCAACTAAATTCCTCTGTGAGCTCAGTTTTCTTTTAATGGTTAATGATCTCATCGCATTTTTTGAAAGACATGCACAGAAAATTCACTGTGGCTTCGTATAAAATATAAAACTGATCACAAGCAGGGCAATTAGTCTAAGTACTGTAGAATAGAAAATTGATCTTGTCAGAATTACAAGGGCATGTTCCTCTGTGTTTAGCTCCTTGAAGCAGAAACCATGCGGCACATCTTCATGAACAATTACCATCTGTGCAACGAAATTAGCGAGAGAGTTGTACAACACTTTGTGCACTGCATTGAGACACATGGCCGCCACGTGGAGTACCTGAGGTTTTTGCAAACAATTGTAAAAGCAGATGGTAAATATGTGAAGAAATGCCAGGATATGGTAATGACAGAGGTATGTTCTCAGTTTGCCTTTTATCAGCTTCACCTAAACAGTATGTTCAAATATGCATTTTCTATTACAGTGAAAAAGCCCCCAACAACATAGGTTTGGAAAATTATTTAATTTAATCATGACTACTCAAGTGCAAATATATTTTGCTTTAATTTAGTGAAGCAACATATCTTAAGTTGGTTTTATGATTTTTCTAAGTTTGTTTTTCTTTTTGACCTATAATGAATTTGTGTATTTTAAAAAATGGGTAAAATCCTATGAAATGTTGTCGATTGTTTGGAATGAAAGTGACAAAATTTTATATTTTTAAGTTTCCAATGATATAAGAAAGACAGATTAAACTGTGCTTTTCCAGTGCCTTTATTGCTCTGTTTCTGAAACATAGAATGGGTGTTCTCTGCTGCTATTTGCAGAAAGCTTTGAAGAGAATCAAACTAAGTAATACAAACTACCTAACAGTGATTTTTTTTACAACATGTGGAAACTTACTACTTAGAGTAAGTTACAAATTTCAGCAAATGAATAGATGAAGGTACTTCATTTCTTTATTTGCCTTTTTCATGTTTATGTTTGACATTGAGTGATATTTATGTAATGAGTAAGTTACTAGGAAGCAAGTATGATACATTGGAGAAGTAGCAGCTTAAAGAGCCCGTTGATTAAATCACCGCTCTGTGACCAAATGGTTCTCTAGTGGCCCATTTGGGTTAAGGGAGCTTCCACCCATGGCTACCAAACAGTTACATGGTAGATTTTTATTGGTTTCTGGGCATTTTCATTATGACATACCTTAAATTTGGGAATGGAGGAGATTTCCATAATGATTCAAGGAGTCCCTCCTGCCACTTAGAAATCTTAAAATTAATTTAGCTTAAAGCCTTGAATTTTTTTAAATGTAAATTATTGTTATTAAACATTTTAAGGAACATTTTAAGCTTGTAAAATGCACCTTTTTCTTATCTGCATTTGCCTACACATTAGCTCTTCATTGTCTGGAAATGTGAGAACTAAAGGATTTTGTGTTATGATCAGCAAGGAAAGAATTAGAATGGGGAAGCAGCAACAGTGAAACCATCCCTATGATACTGTTGGGTGAAGTGTTTCTGTGCACAAAGAAGTATTTGTAATATTATGTTAATATATAATACATATTTTTGATACACATACATTCTCTTTCAACAACACTTTCAAAGTAAGCCAATGAATCGGCTTATAGATTTAAATATATTGTCACTTTAAATATAATACCTAGAGAAAAAAATTGTATGTCCTTAGTTACCCACCAATGTATCTCACACTGGGGTTAGAAAATTGGTACTGATAATAGACAATAAGATACTATGGAGCTTGAACAATAAAACTGCCACCTGATGGAATTTTCTACTAAAATTATATAAACAAAATGTGAAGGAAAATTTATGTCTTAAAAGACCCTACCTATTCATATCTTTGTTTCTCTCGGTTTTTTGGTTTTAGTTTTCTACTTATTTCTCTTAACTCTGCTTTTACCTTCATTCTCTGCTGATGCCTTCTTATGACACATGGAATTTTGTAGACTTTTGTAGAGCTGTAATTAGCTCAATGTACTTGCTTCCTTATGTAGTCATTATTGCAATGGATGAGGATATTTTACTCTGCTTTAGTAAAATTATGAGATTTCTTGTGCTTTGGCCATGGAGTCTCCCAAAAAAAAGTAGAGGAAAATAACTTTATTTTTTTACAGGTTTAATTTCAGTGTGATGAACAATTTACTTTCATCCATGTTGTTTCATTCTTGCCCTATCTGCTGCTTCCACATCGCCTCAACTGGTTTTGATAGCGTTCATAGCTGGTTCCTTGGCATGGGACCATAATCTTGTCACCACCCTCCCCAAGCATAGCTCTGTCTTTGCCGTATTATATATGTTTTTACGAAGAGATATACGTGTTTCCAGATATATCAAGCCTTTGGAAATAACTGCAAGGATGAATGTTCGGACTGCTACATAGACTCTCTTATTATCATTTCAGTTGATAAATGGGGGTGAAGACGTGCTGATATTTTACAATGATAGAGCATCATTTCCAATCCTTCTCCATATGATGTGTTCAGAGAGAGACCGAGGGGATGAGAGTGGCCCCTTAGCCTACCACATCACCCTGGTGGAGTTGCTGGCAGCATGCACAGAGGGGAAAAATGTCTACACTGAAATCAAGTGTAATTCCCTTCTCCCGCTGGACGACATAGTGAGGGTGGTGACCCATGACGACTGCATCCCTGAGGTAAGCCTGGCAAAAGCTTAGCAGCTCTAATAGAATCATTATTAATTTTTGAAGTTTATCTAGGTGCCAGAAGTCCCCCATACTAATATTTATAATGAGATCATATATTTAGTCAGGGAATTGTATTTAACTATATAATTTGGAAAATGTAAAAGAGCATAGAAGGTCTACTTTTTAATAAGAAGTTCTATAAGAAGTTCTGCAAGATGATAAACTTTTTTTTTTTTTTTTTTTTTGAGACAGAGTTTTGCTCTGTTGCCCAGGCTGGAGTGCGATGGCAAGATTTCGACTCACTGCAGCCTCCACCTCTTGGGTTCAAGCGATTCTCCTGCCTCAGCCTCCCGAGTGGCTGGGATTACAGGCATGTGCCACCATGCTCAGCTAATTTTTGTATTTTTAGTAGAAATGGGGTTTCACCATGTTGGCCAGGCTGGTCTCGAACTCCTGACCTCAGGTGATTCACCTGCCTCGGCCTCCCAAAGTGTTGGATTTACAGGCGTGAGCCACCACAGCCAGCCTATGAGAAACTTTTAAGAACTATAGCCACTGCTAGTTTAGTGGAAGCTACTAGACAGCTCTCTTCAATTCTAAACATGGCCATATGATCAAACTGAAAGGTTTACTTGAAACTTTAGTATGTACTTGAGCATAAAACAGGTGCTTCAAAAATTATTCATAACCATTGATTGGAGAGGCTAGGATAGTGCTGCAGGACCACATAAAAGACTCTGCAGGTTTACCTGGCTTTATGGAATAGATGCATTCTTGAAAATATGCACACACAGTTTGCTTTATTCCCACATCATTTACCCTCTGTCCTAGTTTGTTTCTGATGATAGAAAAAGTCTCAGTAGCAGCTGGTTGTCTGCCAATAGGCTTCTATTAATGAGGCATCCAGGAATGTACATTGCGATAATGTCTTTCTTTTCTACTGTTGGGAGGGGATTGGAGGGGAGGGAAGGAGAGGGGAAGAAGAAAGAAAGGGAAAAGGAGAGGAAGGAGAGGTTGCTTTTGACTCCTTGTATCTCAAATATGATAGGCTTGTTTTGCATAAAGTTCTTTCTCACAGCAATGGTTGGCCCAGGGGGATGGAGTACTAGGCCCCGTGTTTTCACCCTTAGGTCAGTGGACTGTTAGCAAAAGAAGAGAAATGAGAATACTTTCTGGATAGACAAAACTATGCTATGATCTACCATAAAAACTAACAGATTTTATGTTAACCTTTCATAATTGATATTTGAAAGTCATCAATAAAGAAAACTAACTTTCTTTTGTATTTGAAACTTGCACAGGTTAAAATTGCTTATGTGAACTTTGTTAATCACTGTTATGTTGACACTGAAGTGGAAATGAAAGAAATCTATACAAGTAACCACATTTGGAAATTATTTGAGAACTTCTTGGTGGATATGGCAAGGGTAAGTTAGATTTTGACTACTGAAGGGTGTCAATAGATATTTCGACTAAATAGTATTAAGCATCTGGATGAAAACTTGCAGTTAAATTCACTACCTTTTGATTTGTTGCATTCATTCATAAAGTTGTGAATAAATTTCAGAAGATTGTGAGTGAGATTTAATGAGTTAATATATACACAAAATACTTAGTACATTGTAGATGACAATAGGTAAAGTGTTCATTTTTACCTTTATGAGTGACTGTGTTTGTCTGTTATTAAATGGAATCTTAGTGGCCTCTTTATATTGGTTAGAGAAGATATTTGGCAGAGGTCAATTTGCATTTAATCTCTTATTCTAAGTGCAATTACAAAGCACAGATCAAGAGACCTAAAGAGGTCTTGACTACTGCTTTCAGGCAGATAGGTACTTGACCAGCCGACTGAGGACTTGGCCTTGCTCGCTGTTGCCTATTCAAAATCTTCTTTGGAAGTGTACTCCAGTAATTTAATCATCTGGCATTTTCACTCGTGTCCACCAAATTATATTCGCTTATTACTGTTTGTTTTGTTGGGGGCTGTTGGGGAGGACATGTGGAGCTGGTTGGCATTTTCTAGATACTGCCTGACATATGTTTTTGCTCTGTTAATATTGAGTAAATGAATGAGTGAAGAAATATAAGAAAGAAGGAATATCTTTGATGGACAACACAATTTTCTTTAGCACATCTTAGCCTTTTTTTTTTGCATACTGAATTATCATAACAGCCAGTGTCTAAAAAAAAATCTAATTTTCCCTTTAAAGTTATGGGACTTGAAGTTCAAATAAAGTTTCACTAAAGAAGACAGTATATAGATAACTCCTTAGACCTATTATGAATGATGGTGGCTGGACTCAGCCCCTTTGGCCTTCCAACATTCCTGAGTGCTAGTAGCTTTGTATAGGCCTTATATAGATGTATTTGGAGGAGAAAGATTAGTGAAGTCCATATTTTCATTATCTCAATTACAAGAACAGATGCTGTTATCTGTTAGCTCACTGCCTCTCTATACCTTTTTCTGAAAGGAGGGATGACAAGGTACATCCTTGTCATCCCTCCTTTCACTGCCTGTAGACTCAGACATGTAAGAGCACCCTTGGATAATACAATGAATCATACGTTATTCCAGACCACGGACTCTTTTTATTTAGCCAGGGTTTCCAAGTGAAATGTGCTTAGTTTACCTTTGGTGTGGTGTAGTGTGGTGAGTGAGGTAGTTCCTGTTTTACTTCATTTCCATACAGCTAAAAGCCACTTATTGCCTATCTCAGGTAAATATGCACCTGTAGAGAAATCGTCCTGTTTTATGCAGCATTTAACATAGTACTCATATGTGTCCCCATTGACCTTGTGAAAACTTTGTTTCTGACCAGCTATAGTATCTCCAGAGACCTTCAAGTAAGGAGTGACTTCCATGCCAATGACTAAGCTTTAAAACTGCACGTGCAGGAGGATATTAAAGAGATTATAGACTGATTTGCGGAGTTGCACAGTGCTACTGACTAAAGATAAGCTTGAAACAGATCAAGGTCACATTGTAGGCAGCATGAGCTATAAAGCTGAAAGGATTTTTATTTTTTAAACCAAAGAAAGCCAATGATAACTTCCATTGATTATGCCACCTGAGAAATACCGTTTTCACCGATGTATTTGCAAGGCAAAGGTGTACAGATTTACATTCTTTTTTTGAAAAACACAAAAAAAAAAACAAAAAAATAGCAATGATTTTAACTATTGCTTAATTGGATAATTAATGTTATTTATTATATTAAAGCTCTAGGGGAATTTCAATATCTTCTTGATCTATTTATTATTTATGTCTAACCACAATAACTTAGCTATACTGCAAAAAGGTTTTTAAAAATATTTCCCTCTTGTTTATATTTTAAAACAGTAGCTCTCTAATCCCTTCACCAGGGTTGACAGGAATCACCTTTCCTTTTTCAGGGAAGGAAATAGAAACCTGACTTTTTCATATCTGGGATTTCTTTCTCTCCCCATGAAGAAAGATCAGAGTCACCAGAAACTTTCAAATTCAAGTTATAAAACTAAGTGTGGTTAAATGAATAGAATGTGGCCTTCTAGGTAAATTTTCAGTTCAGTTGAGCAGTTTTTAAGCTTTAGTGAGCATCAGGCCTAGCTGGAGGGCTTGGTGAAATACAGATTGCTGGTCCTTGTCCCCAGAATTTCTAATTTCCATAAATGAAAGACTTTACATTTTTAACAAATTCCTAAGTGGTGCTGCAGGTGCTGGTCCAGGGACCACACTTTGAGAATCACTGTAGTAGACAGAGCATGGTAGCTAAGAGTAGGGATTTCAAAAGATTTAGCCAGACCAGAGTTCGAGTCCAGACTGTGCCTCTCAGTAGCTCAGTTTATCTTGGGCAAAGTACTTAACCCCTCTGGGCCCTGAGTTTCCTGATTTGTAAAATGAATACAATAAATTCACATTCCCCATAGGGTTAGTGGGAGAATCCAATGAGATAATGTGTATAAAATTCTTAGCACATATTAGCATCAGTAAGAGAGTTGGTAACATCATCCATATCATTGTATCCAGAGGACCATTCAGCATAGGGAAAAACTAGAAATTATGTCCATAAAGCTGGACATCCACAACAGTAGTTGACATGAATAGCCACGTATGAGATAAACCAAATCCAGATGTTCCAACAAAGTTATGACATTCTGGAAGAACTGATTTATATCCATGAGAAATGATGAAGGTAATCTGGAGGAAAGGAATTTGGTAAGTTGAACCTAAAGAATCATAGCATCTTAGGGTTGGAAGAGACTAGTAGTCAAATTTATATACAGTTCATAGTCTTCAGCACTTACTCAAATATCTGATTAACAATGAGCTTACTACTTTTTTCTTTTTCTTTTTAAATTTTGTGGATAAATAGTAGCTGTATATATTTATGAGGTACAGGAGATATTTTGATACAGCCATATAATGTGTAATGAACACATCAAGGTAAATGGGATATCCATCACCTGAAGCATTTATCCTTTCTTTCTGTTACAAACAATCCAGTTATATTTCTTTAGTTATTTTAAAATGTACAAGAAATTATTGTTGACTGTAGTCACTCTGTTGTGCTATCAAATATTAGATTTTATTCATTGTTTTCAACTGTATATTTGTACCCATTAACCATCCCCACTTCCCCTCTGCCCCACTACCCTTCCTAGCCTCTAGTAACCATCCTTTTATTCTCTATCTCCATGAATTTAGTTGTTGCAATTTTTTTAGTGCCCACAAATAAGTGAGAACAGGCAAAATTTATCTTTGTGTGCCCGGCTTATTTCACTTAACATAATGACCTCCAGTT
Source organism: Homo sapiens (assembly GCF_000001405.40). NCBI lineage: Eukaryota > Metazoa > Chordata > Mammalia > Primates > Hominidae > Homo > Homo sapiens. The sequence continues at coordinate 26,592,110 of NC_000012.12, read as the reverse complement.
CCGTCTATGTTGTTGCAGATGACTGGATCACATTCTTTTTTACTGGCTGAATAGTACTCTGTTGTGTATATGTACCACATTTTCTTTATCCATTCATCTGTTGATGGGCACTTAAGGTGCTTCCAAATTTTGGCTATTGTGAACTGTGCTGCAACAAACATGGGAGTGCAGATATCTCTTCAATGTACAATTTCCTTTCTTGTGGGAATATATCCAGAAGTGAGATTGTTGGATCATATGGTAGCTCTATTTTTAGTTGTTGCTTTTTTTTTTTTGAGATAGAGTCTGGTTCTGTCACCCAGGCTGGAGTACAGTGGTGTGATCTCAGCTCACTGCAACCTCTGCCTCCGGGGTTCAACCATCTCCTGCCTCAGCCTCTCGAGTAGCTGGGACTACAGGCATGCACCACCATGCCTGGCTAATTTTCGTATTTTTTTTTTTTTAGTAGAGATGGGGTTTCACCATGTTGGCCAGGCTGGTCTTGAACTCCTGACCTCAAGTGATCCACCCATCTCGGCCTCCCAAAGTACTGGGATTACAGGCGTGAGCCTCTGCGCCCGGCTATTTTTAGTTTTTTGAGGAAACTCCAAAATGTTTTCCCTTGTGATTGTCCAAATTTACATTCCCACTAATGTGTACAAGGGTTTCCATTTCTCTACATGCTCTTCAGCATTTGTTATTGCCTGTCTTTTGGATAAAAGCCACTTTAACTGGGGTGAGATGATATCTCATTGTAGTTTCGATTTGCATTTCTCTTGTGATCAATGATGTTGAACACCTTTTCATATACCTGTTTGCCATTTGTATGTCTTCTTTTGAGAAATATCTATTCAGATCTTTTGCCCATTTTTGAATCGGATTATTCTATTTTTTCCTATAGAGTTGTTTGAGGTCCTTATAGATTCTGGTTATTAATCCCTTGCCAGATGGACAGTTTGTAAATATTCTCTCTCATTCTGTGGATTATCTCTTTACTTTGTTGATTGTTTCCTTTGCTGCACAAAAGGCTTTTTTTTTTTTTTTTTTTTTTTGAGATGGAGTCTCACTCTGTCACCCAGGCTGGAGTGCGGTGGTGCTATCTCAGGTCACTGCAACACCTGCCTCCTGGGTTCCAGTGATTCTCTTGCTTCAGCCTCCCGAGTAGCTGGGACTACAGGCACCTGCCACCACTCCCGTTTAATTTTTGTATTTTTAGTAGAGACGGGGTTTCACCATGTTGGCCAGGCTGGTCTTGAACTCCTGACCTCAAGTGATCTGCCCACCTCAGCCTCACAAAGTGCTAAGATTACAGGCGTGAGCCACTGTGCCCGACCTGAAGCCTTTTAACTTAACGTCATCCCATTTTTCCGTTTTTGCTTTGGTTGCCTGTGCTTGTTGGGTGTTACTCTAGAAATTTTTGCCCAGACCAATGTCCTGGACAGTTTCCCTGATGTTTTCTTGTAGTGGTTTCAAGGTTTGAGATCTCAGATTTAAGTCTTTAATCCATTTTGATTTGATTTTTGTATATCATGAGAGATAGGGGTATAGTTTCATTTCTTCTGCTTATGGATATTCAGTTTTCCTCGCACTATTTATTGAAGAGACTGTCTTTTCCCCAGTGTATGTTTTTGGCACCTTTGTGGAAAATGAGTTCATTGTAGGTGTGTGGATTTGTTTCTGAGTCCTCTTTTCTGTTCCATTGGTCTATGTGTCTTTTTATGCCAGAACCTTGCTATCAAGTTTTTCCTTATTACATTTTTTGCCTAGTTATTTTTTCTCCAGCAACACAAAATAATTCAGTTAAAGATGTGTTTACTATAAACACCTCCTCACTATTCTTGCTAGTGACCTATTTTGAAACGACAAAATTATATAACTTGAAGAAAATGAAGATCATCTTAGTTGGTCTCATAATTTTGCCTGTGGCTTCTACAGAGAGAATTTTCTGGGTGACTCTCCTAGCTAGATATAGAGTGGGAGGGCTGCTGTAGCATCATTCAGTGCTTTTCCCCAACAGCTGGTCAGATATTTTCTGATAGCCTTCATATCTCCCATCATTTTCTCCATGTCTTTCAGTTATTCCTCTTCTGATATAGTTTCTGGGATTCTAGTTTCAACATACTTTTGAGATCCCTCTAGTTTCTGTGTTTTGTTGAAAGGTATGACATTCAGGATGGAACCCAGTACTTCAGGCAGCAGATGACCCAGCACAGTTTATTTTAGTAGACATTTGGAGAAATGTATATGTGTGTGTGTGTGTGTGTGTGTGTGTGTGTGTATATATATATATATATATATGTTTATTTATTTATTTATTTATTTTTTATTTATTTATTTTTTTTTTTGAAACAGAGTTTCGTTCTTTCACTCAGGCTGGAGTGCAGTGGGGCGATCTTGGCTCACTGCAACCTCTGTCTTCCAGTTTCAAGTGATTCTCCTGCCTCAGCCTCCCGAGTAGCTGGGAGTATAGGCCCCCGCCACCACGCCTGACTAATTTTTCTATTTTAAGTAGAGACAGGGTTTCACCATGTTGGCCACCCTGGTCTCGAACCCCTGACCTCGTGATCTGCCCGCCTCGGCCTCCCAAAGTGCTGGGATTCCAGGTGTGAGCCACTGCACCTGACCTGACAACAATATTTTTTAAAATGCAAATGAAATTACTAATAGTAATGAAATTAGCACTCATACCACCTTCCATCATTCTTCTCTTGTGTTTCTGGAGTCAGCACTACCAGGGTCTTTTTGTCTGTCCTTGAGTAAAGCTGTCTAAAGTCACCTTTTTTTAGTATTTTTCATTTTCCTATTGGCATTTCCTTGTCTCTTATCTTGTTAAGACCCATACAAGAAAATCTTTCCCAAAAGATTATTTTTAATAAACTGGTGCTAGATTGTTTCACATTCTTATTCCATTCTAATATCCTGACAGAGACAGTATCCATGTCCTGTAAGCACACCAGATCTAGGCAGGCAGCGATGCTATTAGACCCATGGAAAGTTGTTACACTGTCTTTCAGAGCATTTAATGACAGCCCACTTTGATCTATGTTCCAGTGCAGCTAAAACTGGTGTTTGTAGGGCAGAAAAGCTTTTCTTTGGCTTTATAACTGATTGTTGTTGATAGTCAGGGGATTTGAGTCATTATTAGAAGGCACGTAAAGAGGGTAGACTATGGTCAATGTTAGCCTCAGACTATATTTTTTCTTTGAAGATGTTTCCAATTTTGCTATCAATGTCAGGATCCTATAAGGACCAACAGTACTCTAAGTGATGTACTAGCAGAATGAAATTAGACCAAGAAATAATTTAGGAGGCTCACCTAACTCTCTGTCATGTCAGTATCCCATCAGTCACTGGTTAACAAGACAAACTTGTGTATTTCACTTTCAGGTAGATAACTTGAGCCATTTTTTTGATATAATTGGTTTTATTATTCTACAACTTTGTTAACAACTCTTATATTGAGTCAAGTTTTTACTTAAAATTTTTGCTCCCTTAACTTACCAAATAAATATGTAAGAGGTTGGAGTAAAGATATAATTTATATGCACATTGAAACACACTTTCCTAGTTCTTTAATTTGGTGACATTAAGTCAATTTAAAAAAATAATTTTCTTGAATTTCTTAAGTTGAATGAGCTATTAAAAAATCTCATTCAAAAGGGCTCATTTTATATGGTCTTTTAACTAATATTTCAGGGAAGTGAAGAAGTATAAAGTATTCTATAACTTATACAAGGCTTCTTCCCTTGGACCCCAGGATGTCAATTCCACTCTATTTGCCACCCACCACACTGTCCACTCCTCAGTCTCTTGTCTGTTTTCTCTGCACCTTCCCAACTTCTAAATATTGGAGTGTGCCAGGCTCAGACTTTGGAATGGATCCCTTCTCTGTCTATAGTCACTGTTTGCTAATCTCATTTACTCTCATAACTTTCTATGGTTCTCCTGATGTCTAGTTTCACATATTCAACTGTCTACATGACACCTCCACTTGGCTGTCTAACCTCAAACTCTTTATTCATTCCCATGCCTCACTCTAAAATAACCCCTTTTCAAGACTGTAGCATCTCTATAAATGGCAATTCTATTACTCACTCTAGGCATTCAGGCAAACCATTTTGGTGCCATCTGTAAATCTTATTTTCTTCTACCCAAAATCCAGTCCTTCCACAAATTCTGCAAGTTCTAACCATAAAATATTCCAAATTTGACTACTCCTGAACACTCCCATCACAACTACGCTACCCCAAGTACCATTCTCTCTCATTTGGATGATTGCAATAGCCTCATAACCTGTTTCCAAGCTTCTGCTCTTGTCCCTCTCTCCATCTATTCTTTATCTAGCAGCCATCATGATTGAAGGAGGTGGAAGAGGAGGTGGAGGAGATGGAGGAGAAAGGGATGAAGGGGAAAGAGAGGGAGAAGAAGGAGAAGATGATCGTCACTCCTCTGCTCAGATTCCTCCAGTGACTTCCTGTCTTGCTCAGAATAAAACCCCTGTGTGACTTAGCCTCTGCCCTATGACCACCCTTCTTCCCCTTGTCCTCTTATTCTCCCCCTAGCTAGCTATCTGTTCCATACTGTGGCCTCCTTGCTACTCCTCAGGTATGCCAAATGCATTCCTATCTCAGCAACTGTACATTTTCCAGGGATGCTGGACTTCCCTGTATCTGCATAACTTCTTCCTTTTCCTTTAGGTTTTTCCTTCAAAGTCACTCCTTCAGAGAGGGCTTTGCCAACCACCCTATATAAAATAACAGGCTCTTTTCTTTATCCTTCTTAACACTTGCTTCATTTTTCTCCATAGAATTTATTACCACCTGACATTTACATATATATATATATATATATTTATTTGTATTTCAGTAGGAACAAATGAAAGACAGGAATTTTATCTCTGTTCACTGCTGCATACCTGACCTAGAACAATGTCTCACACATAATAGATACTCAGTAAATATTTGTGAAATAAATAAATGTCATATGAAGCTAAAAATATTTTAAAAGTGGATTTGAAAACAAAGAAAATGTGGTCTGAGCATAGAATTAAGTAGGCAAACCAATGGAATGAAATGAATAGCCAGAAATAGACTTTTGCATATATAATATATTAATATATAATAAATTATCACCTATTAGTGGAAAGGGATTGGATATTTCCAGGGATTGGTGAACTTTTTCTGTAAACAGCAAAACAGTAAATATTTCAACTTTGTAGACTCCTATTGCCACTATTATGACAATTACTATAGAGAAAGGAGTCCTAGGCAATACAAACATGAATGGATCTGGCTAGATTTGATGCATGTGCTGTATTTTACCCACCCTTGGATTATTAGTAATAGAAACTCTATTAGAATAGTGGTTTTTATATATTTTGTTTACTGATGGATCTCAAGTATGTAGAATATTCTTGGCATGGAATAGACACTCAATAAAAATTGTTGATTTGAAGTAAAAATGACTGTTGATGACACTGACTATTTAGGGTGAAATGAACTCACATAATAGCAATAATTGAAATGGATTTCATGGCTAAATAGAAAAAAACCTGAACCAGTAAAAATGGATGGAAATGTAGATAATATTTATCTGTCTTTAGATGAAAGCAATAGATGAAATTAGCTAAGGAAAATCATAGCCATTTCAGTGTTTGAAAATTTAATACTTAAGTACATAAAAACATCATAAATAAAAATGAAAAATATCCTCACACTTGTAAACCCAGTGTTTTGGGAGGCCCAGTTCAGGGACTGCTTAAGGCCAGAAGCTTGAGACCCAGCCTGGGCAACATAGAGGGAGCCTGTCTCTACAAAAAAATAAGCTCGGCATGGTGGTATATGCCTGTAGTCCCAGCTACTAGGGACACCGAGGGAAGAGGATCCCCTGAGCCCAGGAGTTTGAGGCTGTAGTGAGCCGAGATCATGCCCCTGCACTCCAGCCTGGGCAACAGAGCAAGACCCTGTCTCTGAAAATAAATGAATAAATAAAACACATCAAAATTTAAATAGCTATGGTACAGTTTTAAAAAGGGTAATAACCATCACATGAAGAACTTATATGTATTTATAAGAAAAACTCTTAACAATTTAATAAGAAAATGGGAAAAACCAAACATTCATGATTTATAGAACAGGAAATACAAAAAGTTAATAAACCTCTGAAAAATGTTCAAATATTAATAATTTTTAAAATAACACAAAAAATAAGATCCAATTTTCAACCATCTAAGTTGCAAGCTTGGAAAGATAATATTAAATGTTGGTGATGGTTCAGCGTATGTATTTGCATATCCTGCTGATGAGAGTATAATTTCATGCAGCCTTTCTAAAAAGCGTTTAGAAAAACCCTTCATACTTTTCTAATGTGTCAAGTAATTTACCCTCCAAAAATCTGTCCTTGGGAAATAATTAGAAATGCTATAAAGGGTCGGGTGTAGTGGCTCAGACCTGTAATCCCAGTACTTTGGGAGGCTGAGGCAGCCGGATTGCTTGAGCCCAGGAGTTCGAGACCAGCCTGGGAAACATGGCGAAACCCTGTCTCTACAAAAAATACAAAAATTAGTCGGGTGTTGTGGCATGCGCCTGTAGTCCCTGCTACTTGGGAGGCTGAGGTAGGAGGATCCCTTAAACCTGGGAGGCGGAGGTTGCAATGAGCTGATTGCACCGCTGCACTCCAACCTGGGTGACAGAGCGAGACTCCGTACTTTTATGATAATACGATAATATGTAGTAGGAAATAGCTTAAATATTTAATATTTGACAAACGGTTAAATAAATTATTATATATCTATATGATGGATGTTAAAGTCACTGAGATTATTTTTTGAGAATTTTTAATAATGTAAAATGCTTAAGCATGAAGTATAAAAGGGAAGATGTGAAACACATAATCTAGAATGGTTTCAATTATGTAAAATATATATGGCAGAACAAAAATATTAGAAGAAAAAATTCCAACATGTTAATCATAGTCTTATCTGAATTATAGGATTATAAGTAATTTTCATTTTTCCATTTTATATTTTCTGTATTTTTCAGAGTTCCTACAATTAATATGTATTGGTATTATGAAAATGTTGTCTGTTTAAAAAAAGAATTTCGAATTCTAAGAAAGCCAGTTGAGTGTATGAGCTGATGATTCACATAAAAAGGAGATATAGAAAGCAAATGCTTGCAAAAGTTTTGGCCTCACAAATAACGGAATGCAAATTAAAATAAATATGAGATATCACCTCAGATATTTAGAGGAACATTTTTACTGTTTATGTAAAATACTAAAGTGATCTTAGGATTTGTATTCCTTATGATCAAAAGTATGTGACTGGCTCTAGAGGTGCCCTGCCCTGTAGAGTAGCCGCTTCCCAACTGTGGCTATTTAAATGTAAATTTTAATTCAGATAAGTTAAAAAAATGTAGAAATTCAGTTCCTCAGTTGCACTAGTCACATTTCAAATGTTCAGTAGGCACCTGTGTCTAATGGCTACCATATTGGACATCACAGATATAGATGATTTCCATCATTATAGGAAGTTCTGTAGGACCGTGCTGCTCAACATATGGTAACTTATTTACCATAGACGATCATCCTTGGAAGGGTAGCAGTCACTTTTAGAGCAGAAGAGAGGAAGGACATCATATATGCAAGGGGAGAAAATCAGACACAATTGTATCTAGAAATTTCACTTAACATCTGCTTGTTCAACAAATAATTTTAGAATATCTGTTATATGCTGAGGTGCTGCATGTCCAGTGGTGAACAAGACAGAGTTGTTCCTGGTGTCCAGGAGCATATATCCTAATGGCAGAGACAACATTTTACTTGCTCTTCCCACAGAAACGTTGATGGCTGCTTCCAACTTCAGTTCTTTGTGAAATGTTGCCTTATACAGAGATACCACCAAGCTGTTTAAATAAACAGGAATCCTTGACCATCCCCACCCTGCCTGCTACATTCCCTGTACCACTTGCCCTGCTTTATTTTTCTCTAGTCTGTTATTTTCTTTATTTTTACTACTTAGCATGTTATATATTTATTAATTTGTCTATTGTGTGTCTCTCTTGATTGGGAGAAAGGGTCTAATAGAGTAGGGACGTTGTTCTGTTTGATTCATTGTTCTAACTTCTAGTCTAATATGTAGCTTCAATTTAATAATTTGTGTCCTTATTACGTCTGACAAATATATAGTAAAATTCATCTGGAAGTAGAAGAAGACAAATATTTCAAAAGATGGATTTTTTTTTCTTGGAAAAGACAGTGATGGTCGACTTGGTTGTTTCAAGTTGTGAAACATATTACAGATTGGGAATCATTTCATTCTGTGGAGTTAGGTTAAAATATATTTTTTAAAAATCCATGGAGTATATTAGAGATTTGGGGAGAGATTTAGGTACTCATTAGTGACACACTATAAGACAAACCTCAGGTAACCTAGGAATGAAACAGGAATTAATATTTAATAAATGTTTTGAGGACAATTGAATATCCGTATGGAGAAAAATTAATCAGAATTCATAAATTAGGTCACCTTCATCAACAAATTGCAGATATTTTAAAGAGTTAAAAACTAGAATAAAAATGTATGGACTATTCTTTTTAAGAGGGAGTTTTTTTCTTCTTTATATTAAATATTAATAAATAGTAATGAACAAAATAAATAACAGTGCCTGAATGTTGAAAAGTAGTTTACACAATGAAATATAATGAAATATTTTAAATAGAATGCAAAAATACATATGAAATGACAATTGAAAAGAGCTCATAAAAATATGTTAAACTCATACTAAATGTGCAGTCATTAGGTTTTTGGAAAATGGTTTACAGGGCTTGAACTGTTGGTGTATGACAGAAGATAGAAATGAAATGATTCCATGAAAAAGAGGCCAACCTTGTTAACAGCAAGGGAAATGAAAAATAACTTTTAGGTATAATTAAATTGATAAAAACAATTATAATTTACTGGTATAGCAGTCAGTTCTCGTAGGAAACACATGGCACATTTCAAGAAACGAGGGCAGATTTAAGAAGGGATAGGAGAGTACTGAGGGATTTTACCACCTCTAGACCCTGAAGGCACATGGAGCAGGCATTATTACTAGATCCTGGGGAAAGCCTGGAGACATGGAGGAAGGGCTTCAGTAGCAGCTGTATCCAGAGAACACAGAAGCCCCTACAAGGAGAGGGAGATGGGGATGGAGGCAGAGGTAGAGTAGGTGCCTGACTTCTTTCTCTTCCACTCTGTAATCTCCTGCAAGAGCCTCACATTAGCTGAATACAACCAGAGCCCCAAAGCAAAAGCTATTTGGTGGTAATAAGGGACCATCCTGTGTATCTGTGGATAGTTTGTTGATAGTATTGTAAATTTATTATTTTAGAGGATCAGCCCAGCAAGCAGTATAAAACTGTCTACATACCCTCATCTGGTGATTCCTCTTTTGGTGAAATATGCCAAAAAAATCTGAAAGTGAAAACAGTAACTTTGCACAATTCTTTATAATAGCAAAAAAAAATCACATCATAAAAGATGAGCAAGAAGGAAATAACTAAGAAGATAAGAAAATGATTTGTAATATTGGTAATGTGTACCTCAACTCATTCCAAAAATGGCTTAAAGCATGATGGTGCATTAGAATTATGGAATAAATATAGCTTTTTAAAGTAAGTGTTTAGATAATGGCAGTACATAAAAGTGTTTTATAGGAAAGAATGTTATGTGAATAATATGTGCAAATGGATTAAAACTTTTAAACTATATGTATTGCACATAAAAAGATCATTTGATATGATGTAATTTTACTTGAGCCATGGCCAATCTATTGTAAAGAGAAAATAAATTAAAATAAAAGAAAATAAAGAAATATTCATATGTATGAGGATCATTTTCCTGAAAAATTTTAAAATATTTTAATAAGTGCTTCCTACATTTCTTGGCTGTCCATGATATTATAATATAAGATGCAAGGTGAAATGTTATCATTCATAGGGGACAGGAAAAACATCTTGAAAAATTATTTGAATTTCTTGTTTAAATGAACTGAGGACTAGGTTCCACATAGCTTTGTAAAACACAGACTTTTCATAACCCTGGATTTTGAAGAAAGTCTTGATCCAGAAATAGATTATTTTCATTAATCCACTGACTAAAAAGCAAATTTCTGGGTGGTTTTTTGGCAAGTGCCCAGTTGCAGAAGATGCAGTGTGGTATACTCTGATGACTCCAGAGAGCCCCACGCAATTGCATGAAATGTCACTGAATGAGGGAGGTCGTTTGTTTTGGTTATGATGGAATTGGTCTGCTACCTCTTCAACTTTATTATATTTTTAACCTATGTATCAGGAAGGTTCACTGTAAAGCCAGTGTTAGGAAGATACTAAAAGAAGTAAATCCTAATTCTTATCCATCATAGGAAGATCAATTTTATATTAGATCTGGGACCATGTAAATTAAATTAAATTTTAATCCTAGGTTAGATGTTCCAGGAATATAGCCCAACCTAAAGTTAACCTAAAACAAAATAAGAGTCCTTAATCCCTCTTTCATTTAAAAATTTACTAAATTATTAATTCATTTCACAAACGTTTGTTGAACATCTTGTGTATGCCAGGCACCATGTTATATGCTGGAACAATAACTAGAAGGTTACATAATTTGACATAATTTATTTCCGTTAATTGCACTGTTCCTGCAGTTATCCTATGAAATTAGATACCCTAAAAATCTTTAAAAACAAAGTCAGGTAGGGGTCAATTAATAGATGAGGAAAAAGTGAACTGCTCAGATGGGAAGTGACTTAGATGCAAAACAAACCCTGTTCTCTTTCTCCCGCCTCCATTTGGCAAATGCTGGCATTAGTGCTCCCAGATCTCAAAACAAAAGCCCCAGGACACATGGTTTGAGAAGGAAAATGTTCTCTTTTATGAATTTGTGTGAAAGCTTTTAAAACAATATCAGATTAAGTGACATTGACTTATTCTTTTGGTTAAGCACCTTATTGAAAATTTTTAAAAATTACATAAAAATTTGGATGGTCTAAGAACATCTGGAACATCTGGCCACCATATTACCAACCACAATTTTGTGAAAATTTAAACTTTCTTTCTCTGCTGCAGTTTTTCAGTCTTTTCTAACATTCTCTGCCCACCACTCCCACTTCTTTTTCTTTTTATCTCTATGTTTTTCTGTCTTTTCACCAGCCAACTTTTTTTCATGTGTTTTTAATTAGGTATCTTAGCTTTTGCAATTTGTTCATGCTGACATTGAAATTTACAGCAAAATGCAAAATGACCAATTACTGCCTCATTTCATCAGATGTAAAGATCAGAGCACGAGCCAGGGATGCTCTTTTCTGGTCTTTCTCCAGCTTCAGCATTGTCTCTTTGGCTGAGACCACTCTGAGAAGAATGCACGCAAACCTATACTTCCATGCTTCTTAGATAATCCATGGATGATAACATCAAAATTATTGGGAAGGGTTTGATTTATCTTCTCCTACCTTTCTGTTTTCCTCTCCAGATGCTTTCTGTGTTTGTGTCCTCCAATTTGAGTGAGGGTTGGGAGTGAAAATGTTTGGAGTTACTAACTACCATTAATCACCTTTCTTACACTTAGAATGACTGTTTCGTCTTTGGTCTCTTACATTGAGTGGAAAAGTGTTCTCCAGCAAAGCCAAGCTTGGAGGCTGAGGGAGAGGTTGGTGTGCAAGAGAAGGGAGAAGCAAATTAAAAAGAAGAGGCTGGGGGTCTGTGAAAGAATTCTGGTTTCAAGGCTGAAATGACAGGCTAACTTGATGGAGCAGCTACTGAAGATTGATACAATTATCATGATTTCAGGCTGAAATGCTTCTCTTCTCAGCAACTTTAAAAAGCAGAAGAAATGTTACTGACAACTATTTCAGGACAATTTTTAGGTGGTTCCAATACTGAATTGTGGTTTAAAAATGTGATAAAACATATTGAGTTGTTTTATTTTCTCTCCAGGTTTGCAACACAACTACAGACAGGAAACATGCAGACATCTTTTTGGAAAAGTGTGTTACTGAGTCAATAATGAATATTGTGAGCGGCTTCTTTAATTCTCCCTTTTCAGACAATAGTACCAGCCTCCAGGTAAGTTAAACAATTGCAAAGCATTCTGTTGCAAAGAGTTTCTCTTATTTGAGTAGGAGAAATTTTTTCTGGTCAGGAAGTCATCTCCTACACTTCAGATGTTTATTCTTCTCTTATATTATTTACTATTATGCCTCTTTCTGAGTTTACCAAACTTTACTTTAAATAAAGAGACCTCATCTTTAAATTGAATTATTTTTCCTTTTTCTCTAAGCAGACTAAGAACTTCATATCTGTATGTTGATTGCCAGGTGTTGAAATAACTGCACAATTAATTCTTTAAATGATAGACATTTTGCCCCTAAAGTTTTACTTTAGTAACTTATCCTAAAAGAATTAACAAAGATTTATGTACTAAAACTTCTAATTCAAATATTTGTAATACTAAAAATTTAATCAATTAAACATCCTTAAAAGGAGGAAAAGCTAAATAAATTATGATATATCTGTAGGATGGTTTATTATATAGTAATTAAAAATCATGTTTTAAAGGGAAAATTGATGACCAAGAAAATAAACATGAAGTAATATTAGGCCACTGAATTCCATTATAGTATTATCCAAATTTGTTTGTGTACAGAATATATAAACATACATGCATAAAAAAACTCAGGGAGTAAATATCTTCAAATATTGATACTATATCTCTATGTTGTAGCATTCTTGATGATTTTCATTTCTGTGGTCCACAAATATTCTACAGTGATTGTGTATAACTCTTCTAAAAATATCATTTCAATTATGCTTTCTTTAGGGAAAAATTTTAAACTATTAGATAGAACCATAGGAAATTGTTTCTGTAGTTCAAAATGGTTGTCTCCTCTACTTGCCCATCATATGAAACCAAAACAAACCAACCAACCCAGAAACACCTGCTTATTTGCTCATGGGAATAAACCATGGATTATAAAAGATATTCATGTCATTGGCTTCAGGAAATGGCATATTTTTTTCTGATTAAGAATATAATTAAAATGAAAATAATCAATCCCCTATAGTGTGTAGCATCTTGCCTCTCATGAAGAGAGTATCTAATAAATGTTTCATGAATGAGATATTTATTAACTAGCACTGAAACTTGAAAGATTGTATTTTATTTTATTTTGATGAACCTTTCTGAGAATGCATAGATGCTACATCAGGGCTGTTAATGGTTTAGCATCTCTTTTTGCCTACCTTCTTTCTGGTTTTAGACACATCAGCCAGTTTTTATTCAGCTACTGCAATCTGCCTTCAGAATTTACAATTGCACCTGGCCAAACCCAGCGCAGAAAGCCTCAGTGGAATCCTGTATCAGAACTTTGGCTGAAGTGGGTAAGTCATAGTTTGAGTTTTACTTATTTTTACATTTCTTGAAGAAATTAGGTTTTTGGCTAATGGGCAACACAAGCAGCTTCCCAATTTACAACTTAAGAAAACCAGTATGTTTTCTGTTAAACTGAAGAGCAGCCATCAGCAAATGATTCTGAATGTTGCATACTTTTTGGGAGGAGGATATAATCATTATATTAAAAATCTTAAATTTAATATTATTGCATATGGAACTTTAATATGGCTCAGTCAGATTTTAGAGGATTTTAGTTAATTGTTACCTCAGATTTCATTATGGAATTGTCTTGTCTATTAAGTGGCCTGACTTGCTAATACCTTCATATGACATAGGACTTTTTGAGGGTCTTGTAGTTTTCCAATTTTGTTTGAAGTGTGTCAATATTCAAGGCTTCAGAAATTACAAATGAAATTGAAGGCAAGGGAATTACAGCTAAAGGAAGGTGAGTAGATTCTAGAAGAGTTTCTCATAGATTCTTCTCTGTGTATGGGGGTGGGGTGTCGAGAGAGAGAGAGAGAGAGAAAGTTAATAAGTTAATTAGGGCCATTCCCCCAATGGTGGAGGGGAGAGGAGAGAAGAAATGCACACTTGGCTGTACTGAACAAAAAAGGAAGAGCTTGATCATCCTTTCAACTAATGGTGGCTCTGCAGACATTGGGAAAGGCAGTTTGTAGCGTATTTCATTATCAGTCTTCATCACTGTTAACATTTGTTGGGTACTTACCATGTGCAATGCCAGCCATTTACATGCATTATCTCATTTAATCCTTAGATAGGTTTTAAATTATTTACATTTGATAGTTAAGAAAACAGAGAGTTTTATAGGTTATGCAATTTGGCCAGGGTTATAGCATACCTCAACAAATATGTGAGAAATGAATAAATGACTTAACTAATTAATGACCATTTAAAATGTTTTTAGTCATTTCTCCCTGTTTGCAATTTGACCTAGGTTATTTTATATTAACAAAATTTAGTGACAGCCCTGATTTTGATTTGAATACAATGAAAGGCAGTTATAACCCAAGAGGCTTAATTGAAAATTAGTGGAACTAATAGACTAATAATACAGTTGACTTAAGTAATTAATTATAAATGAGTATTATACTTAACAGACTTTCTGTATACCACAAAAGAGAATGTAATATGAAAAAGACGTCATTATCAATAGCAACAAAAACATTAAACATCTAAGGGTAAACAATATGAGAGAATAAAATTTTACTATATTGAAGGATATAAAATATTTTAATAAATAGAGAAACATAATTTCTTGATTGGAAAATTCAACTGATAAAGATGCCAGTTCTCCTCAGATAAACTAATAACTTTAATGTTTCCACACCTGGAACCATTCTTTGCACATACCCTCCTCACCTCAGAGCCCACATGAGCTGGGATCCCCCTTGGTGGGCCACACCCCACAAGGATGCTGTCCTTTTGCAGCTTGGCCTCTGCTACCCTCCTATGGAGGGACATTGCCCTCATCTCTGGTCTTAGTCTGTTTTGTGCTTACTCTGTTTTGCACTGCTATAACAGATTACCTGTGACTGAGTAATTTATCAAGAATAGAGATTTATTTCTAACAGTTCTGGAGGCTGGGAAGTCCAGGATGGAGAGGCGTGCATCTGGTGAGGGCCATCTTGCTGCATCATCCCATGGGGGAAGGCAGAAGGTGGAAGGCAAGAGAGGAAAAGAGAGAGAGAGAGAGTGAAAGGAAGGGGGCTAAACTCATATTTTTATTAGAAACCCACTCCCAGGATAATTAATCCACTCATAACAGCATCAATTCATTTATGAGGGCTCTGTCCTCCTAAAAGTCCCACCTCTCACCTCTGTTTTATTGAGGATTAAGTTTCTAACACACGAACTTCGAGGGACACAATAAAGCCATAGCACCTCCCTTGGGCTGGTGCTAGGTCAGGCTGCTGCTCTGCAGGGGATCCCCTTCACCTGGCTTGGCCTCTACCTCTCTATCCTGGGCCACTCCTTTGCATGGATACACTCCTTGACTGTAACCCCCAACCCAGGCTGCTCCTCGCATGGACACCCTCCTCACTCCACTTGAGTTCTGATTCTCTGCAGGCAGTCCTCCTACATAGACCTTCCACTCCCTTTTGGGTCCCCACATTCTGGAGCGCCATGGCTCTTTTGCACATCTTACCCAGCACGGACACTTACTGCGCTGCGCTCCTCCTAAAGATTTTAGAACTGAATGGTGTGGGAGGGGAAGTGAAGAGGTACAGGAAGAGGAAGTGGTCACAATATGTATCATATCAAGAATAAAGAAGGACACACAAAAATAAAGAAGGAGAAATAAAGAAAGAGAACGTAATTTTTATTTTAAAAGGATGCACAGAAGAAAGTGTTCAGAGAGATAAATAAAATTTTAATATTGATTATCTCTGAGTGGTGGATGGATGATGTGTGGATCTGGTTTTCTTCTTCACACTTTTATGTAATTTCTGCTAATATATTACTTTCAAGTTATAATGAAACAGCAGTAAATGTATTTTTATTTGGGCCAAATCGGTTAGGAAACACACTAACCAATAAAAGATAAAATCAAAGGAAAAGCAAAGAAATATGATGGTGTTAATTTTTACATAGGAATACATTGTCTTAGCTGCTAAGTATTTTTCTTTCAGTATTTCACATATTAAGGTAGTCTCTTCTCTTTTTCCTTCTTTCTCTCTCCTCTTGTTCCTCCTCCTCTACCCCTCAATATTTAGCAAACGCAAGGCAGGGAAATACCAGTTGGCCCTACACAGGGCGTAGCGGGCATGTTGTTGATCACATGTATACATTGAGAGAAAAAGAACTTGGAGCCACAAGTGAAATTCCATGTTGTGACTGCTTTCTGAATTCTGACTTCAGTGATACTCATTGTGTAATCCAATCAGTTCATGCATAGAATTGCAGAGATTTGGGGGCTTAATATAGTTACTGAAACTATATTAGTCTAAATACATCTTTTATTTCTAAGTAATAAGACTTCATTTCCTACCATGTCCATACTGGCCAAAGCATTATAATTTAAGAGGAAATTTTAGTTCCTTTTCGTATGCTATAAAGACATGTGTGATAAGTCTAAAAAATAATTATATCGAAGGGTATAATCAAGATAGGTGAAGAGTGAGGTTTCCATATCAATCTCAGTTTTCTCTTTGTGAGAAGGCATGCCTTCTTCGTTTTCCTTGTTGGTCCCTTCCATCTGAACAGTTAAGGCTCTGGAAATTCTGTCCCCACTCTCCTTCTGCATTTGTTCTTCCCCTCCCCTTCCCCGCATCGTGGCCTCATTAACCCTTCATTACTTTCTTCTTGGACCACTGCAGGAAATTAATGTTATCTCCTTCTGTCTTTCCTTATTTAGATAAGCCTGATACCAGAGTAATCTTTCTGAAGTGAAATTCTTTGTCGGTTTAAAAAATCAACACTACATCCCCAACCTTCAGCAACATCCCTTTGCCTAACAACCTAAGGCTAGATTCCTCACTGTTACATCTAGGATGCCCCCACATGGCTCACACTAGCTTTCTCGAGTTTCCACCATTGCCACTCCTCAGCATCTTTCCCATTACTCGACTTTTTTTCTGCTCAAATTCCTCCATAGCCACCCTTGGCTCCTACATCCAAATCTGAACTCACCCCATTCGTCCACGTATGCCTTTCTTAGTGTCTGTGATATGGTTTAGACGTCTGTCCCCTCCAGATCTCATGTGGAAATGGGATTCCGACGTTGGAGGTGGGGTCTGGTGGGAGGTGGCTGGATCGTGGGGACAGATCTGTCATGAATGGTCTAGCACCATCCCCTCGGTGATAAGTGAGTTCTTGCTTGGTGAGTTCCCGTGAGATCTGGTTGTTTAAAAGTTTGGGACTTGCCCCGACTCCTTGCTCCTGCCCTCGCCACATGACCCCGTCTGCTCTCCCTGTGCCTTCCACCACGAGTGGAAGCTTCCTGAGGCCTCACCAGAAGCTGAATAGGTGCAAAGGCCATGCTTGTATGGCCCGCAGAACGACGAGTCAGTTAAAACTCTTTTCTTTATCAATTATCCAGCGCCAGGTATTTCTTTTTAGCAACACAAGAACAGCCTGATACAGTCTAATTTCATTCTAACTTACATCATCACAAGTACTATTCTTGTCTCCCATATTAGATTTTGATGGGCAACTATAAAGCAGCTGTCAAAAAGAAATTAATAGAAAGTTGTTACCTAGGATGAAGGTGAAAAGCAGATTCTGCTTAATGATGATTAGACTGTATGCTTTTTGGTTGTTTTTGGACGCTGGTCATAGAAACAGAGAACCAAAGTGGAACACATTCAGAAGTGAACCCTCAGTCGTCAAGGGATCTAAAATCACCTCACTTTAGTGATTGAAAACATTTGAAATATTTAGACAAAGAAAAGAAATCTGAGGAGGAACACAATAATTATTTTTAAACTTTTGAAGGTTAGAATAGGCTGTTTTTTTTTTTTTTTAACAGGTTCCCAAAGACAGAATTATAACTCATATATGGCAGCTGCAAGAGGCAGATTTCTGTGCTACTTGAAAAAGTAACTCTTTTGCAGTTAGTACTCTTTTAAAACCTTAGGGGTCACAGTGGATTCTTCCCTTTTGTTTACTCTCATTAAACACAGCAGCAAATTCTGTCAGACCCATTTCCAGAATCTCTCTTTTTCTTTCTCTTGTGTCACCCTTGTCCAAATCTACCATCATCGGACATGGATGACAGAAGAGTGTCCTTACTAAATGTGCCCCTGCAATCCACTGCCTGCACAGTTGTTAGAGGATCTTAACATGTAAACCTGAGCATGTCACTCACCCACTGACAACTCCCCACTGCACTTACAAAAGCCCTTCCTCATCTGAGCTGGTCTAGTCTGACCTTTTCCCATCACCCTCCATCTCCTCCAACTCTGCTCCATCCACACTGACCTTCTTTCGGAGTCTCATCTGCTTCAGGCATTTCCTCACCTGAGGACATTTGCATATGCCATTCCCTCTGTTTGGATCCTCTTCCTGGAGAATGTCACTTGCTGGTTTCCTCTGTCAGTCAGATCTCAGTTCAAAATATAAGGGCTCAGTGAAGTATTCCAGAACACCCCCCATGCAGTGTCTCAGCTTCTTCCTGCTCCTTATCATCTTAGACCATTTCATTTTCCTCTTAGCTCTTGTCACTATTTGAAAGCAGCTTGTTTGTTTATTTATTGCTTCTTTGTTGTCTGCCCCACCCCCCTTTAGCATGTAAATGATAAAAAGAGGAACTTTCCTTTCTTCACCACTGGAGCCTGAAAGTGTTTGTTCTTGACTAAGCAGATTAATAAGTGTTTGTTGACTGACAATAATCCATAGGCTGGGAGTTTCACAGAGTGAAAGTTAGGCTTAGAAAGGTTAAGTAACTTGTCCAATTAATAAGTATTTGAGTTGGGTTTGAAATCCAAGTTTCAGCCAGGCAGGATAGCTCATGCCTACAATCCCAGCACTTTGGGAGGCCAAAAACAAAATTAGCTGGGCATGGTGGTGCATACCTGTAGTCCTAGCTACTTAGGAGCTTAAGTGGGAGATCTTTACTGCCCAGGAGTTCGCAGCTTCAATGAGCTATGTTCGCACCACTACACTCCAGCCTGGGTGACAGAGCCAGACCCTGTTTCTAAAATAAATAAATAAATAAATAAATAAATAAATAAATAAATAAATGAAATCCAAGTTTCTTTTGAGTACGAATTTTATGCTTTATCATGTTGCCCCAAAAGTCCTGTCTTAGAAAGTCCTGACATATAAACTAGAACTATGGACATTTGGCTTACTGGAGTCAAAAGACAAAATTACAACAAATTTTATTTAAAGATCTAATTGCCTTTTATTTGCCACTATTACCATGTCAACCCTGTTTCTACTACTCTCACCAATACTTTCAACATGAAACTAGAAATTTAGGTTAAGTCAGACCAAGAACCTTCAAAGCCCCAAGTAAGGAAACCATACTTAATTTCTGTTAACCAAAAATAAGGACTGCAAGATCTTATCTTACATCAACTGAATGCAAATCAATCACTTTAATTGAGCTAACTCCTTCCTAGATTGGTGGGATCCAACCCCACGAAAATTTAGCCAACAGCTAAATACCCTAGTCAACTGGCTTCAGTCTACTTAACGATTCCATTCTAGAATCAAGCAGCACCTCAGTTGCTTTTTAGACAGAAAAGGGCTGAAGAAAGTAGAAACAAGGAACAAGAAGCAAATTGGCCTTTTCAAAGTTCCCTTCCTTAAAGGGTTAAAAAACATCGTGCCAAACTAGGCCCCTTTTAATGGATTGCCATGAATCTCCTGTTTTCTTGGATAAGGCCCATTTCAGAGTTCTGCTTGATTATGTGGCACTTAGCATGAATGACTTCATTCTGGCCTGGTCTGCTGGGGCCTAGTGCAGGAGGCTAGATCAAAACAATGGCCTCCCATAAAACTTTGTTGGGTGGGGATCTGTCTGACATTTTACAACTCAGGTGCAAAATTATTTTTGTGTTTCAGCAATTCTTTAAAAACACACAGAGGCACTAAAGTTTAGCAGAATTCAAATATGCAAGAATTTTTAATATTAAACAGAACAAGGGATATGCATATTTAAAATGCAACAAAGTCAAGAGAGTACTTTGTTTATAAGGCAGATTTTCAGTGCATTTCCAAGTTGGTAAACACATTGCTGTCAATGTAAAGATCAATTATAGTCATATTTATATAACATTTTATGATTTGTAAATTGCTCTCAAGTACAGTAGCTCAACTCATCTAGCATCAAAAATACTTCATTCTTTTTCTTAGTTGTACATGGAATACAAAAGGTAGTAAAAATCAGCAGAAGCACTCTCTAAGTCAGTGTTTGCTTTGCTGAGAGCAGCAAGCATTTACTGAGTGTTGGAAAATCTAGTGAAATCTATGATGTGGACATAATTCTTAGCTCCATTTTATAGATGGGGAAATGACGTTATCAGGGTTTGGCAGCTTTCTGAAGGTCACACAGGTAGGCAGGGCCTGAGCCAGGATCTGAATCCCTTCTGCACTGACGTGCTAGCGGCATTAACCTCTCCTATCACAAATCTCTGCTCTGCTATCACAAATCAGTTTAAGCAGATGTGTTACCTGTTTTATACCGTGTGCATTGTGGATCAAGGTGGTAATTTAAGCTATACATGAGACAAATATATAGAGTTTTCAAATAAAGTAAAAAGAAGGTGAGGAGCTAGTGAACTGAGTTATAAGGGTTTTGGGAAAGTCCTTTATAGAAAAAGAATACTTCCTATCATCTATTGCTTTTCCTCCTTTCCCTTGATTGCTCCAGAAGTTTGCTGTAACTTTATCTATTGCCATTAATGTTTTGAGGCTATGATCCTCTGTGAGTTTACTATGTCATGTCGAATTTTTCTGATAAAACTTCAGAAGTTTTTAAAACTGAAGCCACGATCAATTGTGAATATACCATGTATATCATGTTAGATTTTTCTGATAAAATGTTTTAAACTTTTAAAGGCTAAAGTGCTTTTGAATGTCTTTTTATATGTAGAAATTACTGATATTTACCTCCATTGTTACGCTGTCTTCTAAGATGTAGGACTTGAAATTGATAAGAAGATACAAGCTTTTAAGTGATCATAAATGCAAATTCCCCAGCAAAGTCATTACATGCAGGGGGCCTAACTGGAATGTAAGGTATAAACATCTTTATCATCCTCTGCCCTCAATGAGCTAAATTAAGGGTGATGGTGGGAGCAAGTAAGGATGGAGAGCTCTGCAGTAAATGTACACCATGGTGTTCACAGAGATTTGAGAAACGTTCAGGGCATTAAGGCTATGCGAATTTTTTTAATGCACTTGGTCAATTGCTGTTCCTCAGTTGATTCGTTTATTTGAAGTAAAATAGCACATGGTAGAAGTATAGGACTTTGAGAAAAAGTATCCAAGAATTACTTCCATATTATTCCTCTTAAAAAAGAATTTTGTTCCATGTGTTTCATAATCTTCAAATGATTTGGGGGAATTAATGCTGGGTACTTTGTTGGCAACATAATCTATTTTCCAAGTGGAAATTCCATAAAATATCTTTTACAAATGTTTTGAATAATAAACATCAATTTACAAGCCAACTTGTCCCAAAAAATTGTACATGTAGAAAATATTAACTCTTTCAGAAGAGAAATTCAGTCTCTATTAAATAAACATTATATCTATTTTAATCTATCTAAGGTGTTGTGGTTGATTTTAGAAGGAGCTTGACATCATATATCCCTGTGATCACAGTTTTTAAAAACTCAATTATTACTAAAAAAATTAAATCTGAGTAAGTTATAAAATAGGACAATATCATACAATTTTTCACATATTTATTAACTCAACTGATTTATAATGATTCCTCATTATCTGAAATGCATTATTCTAATTTTGGGGGAAATGCAATATGTCAAACCATGTTTTCTACCCTCGATTAATTTCCAGTATATTAGGGGTAGATATAACATGTACAGAAATAACAAAGCAGAATAAAAGTAAGTCCCCTACCTGTTATAAAATTCTAGAGCCTGACCTTGTCTATAGCACAGTAGGTACTCAATGTATATTTATCACATGAATAAAATAAATGAATACAAATAAATGGGTGAGTATCTCATTCTTCTCTTTGGCTGCATAACATCCCATTTCATGACTATTAAAATAGATTTAACCTCACTATTGGATATTTATGTTGTTTTCAATCATTTTGCACATGTGAATAAGGTAAATACCTAGGAATAGACTTTTTGGGTTATTTCACTTCTGACGGATGCTGCCCTCTGTAGAGATTGTTCAATTTACACTCCACCAGCAATGTAGGAGAATGTCTTTCTTCTTCAGTGCGTTAGATTTTTGCCAACCTTGTAAGTAAAAATATTTTTGTAGTTTTAATGTGTGTTTCTCTTTTTTATGAGTGAGGAAAAAAACATTAAATGATTGATATTTCCTTTTCTGTGAACTGTCACTTCTTGTGCTTTCCTTATTTCTCCTAATAGGTTTTTTTCTTAATAATTTGTGTAACCATTTTTAAGAAAATGATCTCTTTGCCTATAAGTAACAATTTTTTTCTCTTTTTTTCTTTTCTGATTTTTTTTTTTTTGAGACAGAGTCTTGCTCTGTCGCCCAGGGTGGAGTGCAGTGGCATGAACATGGCTGGCTACAGCCCCGACTCCCCTGGGTTCAAGTAATCCTCCCATCTCAGTCTCCCGAGTAGCTGGGACTATAGGCACGTGCTGCCACACCCGGCTAATTTTTGTATTTTTTTGTATAAAGAGTTTTTACCATGTTACCCAGGGTGGTCTCAAATTTCTGGGCTCAATCAATCCACCCGCCTTGACCTCCCTAATTGTTGGGATTACAGGTATGAACCACCGTGCCCACCATATTTTTTTTCTTGCCATTTGTCATTTGAACTTTTATTTATTTTTTGGCATGCAATATTTTTAAATTTTCTTTTAGGCTTTTAAGGTTTTCTTTCATCTTCGGAATAGCCCTTATCAGTCTAAGATGTTTTTTGAATTCTCATGGAGAATTTTCATAGTTTTGGTTTGTCTCTTTGTGTTTTGGGAGTTGCTGTTTAAAATTGTGAGCTATCTGGGATACATTTAGTTGTGAGGTATAAGGTGTGGAACCAACTTTATTTTTTCCAGATGACTAATCAAGTGTGCCAATACTAGTTCTTCAATAACCCATAAAAATTACGTGCATTATTCAATGTAAGGATTAATTGAGGATTCACTCAGTATAATTTGAGTGCCAAACAGGAAAGATGAATTTAATATATTTGATGTTCTTCCTGTTTATGTATACTGGTGCTTCAGTACAGATTTATTCTGGGTCCTTTGACATGATACAGGAAATGTGCCATTCTCTGTCCCTGCCATTCCACTTTCCTGTGCTCCACCTGGGCTATACAGTAGAACTTGACAACCAACCAGGTTTTCTAATTAATGCTTACACTTTCTGTTGCCTTTCCCCCCTACCTGTCAGTTTATCTAGCTAAGCATTTTTCTCCATGGCACCTATCACTGCATTGTTTGTATTCTCAGAGATTTTGGTCTGGCAGATACCATCAGTAATTCCATCTAATTAAAATTTTTTTATATAATAAGCAATATTTAATAATAATAATTAGAAATAGATTTTGATTACATCTTAAAATCACTGCAAAGACTTGTCATATCCAGAGAACTTCCGAGGTTTATAAGCCTAATTAGACAGTTGCCTAAAAATAAAAAAAATTGTGAATAAAGATAGCCTATTTTAGAGAACTGTTATCTCTAGGCAGAGCTCTACAAAAGATAAATGCATTGATAACAACCCATCCTCTCTCTTATTAGTTTTTTAAGGGATCCATGTACTTACTTGCTGACAGTGTATCCTTAACAAGGTGTATCTCAATTGCGTTCCAACTTAGAAGTGAACTAGGAACAAGTATTTTAAAAAATATTTTAAACTTTAAAGTGACCCTTTGTATTAAAGTACATAGTTGGAGTTAATGCTATAGGCCAGAAGAATGGCTAACTGTAGTAAATTTATTAGCTCTTCCTTATTGAGAGACAGATGGGGCAGAGAATAACTGCTAATCCCAAGAATACATTCTAGTTCACATTTTGACATTTTATATATATATATATATATATATATAATATATATAATATATATATATATATATAATATATATAATATATATATATATATATAATATATATATATACCAGAATTTTTCTAGCTTAGTAAAAGTAAGCTAACTTTGGATTGTGTTTTTGATTGCATTTGAAAAATATTGTTCTATTTATTAATGTCCTTGTAAGTGAAATGATAAATTAATATTTTCATTTTTTAGACATAATTTTCTTTTTTGTTTTTTCTGCTTTAATTTTTAAACAATGGACAGCTAAATTGGCATTGTTAATTTTGGTTTTGGATTAGTATTTATACTATTTGGACAGTGCAGCGAATTTATTTCCGACCATATCTTTAGAAATACTTGTGTTTTTACAATTGTTTGAAAAAACTTTGTCTACAAAGCAGACTGATTTTGACTCAAAAAATCTTTTTCTCAATTGCATAGTTAATTTTCTATTATTGCCTAAAAATTGTCATTTAGCTCTGTTCAAAGTTTACCTACAGTTGTGGAAAGTAGTATATTTTACCTTGCTAATTTTCATTGTACAGTTCATGTGAAGACAGGAGACTAGATAATATCAATCGAAATGGGATGGTTTGAGGGAAACAAAAAAACCTTTCAACAGAGTTTGGGATCGTGGAGTCTCCCCAGCCTGGTTTGTCCATGGTGCTGGCTATAGAAGAATGTGTTCCATCAGCAGCTTACAAGAGATTCTGGAGGTGGATGAGATTTCCCTGAAGTCACTAATAAAAAGGCTGCATTGTTAATAACAGAGGTGCTGCCATTGAACTAAATTTTCACTGGTGTCATTAGAAAAATATTCATTGAGCACTTCTTTGTGTAAGTCATAGTCATAGCAGCAACACTTATTTGATGGTCAATTTCACCTAATGTACCTGATTCCTAAAGGGCAGATAAATCCCAATCTCCTCCCCAATTTGTTTAAATGTCAGTGGAAACTTGTTTGTAACATGTTTTGAGAAACATTTTATTTTCGTTGCTTAGAAAATAACATAGAAGCAGTATTGTCTTCTGTTTGATTTTTGAATGTTTAGAGCAAACCCAGTTTATGTGTGAAGCAGCCAGAAAAGGATGAAAATCTTGCCAGGATTTGATCATGGTGCAGGATTAAGTATTTATAAAACTATGTGCTGTTTGGCAGAGTTGAGGCCATCTGTCCTTCAGATGAGACAGAAGTGCAGTTGCACTGCTGTGTGTGAAAGACATAAACAGAGATATTGCATGCTTTGGGAAAGGGAAGCGTATCATGAATATTAGGAAAACATTTACTAAGGAAATTTAAGCAGTGGTGAAATTGATTGTTTAAGGTTGCCTTATAGCTGTTATTATTTCTATAAAACTTCAGAGTGAGTTTTTGTCTACATTAGTACATGTTTTTGGTGTGGCTAGTGAAAATTATCTATTTTCTTTCTTCCTTTCTTTTTCCTTTCCTTTTCCTCTCCTCTCCTCCTTATCCTTCTCCTCTCTTCTTTCCTCTCCTCCTCCTCTTCCTCCTCTTCCTCCTCTCCCTCCTCTCCCTCCTCTCCCTCCTCCTCCTCTCCTCTCCTCCTCCCCTCTTTCCTCTCCTTCTCCTCTTACCTCTCCTTCTCCTTCTCTTCTCCTTTCCTTCTCCTCTCCCTCTGCCTCTCCTCTCCTCTCCTTCTCTTTCCTCTTCCCCTTCTCCTTCTCCTCTCCCTCTCCTCTCACTCTTCTTTTCCCTCTCCCTCTCCTCTCCTCCCTTCTCCTCTCCTCTCCTTCTCCTCTCCCTCTCCTCTCACCTCTCCTCTTTCCTCCTCCTTCTTCTCCTCTCCTCTCCTCCTCTCACTCTCATCTCCCTCTCCCTCTCCTCTCCCCTCTCCTCTTTCCTCTCCTTCTCCTTTCCTCTCCTCCTCTCCCTCTCCTCCTCTCCTTCTCCTTTCCTCACCTTCTCCTCTCCATCTCCTCTCCTTCTCCTTTCCTCTCCTTCTCCTCTCCATCTCCTCTCCTTCTCCTTTCCTCTCCTCCTTTCCTTCTCCTCTTCTTCACCTCTCCTTCTCCCCTCCCCTCCCCTCCCCTCCCCTCTCCTCTCCTCCCCTCTCCTCTCCTCCCCTCTCCTCTCCTCCCCTCTCCTCTCCTCCCCTCCCCTCTCCTCTCCTCCCCTCCCCTCTCCTCTCCTCCCCTCCCCTCTCCTCTCCTCTCCTCTCTACTCTCCTCTCCTCTCTTCTTTTCTTTCCTTTTTAGAGACAGGGTTTTGCTGTGTTGCCTAGGCTAGATGCAGTGGCTATTCGCATCACAGTGTACTACAACCTCAAACTCCTGGACTCAAGTGATCCACCTGACTCAGCCTCCTGAATAGCTGAGGCTACCATTGCATCCAGCAAATTGTCTATTTTCAAACAAGTTTTTGAGTATCTTTAAGCTTCAGAGAATTTCCACCAGCTGGTAATATTATCTACTATTTGCTTTCCTTTCATTATATGAAGCAAGCCAGATTATCTATCTATCTGTCTGTCTGTCTATCTATCTATCTATCTATCTATCTATCTATCTATCTATCTATCATCTGTCTATCTATTCATCCAATTTTTTTTTATCCCTTCCTTCCTATTTTCATTCATTTAAAGTAAGCCTTCTGGGGACTATCATTATAATTTTAAATATGATCTTTATAGTTCTGCTATAACCATTTAGGACAAAAAATGTAGCACTATGATATTAAAACTTTTCCAAGTAGAAGAGAATTTCCTAACCATGGAAATAGCTGATGGATCTTTTTTCATTTGTTTCTAACTTAATTTTCTTCTTCAGATTCATACTTAGTTGCCATAGTTTCTCATATCCATGTGGACATGTAAAAATTATTTGCTCTTTTTTTAGAGTAATTTTTTCATAGGGGGTTCATTGAAGAATTTCTGAGCCTTTACGTATTTTGAAATGTTTTTGTTTGGGAATTACATTTGATTTTTAGTTTAGATGGACATAAAGTCCGTGTTTCAAAATTTTTCATCTATAAAGGTATTGGATCTTTTAGCATTCAATGCTGATGATGATAAGTCTGATGCTAGTCAGACTCTTTTTAGGAATCATCTTTTCTCTCTGGAAGTACTTGATATTTTCTCCATACTATTGACATTTGTATATTTTTCTACGGCTGGCCATAAATTAGCATAACTGTGTAGCTTAAAACAACAGAAATTTTAGTGTCTCACAATTTGGAGACTAGGAGTCTGGAATCAAGGGTTCATCAGTACCATGCTCTCTCTGAAGGCTCCAGGGAAGAATTCGTTCCATGCCTTTCTCTTAGCTTCTGAGGTTTGCTGACAATCTTTGGCATTCTTTGGCTTGCAGCTGCATAAATCCATTCTCTTCCTCCATCTTCACATCGTGTGTGTCCCTCAGGTATTTCTCTGTGTCTCTCCTTCCCTTCTTATAAGGACACCAGTTGAATTGGATTGGGGCCCACCATGATTCAGTATGACCTCAACTTAACGTGATTACATCTGCAAAGACCGTATTTCCAAATAAGGTCACATTCAGGGGGAGTGATGATTAATACTTCAACATATACTTTTTGGGGATGCAGTTCAACCCAAAACAGCATTCTAAAATTCTACCAGAATACGGCCAATATGCTTACTTAATCCTGTTTAACATATTGTGGACCTTTTTAATTTGGAGATGTACATGTGTCTTAAGCTCAAGGAAGTTGTCTTATATTGTTTTCTTAATAATTTCTTCTCTCACATTGTATCTGCTATTTCTTTCTGGAACTTATATTTGTTAGATATTTAAATTCCTGGGTTTACCCTCTTTATTTCACAGTCTCTCTGTTTTATTCTGCTTTTTGATCTTTTATGCTTAATTTTTAGAAGATTCCTTGACTTCCTTTCCAGATTACCAATTGTGTTTCTATCAGTTATTTTTCAGCCAATTTTTCACATGTTTATGTATGCAAGGACATTTTAATTTCTAAGATGTCATTCTTCTTTCTGATTTTCTAATTTTTTGGATGCAGTATATACTCAAATTCTCTGAGGACAATAATTAGGATTATTTAAATATTTCTTGCTTTTCCTTGAGTCATCCCTGTTTTCACTAGGATTGGTTATTCTTAATGGTATTGGTTTTCCTTGTGATCCTAGGTGGTGTGTTCGTAATTAGGAAAGTCCGTAATGACTGGCATAGGTTTCCACTGCAGTTTTAAAGGCCTGTTTCCTTCCTAGAATTCTTGTATAAATGACAGGGCTGACCTGGAATTCTGTATGAGAGGCCAAAGGCTGACCAAATGATACTCAGGCTTTCCTTTAGGCTGTGTTTGTGTTTGTGTGCGTGCATGCATATGTGCATGTGTGTGTATAGCAGAGGCAGACTGGGAACACCAGTAAATGTTAAGTAAGGAGGGCTTTGCGCAGGAGTTGGAGAATTTAATATATTTCCTCTCTCTGCTGGTGCTGCCTCTTCTCTCTCCCCACATTCTATCTTTTTTTTTTTTAGATGGAGTCTAGTTCTCTCACCAGGCTGCAGTGCAGTGGTGTGCAACCTCTGCCTACTGGGTTCAAGCGATTCTCCTGCCTCAGCTTCCTGAGTAGCTGGGATTACAGGCATGCACCACCACACCCAGCTAGTTTTCGTATTTTTAGTAGAGATGGGGTTTCACCATGTTGGCCAGGATGGTCTCGATCTCCTGACCTTGTGATCCGCCTGCCTCGGCCTCCCAAAGTGCTGGGATTACAGGCGTGAGCCAACACACCCAGCCCACGTTTTACCTCTTACTTGATGGTCTCTGCCATTACTTCAAGCTCCATTTTGCTTCTCTATCAAGTTCTAACACCTGCATTTGGCATTCTGTCCAGTCAGGTATTCTACTTTCTTGAGAGAACATTTCTTCATTTCTCTGACTTTGTCCTCCAGGTAAAAACTGCTTCTGCCAACTGCTATGTCTATGCTAATCAGAGGGAGGAGGGCCTTAGCTTCCCAGCTCTTCAGCTGTTATTATTTTTTTTAATCCGTTGTCATTGATTTAATTTGGATAAAATATAGAAAAATATATCCTTTGTATCTTACCTTTGTCTTTTTTTTTTGCTATACAAGTTTTTCTTCATGTTTTGTGTTATTTCTTTTTTTTTTTAATTATACTTTAAGTTCTAGGGTACATGTGCACAACGTGCAGGTTTGTTACATATGTATACATGTGCCATGTTGGTGTGCTGCACCCATTAACTTGTCATTTACATTAGGTATATCTCCTAATGCTATCCCTCCCCCCCTTCCCCCACCCCTCAACAGGCCCTGGTGTGTGATGTTCCCCTTCCTGTGTCCAAGTGTTCTCATTGTTCAGCTGTTATTCTTTAATGAGTTGCCCCATATCCCTGCTGCACTTTGTTTTGGTTGACTGCACACCTGGGAAGACCTTTTCTAACTCTAATCTCTTGTGGGGCAGTTTCTTCTCTTCTTTCGCTGATGGACTAATCCCATCTTCATTTTGCCTTGCAAAAATGCTTCAACATTACTGCTTTCTTTGTGACAAGCATTCTCAATTTTCAGTATTGTTGTGATGTAAACTTGTTAAAATATAAATTTCAGCAGATCTTGGGAAGAGAGCAGATCTCGGGAAGAGTGCCCTCTTCCAATGCAGATGTTTTACACTCTTCAACTTGTTATTTCTATTCTCAGATGTTTCATCACATACAATTTTGTGTGCACACAAACACTACTTAAATTAATGAATGGAGTGGAAGAATTATATCGTGTGTTTTATGTCTGCTTTCTTATTTATGTTGGCATCTGGGAAGGTACAAATATGCTGGTTGTTATACAGTGTGTTTCTGTATTGATGCTGTATAAAGTACATTTCAAGCATGAATCATTAAGAAATCAAATAAGTTCTTGAATGTTTCATGAACCCACTTTACTAATTGGTCTTAAGAATTGAAATACATTCAGGTTAGAAGCTTTTACAGTTATATAAAACAAGTTAATGGCAGAGTTTAAAGATTTAATATTTTTTCTTTTATGTTTATAAGATTGTATGGATAATATGTAAGAAACTTTAGTCAAATTAAGAGGGAAATATTTTAAATCTTTCTTTTTCAGCAAAAAATCGTGGAATTGCCATTCCAGTGGATTTGGACAGCCAAGTTAATACTCTTTTCATGAAGAGCCATTCAAATATGGTGCAGAGAGCAGCAATGGGTTGGAGACTATCAGCTCGCTCTGGGCCACGCTTTAAGGAAGCTCTTGGAGGGCCTGCTTGGGATTACAGAAATATTATTGAAAAGTTACAGGTACATGAAAGCGTGAAATAGCATTAATATTTTCTAAATTATATTTTTTAAAAATATGTAGTCACATAAATAAAATATGGTTTAAAATATCAAGTTCTATTTGGGGACCAGGCCTTGCTTTACAACTCTCTACTACCACTGCTCTTTTTAAACATATAGCTTCCATATGTCGTGAGTTATTTTTTAATGAGTGTATATTAATAACTCTGTTTTGATAGTATAGTAGTGAATAGTGGGTCTTAATATCAAAATAATGATCATAATAGCAATGATAACACTGGTAAATCAACTAAATATTCATAATCTTGCTTCAACTTATGTTTTAGTATTCCCTTCTAATCCTTTGGTCAGAATGATCCAAGCACCTTGCTCCCAAATTACTTGTATAGTATCTCACTCCTGATTTAGGCCTGGAAATTGTATTAGTTTGCCAGGGCTGCTGTTGCAGAATGTCACAGACTTGGTGGCTTAAACAACAGAAATTTATTTTCTCATAGTTTTGGAGGCTAGAAGTCCAAGATCAAGGTATCAGCAGGTATGCTTTCTCCTGAGGCTTCTCTCCTGGGCTTGCACATGGTGGACTTCCTGCTGTGTCCTCATAGGCTCTTTCCTCTGTGTTTGCACATGTCTGTGTCCTAATCCCTTCTTCTTATAAGGATACCAGTTATGTTGGATTAGGGCCCGCTCATATGAACTCATTTTATCTTAATTACACTTTTGAAAGCCCTAGCTCTAAAGACAGTCACATTCTGAGGTACTGTGAGTTAGGCCTTCAACATATGAAATTTGGGGGAGTTCTAATTCAGCCCATAATAGACATCTTCCCATTCACATAATTAGTAGAATATTGCATGGAGTTGAATTGGGGTATAGTTTGAAGAAGTTTTTTTTCTACAAAATGGCCAAGACATTAACTGAAATAAATATTATGAGAGGTAACATGTAGATGAGTGTTATACGGGATTAGAAGGACAAGTTAGATTCAGAGAGTATGAGAAACCTAAATGGTGTGAGACATTAAAAATTTTGGGGAAAATGCCATTATAAGTGGTTCTTGATTTGTAGGATAGGGTTATCTAAAAGAGACTAGAGGAAGAGGGACTAGTGAGAAGTTACTTAAGGTCTAAGCCAGGTGGTGATATGGATGAAATGAAGAAATAGGTGTTGCAGATAATAATGAAGGCAGGGTCAGCAGACCTGGGGCTCTTAGGTGGAAGTAGAGACAGGGCATGAGAGGAGTTTAAGAGGCCCCGATGATTAGAGACTAGGTAGTATCATTAAGACTGTTTATTTTAAGAGCAGAGGAGAAGAGAATGCAATAGGAGGGCAATGGAAAATACAGTGAACTAGGGTAGCAGGCTACTGAGTATATTGGAAGTTAAGTCTATATTTGAAGATAATAGTTGGAGCAAGGATAGTGGTTGGTATTGCTAAAAGAGAAAATACAGTGATAGGAGAAAAAAAAAGAACGCCCTATGAGAGGCTAAGGGTAGCAGAATGGCCACATAAAGAGTGCAAGAAAAAAAAGTGGGTCAGAAAGGAGGAGGATCAGGAGAGCAAAGGGAGTGGAACATTTCAGAGGAGAGGTATATAGTAGTGCCAACCAGCACAGAGAGGGTGTGCCTTAAACTTCTTTTAGTAAACTTCTTTTAATAGATTGATATCCATTAAGTAAGTATTTATTTAGTGAAAATTCTATGCTAGCCACTGTGTGAAGTGCTAAAGAGAGAGCCATGGGGTCTATGCTCTTCTGGGACATGCATTCTAACTCATTAAATAAATGATAAATTGTTGGATAATTAAAACTGCAATGTAAAAAATAGAACAGAGTAACAGCATGGTGGAGAATTACTGGGAGGGTGGCCCTGTAATTGTGAAGTTCCTCTCTGCCAGAGTAACAGTTGTGTTGAGATATGAATAATGAAGATGAATAATCTATTCCAAGATTTAGGTTCAGATAGTTTTATGGGAAGGAAATAGGAAATGCAAAGGTGCTTAGACAGGAGGTTGATGGGTTTGAAGATCCAAGAAAAGCCCACTGGGGCAGGAGTTTAGTGAGTAAAGGAAGAAAATATTATGAGATAAGGGGCCAAATCATGTAGAGACTTACATGGTGCTATGGCTGTGCCCTGAGTGTTTGTGTCCTCCCCCACCCCAAATTCATATGCTGAAATTCTAACCCCCAAGGGGATAGTATTAGTATTAGTATTAGGAGGTGATGTCTTCTGGGAGTTGCGATTAGAGTCCCTATAAAATAGGCCCGTGCAAGCTCATTCAGCCCTTCTACCATGTGAGGACACAGCAAGAGAAGTACCCTCTATGAACCAGGAAGTGCATCCTCACCAGACAACAAATCTGCTGGTGCCTGATCTTGGACTTTGCAGCCTCCAGAACTATGAGAAATAATTTCTGTTGTTCATAAGCTACTCAGTTTAAGCTATTTTGTTATAGCAGCCTGAACAGATTAAGGCACATATTAAGGCATTTTAATTGTATTCTATGTGTGATGACAACTCATTGAAGATTTTCAGCAGAGGAGAGGCTGACCTGGTTTACTTTTTAAAAGATCACTGTGAATTCTGAGTGTATTATAAGATCCAGACATGGAAGCAGTGAATCTAGTTAGGTAGCTTTGCATTAATTCAGGCAAAAGGTGATGGTAGCTTGGCTTAAGGAGGTAACAATAGTAATGCAGAGAAGTGTATTAATTTTGTATGTATTTAGTTGTAGAACTAATAGAACTTGGTGGATGAATCGATGTGTTGTAGGATAATGGAAAGAAGAATCAAGGATGACTCTGGTTTTGATATGATTGTGTTATTTACTAAGATAGGAAGTAATGGGAGAGAAAGAATTTGAGGCTGAGTTGAAATTAGGAGTTCTATTTGGGGAATTTTAAAGTTGAGATGCCTATTTAGATACCTAAGTGAGTGTGTCAACTAGGCTGTTAGATAAGTGAGTCTGAAGTGGTTTAGAAAGATGTCCATGCTGGAAATATAAATGTGGGAGTTCCAACATACAGATGTTATTAAAACCATAGAATTGGATGAGATTTCTCGGAAGAAAATGTAGATAGCAAAGAGAAAAGGAGCAGGAGCTATCAAGAGTTGATGAAGAAATAGTAAGGACGTAGGTGGAAAATAAAGTGTGATGTCATAGAAGTCAAGAGCAGAAAGTGTTTCAAAGAGCAGAAACCAGTGTGTAAAATGGTTAGGAGTGATTAAGATGAAGACAGGCAAGTAAACCACTGAGTTTGGGTGATGATCACAGCTAACTGGTGCTCAATAATAAAGATTACTAGCATTTATATGGAATAAGTGGCCTGTATGTGTTAGAGGATGTTCTATGCACTTACCTTTAATCCTTGCAGCAAACTCACGTGATTGTTAGTATCATTATCCTAAGCTTTCAAGTGGGGAAACAATGACTTAGGGAGGTTGCATAGTTGCCTCATGACCAAAATAAGAGTTAAAGACAGAATTCACATCACAGCAGCCTGAGTGCTATTTGTTTAATAGATGAAACAAAGAAGAGGTAATCTAAACAACAGGGACATTTAATTAAATATTGTCATATTTGATAAACATGCTCTCCCCACTTTTATATAATATCTAGTTTTCCCCTTTATGCTAGTTCCCATTAGTCTCTTTTAATTGTTTTCAGACATTTCTCAGAAAGCTTATTTAGAGTGGTTGAAGTAGAAATGATCACTTTTTCAGAAAGAGAAAGAATTAAAACATGAATTAACATAATTTATAAGAAATCAAGAGGGTGACATCCCCATCTGTGCTTCTGTAGCTAAGAGTGACAATAAGCAATTGGCAATGTTCTGCTTGATAAAAATATGCCATAGCTATGGGTGAATAAATTGTTCCTTTATGTAAGAAGTTAGTTTTTTTTTCTTCTAATGTAGTTTAAAAATAAAATGGGGGTGCTTTAACCATTAAAGAATGTTTAGGAAATTATGATTACCTGCAGTTCATTTTAGAAACATATCAGTTAAGATGCTTTCAGCTTTAAATAACACAACATTCAACTAAAAGTGACTTAAATAATAAAGACCATATCATTTCACATAGCAAGAAACCTGGAGCTGTGGCTTTCCTTGAGTTTGCTAATTGTAGGCCTGGGCCCCTAAAACCAAAGGTCTGTAGGCATTCAGCTTGATGCTGGTCTCCCAGGGTCACACGAGGGCTGTCTCAGATTTCGGATTCACACCCTCAAGCTGCCTTGAGAGCAGTAGGTGGTTTTGAAAGAACCTCCCCACACACCACATGTACCCTGCTCTCTCAGCTGACTTCACCTGATGTCTCATTGACTGGGACTGTGTCGCATAATCATACCTGGACAGATTGCTACAGGCGGAAATGGGATAACCATGCCTCTGCTTAGAGTAATCAATCTTGACCCTAAGCTGAGGGGGCTCATCCCCTGAGAATGTTGTGGCCTGACTCAGAAATGACATTGAGATTCTGTTAGCAAGGAAGAGAGTGAAGAAAGGCTGTTGGGTAGGTGACCAATAGGGTCTCTCAAAAAATATAATTTGAAATTCTGTTGAATGTCACTGAACCCATGTATAGTACTAATATTGCTTCAAATAATATTTCAGTGACTTTCCCCATTGGATGAAATGATTCATTCTGAATGACCAATGACACATGGGAATTTTTTTTTTTTCAATTTGAGACAGGGTTTGGCTCTGTCACCCAGGCTGGAGTGCAATGGTGCTATATTGCGTCACTGCAACCTCCGCCTCCCAGGCTCAGGTGATTCTCCCACCTCAGCCTCCTGAGTAGCTGGGACCACACGCGCATGCCACCATGCCTGGCTGATTTTTGTATTTTTAGTAGAGACATGGTTTCACCATGTTGACCAGGCTGGTCCCCAAATCCTGGCCTCATGCAATCCACCTGCCTTGGCCTCCCAAAGTGCTGGGATTACATGCGTGAGGCACCGCACCTGGCTGGAATTTTTTTTTTTTTTTTTTTTAAGCTGTTCCCTGGGTATTCCCCTAATTTATTGCAAAGTAATGAGTACCTCTCATGTCTCCATTATAATCCTAGGCACTGCAGGGCACATACAGTGGCTTAACTGACTTTTCCTCTATAGGTGTATATCCTTAGAAGTCTTATAGCTACCTGTCCGTCCCTTATCTTATAAACAAAAACACACACACACACACACACACACACACAAAAAAAAAAATAGAGACCCAGGCAATATTCTTACATAAAACCAGACTATAATTATGGCACAGACATTTGCTGCTATGGAAATAGAGGGGCATCTATAAAATTCCCATTAGTATTCTTGAGCTTGTCTTATCTTCGAAAGATGAAATCTGACTTACGCCTTCATGTGGGTTCTCTTGTGTTTCATTCCCTAGGATGTAGTGGCCTCCTTGGAGCACCAGTTCAGCCCAATGATGCAGGCTGAATTCTCAGTGTTGGTTGATGTATTGTACAGTCCAGAACTGCTGTTCCCTGAGGGAAGCGATGCAAGAATAAGATGTGGCGCTTTCATGTCGAAGTAAGTGGATCCAATCTGAGATTCTGCTAGTGTCGTCAAACTGACATGGCCTCTAACATTTCCGCTTTATACTTCACTGATATAAAATGACAGTCCGCAAAGTATGCGAAAGGTCTAAAATCCATGTTAAAATATACTGCCAGAATAATTAAATTGATTCATTTGAAATTTTATTTTGGTGAAGGTCAAGTTATCATATTTTACTAAATTTACTGAAAATAAAGTGTGTCATTATGGGGCACAAAGTATCATGCAAAATAATATTTTGGTCCTAATTCCTTTCCATAATTATATGGTGTGACCTTTAAAAAAATTCTTGTTTAAAGTCACTTATTTTCATTAACATAGGGAGAAAGGAAAAAGAGCTAGCTTTTATTGAGGTCTTACTATTGTCATATGTGTTTAACTATTATTTTATCTAATCTGCATAAACACCCAGAGACTGGGAGGTCAGCCTGATTCAGAGAGGAGATTGCTGAGGACCACGTGTGCTTCAGGTGCAGGGTTAGTAAGACTCAGACCCCGCACATGGCCATGCTGCCTGGATGATCCTCATCTGCCGCTCTTCCGTTTACTGATGTTTCTTAGCGTTTGTGGTATTGCAGATCTATTATAGCTGATATGTTTACCCTAGAGTATCTTCATCTTAATGATAAGTGAAAAATTCTCAAGGGAGATGTGCAAGGATAAGCAGTTGTGAGAAAAAGCATAACTAGTTCCAGAAAGAAGAGACTTGTCTTTATGTGGAGGGCACGTTATTGAGGGGGATCCGCAGGTCGTCACATGTAGACCCTAGATGGCCAGTCAGAAAGAGGGTGCTTGGTCTTCCTGGGAAGAGTATCTGGATGGAGAGTCAGTGAGATGAGCTTGCCAAGCCCCTTGACCATGACTCATCCCAGCTAATTCCTGTGTGGTAGAGGGTATTACCAAAATAGATCTGGAAACCTCTTCTATCAACTGTGATATATCGAGGCAGAGATTAAAGGACTAGGGCACACAAGAAGTGTGTTCCTTTCTTTCACCATTTAAGCTGGAACCTTGGGAGTGAAAACAAGGTATGGGATGAGAAAAACTGACTACAGGGATCATGTTGAAGAATAGGTGGGGTTTTTATACTATGGCCAGAATCAGGTATTTTTGGCTTTAGACTCATTGCGTCTTAGGGAGATTGGGAAGAGTGTATTTGTCCAGACACCTGCCAGTCTTGTGAGTAAGGATTTTAAAGTGAAGAGGCCCTGAGTGTACAACTGATGACTGCTGAGAACAGTAGAAAGAAAATTTTAAGTGGAGGTATTGCCTAGTAATTCACTATAAAAATAGGGTGTTGAGCGCAGTTCATTATTCAGATGATGGGTACGTTGAAAGCCCAGACTTCACCACTGCACATACATGCATGTGAGAACTCTGCACCTGTACCCATTACAGATCTAAACATAAGAACTAAATGAAAAAAAAAAGCAAAGATAATAGGATCTTTGATAAATACCCTTCATCTCCTATAAATATATGTCAGTGTATGGAATATGGGTTAAAAGTTAGGCGATAAACCTGTTAAATTCAGTAAATTAACATAATACAATAGCTATATCCCCGAGATGTGACAGCCTGGAACGGGTTGGCAAGCTCTGGCCCTCAGGCTAAATTGGTCCTGCTACTCATTTCTGTAAATAAAGTTTTACTGAAATACAGTAGTGCTCATTCATTTCTGGATTGTCTGTGGCTGCTTTCATGCCACTGTGGCAGAATCAGTTAGTTGCCACAGAGACTGTGTACCCCACAAAGCCTAAAATATTTACTGTCTGATCCTTTAGAGAAAAGGTTTCCTGACTCCTTGTCGAGAACTAGGGTGCCAGTATGGTAGCTACTAGCCACACATGGTTATTTAAATTATAGTTTAAATGAATTAAAATGAAATAAAAATCCACTTCCTCAGTCATATCTGCAACATTTCAAGTGCTCAGTAGCCACATGTGGCTAATGGCTACCAAATTTGGCAGCACAAATATGGAACACGTGTATTTTTGCAGAGAGTTCTGTTAGACAGCACTGGTCTAGAACTTGGAGATACTGGTCTATGAGAAAGTGTTATGAAGTAACTCATGATATCAAGCAAATATTGAGCTGTGCTGCAGATGGAGACAAGCCTGTGGCATCATTAGGTAACCTGAAAGGAGAGAAGCAGAAGTGATGTGATAATAGGAATACATTGCAGATCCCACACGCACATGAAGTAAAATGATGTTGTGTTTACATGAGTAGTTCTAGAAGGGATTTTTGTGCTATTGCAATTATATTACAGCCAGAGCCTCAGGATTGTCTGTTTTCTGCCTTACTGCTCACCCTACCACTTCCCCAACTCTGTGAAGAACTAAGGGTTTCCTTTGTAAGAATATCTTACAAAATTAAAATCCAACTTTATGAATAGCTTTGCCAGGGGTCTTTTTTTTTGAGACGGAGTCTTGCTCTGTCACCCAGGCTGGAGTGCAGTGGCGCAATCTTGGCTCACTGCAAGCTCTGCCTCCCTGGTTCACGCCATTATCCTGCCTCAGCCTCCCGAGTAGCTGGGACTAGAGGCAACCGCCACCAAGCCCAGCTAATTTTTTCTGTTTTTTAAGAGACAGGGTTTCACCGTGTTAGCCAGGATGGTCTCAATCTCCTGACCTCATGATCCACCCACATCGGCCTCCCAAAGTGCTGGGATTACAGGCGTGAGCTACCATGCCTGGCTGCCAGGGGTCTTGTATTGCTGTGCATACCATCCTGGTAAAGCTTAGCTGGAGAATATAAATTTAGGGCCAAGCCCTAAGTAGGGCTTCCTGCTTTCTCAAATAAATCTAATTCTTGGAATCTGTTGACTCAGATGAGTCTGCAGGAGAATATGAGGATAGACCCCAGGACAGGAGTCTACTTAACACATAGAGTGAAAGAGAAGAGAATAGGTCAATGATACTGTTAACCTTTAAGGCGGCTGATTAGAGTCCATTCAAATCAACACCTACTTCTCCCTTGTGAAGGAGAATCTCAGTGTTTTTCAAACCGTGGGGTGTGATCCATTTATAGATTTTTAAACTGACTTAGGTAGACGCAACCAGCTAATTTAAAAAATGAATTAGAGAAGATACAAATTATCAGAGTGCATCTCATAGTGAGGGTGACATTTGTGTGAGTTTATACACACACTCCCACACAGGTACTTCTTTACTGGGTTGTTTTGTGAAATATATTTCTTACTTTGATCATAGAAAAATATTTGAAAGTCACCGACCTAACTCAACCAAACATTATGTGGCCTTTGAATACCTTTTATAAATCTGTAGCAAGTGGTCATTCAACCTTATGGTTGATATTTTCAATATGGTTTATCTAAGGAAGAGTTAAAGAAAATGGAAATACTTAGCCTGAGAGAGCGAAAAACAAAATCAAAAGAAATTTATCATGTCCACCGAAACGATTTTCCCATATTTAAAGACTATTATGTGAATGTATATGCCTACTATGTATCCACAAAAATTAAAAATTAAAAAAAAAGTGTTGCGTGAAAGAAAGAATCGAATAGTAGAAGTTTTAGAAAGGCAGGCTTCACTTTCCTTGCCAGGAGAACTTTTGAAATTCTTCTGCCTGCTAGGCCTGACCGCATGGATATAACACCTTTTCTAGACTCAACATGTCTAAAAGGACATCAGTGTTACTTTCATTGTGTGTTTGCTACTTCTTCACCATGTAACAGTGTCATTTTAAACTGTCACCATTGAGCTGGGTGTGATGGCTCACACTTCTAATCCCAGCACTTTGGGAGGCTGAAGCAGGGGGATCCCTTGAGTTTGAAACCAGCCTGGGCCACAAAGCAAGACCCTATCTCTGCAAAAAGTAAAAAAATTTAGCCAGGCATGGTGGCATATACCTGTGGTCCCAGCTACTCAGGAGGCTGAGGTGGGAGGATAGCTTGAGCCCAGGAGGTCTAGGCTGCAATGAGCTATGATCACATCACCGCACTCCAGCCTGGGTGACAGAGACCCTGTCTCATTAAATAAATTAAAAAAAAACTGATCACCATCCACACATTAGCCTAGTCTATACATTTCAGGGGTCTCTAATCTGCCCTGCTTCCTCTTCCACTTCCCACATGTCATCATTTACAAGTCTCTGCTGTGGGTCTTCTCTGTTGCTTCGTACGTCCTCACCCAACCTCTGCCACTGCTCACTCGCCTTGCTCCGTCTCCTCTGCTTCATCTTTCCCGCTGCCATCATTGGTCTCTTTCTCACAATGGGAAGAGGCATTCAGGTGCTTTAGAACAGTGGTTCCCTATTTTCTCTAGAAAACATTCCAGACTCTTGAGGTTAATATTCCAGTCCCTTCTTTCCAAACCACATCTCTTACACTTTCCTCTTCCAGGTCTTTAAGTGTCAGCGGGCAGTTGTCATGCTTCTCATTTCCTGGACATGCCGGCCAGGTTTCTGCCTCTGTCCTGTGTTCATACCATTCCCTTTGCAGGGATGTCTTCTCTCCCGAGCCTTCCTTGCCAGGTGAAATCTTCATTAGTAGCATGCTATCTCTTCACTGAAACCTTCTCTGATCAGCCCTAGGTAATTCCCCCCAGCAGAATGAAGTGGTTTCATGTCTGGTTCACAGCATTTGCCAATGCCTCTGTTGTGGCACTTGCTCATTCAGGGGGCTGTGTGCAGCCTAGCATGTGTGGGGACTCTGCACAAGACCCCTGAGACTCAGGAGATCAGTGACCTGAGTCCTGTCACCACAGAGTCGTTCTTAAGAATTTTCGCTCTGAGGTCAGATGGACCTGAATGCATTTGCAGGTCTCACCACTTAACAATTTAGGTAACCAGAGGCAAGTTGCCCTATCTCCCTGGGCCTCTGTTCTGTCATGAGCAAAATTAGTCTGAACCTGTCTCATAGGCTTGGTGTGAGGGTAAATTGGGAGTCCCTGGGAAGCCCTTACACTTGACCCTGACACCTGATAAGCACTTGGTAGCCATTAACCAGTGAAAGTTCACTTTTTCCCCAGGGTTATATCCCACAGTATTCATGTTATGTCACTGAAATTGGATCATTTAAGGAAGACATCTTACAGGGTCATTTTGAGGATCAGCTTTTTAACAACATGAGCTATATAGGCGATATATATAGCTATATAAGCTAAATTCTGTTAATGAACATTTTATTTGATTTTAAGTTCTTGGGGATGGTGATCTTGAAACTCTTCTCCTAACGGAGCACCAGTGCACAGTGTACCACTTGATGAAAATTGATTGGAGTTTTTGCCCAAATTATACCCAAACTAGTAAATGGTTAGACTGTCTTGATGTCACTTTTGTTTTGTTTTGTTTTTTGCTCTTAATACAAAAACTGCTTGTTCCTACCAAACCCTGGCAGTGAAAAATATCATATTATTATGAATGGAAACTGGAAAGCAGCCTGTTATATTAAGGTTGCAGAGTTGTATACAGCCACTGCTACTGTATGCTTAATGTAATACAGTATATAAAAATAATATAGTATAACATAATAAAATGTAATATAATATAAATATTTGTATTTCTCTAATAAATTTGTTTTAGTTCATATATTGGGGTGAGAATATTAGTATTTCATTGTTTCTCAGAGTATTGTATCCCACTAAAAGAATGCCACCTGAGTAAGTTTGAGAAGCCCTGAGATATTTTGTTGTAAGACAAAAATAATGTGTTGTAATACAAAATTTATAAGCTGAAGTGTGATCTTAAAACTTTTGAAAACATGTACCTGGTTTGCTTCATATTCTCAAATAATTGTGTAAATTTTTTCCCCTATGGCCTTTGATGTTTGTATATAGCTTGAAGAGAAATCACTGTCTTTCTAAAGGTCTCATGTTTTGCTTTAAGGTTGATTAATCATACAAAGAAACTAATGGAGAAAGAAGAAAAACTGTGCATTAAAATTCTTCAGACATTACGAGAAATGTTAGAGAAGAAAGACAGCTTTGTGGAAGAGGTATTTTTTTAAAAAACTTTATTATTTAAAAATAAAGTAGGATTTCCCCAATACTGTAACCTATGAATTACAATAGGCTATTACGTGATTACTTGCATTATATCTTAATGATGCATGTACTTAGATGAATTATATAATTTGAGTTTTTATGATATTCATCTCTCATGCCTTGTTTTAAACTGGGAAATAACTAAAATTAGAGTTTCCTAGATATTTGTTTTATTATATTCTTATATTATATTCTTGGATCTGTGTTTTTTCCTCTTATGGCTT
Organism: Homo sapiens; assembly: GCF_000001405.40. Taxonomy (NCBI): domain Eukaryota; kingdom Metazoa; phylum Chordata; class Mammalia; order Primates; family Hominidae; genus Homo; species Homo sapiens. The sequence continues at coordinate 26,549,973 of NC_000012.12, read as the reverse complement.
TAGTGGACCAAATGACCTTTTTAAACAATGAGTAACTGAGATGCATTATTTAGATTTTGTGTAAAGTTCTGCCACATACTGAGAATGTCTATGCATTTTGGCATATGTTGATTTTTTTATTATAAATATATATTCATGTTATTTTTTATAATATTCTGCCAAGTTTTATAAAATAATACTATTTTAGTAAGTGGAATAGTCAGTTTCTATTCTTAACTATATTAACTTGAGATTCACAAGTGATTTTCAGGGAAATATCAACCTATAGATAATAATTGTCAGTCTGTTATTAAAAATGACAGCTCAGGTGCTCATTAAGAGATAGCTAGCAGCATGTTTGATACCCAAGGTGATACACTTAAATATAAAGTATAAATCTAGAGAATTTTTTTTAGCTAGCTGTCTGTACTTTTATGTTAGATATTAAACAAAATTTGTACCATGTTCCTCAATAACTTTTTGGTCTGTTTCGGTAAATACTAATCATCTGATATTTTAAAACTGGAAGGATTTTATGTATTACTTTATGTATATGCTAAATTCCAGAAAGATTGTAGTGGTTGGGTTTTTTAAAGTGCATTCCCATCTTAGAAAAAAATGCAATGGAAACTTAGATATTAATAGAAAGAGCATTGCTTCAAAATATTCCATGTGAATCAATGTTTGTTTCAGTAATCAAAATGCCTTCTACTTTGCATTAGTTCTCTGCATCACTTAAATTATATTTGGAAAACAAATGATCAAAATAAAGGTGGTCAATGCAATTTTAGCAAATATTTCTCTAAGATAGGACTCAAAAACGTGCTTTCATATTTAAAAAATGATAAAGAGAATTCCTTGGGACTTTTGGTTGTCTTTCTCTTAAAATATTGCTGTAGATTGTGGGATATTGACTGAAGTACCAGATTCTGAAGTAGAAAAATGAGGTCAATATCCTTTTCTGGCAAAGGACGAGGTTCACAATAAAAGTGACTTGCACTTAACAGGAGGTACATGGCAAGTCTTCCATTTTTATGTAACAGATTTTTATTGAATTACTCCAAAGGAAAATCGGAAAGAAATCAGGTTAAATTTTTACTTTGGCTAGTCAAGAGTATTTTTATGTGTCTCCCAAACCACTCTAAAATAAATCACTTGTTTTCTCCTTTCCATTCCCACTGCTATCACTAGTTCAGGCTTTTATTACCTCCTGTTGAGAAAATTCCAGGAGTGCAGTTTCCTGAGACAGAACTGCTCCCTTGGGTGGAGGCAGGGCTGCTGTTTTCCTAACTCCAAGGGTCCCCATTTATGCAAGATGTGATGTAAAGGACACCCCCAGCACATAGCCCTCACAGAAGAGTTGAGATGGGAAAGGCTAATTGCAAGTTCTTCATTCAGTCACCCAACACATATGTTGTCAGCAAACTATTAAATGGTGATTATTGTGCCTGGGAACTGGGGATACTGATATGAATGACACAGCTTGCCAAGGGCCATGAATGGATACAATTCCTGTGCTAGTGGACTCCCTTAATAGTGTAGGGAAGAGATCACTAGAGCCCTTCAGAAACCATCAGGGGCTCTGCACAGCGTCAGTGTTCCAGGCCCTCCATTTGTCCTCTCCACTTCACACCCCCATCTGTCTTCATCCATTAGCCTCCGGAAATCTGTGTTACTCAATGTACCTATAATGTACCTCAGGCTTTTCCTGCCCTGACCTTTGCTTCATCTGGAATCATAGATTGCAAAAATCCAATCAAGCCTCAATGCCACCGGCTATCTTTGTGGAGGAGCTACTGGGTAGTACTTATCAATTGTTCCAGCAAGTGGTGATTACTTTCTCAATAGAATTACCAAAATACTTCATGCTTCTCTTTTAGGACACTTTAGGCTGTATCTGGAAATTTAGTCCAAGCTCCTTATTTTATAGATGATGCCACAGAGTCCCAGAGAGGTGATGTGATTTGACTGAGGTTACACAGCAAGAGCTAGAACCAAAGTTTAAATTGGAACTCCTTCCTCTTTGTTTAATCTTCTTACTCCTTTGATCATAGCCAAGTTTTACAAATTTTTTGCATTGCTATTAAGAAAGGTTAGTATACTTTGTCTAGCAGGTTTATGGCGCCAAATTTTAAGACATAGGCAGACAGAATATAAGACAGGAATAACATCCAAAATAGGTAAAGATTCAGATAAACTTCTAAGAAAATAGTAAATATGGGGGAAATGAAGTCATTTAACTAAGAAAGAAAAACCTGATTTCATTTTTTTATGGCTGAATAAAATTCCATTGCACATATATTCATCACATTTTCTTTACCCATTCATCCGTCAAGGGACATTTGGGTTGATTCCATGTCTTTGCTGTGGTGAATAATGTTGCAGTAAACATGTGAGTGCAGGTATCCCTTTGATATGTTCATTTCTTTTCCTTGGATAAATACTCAGTAGTGGGATTGCTGAATCCAATGATAATTCTGTTTTTCATTTTTTGAGAAATCTCTGTACTGTTTTTCACAGTGGCTCTACTAGTTTACATTCCCACCAGTAAGGTTTGAGTTTCCTTTTCTCCACATCCTCATCAACGTCTGTTATTTTTTTGTCTTTTTAATAATAGCCATTCTGGCTGGGGAAAGATAATACCCTGTTGTCATTTTGAGTTGCATTGCTCTGATGATAAGTGATGTTGAGGAGTTTTTCATATGCTTCTCGGCCATTTCTCTGTCTTCCTTTGAGAAATATCTAGTCATGTCTTTTGCCCACTTTCTAATGAGGTTATTTGCTTTTGTCCTGTTGAGTTGTTTGAGTTTCTTGTATATTTTGGTTACTAGTCTCCAGTCAGATAAATAATTTGCAAATATTTTCTCCCATTCAACAGGTTGTCTCTTCACTCTGTTGAGTGTTTCCTCTGCTGTGCAGAAGCTTTTTAGTTTAAGATAGTCCCATTTGTCTATTTTTGTTTCTGTTGCCTGTGCTTTTCAGATCTTAGCCATAAATTATTTGCCTAGACCAATTTCCAAGAGAGTTTTCCCTAGGTTTTCTTCCAGTATTTTTATCGTTTCAAGTTTTATATTTAAGTCTTTAATCCATTTTGAGTTGATTTTTGTATATGGTGAGAGATAGGGATCCAGTTTCTTCTGCATGTGACTGTCCAATTTTCCCAGTGTCATTTATTGGAGAGGGTGTTCTTTCCCCAGTGTAAGTTCTTATCTGCTTTGTTGAAGATCAGTTGGCTGTAAATATATGGCTTTGTTCCTGAATTCTTCATTCTGTTCCATTGGTCTGTGTGTCTATTTTTATACCAATACCGTGCTGCTTTGGTTAGTGTAGTGTAGCCCTGCAATATATTATAAGTTAGATAATTTGATGCCTCCAGCTTTGTTCTTTTCACTCAGGATTGCTTTGGCTATTCCAACTCTTTTTTGGTTCCATATGAATTTTAAGATTCTTCCAAAAGAATATGATATCATGTCATTTGCAGCAACGTGGATGCTGCATGGAACTGAAGGTCATTATCTTAAGGGAAATAAGCCAGGTACAAAAAGACAAATACTACATGTTCTCACTTATATGTGGGAGCTAACACATTTGATCATATGAAGGTAAGAGAGTGGAAAGATAGGTAACAGAGACTGGGAAGGGTGGGAGTGGGAAAATGAAGGGAACTGGGTTAAAGGCCACAAACATACAGTATGACAGAAGGAATAAATTCAATGTTTGATAGCAGAGTAGGGTGACTATACTTAACAAAATATGTTGTATTTGAGTGATGGACACATCAAATACACTGACTTGATCACTACACATTTATATACATGTAACAAAATGTCTCATTTATCCTGTAAATTTATAAGAACAAAAAAGAAAAAGGAAAAGCCTTATAAAAAGCATACATATCTTATTTCTTAATTTTATTGTTTCTTAATTTTCATGTTTACTAAGGACAGAATAAAAAATTATAGCTAAAGCAATTCTAGCTCTTAGACAACTTTTTAATTCTAAGTGTTTTGAAATGAGAAGTATTTCTATCAGTGGAAGCAGAAGACATCTCATTCCCCTCTCAGGAAATCTTAAAGATAAGCATATTGGATCTAGAAGGATTCAAACAACCAGTTTGGGAATGAGTTGGGACTCCATGATCTCTGTATTTTGTCCATTGGTCCTTCTGAAACAGCTGGTGCTCAGTGATCCATGCCAGTGGAGGGGAGCTAAATGGCTCACCCATTTGGGTGAAATGGCCTTGGATGATAGATTCAAAAAGTAGCAAAAGATACTATTGTACAACCAATGGTGGGCTCTAATAACAAGCCCTAATTATCAATAGTGGGATAAGGGGTGGCTGTGTTTCCATGACTGTATTTTTTCCTACTGACCAGAAACTTTGTGGTGTGTAAAACCACACAAATTTATTATCTTACAGTTTTGAAAGTCAAGAGCTTAAAATCAAGGTGTGAGCAGTAGTGTGTTCCTTCTGCAGACTCTAGGGGAGAGTTCATTTCCTTGCCTTTTCTGGATTCTGGAGGCCACCTGCATTCCTTGGCTCGTGGCCCCATCCCCTATCTTTAAAGCCGGTAGTGTAGTACCTTTCAATCTCCACTCCCTATTTCCCGCCCCCCTTCCCACAATTGTCACATCTCGTCCTACTCTGATGCTCCTGTCTCCTTCCTATAAGAACACCTGTGATTACATTGGAACCACCTGGATAATCTGGTATAATTTTCCCATCTCAAGAGCCTTAACTCAAATCACACCTGCCGAATCCCTTTTGGCATGTGAGGTAACATGTTTACAGGTTCTGGTGACTAGGAAAGGGATCATGAGGACATGTGCATCTTTGGGGAGGGCCATTATTCTGCCTATCACAATGACCCTTTTATTGACAGTGAGAAATAACATCTAGAATGTAGATGTAGTATTTACTTGTGGCTGATTAATATTACTGTGTAGGGCAATTTAAATGCAAATGAATAGAACAAAAATGCTTGGAATCTATAGCACTTTGCTGTTTTCAAAATATTTTAGAATATTTTGCTACCTTTCAACAATTCTAACACATACACAGAACAGGCAGTGTTACCTCCACATTGCAAATGTGAAAAGAGAGACTCAGAAAAGTGAATTGCGTTAAGTCACATAGGTTACCCAATACCTGCCCTGTAATGCCTAACCAGCTGGATTTCGACTGTGTATTGAAGCATTCCCAGGAGATTTATCAGAATTAAATCAAAACAGAAAACTCAAACCAGGGTTTTTCACACGAGCTATTCTAATATTACATTTGAGACTCCACTTATTTGAATTTAAAATGTCAACTTAAAAGAAAATTACTATTTTTATTTCCTTGGTTCCTGACACCAGAAGTGGTGTATGTGTGTGTGTGTGTGTGTGTCTGTGTGTCTCTGTGTGTTTGTCTGTGTGTGTGTGTGTCTATGTGTGAAACTGGTAAAAATTTAAAAATAGGGCAATGAAGCATAAATTTGCTTCATGGTTGAACCAAATGTCCTTTAAAGCAATTCTCAACCCTGGGATTCTAAATTTCCCGAGTTTGTTAGCCTTCTCTGTATGATGTATTAAGGAATTACATTAAGGATATTTAATGTAACTAAATGTAATTAGATTTTACCTACTGGTCAATTATTTATTAAAAGCTTATAATTTAGAATACCCTTGAGTACAATTTCTAAATTAATTATACTTAGGGATATTCTTCCTTGACCCATGTTTCTTAGTTTGTGCCTAAGACACTGAGAAATAAGATACGGGTGGGCAACATCTTAAAGATTCTTGAAAGAATAAAATAAATAAAGGAAAATTTAATTTTCTGTGAAGTGTGCCTATATGTGAAATCATCTAGGGATCATATAGTTAGTTAAGCTATAGTATTTATTTTTAATGGAAGGATAAAATGTGAAAATTTTTTATAGAAAGTCTTTAAGGGGAAAATTACCTGAGTTTTAAAAAATTCCCCCTTAAAATACTGTTTGTTTAGGTGACTGTGATAGAAAAGCAAGAGTTTACAAAGGATGTAACTAACAACCCTAACAAGTCTGAGAGCTTAGTTTTCCTTTGGGGTTGGCATATTTAGAAGGCTTTTTAAACGTAACAACAGCAGGCATATTTATTTGTACTTTAAAAAAATATGTATGTTGGAACATTGGGGTAGGGAAAGAGAAGAGAAGGAATGCTTCAAAATGGCTGGAGGGCAGTGTGATTTCTCTTTTTCTTTGAGACAGAGTCTTGCTCTGCCACCCAGGCTGGAGTGCAGTGATGCTATCTTGGCTCACTGCGATCTCCACCTCCTGGGTTCAAGTGATTCTCCTGCCTCAGCCTTCCGAGTAGCTGGGATTACAGGCACCTGCCACCCAGCTAATTTTTGTATTTTTAGTAGAAACAGGGTTTCACCATCTTGGTCAGGCTGGTCTTGAACTCCTGACCTCAAGCAATCCACCTGCTTCAGCCTCCCAAAGTGCTGTGAGCTACCGTGCCCAGCCTGAGGGCAATGTGATTTCTAAAATTCTCTATCCTTAAAGCCATTTTGTTCTACTCTTATTTCCATGACACTCTCTTTCTCTCTCCCTCTCTCTCCTCTCTCTCTCTCTCTTCCCCTGTCTCTGTCACACACACACACAAACACACACAATATCTGATAGTATGTGTGTGCTGATGAAGAGAATAGCTTTATTAAAGTACTGTGCCTTCGTTCTGTGTATTTAAAGATACTTTAGAGGTCCAAATCTGTGTAGTGGTGAGTTGCTAATGGAGACAGAAAGAGCTTACGTGGATTGGATAGAGGTGGGCTGATGAGGTTGGAGCAGGAAATAAGGACTGCACTCAGAGGAATGGTTTGGTTTGGTTTGGTTTTAAGGATTTTGGGGGTCAATTTCCCGCATCTTGTACTCTTTAGTATACATTTTCATCAAGATTTATAGAGCATTACAAGTTATTTCTCTCATAAAAAGGGAAAAACATATATAAATCATGAAAGTAGAGATGTCTGTCAACTCCAATCCTAAGTATATAAAATTCATAGCTTCTGTACTTTAGAATTGGAGAAGAGAACGAGCATTGAAAATATTCATGGATCGCCTGTGGAAATGGTAATTTACAGTTATTCTCTTTACATTCTAGTCAAAGAAGTTGACCTATTTAGAATGACAGTTACAATTTCCCCATGACTATATTCCTATCTGTTAATGTTACACTGACATACATATAATCTATAGGGCAACAGAGATGTTTTTATAGTAAAGTTCAATATTCTTAAAATGATCAGATTTAAAATACCATCTATCCTTGGAATATTGTTGCAAAAATATTGAGAGCTGCCTCTGCAATAGCTATGGTACAGTTTTAAGCAACGGTTTTAAAAATTAATAGCTAGCATTTATTAAGAGCTTACCGTGTGACATTGTTATTATCAGACAGTACTGTCAGACACTGTTCCTAATCACTTATATATGTTACCTTATTTATTCTTCAACCCTATGTCATAGTTTTATTATCTCCCTTTTACTGGTTAGGAAACTGAGGTATAGAAAGTTTTTAAGGTCACACATCTTAGGAGAAAGAGACCTGGGATTCCAACCTAAACAGTTGCGCTTCTGAGCTCACACACTTCATTGGCATGTTAGATCCAAACAGGTTATAGGACTTATAATCACAACTCATTTATTTTCTCAGTTACAAAACTAAATAACATGAAAAGTTCTTCAATTTTATTCTTGATAAAATTTGCCTAAGTGTGTACTGGAAAGCATAATCCATTTATTCAGTGAGCTGCCCAGGAAAGGCTTGACACCCACCTTGTGATCACGGTCTGAGTCGTTATTAACTAGAATATTAGTTATAAAAGTTCTAAACAATATTTTGTAAGATGACTACTGGAGATAGCCCCTTGTTGAAGTGTGGCTTTCAACAAATAGCATAGCATCTAATTGAGAGCTGTGATCTTTACAAATGCCCAGGTTGGGTAGGTGATATTTAGACATTGAATAGTGGTAGCAGACAATGGATTCTTGATTTGAAAGTTGATATCCGGAGTGATATGGAATAAAGATCTTTAAGAAATGATGCCTGAATTATTTTTAAGATGTCCTCTTTTTTTTTTTTAACTCTAAAATATACTGACTCCTGAGTTAACAAGAAATTTATTCTTATCCTCAGCAGGAAAAAATATTGTAACTAATCTTTTATTTCTAATTTTGAGAAGTCACAAAAAGAATGTCATAATTATACCAAGCAACTTAACTCCTACATCAAATATGCATGTGTCAGTCCCAGCAATAATTGCATTGTTGCAAATTTGTAAATTGTATCAAGCTCCTCTTATTGTATCAATCTGTATAGAATCATTCACATCTATGCATATACTCATTTCAGTTTCTAGCAGGCAAATGAATGAATTTAAATAGAAATGCTACATAGACTGCATTGTAGCTTAAAAATTGGATAATAACTTTTGCTGAGAGAAACACATTTTAGTTTTATTATCAGCTGTATTTTATAATATTTCTTATTAAATACATTTTAGAGGTGAGTACATTTGTTTTGTAATATAAGTGCTCTAATGTTGTTTTAAATCAAATATTAGTGATGCTGCAACTGTGTACCATCTTAGTCATTCCCATGTATATTGTGGTTGTGTGCACCTGCATGTGTTATTTTATTTTATTTTTTTGAGATGGAGTTTCACTCTTGTCACCCATGCTGGAGTGCAATGGCGTGATCTCAGCTCACTGCAACCTCTGCCTCCCGGGTTCAAGTGATTCTCCTGTCTCAGCCTCCCGAGTAGCTGGGATTACAGGCGGCTGCCACCATGTCCAGCTAATTTTTTTTTTTTTTTTTTTTTAAGCAGAGATGGGGTTTCACCATGTTGACCAGGCTGGTCTTGAACTCCTGACCTAAGGTGATCCACCTGCCTCGGCCTCCCAAAGTGCTGGGATTATAGGTTTGAGCCACCACGCCCAGCTGTGTTATGTTTTAACACATGTGCTATGTCGCTAAGTGGTTGGAAATATGAAAATGAGTTGATGTGTTCTTATAATAAGACATCTGCTTTAGTATACATTATTAGCATGCTCTTCCACTTTGGAATTTTTATTTTATATTTTCACTTAGGCAAAAATACTTTCAACCATTAAAGTGGGTATAAAAGCAACAGTTGCTTTTAGAAATTTACTCTTTTCAGTTGCTGGGCTGGTTTGGTCACTTGTTAGACTATAAAAGTGATAAATTTACTGGATGAATTATATTCATTTTAACCTCATTATTACAAAAAAATTACAAAGTTCTTAACTGTGCCTCACATTTACTTTACTCTTTCAAAATCTCACATAATAGCACTCATTGCTTCAAGGGTTTTTGAGATATGCTACCACTCTTTAGAGATCTATGACTAAAAAGTCATATTGAAAATATTGCCTGTACTCAGAAGGTAACCACCATTCATTGCCTCTAGTAAGTATAGGACATTTGGTAGCTAATGATTGTAGGTGAAAAATGGCATTGTGATTAAAAAACAAACTTGGATAGCATTAAAAGAAAAAAAAGGAGAAGAGAATAAGGAACTAAAAGGAGAATCACTAAAATCAATGTATTATTAAGTTATCATGTTCATCATTTCCACCTAAATCTAAACCTAAAACCTTTTCCAGGAAGTATTTCCCATTTAGTTTAATTCCATATCATTCTAATTTGTAATCATTTCAGCACTTATCAAATTATATTTATCTTATTAGTGTAGACCTTTTCATATCATGCCTTATGAAGGTTTTCTTTGGTGTATGTACTGCCATTTTAAATAAGTTAGAAACTCCTTGGGGATAGGGCTGATGCATAATGTAAGGGGAAAGAATGCCTAAAAGGCCTTTCAGTGCTGAGAATCTAGGAGGGTAGAGTACTGGATTTCTCTCCAGTTCCAGCCCACCCTCCACAAAATGGTATACTATTTGAAAGCAGAGACTGTTGATCTTATTCACTGAAGTATTTCTATGTCTAGAATTGTGCCCTGCACTTAGTTGCTACTCAATAAATGTTTGCAGAGGGACAGATTGACACATAGTAGATGTAAATGTTACCAGCTCTCTGCAATGCAGCACATTGACCTTCCCTAGTCCTATCCAAGAAGTAGATTCTAGACATATCATGTCATGTTATACTTTGCATATCTCTGTTACCCAGGTAACAGCAGGTTTCTTTGTATTTGACATCCCTGCAAACTTGGGTGGGCAGCAGAGAACCACAGCATAGAGGGCTGAGGAAGAAGACGTCTCGCAGAAGGCACTGGGACCAGGGGACTGCTGTTGTCTTTTGCTCACTGTGTGGCTTAGAAAGCAAAAGAGGATCCCAGACACTGTGCACAGTTATGGTGTGAGCTCAGCCAAGGGGGATTGGAGCAGATGATGACCAAATCTGAAGGCCAGCCAGTGGGGAGGGGGTTCCAGCCATGGGGCTTCTGTCCCAGGAAGGGCGCTCGTCCTGGATCCAGTAGGAACAAGCAAGAGAGCCAGGCTACAAAAAGAAACCATGTAGGTTTTCAAAAAGAAAAACCATGTAGGCTTTGAACCAGGAAAAAAAAAAACTTACTATAAAACCAGGAGAACATGGCAGCATTTGGGACTTATGGGGAGAGGCCAAGGTCCAGTCACATGAACTGGGACACTGAGTTAGATTAATGAGAGCAACTAGCTGCAGAGTCCAAGAACTGTTGATCTCAAGCAGCATCAGGCTCTCCTGCCACAGGATGAAATTGGTGTTCTGAACTGCTCAATGGTGTTACGGTTGAGAGGAGAAGGAATAGAAAGGCTCTGGATAAGACTGGGCCTGATACATTTCACCTTTTCTATCAAATACACTAATTTCGGGATACTGTTTGAACAGGTCCTCACAGAGAATATTTGCAACCTGGTATATGAGGCACCAAAACCACACTATTATTGTTGTTATTATTTAACTGCTGTTGACTAGGCATATCTAGAGAAGCTGTTTGCAAGGTAACAATGTGTCTGTGTCTGCTTGGATCTTCACACTAACTCTCTGAGGAAAGAAAGTATTTTAATCTCCATTTTATAGATAAAAAGAAAGGCACAGTAGGTAAAATGACCTGGTAAGAATCACAGGCTGTCCGGGCGCAGTGGCTCACGCCTGTAATCCTAGCACTTTGGGAGGTGGAGGCAGGCGGATCACGAGGTCAGGAGTTCGAGACCAGCCTGGCCAGCACGGTGAAACCCTGTATCTACTAAAAACACAAAAATTAGCCTGGCATGGTGGTGCACACCTGTAGTCCCAGCTACTCTGGAGGGTGAGGCAGAAGAATTGCTTGTACCCAGAAGGCGGAGGTTGCAGTGAGCTGAGATCATGCCACTGCATTCCAGCCTCGGTGACAGAGTGAGATTCTGTCTCAAAAAAAAAGAAAAAAAGAAAAAAAGAAAAAAAAATCACAGGCTTTGTAAATGGCAGAGCAGGAATATGAATCAAGGTTTTCTGATTCTGCTTTCTTTGATGCTTCTCCACATAGTAGGGAATTAAATAATGCTGGTGAAAGTAAATGATAATTTGAATTTGATTTCAGTTTTTCAAGCCACTTCTTTCAGACTTATTTCCTTTGCTAGTTCTAGCAACCTGAAGGTTAAGCAAATCTTTTTTTTTTTCAAAAAGGTGTGTTTGTGGGGGATATATTCTTATCTAACTTTCAGGTACATGCCCCAAATAATAGTAACAGCTTAAACTTTTATGGGGTTTACTCTGTTGTTAGTTTAACAATCATAACACATTGAAGACCTGTAGCACAGAAAGGTTAAGAAACTTGCCCAAGATCACACAACAAAAGATGACACAACCAGGAGGAAAATCCAGCCAATCTGGCCCTAGAGCCCATGTTTCCAATCACTACATGATACTGTCTCTCATTCTATGATGATATCAATTTGCAAAGCTGTAGGAATTTCACACATGGCTGCCAGAGGCAACTGTTTTTTTACGTTAAATAACAGAAGCCAACTTAAGATATTTTTTATGTATAATGATTTTGAGTATCTACCATTTACTGATTTCTTCAGAGTAGGCCTGGTTCCTGCATATTCCATCTGGTGCTTGAACATCTTAAACATTTTTGGATAAATCTTAGTTGCTTAAAACAAAACAACACAGAACATTATGAATATTTGCAGATTGCTCGGTGAAGTTGTTAGGTCTATCTTATCTCAGTTATCGCTGGCTTTTGGCTGGGTTTTTAATTAAAACTCAATATAGACTATATTACTTATACAGTCATGGAATACAGAAAACAAATGTGATATGTAAATGAGCACAGCATGGCAGCTTGATAAAATGAGTCTGTGGCACAAAATAATTTAAATGAGGACTCATGGACAATTAAAATCTAATCAAATGCTTATAATTAATATCACATAGCTGGAATGATGTTGAAGATACTGACTCAGAGACATGTACTTATATAACTCCATCCCAGGTATTGAGTTGATTTTATTTTCTCTGACAGTGCCAGAGTATAGTAATCAGGGAAACATTCACCAGAAGGTAAGCAATAACCGGGCAGTAATCTCATACTTGGGTGCACCTTTGAGGATGCTTCTTTAGGCTTCTTGCCATCTACCACCCTGGTGTATGCAGCCATTTATTCATTCAACAAATAGACTGCAGCATATATACAATTGGCAAAGAGTCCCCCATCCTCTTGGCTGAGTTAGGCAAGACCTCTGGTTACTAGGCCCACTGCCCACTCTCTTGAAATAAACTGTTGGTATCAACTCCACCATGCTTGGATTAGTTAATGCACAAAATGTACAGACCAAACCCTTCCTATCACCACCATGACATTGCCTTGCCATTTCTCAACACTTCCTCTCCCGCTCCAGAACTGCCACTCAGCAAGCTCTCCTCTATCCTTGTCCTCTTCTCTAAGCGGTCCCTCCAGCTTCTTGCTTTATTTGAAGACTCCCTGGCCCCCAAGGTCAGCCCACTTTCTGAGCAGCTGTGTGAAGTGCTGTCTCTTTTCTCCTTCATCCTCCAGGGGAAGAAGCTTTTTGTCCCTGTGGTTTCCCATTGTTATTTCAAGACAGATTCCTCTGCCTTCTTTTAAAATTCTTAGCTCCTTTGAAGTTAAGACCCTCCAACTATATCACGACCACATCAGCCCACATCCCAGTCAATTGCTCTCATCCATCTAAGACTTTGGAACCTTGATCTTGGCCCTCAGCACTGCCATCATCAGGGGTGACCCCAGTCAATCTCGGCTGTGTAGCCAACACTGGCCTGGTGGATCCTGCCAACACTGGCCTGGTGTATCTGCACTGACCATCTCTCTTCCAGAGTCCACCACCCAGTTCTTGCTGCTACTCCATGATTGCTAACTCAGGCAGTAATTGCTGCTACTCCATGATTGCTAATTCAGGCATCCCAATGCTCTGACATTTACTCCTTTCCATTCAGTTTCCTTGTTCACTTACATCCATTTCAACTGTCCTTCAACCTGATGAAAACCACTGACCCCTCAAATTTCCCGGTTCTTCAGCTTGCCCCCTTCCTCTTCTTATTCACCTCAGATTTCATAGTCTCGAGTTCTACTGTTGAGCAGCTGTTTAAGACAGGGGACTAACAAACTGTCCTAATAAAATAGCATAGAAGAGGGAAGGGGCTGTTCCTCCTGAGAAAATTGCAGTATTGTTGCCAACAGATGGGAACAGGGATGGCAGGCAGGCCAGAATAACCAGTGACCACCCTGAGTTCTTCGGGAAAATCTTGACAGATTGAGTTATTTGGATTATTTAAGTTATTTGGCTGCTTTTCTTTTAATATTCCACCTAAATGTATATGCCACCTCTTTCCAAATGAAGCCAGAAATCTTGGCTCAAAGTTCTTGTACAAAAAAAGCTTCTACTTTGCTATATACACAGGCACTCTGTGTTCTCCAAAATTCAAATGACTGAGGATATTCTTTCTTAAGGCTGAGAAAACATATGGACGAAAGTATGCTGCTTCTCATCGTCTGTAGCCTCTTGACAAGACATCTGCTGCAACAGTTTTTGTTCTTCGATCATGGACGGTTGTTTGCCAATTGTTTTCATAAATATTAATCTTTGAAATCTTGACTGACATATAAGTTGTTCTTTTTGGATTCCTTTCTTCTTTTCTTATTTATGTGCACCATCTTTAAATGATTGTGCCACAGTACAACAAAAAAAGATTTTCTTATGAAAAATTCTTATTTTAAAAGTGGAAGCCATATAATGTCTAATTTGAAAGCTTGTGATTTTTTTCTTTACATTTGAAATCTCCTTTTTCTTTTGCTCAACTAAATTTATTCCATTGGAATAATGTTTTTACTTCAGCTCTTTGAAGTACCCAAGGAAGACATCTAAGCTCAACTTCCCCAAGTACTTGACTGATTTAGTCCCAAGGTAGATAACTGTTTCTTCTTTCTGTGAAGCTATAAACTTTAGAACCAAATAATTATTTTGAATTGGACAGTGATAGCCAAGGTGTTCTCCAGTGATATTTGATGCATCTTAATTTCTAATCATACTTTTTCATGGGAAGATAATTGGAAAATCTTTAATGGAACATAACAACACTGTCTACCAATGGGTGTTATTTAATGACATTGATAAAGTTTTATTGGTCTTCTGTGACCTCGACCGTACACTAAATAGAACATATGAAGCATTTTAAATGCCATATGTAGCTTTTTTGGAATCATTTTTATTGTGTATAGTAGTTCCTGATTTATTTTAATGTTACCTCTAGGGATAAGTAATTCAGCATATTTTAAATTGTTCCAATTATTGCTCAATTAGTAGAACAACTTTTATGGACACAATTGTACATATTTATGGGGTACTGTGTGATATTTTGATACATGTTTATGTTACATAAAAATCAAATTAAGGTATTCAGCATATCCACCACCTCATACACATATCATTTATTTATGGTGAGAACTCAAAAAATCCTGTCTTGTAGTTATTTTGAAATATACAGTAGAGTTAACCATAGTCACCTTGCTGTGCAGTAGAACACCAGAACTTATTTCTCTTAATAAAACAATTTTTAACCTTAAGAATGAAAAATGCTTCACACAGATATTGATCCTAACCCTGTTAGCAAAGAATCCTCAGTTCATGTGAAGCTAATGATGCAAAATACAGCAAGTGACTAATTTTGAAAGACTGTTTGATTACAGTGCCATAGTATCTTTTCTTTCTTAGTAAACCACCTGTTCAGCATCTAAACTAGGGACAATTCCTTAAGTGTTCAACATTTAAACTGAAATGTTCGATATTCCTTAAATCTAGCTGTTCAACATCTTTTTTAAAAATTTACATCATAAAATCTTGAGAGAGAAGCTCCATTCTCTGGTTTTCATAAAGCTTTGGGTTTTCTTTTGCTTTTTCTTTATTTTTTTGAAGTGAGAATACTCCGTTGTTAAATGAGAGTTAATAAATTGGAAAATATACTAACTCATTGATAAGTGATGAAATTTCTATTTCTTCAGTTTTATCTAGATCATGTGAAATTTATATTTAGAATAGAAGAGATTTCTTTACATCTTTTGCTCTCTTCAAGGGCCGTATCAGGGATTAGGAATTTATCTTAGTTGAGATCAAACCATTTCCTCTGAGATCTATTGGCAAGTGTCATCTCTCTTCCACATCTGCCATTTTCTGAAAGCAAAATGAAATTCACATGTTTGCATACAATTTTGCTGATTCTTGCCAGGAATACTTCCTGGGAAAAGCATGCTGAATATTTCTGCAATGCTTCAATTTTAGGGAGAAAAGGGAATATTACAAAAATTTGGAACTATCCCATGACAGAGCCAGGAGCTGAGGAGCAGATGAAGGACCTACTTCTGGAAGGCCACTGACGTGATGGCTGGTGTCTCCACGGGGTTAGGAGAATGGACATGTCAAGCAGTGGCCCTCTGGATCAGGGATTAGATGCCAGGGAGAGAATTACTTGGAGAAAAGGCTGGGCTGACTTGTATAGTTCTAGTCAGATAACTGACACCTAGGGGGAATCTGCCTTGTATTGTATCATCTTCTGTGGGAAGACACAGAGGAAGAAATGATGCCACCTGTATTAGTTTGTAGGGCTGCCATCACAAAGTCCCACAGATCGAGTGGCTTAAACAACAGAAATTTGTTTTCTTATAGCTCTGGAGGCTGGAAGTCAGAGATTCAGGGGTCAACAGGTGGTTTCCTTCCAAGGGCCAGGAGAGAAGGAACTGTCCCAGGTGTTTCTCCTTGGCTTGTAGATGGCCACCCTCTCCTTGTGTCTTCATATTATTTTCCTTCTGTATGTGTGTCTGTGTCCAAATTTCCTCTTCTTATAGGGCCACTAGTAATATTGAATTAGGGTCCACCCTAATGACCTCATTTTAATGTAATTACCTCTTCAAAGATCTTATTTCTGAATATGGTTATATTCTAAGGTGTTGCAGGTTAAGGCATAATTCAGCCCATAACATATCTAAGTCTTTAATCTTTTCATAGATGAGATGTGCAAAGGTTTTCTGTGTATGCTTCTCTTGTGCGCATTTTGCTGACAGCAGCCAAAATGCACCGAGCAGCTTGCGGGCATCTACAAACAGATTTAAGAAGTGATTTCTAAACATTATTGTTTAAGTTGGTTTAAACCCATGGAAGAAACAGAAAAGAGGTTTTTCTCTTGTTTCCTATCTTAGGTTAAGGTTGAAAAAAACCAGTTGATTGGAATAAAAACTCAAGTGACAATGACTACCAGATACATAGGTTTTTTAGCAGAAAGTCAAAACATCATATAGACTGGTTCCAAGATAAGTGGGAAAATTTGAAAATTTGATAGCACTGTGTTTGTGGCAGTTTTTAGCTTTGGGCTGACTCAAATATAGAGTCCAGTTTCTTACCAAGCACTTTTCGACTGTGTTTCAGCATGATCATGAAGAATGCACATTTTAGATAGGATCTTTGGGGTTTTCTATTTGCTACAAATTAAATTAAAGAATTATTCTGGGCCGGGCACGGTGGCTCACGCCTGTAATCCCAGCTGTTTGGGATGCCGAGGTGGGTGGATCACCTGAGATCAGGAGTTCGAGACCAGCCTGGTCAACATGGCGAGACCCTGTCTCTACTAAAAATACAAAAATTAGCTGGGCGTGGTGGTGCATGCCTGTAATCCTGGCTACTCAGGGGGCTGAGATAGAGAATCGCTTGAACCCAGGAGGTGAAGGTTGCAGTGAGCCAAGATTGCGCCACTGTACTCCAGCCTGGGCAACATCGAAAACTCCGTCTCCAAAAAAACAAAAAGAATTATTTTGGAATATCATTTCATCAATTCATCATTACAGTCCATTGTGTGCAAAATACATGCTTAAAGTCTTTTACCGGGGGCTGGGCACAGTGGCTCATGCCTGTGATCCCAACACTTTACAAAAAGTTACTTTAAAAAAATTAGCTGGGCATAGTGGCACACACCTGTAGCCCCAGCTACTTAGCAGGCTGAGGTGGGAAGACTGCTTGAGCCTGGGAGATTGAGGATGCAGTGAGTCATGATTGTGCCATTGCACTCCAGCCTGTGCAACAAAGTGAGACCCTGTCTCAAAAAAAGAAAAAATATTTCATTGAAAAATGTCCCTTTTCTGGAGGAGTGTTTTATACTGTTCACAAGTTTGTGTAAACCACACATACACAATTTTGCTATTTGTTTTGGCAAGTGGTCAGTTTTTAAAATGTTGGTGGTTGCTTTTAATATCTACCTAAAGATAGAGTGAATTTTACGGAACATAACACAAACAAGAACACTGCTTTTAGCTCGTGATATAGCCAAGCCTCAATGACTTATTCCTTGCACCTGTATGTGGGAGATAACAATGAAATAATAAATTGTCATGATTTTAAGGAAGAAAATGACTCATGTCATAGTATTACTTTTGTAAATATCCTTTCACAAATATCCTATAATTTTAAGCTTTGTTTTTAAATCTTAAAAATATTTATAAAATACTTTTCTGATATTTTAAGACAGCATTACCGTATTTTCTTGTGTGTAAAGTTTTCCTGCTTCTAGTATATTTTAACCAGTTCTCTTATGCCAATCAAAGGAGAATATGCAATTTCAGAAAAATAAACTTCAAGATAGACTCACAGTAATTCCTTCTGTCCTCAAGCAAGTATCTATTCCATATCTAAATCAAGATGATTGATCATTTTTTGTTTTGGTGTTGGTATAATCTTTCCTATGAGGTTCTAAGTGGTGGGGTACTTCACTGACTGTACAGGAAAAGAGAATTGTCTTGAATCATTCAGATACACACTTGTGTGTGTGTGTGTGTGTGTGTGTGTGTAAATACAGTAAACATGAAGCTTAGAACATGGTAGAAAATCAAAGGTGTATGTGAGAAAATATCACCTTTTAAAAATCTGAGATACATTATTCTGGAAGTGAAGAGGCAATCTAATCTGCACAAGAATAACAATTGTCAGAGCATTGCTTTAGATGGGTCACAAAGCTAAGACGAATGAAAAAATCAAGGAGCATTTTAAGAAGCCACTATTTATACTTGTCTGCTGCTGAATTTCTCTACAATTCGTTTCTGCTCCAGTTTATTACACATGACCAGTGTATGTGATAAATGAATGGTTAAAAATGAGTTATAGACTTTAATGTGAAAATCTTTTGTCTGATTTTACTGTTCACTGCTGTTACCCTCAGTACATTTATTGAAATGTCTTACACACTTTAATGCTGTAGTGTGTTATGCGTGTTTGTACTTCTCACTGCCTCCGATATTTCAGTGGGCAGAATACAGTGAGGTGCATTAGGAAAGCCCAATGAATATTTATGGTAATCCAAGGGAACCAGACACAGAAATGGACTTGCTTGGTTCCCAGACCTCTATCTTTTATCTTATTCTTAAGGGTATTTAAGATAAAAACAATGTACTGTAATTGATTTATTTTACCAAATCTACTTAGCATTCAGTGGCTATATCCAAATCTAAAAATATTGATAGTTCAGCACTAAAAGTGGGTTTAAATTTAATCATAGAAGAGTTTAACTCTGAAAAAATTTATGATTTATTTTGGGCTTTTATCTATTGTCACCTCTTCTTTGCTGAATGTAATTTTTATGACTTCAGATTTATAAATTAGACAGTTGCATTAAGACAACTCAAAATGAGAAAAGAAAATAGTTCTGGAAAGAATTATTTCTTTTTTTTCTGAATTTATTGGTACAGTCCTATGTAGATATACTACAGTGTTTGAGAAAGCTACATAAACATGGCCTTTCTACCCACAACCACATCCATAGTATTTAAGAACCCAGTAGGGGAGAATTGAAGGCTGAGGCTGACTTCAGAGAATCCTACACGAGGCAGAGTTCCTGGAATCAGAAGTCCAAAGCAGGATAGCTTATGTATAGAAATATTAGCTGTCTTGATTCTAGTAGTTCATAGCCCCAACTGGGGAGCCAGAGAACAATGGTCTTCTTCCTACATTTACTTCTGACCATCAAGAAAGTAAAAATCTCCAGGATTCACGGGAAATATGATCCTCAGTGAACAGTATCATCTGAAGATGATGACTGTTGGCAACACAAACAATGAACTTTCCAAAATACAGACACAGACACAAGAGAGTAATCCAGATAATTTCAAGTATTCTGTGGCTTCTGGGCCTGTCTTTGTGGACTTCAGGTGTAGAAAATTCCAGAATAAGTGTTTGAGATGTTAGCTGGTTTTCTGACCACATTAAGTGTGCTGGTCTGGGACATTGGGGCCCTTGCTACATCACTTATTGGCTGTGGGATCCTAGGACCCTTGGCTCTAACCTGCATCATCTGTTAAATTAAATTAAAATCCCAGTTGAGCCAGGTGAGCTTTTGAGGTCTGTATCCTGATTCTCTGATCTCCTTCTCTCTTATGGATTTAGATTCTTAATGGGACTACAAAGCATATAAATTCCTTTTCAGAAATATTGGAGGTAGACTTAAACTGCAAAAATAAAAATTTAATTAAATGCCTACCATGTGCCAGGAGCTGAACCAGTTACTGAAGATACAGTTGTGAAAGAAAACAAAACAATGAAATGGCATGGTCCATTCTTATATTGGAGCTTACATTCTGGAGGGGGAGCAGATGATACATAAATAGATAAACAAATACACAGTGTGCTGTGATGAAAAATGGACTAGCCATCATGTATTGAATCTTCATAGGTACCAGGAATCATTTTAAGGATGTTAGAGGTGCTTTATATGGAGATTTAATCCTCACATTCCAGTGTCCATTTTACAGATGGAAAAACTGAAGTTTAGAGACGTTTGGTTATTTTACTTGTTCCAGGTTCCACAGACAGAACCAGCCCATGACCCAGCTGGCATTAGAACCCAGGCAGCGTGATTATAGGATCTTTAATAGGAAATTATTCTGCTACCTGTCTCAGGATAAAAGGAGAGCAAGAACAGTGAAGAGAAATGGGTTTGTGTTTTCTATGGGGTGTTAAGAGAATGCATCTTTGACAGGGTCCTGTGTGGCAGAGACTGAGGAAGGCCATGCAGCCATCCTGGGCAGAGGAAACAGCACACACCCAAAGATCTGCATTAGCAGCTGGATTCCTGGTTTGAGAACCATCAAGGAAGCCAGTGTGGCTAGAAAGGGCTCAGTGACAGGTAGCACTAGGTCATGAGATCAGAGCAGTGGGAGAAGGGGCTGGATCATGTAGGCCCTTTGTAGGAGATGGTAAGGACTTTGATGTTGTCTGAGTTTCTCAGCATTAGACAGAAAGCCATTGGAAGGTTTGAGTATAGGAGTAAGTGAAATCTGATCTATGATTGACAGAGACTACTGTGTCAGCTTAAGTGTAGAGTACGCTTAAGAGGGCAAGAGTGAAAGCAGAGATAATTTTTAAGAAGTGATTGCAGTTATCTAGCTGAGACATGATGGAGGCTTAGAGTAGGGTGACAGTGGAGGCAAGAAGTTGTAGGATTCTGGATGTGGAGTGAAGTTTGAGTGGATAGCTTTTGAATGTGAGGCTGAATGTGCAATAAAAGACAAAGAGGAGTTCAAAATGTCTGTAAGGATTGCGGCATGAGTAACTGGAAGAATGGAAGTGCCATTTGTTGTAAAGGGGAAGATGAAAGGAGGAACCTCACCCACCCTGTGCCTCCAGTGCACAACACAGCACAGCAAATGGGTTCAGTACAGAACTGAATTAGTTAGCCATGGAATTACTCCTATTCCTGCCAGGTGTCCTCAAACAAATACCAAAATCCATGACAGTGAAGTTTAGTGGAGAAACATGTCCCCCTTTGCATGATATTCTGAGCTTCTTGATGACAGCAATATCAAAAGGGAAAATGTAGTTTTAATTTGGAGGGAGATGGAATCTCATTTACGATAAACCTGGACATAAGATGTAATCAACATTTCATTCTTGTACAATGTAAAGAGTTATTTTGAGCAGGTTTTCAGTGACCTGTGAAGAAATGGCATTTCAGTACAACTTCTTCCTTCAGGTTTTCATACAGATGAGCATTGTTATAAGTGGCTAAGAAAGATATGGAAGAGGACATGATAGGATAGAAACTATTTTTCTGGGATAGATGCAGTGTTCCTCAAACATACAAGTGCATTGAATCTTATATTTACTTTTGTAGCTCTAAACAAAAATCCAACATCCTTTGTGGTTCTATTTCGAACAGTTTGTTAGTGTTAGGGCTTGCAGAGGCCCCGAAGTAACATCCCTCTCTCAGGAGCTGGAACCATTGAAAGTCATAGGAATCTTTCAGGTTGAGATCAGAATGTCAGGTTCATAACTGGAATATGCAACTGGAAAACATGGCTTGAGATCTGTGGGTGTGTTTGCTAATATTTCCCCCCAACCTAACGGCAAACCCAGACTCTCCAAAGGGGCAAGCCGCTTAGAATATGGCAGAGAGCAGTCCAGGAGTCTCCTGCTCTTGGGGTCAGGCAGAACTTGGGGAGGACTTTGCTAACATCTGTTATTCCTTCTTTCCAAACCACCAGTCACATAAGGCGCTTCCCTTTTTCAAAGGAGGCATGAGTGAGTGGGCAGAGAGAGGCCAAAGGTATCACTAGCGGAAGTTCCTCCACCTGGGGCACATGAGGTAAGGAGAAGGGCACTTCCCTATTGACCTTTCTCCATTGGGAGCTTTATCTCATTACGTAGTAAATTGTCATTACCTTTATCCTTGTCAGGTTCATGTTTCTGTGGGAGATATTGTAGGACTCCTTGCTTTATAGTATAGAAGAAGTATGTCTCAACTTGTTTTCCCACAGAAACATATCTGATGAATAACAAACCATTAGTATTGGTATCTCATTAGCTGCTACCACTAAACTATGCATTACTCCCAGTTTCACTGGTGCCAAATCCATTCTTTTCTCTGTGAGTTTGAGAACTATTAATGTAGATACGTTTCAGTCAAGACTAAGGAATATTTCTATAAAATGAATATTTGGAATTGATTATCTCAGTAAGTCTACCAGTATACCTGAACTGAAAGGGATTCCCCAAAATGCCAAATATTCAGCTATACCAGAACTATACTGATTGGTGGTGTAATGTTTGTAGAATTTTCAGAATTTGATGACACTTTTAGGCATTCTATCATCATCAACAACAGCAAACATTTCTCAAAGGCATTCTTCCTACAAAGTGCAATGCCAAGTCTGAGGACACACCAAGAAGTATAAGTTGTCTGGACACAAGAAGTTTGTACTCCAGTATAGAATGTGTGCCACATGAGTACATGTGAAAAGTGAATAATATAAATGTACCCTATACTACCTGCTAAGTGGATTACATGAGCATTACAGGCAGAATGTTAAGCCATGCACCAAAGACACTTTTGACAGGTTTGGGATGATTGTAAACCATTTCCTAGGAATTGTTCATAAAGCTTAAGACACTAGAAGTGAGTGTTAACTTTGCAGGAATAGATCATTAGGGGCTGTTTGGTACTAGGATATTTCATAAAGAAGGTAGAAATTGAGCCAGGCTTCAAATATCCCAGGACTGAGTGTTTGGTTCCCTTGTCCACTCCATCTGCATTCCTCTTATTAATAAATAATATCACCATCCACCAAGCTGCTCACCAAAATTTTAGGTGTCATTCTTGATTTCTTCTTATCTCTCGCCCCTTATGGCAAATGCATCAGCTAGTCTTGTTGATTTTACCTATAAGTGTTTCTTGAATACACCCAGCTGCCTATCTGCCCTGCCACCCCCTTGTCTAAACCCGTTATCCTGGTCCAAGAAACCGTCATCTCCTGCCTGGACTACCACATGACCTCCTAACTCTTCTCCCTGCTTTCAGTATTTGTAACCTCCAATCTTTTTTTTTCATAGAGTAACAGTTGTAAATGATAAATCAGATAATGTCATTCTCTTTTTAAAAACCCTTTGATGTTTTTCTGTTTCTCTTTAAAAGAAAATGTACATTTCTTACCAAAATTAGTAGGACCCTGCACAACACAACTTGGGCCATCTTTTCAACCTCTTTCCCTTATTTTATTATAGTGTAGCCACAGTGGTGTCCTTTCTGTTCCTCAAACAGAATCACCTCTTTCTGTTTAGAGGTTTTGCATTTGCTATTCCTTCTGCCTGGAATACCATTCCCTTGGCTATTCATGTGCCTGACTCCTTTTATATTTTTCAGGTCTCAGTCCTAATGTCACATTCTCAGCACAAATGCCTTTCTTGACAACTCTATCTAAAATAACTTCCCCCAGTTCTTCTCTATTACAACATTTATTCATTTTTTTCATAGCAAATTTCAGAAAATGTACATTTTTTCTTATTTCCATGAGTCTATTATTACTCTAGCTGCAGTGCATATCACAGTGTCTTGGACTACCCAATAAACACATGAATAAATAGTGCAGCTGATATAAGCAGAGGAGAAAGAAAGGGGACCTTCTCGTCTGGGTGAGAGTGTGAGCAAAGAGCTGGAGATAAAGTGTGCATAGTATTGTAGGGAGCAACACCTGAGTGCTGCTCAAAGGACTGGAGGAGCCTAGCAGGAATGCTGGCAGTGGTGACTTGGATTGGAGGTTGGGGCTTAGGGTTGAATTATAGTGGCTGAAAGTGAGACAGTCTAATGGGTAGATACAAATTGTGTTCAAAGAAGGAAACAGGAGAAGTATCATATTAAGCAGTAGGTCTGATAGGGTGAGCCCAAGGTTGTAGAGAGAAGAGATTAAATACCAAACAACATCAGGAAGGAACAGGGCATAGTAGGGAGAACAAGGGTAAGTGAAAAATATTTTGTTCAGGATGTGGTTTGTGAACAAATCATCTAGAATACTGTTCTTATTGAGAGCAATCCTATTTATATGGTGTAAAGTTTTGTTTCAGTAGTACTGATATATGAATTTGGAGAATAAAAACAAACATATAGAGAGGGTCTCAAAGTCAAAGCTGTATGGATGGAATTCACCTTACAGTCAGTCAACTTGATGTTACTGAGGAAATATTTTTGATCAAGGAGTGACTCTATAAGATTAATCCTGCTGTGATATTATTGGTTACAAATGCTGTAGGTAGAGATGCCAGTAGGAAAGGATTGTAGCTGTCTAGGTGAGCGCTTTTGAAATGTGTTTCTAAGTCTGTTTACTTAACAAGGATATACTTTATATGTCTGTCATAAATCCCATACTAAAAAGTATTCAAAGGAAGTTGTTATAGAATGAAAGACATGAAGACCTGAACTTTGGGAAGCTTTAGCAACAGAAAGTTTGGCAGGGATATTAGAGTAGCTCTACTTTGCCATCCCCTGCCTTCCATGCCCACACTCTCCTCATGGTAGTGATATCCATATTTTACAGTAAAATCTTTGGAAATTTCTTTATCCTGCCTCTTCCCTGAGATGGTGAATGGACGGCCTGTAGAGCTGGGCTGCAATATCACAGCTCATCACTAGGTGTCATCCTCTCACCAATGACTTATTCCACTCAGTGTTTCTCAGGTTTAGTTTTAAATTATAGAAATGTTTTATTTTTATTCCATCTATATTTTGAGTTCTCACTCCATAATTATAAATAATTTTTTGAGTCACATGAAATCAAAGAAAACATTTTCTAAATCTTGTTACAGTAACAGTCACATTTTGTTTAGAATACTCTTTTAGTGATATTTTTATACAATTGATAACCTGCTTAATTTTAACTGCTGTAGTATTATGCTATTTATTTTGATAATATTGTAATGTTGGTGGAGATATAAACAAGTCATGGAATCTGAAAATATCTGGTTTGTGTACTTTGTTTTCAGCCCTTGTATAGATTAAACCAATCTTTTTTATTTTTTTGAAAAAATCTGCAGACATTGCCATGTACTTGAGTTCAAGATCCTGTACATAGACCTGTTTTTTAAAAATTTAAAAACAAAATATGTGTAGGAATTTGTTTAGCATGTATTGTATTTCATTATCAATTTTAGAGATATTTTTACATTTGGGCAAAAAATTAGCAGTGTAATAATAATAAGGCAAGGGTAAATATTTATATACAAATATAATGGTTCATTATTTATAAATCCAATGGCATTACTTAAAAACCAGATGTACATAATATTTCATAGTTGTGCATATTTTTTGATTAATCCCTGCAAATAAAATGATG
This sequence comes from Homo sapiens, assembly GCF_000001405.40. Taxonomy (NCBI): domain Eukaryota; kingdom Metazoa; phylum Chordata; class Mammalia; order Primates; family Hominidae; genus Homo; species Homo sapiens. The sequence goes on along the minus strand of NC_000012.12, from coordinate 26,524,352 downwards.
AGTATATGAGGTTTAGAATGTATAGTACCCCCTGTGGCTCATGTTCAGGAATATCTAGCTCATATTTGTCAGTTGGTTATACTCTATGTAGTATCTGAAATGTATCATTCCCACACCTTCCCAATTTGAAAACTCCTTTGAAATGGCAGAGATACTATTAGATAGCCTTATTCGTTTGAAAAATGGAGTATTTGAAATTTGCTTTCTCTGTTGCTTGGTTAGAAGCATGTGTGTTACATATGCCTTCTATCCCGTTATAATCTTGTGTACTGTGTGACTGGTTTTAATGAACTGTTTCTACCAGTAGGGAAATGGTCCCTGTTTTATTTGCTGCTATGAAAGTCCCAAAGCATGTGACAGTACATGTGCACACTCCGTGCAGATTAAAGCTGCGGGGCATGATTGGAGGAGACACAGACTGCCAAGCCACTGAGGCGGCTCTGCCAACAACAGCATGTGATTATGTAACGCCTGCAGTGTCTGGCACTGTGCTCCACTGGAGACACGTCACGTGTTGTGCAATGCTCTTGGCCCTGAAATTCAATTAGATTGCTTTGAACGATCCGTGAGTCTGCATGAGATAAGCTTTTACTGCTCTACAGTAGAAAGCAAATGGGTTGATTAGCTGCACATAAATTGATAAATTGCCTTTGTAATTCCAGCAAGGATATTTGCATTATGTATACATCATCATGCCCCTGAAGAGCTGAGTTTAAGCATTATATAACCTGGATAAATAATGTAGGGGTGGGGGAGTACCAACCTTCACAAGTAGAGAAAAATGTTTTCTTACAGACAGTTAGCAGTAGGCTTTTTAAAAAAAAAAAAAAGATTTTGCCATTGTTTTTGAGAATCTGCTTAAAAGGCTGCCAGTATTTTATTTTTCAATGCAATTATCTATGAGTGAGAATAAAGAAATTGATACAGTGATAATTTGGTGGGGGGAAGGAAGATTAGCGAGAAAAAGTGTCAAATCGTGAGTTCAATTAAATTAAAACTAAGTTGTGAGCTCAGATGGCCTTTTAATGTTGAACAAATTAATTTTTTGTGAGATTATAGCTGATCAATTTAAGGAACCGTCAGAAATTAACCCTATATTTGGTTGAGGCTTCTAGTTATCTTTTTACGAAAAGAGATGTGGGATAAAAGAAGGAAGGTAATAGAAGTTGAGAAATTGGGGCTTGGTAAAGAAGTTGAGGATTATTATCATACTAGAGGCTTAAGAGCCTCTGGGGAACAACCAAAATCAATGATGTGAGCTTGGCTATCCCAGCTCCCTCTACTTCTATTTTACTCCAAATAGGATTTATGTTTTTAACCAAAAGACCTTGTGAGACAATGCTCGTTAGAATTGTTCAGACACTGAGCTGAAACCCAAGGCATCGAAATGTTATGCAGAATGCTTCCATTTTGTTATATCAACAGGGATTAGGTGTACAGTTCTTTTGCGATTTTAGGTAAAACAGTCTTGAACTGTAGCAAAACCGGTGTTGTTGTGGGGTTCCCCCCCCGCCGTGGAAGCATGGCTTTTTTTCTTCTATTCTTTGAAAATCTTCTCAAGAATTTGCTTAAGGTAAATTCTTATATCCTGATTTTGATGTGAGTAGATTATTTTCTAATATGTACTAAAACCCAGAATTTAACAATTTTTCAATTTAATAGATTATCTAAATGACGTGTGAGATTTAACTTGCACATGTACTTTCCCATTCATTCAATTTCCATAACTATCTGCAGTAGGTATTATTCCATTTAACCAAAGGGAAAATGGATGCATCAAGAAGCATAATGAACTGCTTGGGGTCGCACTGCTCAGAGGTGACTGGATAGGGGTTCCAAAGCAGATCTTAGATGTTTTCTTCCACTGTAATAATGGTCCCCAAACACTGACCCACAAACTGGGCCAAGTTGGACCATATTTCAAGGAAATCCTGATTTATTATGTGTAAAGCGTAAACCTGGGAATATATAGTTTTAAAATAACTTCCCAGGTGATTGTGATTTAAGATCAGGATTGGTGGCTACTTCATGTCTAATAGTCTAAGCTACAGAGATAGCATTAGAACATCTCTATGCTGTACTTCTGATGTGTGTGTGTGTATAAACAGGATGAACACTATATAATATCTAAAAAATCTTCAGGGAATTAAATCAGCATTATACAGGTTGGTTAACTGAAAGTTTCGAGTATTTATACTATATAGTGTTCATCCTGTTTATTCAAATCAAATTGTAAAAACATAGTTTATTCTTTTTGGTTCTTAGTAAAACTTTAATAGAAAATATATCTTGCTAGAATAGACATAAAATATTCTGTGTCTGACGCTGTAGTATTTTATAGTAGTCAAAAGAATATAGTGGGAAATGTAATTCAGTAAATGGCATCTGCTATAAAAAGGCTAGCCTCCAGGTCTTAAATTGATGCTAGCTGGAGTAACTTTGTTAATGAGTGAATTCAGAGTTGGTTTAATGAGTTAGTGATGTAGGGATAGCTCATTATCATCAGGGAATATAACTCGCTGCTGCATCTTTGCAAAATAATAAAAAGGGACCAGCTAATCCCTTACCCTGACATAATTGAGTCTGGCTTTGTTGTTGTTGTTGTTTCCTTTCCTATCTGCGTCTTTAAAAGATGAGATATGATCCATTACTGTTGGGGATGGGACTCCCTGAGCATCTCTCCTTTCTTCATTCCTCCCTCCCACTCTTTTTACGAAGATCGTCTTGTTTTGTACCACAGATATTTGTTTTAAAGGAAAGTGTTTGAAAAGGCCAAATTAAGTCTGTAAACCTACATGCTTGATGACCAAAGCATCCTGGCTGAAGCTTTGGAAAGACTCGAGGGGCCCCTGACTGCATATAATGAATCTGAAAAATATTGACAGTTAATAACAGGGTACATGCAACTTTGCAGAACATGTATTTTCTAGAAACGCATTCTTAATTGTTCAGCTGTCATAGTGCATTACCAAGTATATGATTGACAGCTATTAAGGTATTTTTATCTTAAATTTTACTCTTTATATTACATAATTAATAGAAATTATTTTTCATGCGCTGCACTTATAAAAATAAATAATAATACAGTATCATGGTTTTCTGAACTTCAGTTAAGAGTGTGTGAACTTTTCTTTGCAAATGAACTAAATATTAATGTCAGTTTTGTATAACTATTGAAAATGCACCACCTCCCAAAAAATATCTTCAGGTAATAAAATAAATCAGCATTATACAGGTTGGTTAACTGGAGTTTCTATTTGAGTATTTATACCATAGAAAGGAAGCTACTTAGGGGCAAAATCTGAGTCTTTAATGTACTTTCTTTCACAGTGACTCATATTGCTACTTCAATGTGATGTTTGGTTCAGGAAATAATTTATCCAGATGCTCTAAAAAGGAGCATGTTATATTCCTTACATAAACTAATTCTACTTGATTCCTGACTTGTTCTGCTATAATTTTTCAAAGTTATATCAGCCTATAGAAGATCCATACCCCATAAATATCTAATCAATCAAATTCATATATAGATATAGTATGTGCTTAAAAAATAAAGAGAAAGATTTTCTTGGTTGGTCTATCAATCAGGTTTGAATCAGGAGACAAAAATCCACAAATTATTTTAACAAAAAATTTAATATGAAGAATTGATAGCTAGGAATGAAGAAATGAAAGATGAAAAGAAAGACACTAAAGTGTCACAAAGATAGCCATTTCATGAAGCAGATCTCACCCCTACATCAGGAGCAAAGAGAAGTAACTTAAAACTTAGATGAGAGGTCCCATGTGGCTGGAACTCAGACCTTGGGGACCACTGGCAAAGACCAGGAGCCGCTATTTCTGAGGGAAAGGCGTGTTGGAAAAACTACAGACTGGGTTAGTTGTGGCTTTGAGCAGGAAACACCCTTGCCAGAATAAAGTGTGTTTGGAATGACACTCACAAGAACAGGAAGCAAAAACAGGAAGTCAACAGGAAGCCCATAGGAAGCAGAGAAGAGGAACAAGTCTCTTCTTCCTTCCTGGAGTCTGTTCTTCCTCCCAGATTGCCTGCAATCTCCCTCTCATACTTCCTGCTGGCAAAGCCTATCCTAGATGTAGCCAGCAAAGTAGAAATGTGATCCATAAAATTTCAGTCCCAAATCACAAGGGGGAGTTTGGAGCTGAGAGGCAACAGCTCAATAACTGGTATGTTTCTCTGAAAACCTTAAGAAAACTATCTCAATTAAAAGTTATTTTACATTTAATTTTTGAATAGGTAATATACTGCATAGTACCAAAATGTAACAAGAATAGTTTCTTTCCCACCTTCATTGCCCTTGCACCGTGTTCCCATCCTCCCACCTACCTCCCAGCCAGGTAATCACTATTATTGGTTTCTTATGTATGTTTTCAGAGTTTCTTTATGTATATACAAGCAAACACAGTATGTATGTTTGTTTCTGTCATATCACTTATCATACCACTATTTCACACCTTTCTCTTTTTACTTAATATATCTCGTTGATTTTGCCATATAAGTTCATAGAGAACCTCTTTATGTTTTAAACCTCATTACCTTAATAAATTCTCTTACTGTTTTCAGTAGTTTTTCATTTTATTGTCTTTGGCGTTCACAGGACAAAATGACATCATCTGCAAATATTGATGGTTTCTAAATATTTTGTCTCTACATCATTTATCTCTGCCAATTGTTTTGGCTTGTGCATCCAGCACATGTTAAATATTAATGGTAATGAACATCTTTGTCTCTATCCGGCCTTATTGAGAATGCCTTTAATATTTCTCAGTAAGCATGATACTGGCTTTTGGGACAAGATAAATATATTTTATTTTGTTAAAGAAGCATCTATTTATTATACTTACTTTTAAAATCAGAAATGAAATTAAATTTTGTCAAATGGTTCTTCAGCATCTGTAAAGCATAATCATAGGACTTTTGCTGTTTTATGTAAGTACTATATTTCTATAAGCTTTCTATTTTGTTAAGCAGTTTCCTAATGTTTCTAACATTGAGCCATCTTTGCATTCCTGGAACAAATTCCACTGGGTCATGGAATTCACCAACACACAAACACACCCACACACGTGTGTGTTTGTACACAATGATATTTATAAAAATATTGTAGGTTTTATTTATTGTTGATTACTATTTGTTAGTTTTTTATTTATTTCATAGGAAGAATTTGGAAGTTTTTCTTATTTTCTTCTGCTCTGAAACAGTTAAAAAGTGCTGGATTGATCTTCTCTTTGGGAGAAGTTCCCTGTGAAACTATCTGGGCTTGGTGCTTTTTGAGCTGTTTGCTCTTTGACAATTTCCTTTATTTATTACATGAAAATGGTCCCTTTAGATTTTCTGTCTCTTTTGGGTTCAATTTTGATAAATTTTATTTTTCTAGAAATTTATTCGTTTTATGCAGTCTTTCAAAAAAGTTTACGTGTAGTTGAAAAATCTTGTTGATCATAGAAAATCTTGTGATCATTTAATTTTTTTCTGTTTCTTTAGTTATTTCCTTCTTGCAATGTTTTACTTAGTATTTCAGGCTTTCCTTCTTTCTTTACTAGGGTTTCTGCTGGTTAATTTTCTCAGAAAGCAAGTTTTTAAAAAATTGTTAAATTTTAAAAATTTAAAAATTAGTTCTGTTTGTATTTCTTTTCAACCTCGTTACACCATGCTTCTATATTTAATGAGTTGGTTTAAAATTTTGCTATTTTTTATTTTTGGGTATGACATTTATTTTTATTTCTATGGATGTTTTGAGGATACAGATTTTTCTCTTAGCACTACTTTATTTTTTATTTGTATTTATTCCCGCCCCCCCTTCCCCGACAACATTTATTTTAGGTTCGGGGGTACATGTGTTTGTTATATAGGTAAATTGCATGTCACAGGGGTTTGATGTATAGATTATTTTGTCACCCTGGTAATAAGCATAGTTCCTGATAGCTAGTTTTTAGGTTGTCACCCTTCTTCCACCCTCCACCCTCAAGTAGGACCTGGTGTCTGTTATTCCCTTCTTTGTGTTCATATGTACTCAATGTTTAGCTCCTCCTTATAAGTGAGAACATGGGGTACTTGGTTTTCTGTTCCTGTGTTAGTTTGCTTAGGATAATGGCCTCCAGCTCCATCCATGTTGCTGCAAAGGACATGATCTCATTCTTTTTTAGGGCTGTGTAGTATTTCCATGGTATGTGTGTGCCACATTTTCTTTATCCATTCCACTGTTGATGGGTTTAAGTTGATTCCATGTCTGTGCAATTGTGAATGGTGTTGTGATGAACATTGTGTATATGTGACTTTATATTAAAATAATTTATATTCCTTTGGGCATATACCCAGTAACAGGATTGCTGGGTCAAATGGTAGTTCTGTTTTAAGTTCTCTGAGAAATCTCCAAACTGCTTTCCACAGTGGCTGAACTAGTTTACATTATCCCCAGCAGTATGTAAGTGTTCTCTTTTCTCTGCAACTTCTTCATCATCTGTTAGTTTTTGTTTTGTTTTGTTTTGTTTTGTTTGATACAGAGTCTTGCCCTGTTGCCCAGGCTGGAGTGCAGTGGCGTGACCTCAACTCACTGCAATCTCTGCCTCCTGGGTTCAAGTGATTCTCCTGCCTCAACCTCCCGAGTAGCTGGGATTACAGGCAGGCACCACCATGTCTGGCTAATTTTTGTATTTTTAGGAGAGATGTGGTTTTGCCATGTTGGCCAGGCTGGTCTCGAGCTTCTGACCTCTGGTGATCCACCTGCCTTGGCCTCCCAAAGTGCTAGGATTACAGGTGTGAGCCATCACGCCCGGTCAGCATCTGTTAGTTTTTCACTTTTTAATAATAGCCTTTCTGACTGGTGTAATTGTTATCTCATTGTGGTTTTGATTTACATTTCTCTAGTGATTAGTAATATTGAGCATTTTTTCATATGCTTGTTGGCCACATGTATGTGTTCTTTTGAGAAGTGTCTGTTCATGTCCTTTGGCCATTTTTCAATGGGGTTGTTTGCTTTTTGCTTGTTAATTTTGTTTAAAATCCTTATAGATTCTGGATATTATACTTTCATTGGATGCAGAGTGTGCAAATATTTTCTCCCATTCTGTAGGTTGTCTGTTAAGTCAGTTGATAGTTTCTTTTGGCTGTTATCACTACTTTAGTTGCATCCCATAGCATCTCCCTATATATAGTATTTTAATTATTGTTGTTTTTCAGAAATTCTCTTTAGAATTTTTCTCTTCTAAAAGTTGTTTAAGGAGAGTTTATTTTCTAGATGCAAGGGATCTTTTGAAGTTTAAAAAACTAGTTCCTAGTTTTCTTACTTGTCATCAATGTTATACTCTTCAAATATTCTTACATTTAAGATAATTCTATTACATTATATATTTTAAAACTATTTGTTAACTTCCATTTCTTTTGTTTCCTTCTTCAGATCTCCAATTATGTATATGCTGAGTCTTCCATTCACTGTCTTTTTTTTCTTTTACGTTCTCTTTTAACTTTTGAAGAGATTTTTGAAATACCCATTTTATTTTTTTCTCATATCTATCCTCTCCATCCCTTTGTTTGCTGTAGTGTCGAGCTTATTTGTGTCCCTTCCAATTATTTATTCATTTCCAAAGAAATACTTTTTAAATGTTCATCTCCTATTTTTTCCACAATTTCTTCCTGAATTTCTTATCTTTTTGCTATGCAGCATTCCTTTATAGAGGTGATTTCATCATGTTAAAAAGTGCATATAAAAATTTTTTTATAATGATTTTAATTTGTTTGTATAATCCATGAGTGCTATTTATTGATAAACTTTGCTCTTGCATCTCTCACCTTTCCTTTCCCCTTTATATTCCTTATATATATTCTTTCAGTTGATACAACCAGTAATTTATGGGAAGTCTTTGAAGACCCCAAAGCCCTTTTCTTTTCTGCTATCACAAAGCTGGAGCACATCCTAAAAATATGGCCACTCTGATGGTATCTTTCATAACAGTAGTTCCTCAGCTTAGCTTTCCTTTCCTTTCCTTTCCTTTCCTTTCCTTTCCTTTCCTTTCCTTTCCTTTCCTTTCCTTTCCTTTCCTTTCCTTTCCCTTCCCTTCCCTTCCTTTCCTTTCCTTTCCTTTCCTTTCCTTTCCTTTCCTTTCCTTTCCTTTCCTTTCCTTCCTGTCCTCCCCTTCCCTCCCCCGCCTCCCCTCCCCTCCCCTCTCCTCTCCCCTTCTCTTTTCTTCGTCTTTTCTTTTCTTTTTTCTTTTGAGACAGGGTCTCACTCTGTCACCCAGGCTAGAGTTCAGTGGTGCAATCATGGCTCACTGCAACCTCTGCCTTCAGGGCTCAAGCAGTCCTCCTGCCTCAGCCTCCTAAGTAGATGGGATTACATGCTCATGACACCACACCACCACACCCAGCTTTTTTCTTTTTCTTTTTTTTTTGTAGAGATGGAATTTTTCCATGTTGCTCAGGCTGGTCTTGAACTCCTGGGCTCAAGCAGTCTGCCTGCCTCAGCCTCCCAAAGTGCTGGGATTACAGGCATGAGCCACCATACCCGGGCCCTCTACATTTCTGACCTTGCCTTTTCTCCCCCTAATTCTGACTTCTATGGATACAAATATGAACTGCGGCTTTGGTGTTTCTTGGTGGGCTCCTTCACTTCAGGAGATAGATTTTTGCCTTAACTTCTTGGGGATGCGGCTCGGCCATGTGGCCACTCTCAGTGCTTCTCTGTACTTTCTCCTGCTTGGCTTCTGCCTGATGGCTGCTGATATGGGCAGCTCTTATGTGTCTTCTGTAGTTTGTGGATTATATCTGTCTCTTTCTTTTGCTGAAAATGGAGTTTTCAGGCTTTTATTTTCTTCTCCTTCTTTTTGTTGATTTCCACAGCAGTATAATGATACTAAATTCATTAGCCATGCACATGCTGGAAGTCAGTGTGGGCCTTAAGGAATAGCAGTTTAATATCAGGGCTTTGATAGTTTACACAGGCAATACAATAATTACAGCAGGTGCTGTTCAAATATGGAAGTAAAATAATGTTCACACTTGCCCCAGAAAATCACTGTAGAAAATGAGAGACATGCTGCTTTTCTCTTTCTTGCCTTTCATTTATTTTAAAGAAAAACTTTAGTATTAGAATTTGGTGCTAATATTTGAGCATTCCAAGAAAACTACTTTCTTTGATAAATGATGCAAAGCTCCTATTTTCTCCCTATATCTTTTGATTTATAGATTGTTCTTTCTTGTTATTTTGCTGATACTGGAGTAAACTGGTTCAATCTGAGTAAGATCTTGTGGACCCTGTTTTTCACTATTCTGTTGGTATTTTGCTACTGAGGTAGAAATTACTCTGTATATTTGTTAAACTACCTGGAATTTAGGAGGATAATTTTCCATCATCTTACTTTTAACTGATGAGAAAATACATAGATACTATTCTGATCAAAGGCTGATTTCTTGGTCTTTTGTTATAGTTCCAGACAGTAGAAATAATTATGTTTTGCCTGGATAATTAGTCATAGCTACAATACAAATTTTAATTGATAAATTAAAATAGGAACTATTTTATAGTCAGCTCTTCATTAAATCTTATTTATTTTTTATTATTGTGCGTAACCAAATTGAAAATGGTGTGAATTTAGATTAAAGGTGAAGCTTTATACTTAATTTTCCTTTTAACATACGGTTCTTGGCAACAGGCAGAAAATAAATGCAATGAAGTCAGTGTTTCAGTAGTGAAACTGTACAAACAGTAGCAAGTTACTGGAGCTGACAGTTTTCAAATGATAGTAGCGGGTTATGTAAGTCACCCAAGATGGCTCAATGTACTATTATTTCCAGACAGAGTTGGAAATAGCACGTGCCAAGGCAACAGGCAGTCAGACAAAAACATAACAATTTACTTTCCAATAATTATCATCACTTCTTGCCAGGCTGGAACTCAATTGATCTGATACAGCAGAATATCTTTTTGTATGGATTTCTTTCAAGCTTAGAAACATCATGACTGCAGTAAATACTCCTGTAAATCATTTTCGGGACTTCATTAAAGGAAACAGCAATACTGTAATCGCTTTGTTTTTTGCATTTAAAACATAAATTGATACAAATCCCAGCCAGTGCTATCCTTCAATTCATTTACCCTTTCTTCTTTTCCCTCCCTTTTTCTAAACTCTTTCTTTTTTTAAAAAAACATCGTAGTTAGTTGGAAGCTTTTAACAAAAGAGCTGATTACGTTAAGGAATTTAGCTCACTCTTCTTCCATAGCTGATAAAATATTAAAAAATAAGACTAAAATTATGCAGTCTATGGTTTATAAGTATCACATTGTTCTTAAGATACAGATTTAATTGACAGATTTCTAAGGAGGCTTATTAATCCTTCAGCCATCATTGTGAAAGGGAAATATTTTCAGAAGTTCAAACATGGGACAAACGGACAAATGACAAATTTGGTGGAAACACAACAAGTGGATGTTAGAGATCATTTTGAAATAGTTGATGACATACATGTGGCCTGAAGTCAGTTGATTTTCCTCCTGGGTAGCTTTTATGTATGAGACTTTTGTTCAGGGACTACCACGGCGGGGGAAAAATGTAGGGTTGCATGTGTGTGTGTGTGTGTGTGTGTGTGTGTGATAATTGGCAATAAAGGAAATTTGGAGACAGTGGAAAAATTGGATAGAAGACATAAGGCAAAGGTGCTGGAAACAGGGAGTGCTGAGACAAGAGAAACCTGGAAAACTTGGGTGTAGATGAAATTATATTCCCAGATGACTTTTCATGGCAGCTTCATGGCTGGCTTATGCTCAAAGTCAGGGTTTCTGCAGAGAGAGAGAGAGAGGTCTGAACAAAGTATCCGAGGAAGAGTAACAGCTGGAGCTGCCCAGGACAGGAAGTAATTGCCCATTCAGAGTGACCCAAACTGGCCTATATTATTTAAGGTAAAACTAGCTAATGAGTCTTTGACACTGGATCTTTAGAAAACTTTTTACATTTTCCAGAATAAAAAGAATATTAATATTCTTTTTTCACTGGGTTAAAATGTTAGTATCATGGCAAAAGCATAATGAATCTTAATTCGAATTTAAGCAAGGGCTTTTAAAATGCAGGATGGAAATGGCTTTCATAAATCTGTGAAATCCCCTGGGCATACAGGCAGCATTCTGTGTTTCACAATGGTAACTGCAGAGTGTCTTATAGTAAGGTATCTGCTCATATGCTTTAGAGTTAAAAATTGTTTCCCGGCCGGGCGCGGTGGCTCACACCGGTAATCCCAGCACTTTGGGAGGCCTAGGCGGGTGGATCACGAGGTCAGGAGTTCAAGATCAGCCTGGCCAAGATGGTGAAACCCCGTCTCTACTAAAAATACAAAATGTTACCCGGGCACCTGTAATCCCAGCTACTCGAGTTGGTGGGCACCTGTAATCCCAGCTACTTGGGAGGCTGAGGCAGAGAATTGCTTGAACCTGGGAGGCGGAGGTTGTGGTGAGCCGAAATCGCGCCACTGCACTCTAGCCTGGGTGACGGAGCAAAACTCTGTCTCAAAAAAAAAAAAAAAAAAATTGTTTCCCTTCCCTGTCCGTTGAGAGGTGTGAACCCAAAAGTATCTGAGACAGGTCTCAGTCAATGTAAGAAGTTTATTTTGCCAAGGTTAAGGATGCACCCATGACACAGCCTTAGGAGATCCTGACGACATGTGCCCAAGGTGGTCAGGGCACAGCTTACTCTTCTACATTTTTGGGAGACATGAGACATCAATCAATATGTGTAAGATGTACTTTGGCTAGGTCCAGAAAGGTGAGACAACTCAAAGCAGGGGCTTCCAGGTTATAGGTAGATAAGAGACAAAAGGTTGCATTCTTTTGAGTCTTTGATCAGCCTTTCACTCGATACACGATTTACATGTGGGGGGTGGGTAGAGAAATAATCACTTATGCCTTAGTCTGGCCCAGTGAATCTGCATTTTTACATAAGCAATAGGGCAGAGGAAGCAATCAGGTATGCATTTATCTCAGGTGAACAGAGAGATGACTTTGAGTTTTGTCCTTTGTCCCGCACCTGTGAAGATAAGCTATCAATTTACATTGCCAGAGTGAAATTCAACAGACTTGTTTTAGGGTAAAGATCTGGAGGCCCACAAGGAATCTTCTTGTGGGCAAATTGTGAGGGAGATCTGCAGCTTTTTTTTTTTTTTTTTTTATCTTTGTAGCTATCTTATTTAGGAATAAAATGGGAGGCAGGTTTGCCTGACACAGTTCCCAGCTTGATTTTCCCGTTGGCTTAGTCATTTTGGGGTCCTGGGATTTATTTTCCTTTCACAGAGGTAAAGCAAGAGCAAAAGATGTTTTTGACTGAGGGTGGAAATGAGATGAAGAGTAGATGAGGCAGAGAGGTACTGGGAGGTTGTTTAGGATGACAGATGTTTCAGAGAAGGAGATTTTAGTGTCAGGAATAGTAAGATGGTGTGGAAAGACGTTGAGGAGGACAGAACTAAAGAAACTGATGGGGCCTGAGGGCGAAAATGGTGGACAGAGATGGCTTAGACTTCAAGACTTGATTTGTAGCTATGTTCTACCAGCCTCCAGCTGTCTATGCGTTGGCCTCACGCATGTCCCAAACGTGGTCCCACACATGTTTACACATTGGTCCCACATATGCTGAGAGTAATTACTTTCTATTCATCAGAGGTCAGAATAGAATAAAGAATGTTTATGTCATAGTATGACTTTTTAGGTGATTTTGAAAAGCAAGAATATGAATTCTATGAAAAAAATCTATTAGGAAATTATGGAAATGACAGAATGCAGAGGTATTTGGAAATAGAAAAAAAATGGGTGAGACAGTAAATACTTACAAAAAAAGTTATTGAATGTCTGCTCAGCCCTGGAAAGGCACTGATGAACAATCACTCTACCTTCTTGGCGTTTAGTGAGAAAATCATACCAACCAAATAGTTGGACAGGGATTAATTAATTTCTGTTTTAAATTTACTCTGAAGGAGAAGTCCAGAGTACTGTATGAGTGTGCAACCAGAGGGCACAAACTGGGCTAGGGGAGGGGTGTCAGAAACAGCTTCTCCAAGACAGTGACATTAAACAGACCAGAAGAGCAAGGAGGATTTGGTGGAAAAGGCCCTGGGAGCAGTGGAACACACACACAGGTGTGAAGGATGCTCCTGTTCCACTGATGGGATGATACTTGTGGAGCACTCTTTTACTTTTAAACAATTAGACACCCAGAAGAAGCAAGAAGGATTGCAGGGAAACGATTGGTTACAGCTCAGGAAAAAAGAGACTGAGAAAACAGAATTTGGGGAAGTCAAGATGATAGTGAATTTGAAATAGGGGAGAAGAGTTGATAATAGCATAGAAAATGTTATTAGAGCAGAGATATACTTAATGTATTTTTTGGTACAGTTCTTTTTGTGATTTTTTACCAACAACTTCTGCCCCCAACACGTCTAGTGAACATTTTATAATTTTTCAAAAAGCTGTCTTTATTTTGCTTTAAATTAAAACAAATGCACACTCCTCAAAAATATTTCGGAAGAGCAAATAATGCAGTTGACTCTTGCTGCTAAGCTAGGTGTTAGTTTGCTATGAGCACCAAATGAGATGACATTTGTGAAACTGCCCTGATACGTAATCAAATATTAGTTTAATTCAAATTGAATTTACTGATTCATTTGTCTCCATTATTAAAACAATTTGTGTTCTTCACCTTACTCCTGCGGGTCCTCCTGTAATGACTAGATTAAGTGGTCCAAAGAAAATGACTGCATTTCTGTGCATGCTGATTGTCTTTGGCATTCTGCGACCTGACTGCTTAACAGTGGAAGTGATTTGGGGACATGGAAAAAGCTGACATTGTGATCTTCTCACTCCTCCTTCTCTAGCCTGCTAAAGCTGTAAGTAAACAGGTGTGTGGTCAGGTCTTGTCAACAAAGTCTGTGGGAAGCATCTTCTTTTCTTATGGAAGCTACATGTCTTCTTCTCATCCTTTATTATGTTTAATTCTGAAATGGTTGGCAAATACCACTATGGCTTTTCTGTCACATCTGGAAGATGTGTAGTCTTATTTTATGAGAAGGAGTAAAAGGATGGTGGGTGGAGTAGCCTGGTTGTAATTATAGTGTACGTTTATTTGGAAAGACTAGCATATTAGTATGCAGTGGCTAGATTAATTAAACTCAGCTGGCATAATTCAATATGGTTAGTTCCTGTAAAAGCAAACTGTCTTTAAACTCTTGAGGTTTGCTATAAAGCTTATGATGAGAGCAACATTTTGAATGTCTCTTCCTCCCATATGAATTACAAAGGCACTTAAAAGCTGTCCTTTTAAAAATTTGTTTCCCTTCTCTCCCCACCCCCACCCCCCACCACACACACACACACACACACACACACACACACACACACACACACAAAACCCTTATCTACTTGTTAACAAAATAAATTCTGGGATCTTTTTTTAGGAAGATGAGGGCTTTTTTAACTAACATATTTTGTGAACCATAATTTCCATGAAGTTGTTTATAATTTTGAGTTTCTACACATCAAGTAGTGTGAGGTATCCATGGAAACTGTCTAGCCTATATTCAGTGCACTGGACCGCCTTCCCACACAGGTCAAGACTCAAACAGTTCCAGATACTAGCTTGATTTATTGTGCCCTAAACATTAGACAGTTTTAAAAGGAAATTGGCTCCTAATTGACACATACAATTTCATGTTTAATTAGCAATTTGAGCCTGTCTACATTTTACTAACAGATGTAACATTCAAAACGTGCCATTCTAATATATCTGTTGCACAGATGCACCTAAATGCAGAACTTTATGAAATAGCAGCTCAGCTGCTTAGCAAAAATTTGGACAGAACTGACATTATTTTCCTTAAGAGATGTACTTTAATGTTATTTAAGGAGTGATTTTCCTTAACCAATCTAATGGATTTATTTTATATTTTGGTAACAGCTTTATTGAGATATTCACATACTATAAAATTCACCCTACAAAAGTGTACAATTTAGTGTTTTTTGGTTTATTTACAGATTTACAACCAATACTGCTGTTTAATTTTAGAACATTTTCATCACCCCTAAAAGAAACCCCATGCCTCTTAGCAGTCACTCTTCATTCTTCCCAGCCCCAGCCCTTGGCTATCTATTTTCTGTCTCTTTTTGTCTCTATGAATTTGCCTCTTCTGGACATTTCATATAAATGGAATCATACAATATGTGGTCTTTTGTGACTGCCTCCCTTCACTTGGCATAATGTTTTCAAGGCTCATACATGTTCTAGCAGGTGTCAGCACTTCAGTCCCATTTTATTGCCAAATAATATTCTATTATGTGCATATACCACATTGTGTTTATCCAGTCATCATTTGGTGGACATTTGGATTGTCTCTACTATTATGGATCATGCCACAATGAACATTCTGTACAAGTTCTTGTGTGGACCTCTGTTTTAATTTCTTTAGGGTAAATACTTAGGAGTGGAATTGCCGGAATGTATGGTAACTCTACGTTTAATTTTTTGGAACTGCCAAGTGGCTGCACCATTTTCTATTCCCATTAGCAGTGTATGAGGGTCCCAATTTCTCCACATCCTCACCAACATGTGTTATTGTTCAGATCACAATGTCAGCTTTTTCCGTGTCCCCAGATCACTTATTTTAGCCATTCTAGTGGGTGTGAGATGGTATCAAGGGGCAACTTTTTTTAAAAGGAGAGAAATTTAATATTGTCCATGGTTCATAAATTAGTTCAATGTGTGTCTCTTACTTGTTTGCTTTTCCATTACTCTTGATTTGTAAGATAAATATACCTCTCATCTCTATCAATATTGTCACTTTCCTTACTAATTTTAATGTAGGGGCCTATGATATCAAAATTTACAGTAGTGAATTGGGCTACATATAGAAAATGTATCATGAAAAAGGGAAAACACTGAAATAACTGTTCGATTGCAAAGGTTAAATCTCTAAATTTCTGTATGTTTTCATCTTACTTGACTTTAACTAGAAAACAGGTATAATAGTGATGCCACATACTGGGAAGCAATGAGTATTTGATACAATGCCAGATTAAAAGGTGTACTTATTTTTTCGTTCAATATAGTTCATCAATCATAAAATACCATCAATCATAAATAAGGCATACCATAATTTTATGTATCCCTAAAAATAAATAAATGCTGCCAATTAAACTAAAGCACACCATGGATTTTAAAGTGACCTGTAATTTAGAAATGTTAAAACATGCAGGAGAGAAATGGGTGTGTTAGAATCAATGAAATAAAGCAGAAAAGAGATGTGCTTGCTCAGTGTTTTTTGAAGGCAACCCAGTCATTTATGCTTACCAACACCCAGGGGAGATAGCAAGAATCTTCATACTTCAAAGACCTAATTCATTTTACAAATATGCATCAATATCCATGAGTACAAAAATAGATATACGTATATATTACACACATACACACTGACATACACACACACACACACACACACACACACACAGAGACAGAGAGAGAAGAGTAGAGAGATATTCATTGACTCATTCTTCCACACCTTAGGAGTATTAGATCAGCATCAGCAACCTGTAGTTCACTGAAATGATTCTTCCTCTCTTCAATTCACTGATTCAGAAAAGCTGGTTTACCTCAAATAATGTTTATTAAATACTTTAAGCTTTCTTTTCAGCCTGAGAATGTTTCATCTTGTTTTTTCCAGAAGCTAATTTCAATAGGTGAATCACAAACCTGTGAAAATCCACATTTATAATTCAGAGGCTAGCACCACAGTACTACCAAGCGGCTATGCTTCCTTACCAGCAAATGTGCTTTGCATGTTATTAAAAATAAACGTTTACTTTCTTAGTGCCCCGGATTATAGTTACAGTTCTAAATGCATTAAAGTAGTGAAATATCTATCACGGTGTATGCCACAGGGAATCAAACTGATTTCCAAAATAACATTCATAAGACCATAATAAGTCTAATAAAGCCTTTCTTAAAAAGACCCTTTCTAAGGTAAGCATTTGGTACTTGGCCCCTTTAATTAGCTCAGGCATCTCTAGGTTTGTTTGAACTGAGACCTCATTTTCTTTTAGTAATAATTGTGTTACTGCTTTGAAATGTTGATGAAAATTTAAAGGATTTCTATTTTTCATTAGTTCTAAATCATTGTCTCATAGTTTTCTCTCTGCAAAATTCTTTGAAAATTGTGGTTTACATGTAGAACACAATTAGGAGCTCATGGGAGCAGATAATTGCTCATATTAAAGTAGGCCAAATATGTGGCCTCCTGGACAAATAGATGCAAGAAATGATTAAGATTAGATTTATATAATTTTTAATGTAGCAATGAACACTAAAGAAATGAAATGATTTATTTCATGAGGAAAAATGAGGTAAAAGAATTATCTTTATCTTCTATTATAAATTATGACACATTCAAACATATTTTAAAAGAGAATAGTGAATTTGTATCTCTTCAAATTGACATATTCACATAATATTAGGAATTATGTTGCTGAGTCAGATCCTTGTATGACGTGCAGCCTTAAGGTGGTTTCTTTGTTTTTTAGTAAAATACGAAAATCCTATTGCAGTAGACATATTGTAGCAGGGGGATAACCTGGACTGGACTTTTGGGATATTAGTGTGTTCTCTTGCATTAGGCTACATTTGTGATCATTAATTAGTATTTTACCTTCTAATCTTTCAGGCTAAATATTGAAATTGTCTGTCTTTTAAGTTTTATAACATTTTGCTTGCTGGATTTCAACACAATTTCCTTCTTTCAGCCGACCATAGGTAATGAGTTTTGTGTGCTAATTTTTTTTTTTTTTTTTTTTTTTTGAGACAGGATTCCTACTCCCAGGCTGGACAGGGTCTCCCAGGCTGGAGTGCAGTGTGCAATCATGCCTCACTGCAGCCTTGATTTCCCAGGCTCAAGCGATCCTCCCACCTCAGCCTCCTAGTAGTTGGGACCACAGGCGTATGTCACCACACCCAGATTATTTTCCTATTTTTATTAGAGATGAAGTCTTGCTAAGTTTCCCAGGCCAGTCGTAAACTCCTGAGCTCAAGTGATCCTCCTGCCTGGGCCTCCTGAGTAACTGGGACCATAGGTGTATGTTATCACACCAGGCTAATTTTTTTTTTTTTAATTTGGTAGAGAAGAGGTCTCCCTATATTGCCTAGGCTGGTCTTGAACTCCTGGGCTCAAGAAATCCTTCTGCCTTGGCCTCCTAAAGTGCTGGGATTACAGGCATGAGCCAGTAATACAATGTAATATTTACATATTAAGTATTTTTAGTACAAGGCTGGGCATCTTGTATTTTTAGTACTATGCTAAATATTTGAATATTTTTAGTACAAGGCTGAGTGCCTTGTAGTTTTAGTATTAATACAAGGCACCCAGCCTTGTACTAAAAATATGTAATATGCAAGTAACATTGAATAAATCTCAAATGTTTTCCAAAGTTATCAGACATGATATACAACAAATATCAGCCATCCTTGAATAGGTTGGCACTCAGCATCAAATTTTGTTGATAAATTGAGTGATCTCTCATTCAAAATCATTGATTCATACATTCAGTCAAAAATATTTATTGAGTACTTAGTTTGCTAGCTTTGGGGCTAGGTGTTGGAATCAATGGTCAGCCAAAAAGGAAAAAAAGAAAGGTATAGTTCCTGTCCTCATGGTACTTATAATCTAATAGAGGGTGATAGAAATCATTGAAAGATTGGTATAAATAAATATACAGCTAAAGCACATGGTGATATACATGCTATTATAAGAGGACTTAATGAGAATTGACTTGGTGCGGTTAGAGAGGATGACTCTGAGGAAGATATGGTTGAGCTGAGATCTAAAGGTTAAGTAGGAATTAAGTAAAGCCAGGAGGACTCAGGGTCGGGGGACAGAAAGCATGGCTGGTGAAAGAGAACATCATCTGTTAATGTCTTGAAGCAGAAGGGAGCATGATAAGACACTAAGAAGCTGTGTGGCAGAAGGAAGATGTGGATTGTTCAGAAGACAATGAGACAGTGGCTCAAATCTGTAGGTGTTGCATTGTGTATCATCCCCTAAAGTAATGCTATGGATTTTAGCCAGGATTCAAAGAGAGCTGGAAAGTAACAGAACATCCTATGTAGGAAGCTGTCATCATGATGTCTAATAGTTCTTGAGCATTTTCTTTTCCTATAATATTGAATTTTTATGAAGAAATATATACAACATAAATTTTAGCTATAAAGCATTAAATATAATAAAGACTCATGACCTCAGCCAAATGAAGAATGAGAACATTACCTGTAACTTGTGTCTACATATGTGTTCTGGCCTCCCCTTCCAGAGGTAGCTCACGTTTTGAATACCATACTGCATATCTTCTAGGACTTCCCTTTTTTTCCCTGTCATCATTCTATTTCTAACATTCATGAAAGTAGTTGTGTGTTACGGTGAGGCTCTGTTTAATCCATGTTTACTACTCTATAATATTCCAGTTTGGGAATATTCTATAATTTATTTGTCAATTTTCCTGTCACTTGTTATTTGGGTTGATTCCAGGTGATGTTTTGCTTGTTGTTTGTTTTGCTATTGCTATCATGCAGATATAAATGTCTAGGATGGGATACTATTTGTTTCCTTGAGCATGTTTCCCCTGGGAGTGAAATTGGTGGCTGAGAGCATACATTGATGTGATTTCCAAAGTAGTTGTACCAATTTGCATCCCACATTCTCTTGATCCATGTCCTCTTCAACACTTGATTTTGTAAGACTTCTTAATTTTTGTCAATTTATTGGGTATAAAATGGTGTCTCCACCATTTTATTAGCATTTCTTTGATTACCAATGAAGGTGAGCATTTTTTTTCATGTTTATTGGCTGTATGTGTTTCTTATATGAAATGCCAGTTCAGTTCTTCTGTCAGCTTTTCTACAAGATTCTTAATGATTTATAAACACTCTTTGTATAGTCATGTATTCTGAATACCAGTCATCTGTTGTTTTGCAAGCCTCTGAATGTTAAGTGAGCAATGACTTAGAGGGGCATCCTGTGGATATGGAGAGACATATGGATATGTGTTAGGAAGCACAGCCTTTCCACTAATGAACAATTGTTGCTGATAATAACTTTATAAATATACTTAATACATTTCTTGTGTTAAAACTAAATAGGAGGGAAAATAGCTCTTTTCCCACAGAACATGGAATATTGGTTTTCCATTTAACACTACTTCAAGGAAAGGCTGTCTAAATTATCTTCTGAAGAATTCTGCTTTGTACATGTAATAGGGGTGATTGAAACCTATCCACAAGTAAGTGTTATTTTTAAGAAATTGTAGCATACTGATCAAATTGGCTTCAAAGTAGTCTTTCACAAAATGAATGCTGTTTTTCATTTGCCTTCTCTTGAAAAATTATAGAAGGTTGGAGCTGGATATTGATGTCAGCTGTGAAAACCATGGCTGTCTTGTGGCACTGGGCATTGTAATGTCCTCTTTATGTCATCAATTGTACAAGTCTTCCCCAGATTGAAACTTATTAATGCTTTCCTTTAAACATAAAATAAAATATTACAGTAGCTGTTTATTCAGTACTTGCTATGGGCCAAGAACATAAAGCTTCTCCTATTTAATTTCCTAATCCTTAAATAGCCTTGCAGTGTAAATATTATTATCCACAGATGGGGAAACTGAGCCTTGGGGCAGTTAATTAAAATTCTTTAGATCACAAAGCCAATAAGTGGAAGAACCCAGACTCAAACCAATCACATTACTCTCTGAGACATCATTTCCACTAAGGTCCACTAACGTGCATTGTCATTGCCAATGCCGGGAGCATTCATAAACTGAACTTCTTATGTATTAAAGTGTGTATAGATATTATCTCATTTAATTCTCAAGGTTTCCCTTTGGAGTTGTGCCATGTAGAACTCCTCTATTCCATGGATTCCATAGACTGTCCTATCTGAGGAACTTCTAAATGTATTCTGAATTTATTAAAATTTAGCTTCATACATATTTTGTCAAATATTGCATTGATTGATAAGTAATACCAGTGCCAGTTTTCTTCCTCTCTTTTAAGAATAATCTATTTCTAGTATTTTGGGGAAAAATAATGAGGTCTTTGTCTCTCACTTAATCCGTGTGTGTGTGTGTGTGTGTGTGTGTGTGTTGGTGGGGGGCAGTGGGTCTTCTACCCCATTGTTTCCTTGCCAGCTCTTCGGAGCCATGCACTCGTCTCACTGCCCTGTGAACCAGCCACACTCTCTTGTTTGTGGGTCAGGAGGTCACAGCTTGAAGATCAAGGACTGCACTACTGTTGAGAATGCAAGAAACTCCATAGAAACAGGAAGGCCAATATAGAGCAGGATAGTGCTGGTGATATGTCCCCGTATGTATTGTTCCTCATCTCCTGTGACACCACCTTCCAAAGTTGTGCCTGTCTTCACTAAATGATTATGGAAATATAACAGACATCACAGAATCTGGGGATAGAACTTTAAAACAGCAAACTAGTTATGACTTTCCCCATTGTCTAGGAGGAAGACCTTTCTCCCACTGAAGTTCATATTGCTATTCAGATCAGTGTCAGTCTTCTCATTTATTTAAATCTCATTCCATCTCCTGCTCTTTCCTCTTGTACTCTCTGGGATGCACTGTAAGCTGAGTCCATTACTGAGTTACATACTTTGCCTTACCCCCCACTCAGCAACATAGTCTTTGCAGAAGCTTTGAAATTACCTCTTGAAGTTCCATTTTCCCCAGTCTTTGGTGAGCATGCACACGCCTGCACTGACAGCACTGATTTCATTCTTTTCAGTAACAAACAGTACTCTAGTAGGTTTTTATACTGTGTACCAGGGACTATGGGCTTCACTTTAATGATTGTGTGCCACTGTCTTTGAGTGTGATTTTATGAGGCACTGATTTATGTTATGTGAATACAGTCATTTTCCTTCATTAAGGAGATGGTATCTAAAGCTTGTCTGCTCACTTCTTGCTTACTTACCCTCCTCTCAGCTTAAAGTCAGAAGACTGCTTATTCTGAAAACTAAACAATTACAAGCAGTAAAATCCATTCTTAAGTCCTATTGGTGAGGGATTGCATAAGTTCTCAAACTCTGAATTTCAGCAAACCCTGTATTTAAAATGGTTGAGGTAGAAGGGTCTGTTGGGTTTCATGTTAGTTAGTATGCTTCCTGGAATTCAAATACTGGGAGGTTTTAATTAATGCCCCAAGGAAAACAAATACAGTTTGCTTTATTCCTTGCTATCTATGGAGTATAGAATCATCTCCTAACAAAACCTTCTCAGCAACCCTGTTTGTCTTGAGGCTAGGATATTTGATAAACTCAGAGTGGTTATTGAAGTCACTCTTTCATTCAGCAGCAGCATCAAATATTTAAACCTCATCATTTACTGTTTAAACATTTAATTTTCACCAATGGAATCAAATGGTCTGGTGAGGATTATTTATATTGGAAAACAGTGCCATATGTTTCAACTCCACATATCTGAAAATTCTTTCAGCATATGCTGCAGAATTGCTTTTTGCATCCACTTTTCTACTTCCTGACACATGGTAGAAATGTAATAAATGTCTTTACAATCAATAAAAACAAGGAAAGAAGAAATTTGGAAGTAGGTTGCCATTATGGTGAATGAATATTTGGATCTAACATTTTCCACAGTCTTGTTTTTTCACAAGGCTCTTTACTAGAATCATTGAGACATCATATATTTTTCAAGATTGTAATGAGTATGTCATTGTGTTGATGAGAAGAGCATCTTCTGAGTGCACATAACTAGTCCTGTTGAAATTTGTGTTTCCTGTCTTAAGAAAGCTAGGCAAAGGCAACAGGGAGAGAAATTGACTTACAACTTCTTGGACAGGGAGACTAAGATGTTCAAATGATTAAACAGCTAGATTATAGGAGATTGACCATATTCTCCCGAAGGAGTTATCTGAAAATATAGTTGATTATAACGATGGACAGAATATCACTCCACAAAGATACAGTTGTTACATTAATGTATTGAAATGAGAAATGTACCTTTTTACCCCTGGCAATTCAAATGAGGAAAAATACCTAATCAGACGTATTGTTACTAAGCCAAAAGGTTACAGAAACACAAATTATGCTAATACCAAGTTTAATGTTAAAATGGGACTATGGGGAGACTAACAGGTACCTATCATCACCTCCTTGTAGATCTTGTCTCAGCTGATTGGTAGCTTATCATGAATCTTTGAGGATAAGTCTTAAATTGGGCATCCTTAGTTTGCAGTTTTTATTACATTTTGAATTTCTAGTTGAGGACTTAGTTTTCTAGGATGCTGGTTGTGTTTTTTCATGATATCTTGATTATATTTTACATAATGAAAAAATATTACTTTAGTAAATTGTTTTTCTAAGGGGATGGGAATGAATGTGGGTAGCTATACCTCAAATATCACACATCCTTGAAGTCTTCATTCCTAAGGCTATTAACTCCCCATTAAGGCAAACAGAGTTGTGCTTTCTCAAAAATGAAACAAAATTTTAGTCCTTTCTAGGATGCATAAATTTGATTATCCTTTCTATCCATGAAAGGCAATGATTTCTGAACTTTTTAATTTTTGATGCATTGGACTCGGTGTAACAGGGAGTGGGTGGGAAAAACCCAATCCTCCCAGATATTCACAAACCATCAGCAGGACTTCTCTGGCCACAAAAGATGTCTTTTTATGGAGATATTTTGTTGTAATTTCAGAAGGTGGTTGTTAGTTTTCTTGGCTACATTACATTTAGCACATCTGGGATGTGTTCACATGAAGACATTGGCTAAAAGTAGTGTCTTGTGGCCTGGAATTGACTCTGATATTGAAAAGGCTGTAAAGGACATTCCTTGCTTGTCCTCACTCAGCAAAGAGACCTTCCATGGGAGGTGCATCAGGAATGCATTTTGGATTTGAAGAACCAGCACAGAAGTCAAACTTCTCAACTGTGGTGAAATTCTTTTCATAATGGCCTAATGTGCTTTTAGTTCTTCCCTCATTTCTGCCATGGCAATTATAGCTCTGAGACAATTATTTGCAACCCTGGCACCAGAATTTCTGACAATGATTCTGCAGTTACTTTTGAATTAAAGTAATTTGGGGAAATGACTCACATTTAAGCTACCACCACTGCACAGATAGTGCAAACTATCAAGAATGCCCCAAAAGCAAATTGGGACACAGTACATGTCTCTCACCGCTTAAGTCAGAACTGGATAGTTGACAAGAGAAGTCAGTTTCTGCTGAACTTGTGATGTAGCAATATCTGAATTTTTTTATTCTTAAATGAAGATTACTAAGACATAACAGAATCTTGTTCTGTTTATACCTATTCATTAATCATTTTTAGCACCAGAGTTTGTCTTAGCACAAAACTCTGAAGTTTGAACCAAGACAGAATTTGTTCCAACTTTAGTTGAAGTTGTAAGGGTACATTTTATATAGTGAAGTATATTCATGCTTTAGGGTGACTTTGCCATGTTAGCTAATAAGTATATAATTCTAAGGACTGATTAATAGTTAAAAAGCTAGGATTTAGGGGCAGTTTATCATTTATTATTTTTCACATTTTCTTAATATACTGGAAATTTATTTCACTTTTGTGGGAAGGTTTGGTATAACATAAGAAAGTGTCTGCAAAAGCACTTTGCAAGTTGTAGACTGTTCCCATGATCTGGATAATATTAATACTAGCAGGGATAACATCAACAATGTACAACTTTTATAGCACTTACTATGTGTTTGGAACTGTTCCAAGTACTTTCAGTAAATTTTAACTATTTAATTATCACAGAAATCCTCTGAGAGTAGATATTAACAATTTCATTTGACAATTGAGGGACTGAGGCCCAGAGTGATGAAGTAACTTGTTTAAGATCCCCAGTTAGTATATGGCATAGAGGGGATTTAAACCCAGGCAGAGTGGCTTCAGAGTTGACAACAGAAAAATAGGAAGCCCCTGCCTTTTCTATGGCAGTCTGAATATTACATGGTGAGGAAATAGATGCTTCTAATGGGGCTATAATTGAATAAGAAGAGTGTTACTCGTTTGATTTTGATGTCTATGAATCTGATAGGCACTGTGATTATATCTGCCGAAGAGAATTTAAAAATAATCACAAATATGATGCTTATTTTTATTTGGTGTGACATAATTCTACTCTTTGGTTGGTTTTCAATAGTTTCATTATTCTAGCAGTATAAACGGCATTTTAAAAAGTAAATGGTAAAAAAGTTTTCTATTTCATCTTTAAAAAAATTTATTTGTTTATCTGTTGGTTGGGTTCTTGTAGCAGTGTGATAAATGGTGTGATTAAAAGATTCTTCCAGGGCCAGGTTCATGTCTGTAATCCCAGAACTTTGGGAGGCCAAGGTGAGAGGGTTGCTTGAGGCCAGGAGTGTGAGGTTGCAATGAGCTATGATTGTGCCACTGTACTCCAGCCTGGGCAACACAACAAGACCCTATCTCTAAATAATAATAGAAATAATAATACATAAAAGGTTCTTGCAGAGACTAAAAGGGGAGCTAGTTCTCAAGGGTTCAGTCCTCTTCACAATAGGTTCCCTTTCAGACAGTGATGCTGACTTGTGCAATTTCAAGAAAAAGTCCTGGATTTTCACACTGTCAGCTTTAGTTATTACAGGTGGGCCAACTGTCTTCTACAGGGTTAGAGTGAGTGGTCTGTAGAGGTGAGATCCATGAATAGTACAACAAACTGAGCTACTCTTTAAAAAAATGAGTGCTTCAGTTAATGTGACCTCATATTTTTCTCCCCAACTTATAACTTCAACCCTGTAGTTTATGGGTCTAAAAGATTTTTCATAGCATCTCCTTCTACTATAATGAGAGTCGCAGTAATTACCCAAAGGCGTTGACTCCAAAGAAAAGCTTTGTTTTGTTTTTCCTTTCCTTTTGGAAGAAATTTTCTTTGGCCAGGTGAATTTAATTCAACTCAAAGGACTTTCTCTTAAAAAAAGAAACAGTAAGGACGATTTTCATGTCTTATGTTTCTTCTAGGTGCTGCACTTAAGTGTTATCAGGAATAGTAAATAGTAGAGTTGTATTCCTTGGTAGAATAAGCTGTTATACTTCACTGTTTCTTTTGAGACTAGTCACCACCTTTACTTACTACACCCCATTATGAAGAGGTCTTAAAGAAAGAAAACATGAAATAGGAAGCAATAATAACTGTCTATGTTCTAAGAATTTAAGTACCAATAAATAAAAGTTGTTACAAGGATAAACAAACTCCAGACACTCTGAGTGTCTATTAGAATTCTTGGCACTGACCGGGCACGGTGGCTCATGCCTGTAATCCCAGCACTTTGGGAGGCTGAGGCCGGCAGATTGCCTGAGGTCAGGAGTTCGAGACCAGCTCTGGCCAACATGGTGAAATCCAGTCTGTACTAAAAATACAAAAAACAAAACAAAACAAACAAAAAAAATTAGCCAGGCGTGGTGGTGTGTGCCTGTAATCCCAGCTACTCGGGAGGCTGAGGCAGGGGAATTGCTTGAACCAGGGAGGTGGAGGTTGCAGTGAGCTGAGATTGTACCACTGCACTCCAGCCTGGGCAACAGAGTGAGACTCCGTTTCAAAAAAAAAAAAAAAAAAAATTCTTGGCACTATGACATTTAGGACATGTTAGTTGAGTGTTAACTGTGCACAAGGCAGGTCTGTCTGATGATCACATAAGTTAGTAGACAGGCTATGCCATGTAGAGCCTCCTCAGAGTCGACAGCTCCTCTTATGCTTCCAGAATATTGCATTCATCTCATTGTAACTCTTGAGGGTGGGTTATATCTTATTGACTTAAAATGGTGCCTAAAACAATTGAATATCATAGGAGTAAAGGTAAGACATAGAAGGCTTTGTGGGCACGGTGGCTCATGCCTGTAATCCCAGCACTTTGGGAGGCCGAGGCAGGCGGATCAGGAGGTCAGGAGATCGAGACCATCCTGGCCAACACGGTGAAACCACGTCTCTACTAAAAATACAAAAAAATTAGCTGGGTGTGGTGGCGGGCACCTGTTGTCCCAGCTACTCTGGAGGCTGAGGCAGGAGAATGGCATGAACCCAGGAGGCGGAGCTTGCAGTGAGCCGAGATTGTGCCACTGCACTCCAGCCTGGGCCACAGAGCGAGACTCCGTCTCAAAAAAAAAAAAAAAAGAGAGAGAAATGATCACATGGTTCAATTTGGTTAAAATATAATGTAGGAAGACTCTATTGGAAGCTACAGCTGAAAGGTAGAATGGGCAGGATTTCATGTCATTTGACATTTCAAATCATTATCAAGTTGGGGTGGGGGCGGGTAGTAGGTGATCCCTTAAATTTGGAGCTTAAATGATGAAAATGGGTGTGATCTTCTTTTTTTTTTTTTTGAGATGGAGTCTCGCTCTGTCGCCCAGGCTGGAGTGCAGTGTCACAATCTCGGCTCACTGCAAGCTCCGCTTCCTGGGTTCACGCCATTCTCCTGCCTCAGCCTCCCAAGTAGCTGGGACTACAGGCGCCCACCACCACGCCTGGCTAATTTTTTCGTATTTTTAGTACAGACGGGGTTTCACTGTGTTAGCCAGGATAGTCTCTATCTCCTGACCTCGTGATCTGCCCGCCTCGGCCTCCCAAAGTGCTGGGATTATGAGAATGGGTGTGATCTTCTTAAAAGAAATTAAAATTAAGGGGAAAACATTTGAAAGAGAAGGAATATTCTGTTCTGAAAAATTGAGTTTGAGATGCCAGTGGAACCTCAAGACACAGGTAAGGAAATCTAAGTGGAAACAGAATAAGAAGCTTAGGAAAGCAAGGTTCAGGCTGGAGGAAACAGATTTGGCAGGCAGACCAGCAGAAGTGATTGTGCAACTAAGGAGAAGATGAAATTGCCAGCCAGGAGAGGAGCACAACAAAAGAACTGAGGATAATACCTAAAGAACTTGAGAAAGAATAGCCAAAATATGAGAAAGTGAATGAGCAATGAGAGCTACATGTCACAGCATGAAGGTTGGGTGCAGCGGGACATGAAGAAATGGCTGGATTTTGTAGCCAAGAGTTGAATCAGGTGTTGCTCAATCACCTGTTAACTGCATGATCTGCAGCCAATTACTTAAGCTCTTGGGCCACAGTTTCCTTACCTGCAAGATGGAAATAACACCTCTGTAGTTATGTTAATTTAAATAGTTTAAACAAGTATTCCTTAAATAATGCTTTTAAATCACTCTTTTTATTAAAATAATAATCACCAATAAAAGATTTGGAGTTATCTGTGTTTCTTATGTACATGCAAGCAATTATATTACAAAATGTATTATTTTAAAAATGTCCTGTAGTCAGTACAAAATTGAAGACTTAGGAAGTTTTGGATTATGTAATTTGTAAAGGAATACACTGTCTTTTGCCCACAGTCTTCTGAATAAAGCATTTTGGAGTTTAAATATAATTCAGTCTGTTTTATCAAGGTTAATTTTTTGAGTACCTGCTCTGTTCCCCACTCTTTTTCTGGCTATTTTGACTAAATTCCTCTACCTAAGCCCTTTGCTTTCCAATTCTTAGGGTGTTTATTATTCTGAGTCTTCTTTAGGCAACTGATACTCCCCAACTCTGGAAACTTCAGCTTTTGAAGCAATCTTAAATTTTTAGCATTTGTGATTTTTCTAGTACATTCTATTGAACACACTCTTTTATTTTTGACAGAATAAAGTTATATTTAAAACTCTTTATTGAGTTATGATTAATTGACATTCAAAAAGCTGTACATATTTAATGTCTTCAACTTGATGAGTTTGGAGATAAGTATACACTGTGAAACCACCACCACAATATCTGCCATAAACCTGTTCGTCACCTCCAAAAAGCTTCTCCCACCCTCTTTATTTATTATGAGAAGCAAAATGATTATTTTATTGGGATGCATTTGTAAATTTTTGCCTCAGAAAATATTATCTGATAGAAAGTTAATTTTTCCATGCCTCAACATCATTCACAAAATGCATTTAAAGCATTTAACATACTGACATTTTTCACTTTTATTAGAAAAGGGAACAGTAACTCTTTGTTATCCTTCTTATTAGGGTAACACATTAAGAAAGATACTTCTGAATCGATACTTTAAAGGTGATTATAGTATTGGTGTGAATGGACACCTATCAGGAGCCTACTCCAAAACTGCACAGGTGGGAGGTAAGTCCTGTCATTTGTTTTCTCATTTTAGGATTCTCATGATACATCTTCATGTCAGTGTTACTCTAGTATTTTACTGAAATGGCAGATATATAAAAGAGTCATTTAAAAATCACTGTTAAAAACTTTCATACAATTTGGGGCTCATAAAACAACAGATTTGAACATCAGAATTGATTTTGCTTTTTGACCTTGGAAAAATAGTTAAACTAAGTTATAATCTCTTAATGTATAAATTAAGGACAAAATAAAGCTAGTTTTCTCTTTCTGTTTTTAAGAAAAACATTTAATCACATGTGTCAAACATTTAATAAAGAGTTCTATTTTTACAAACTTTGATATTTTTAAACTCAAGCTTTTTTTTTTTTTTTTTTTTTTTTCTGAGGCAGAGTCTCACTCTGTCACCCAGCCCAGAGTGCAGTGGCGCAATCTTGGCTCACTGCAACCTCTGCCTCTGAGGTTCAAGCAATTCTCCTGCCTCAGCCTCCCAAGTAGCTGTGATTACAGTCATGTGCCACCACGCCTGGCTAATTTTTGTATTTTTAGTAGAATTGGGGTTTCACTCTGTTGGCCAGGCTGGTCTCAGACTCCTGACCTCAAGTGATCTGCCTGCCTTAGCTTCCCAAAGTGCTGGGATTACAGGCGTGAGCCACCATGCCCAGCCTCAAGCTTCTATTATATTTAACTTTGTAGGGAAAAAATCTCAATGATTAATATTTTTATTAAAATAATAAAATTTAAGAATTTGAAAACCTTACATATTAATAATGTCTACAATTAAGGTTTATTTATTTATTTTTCCCAATCACAGGAAGCTTTTCTGGACAAGATTCAGATAAGATGGGGATATCAATGTCAGACATTCAGTGTCTGCTGGATAAAGAAGGTGCATCAGAACTTGTCATCGATGTTATAGTGAACACCAAAAATGACAGAATTTTTTCAGAAGGCATTTTCCTCGGCATTGCCTTGCTTGAAGGAGGAAATACACAAACACAGGTACTTGTTCATCAATCATGGGGATTACATTTATTATTGGTATTTCTTGTTTACTTGTCACAGAAACCAAGGAAAAGTAATGTGTTTCTTTTAGCTCTTATTACTATCTAAAAAAAAAAAAATCCATGTATCACACTTTTCTTAAATTTGTTTGCTGTAGAAACTACAGAGCTTCACAATTTATTCAGTCAAGCAGAACATTCCTCTGAAACTTCCTTCTGACATTATTCCAGGAATTCCACAACAGTGAGCAATATGCTCACCTGCACACAGGAGATTAGGCCACTATTTCCAGAAGGCACATGTTTTCTTTTGAAACTTCTGCCAAGTGGCCCGTAGGGTTGACGACACCCAAAAGCAAAACATGCTGCATGAGCCCGAGTGCTGGGGAGTGTTCCCAGATGACAGACATTGTCCTCCAGTCTTTTTTTTTCATTTATCATTATGGTTAAATAATAATAATTGTACATATTTATAGGGTACAGTGTGATATTTTGATACATGTGTACAATATGTAATGATCAAATCAAGGTAATTAGCACATCTTTCACCTCAAATGTTTATCATTTCTTTGTGTTGGGAACACTCAAAATTCACTTTTCTAGCTGTTTGAAAATATACAATAAATGGTTAATTATGGCCACCCTACTGAGGATTAGAACACAGGAATTTATTCCTCCTATGTAGCTGTCTGTTTTGCTGCTCGGTAGCCTGCTCTTTCTAGGTTTGCCTTGGTCAGTAAAGAAAACTGTCTACTTACTACTAAGTATATAATTAGAAATTCCAAAAGCCATTTTCTCGACTCAAGGCCAGCAGAAGCCATGTCTAATTTGAAACTGGGATATTGTGCTTCATTTAACCATCAAATACATTGAACAATAGGAACATTACCATCTAACACATCCAATCACAGTGGCTTTAGGAGTAAAGGCCTCACGAGCAGCAAGTGGCATGGTGACAAAAACAACGCTAAATCAATAGTACTTAGTTGAGAAAAGAAAGTGTTTAAAATTCTCATGATGCTGTAGCTGCAGCATAGATTTCCTCTGAGGGAATTTGAGGAAGGAGGTGATGGAGGAAATTGAGTGAGTTTTTTTGGAAATTATCTTATCTGAACCAGGTATTCAGTTGGGACTTTTTAAAATTTAATTTAATTTTTAATTGACAAATAATCATTGTGTATATTTATGGGGTACAATCTGATGCTTTTATATATATATATATATATATATACACACACACACATACACACACACATATCGTGCAATGATCAAATCAGGATAATTAGCATATCCATCACCTCAAATATTTATCATTTACTTGTAGTGAGAGCATTTAAAATTCTTTCAGCTATTTGGAAATATATAGCATATTATTGTTATTAAGTATCATTGCCTTGCTTTACAGTAGAACACCAAAACTTACTCCTCCTGTTTAACTGAAACTGGACTCTTTGACCAATGTTCCACTGTCTACGTCTATGACTTCAACATTTTTAGATTCCACTATTTCACTTATCAATGGATGAATGATTTTTAAAAATGTGATATATAAACATGACAGAATACTATTCAGACTTAAACCAGGAAGTTCTGTCAATTGGGACTTTCTAGAGAAAGTGTCCAGTCAACCACATAACATTAGATAAAGGCTTGTTCAGTGGATAGAAGTGAAGGATTTTTTTTTTTTTTTTGGTGGGGGGCATCTCTAGAAGATATCCTCAGGATTACAGTCTTTTGTAGATTTCTGTTTCTAGGCCACTAAGGGTCACCAGATGGGATCATCCTTCATCCTTCGCACTTATTTATGCTTACTTATATCCTCATATTGCTGGGGAATAAGCCAGCTCCCATTGGAAACTGCACCTTCTACTTATAAATTCCTGGCAAGTTGTTCCCCTAGATCTCTTCACAACCGAAATATTTTTCAGTCCTTCTTTACATGATTTTCTGTGGCATTTGCCACTAGTGACTTTTTCTTTCTTCTTGAAACCTTTTCTGCCTGGGTCTTGGGATACCACCCTCTCCAGCTTGTCTTCTACCTCCTACCATTTCTTCTTAGCCTTCTGCAAAGGTTTTTCTCCCTCTACTTAACTCCCAAGTTTCTTTGGACTCTCTGTTCTCACTCTGTGTGTTCCCCACCCTGACCTCCTTCATTTCCACACCTTTAACGTTTACTGTGTTTGGATGCTTCTGAACTTACTGACGTTCTAGACTATGTATCCAGCTGTCTTCCAGAATATTTAGTGGGATGTGCACAAATGCCTTAAACTCAACATGTCTCACATGGAGTCTGCTGTTGCTCTCCATACACGCACTGCTCCTTTTGCCATTGCCTCTCTCAGTGACTGGCACTCCATCTACCCAGTTGTCTGACCAGAAAATGATAGTCATCCTTGACCTTAACTTGTCCACCCTTACTTACTCTCTTCCTGAACATCCCACTGATGACCAACTTCTGTGATTCTGCCCCCTTAATATCCCTCATATCCATACTCTATTATTTTCAATTCCTGCTTTTCCAGCTCTCACTACAGATTCTCCTTATCTTTTCCTAGACAGTGACAAGTAGTCTTCTAAGAGGTGTCCCTGCTTCCAGTTTTGCCCTTCTCCAAATCATTCTCCGTGTTGCCTTCAAAGATGCCTTTTTTTTTTTTTTTTTTTTTTTTTTGAGATGGAGTCTTGCTCTGTGGCCCAGGCTGGAGTGCAGTGGTGTAATCTCGGCTCACTGCAAACTCCGCCTCCTGGGTTCACGCCATTCTCCTTCCTCAGCCTCCCGAGTAGCTGGGACTACAGGTGCCCACCACCACGCCCGGCTAATTTTTTGTATTTTTAGTAGAGACGGGGTTTCACTGTGTTAGCCAGGATGGTCTTGATCTCCTGACCTCGTGATCCACCTGCCTCAGCCTCCCAAAGTGCTGGGATTACAGGTGTGAGCCACCACACCCAGCCAAAGATGCCTTTCCAAAAACATGCTATTCTTCTGCTTAAAATATGTCACCTGCCCTATAAAGACAAACTCCCTGCTACAGTCCATAAGATACTTCATGATCTCTTCAAATTTTCCAACTTTCCCTTGTTCTTCCACCCTCTTGCCTCCTCCATCCTTCCTCTTATGCATCAGCTACACTTAGCTCTTTGCCATTCCTCAAATGCGTTGTGTTATTTCTCATGCTGCTTTCTCCTCTTTGAGGATTCAACTCAATACATTTCTCCTAGAAGCCTAGGCTCCATATCTCACTGGGTAGAATTGATTACTGCTTACTATGTGCCCCTGTTATAACCTGTGGATGTCTTTAATGACATTTCTACCACTTTGTTTGCTTGTTTGTTTGTTCTTGAGATGGAGTTTCACTCTTGTCACCCAGGCTGGAGTGCAATGGCGCGATAGCGGCTCACTTCAACTTCTGCCTCCTGGGTTCAAGTGATTCTCCTGCTTCAGCCTCCTGAGTAGCTGGGATTACAGGCACCCACTACCATGCCTGACTAATTTTTTGTACTTTTAGTAGAGACAGGGTTTCATCCTGTGGCCAGGCTGGTCTCCAACTCCTGACCTCAGGTGATCCACCTGCCTCGGCCTCCCAAAGTGCTGGGATTACAGGCATGAGCCACTGCGCCCGGCCATTTCTGCCGCTTTATTTTGCCTCTTCATGTGTGCATCAGGCTTCGTCTAGTAAATTATAAGTCCTTAAAGGTTGAAACTACGTTTTATTCATCTTTGTACCCCTTGTGTCTGGACCAATCTTGGGGTTCAGTCAATGTGCAGAAGTGAATGGTTCTGTGAATGAATGGTCCTAATTAAATTCTTTCTTCTTCACAAAGTCTTTCCTAGCTGTCTGGGACATTTGGTGTCCATTCCCTTATCTCAGCTTCCATGCACTTGTTTCTTTAATACCACTTGGCATTTTGCATGTGCTACTTTGTTTGGTTGTAATTTGTATTATACCCTGCCTCTCCAATTGAATTTCAACTTCTTCAGTATAGGGGATCATATCCTATTCTTTATGTCTACAGTGCTTTATAGCCATTCAACAAATATTTTTTGATGAAACAGCATTAAATTACTCTTATATATGAAAACCTTCTTTTAAGATGGATTATGACAATAAGGACCAGCCTTCCTCTACTCGGATGTCTCACATTGTATAACCCAGATGGCAACTATGTTTTCCTGGCTCTAAGAGGTCTAGTTGAGATTAGCTCAAATCTTATTCCTTGCCCTATAGCAGTCTAAAGCGCACTCCTCCCCAAGACACTTGCCAGTTCCATGGGGGTTTTACATTCTCACTGTCTCCTTAGCCAAAAAAGTCTTGCTTTCTCAGCACATAAATTCTTAACACCCCTGCTTCTGTCATACTGAGAACTGCAGCCCCTTCCTTTATTTCTTCCTTTCTAACTACATTAAGTCAATGTGTGTATGTTCTATACTTTGTTAAAGATCAACTGAAGGAGAAGGTATAGGAGGTACTTATATTACAATTTCAAATGGAACCTAATGATAGCAATAAGGAAAATTATACCTACTAAATATAAGGCGCTGTTCTTTGTGATTTGTATGTATTAACTTGGCTAATATTCAAACAACCTGTGAGGTAAGTGGTATGTTATCCTACCTTACTGAAGAAGAAACTGAGATAGACCCAAGCTTACATCGCTAGTTAGAGATAGAGATAGGTTTCAAACCGATGCAGTCTGGCTCCAGATTCTGTGCTCTTAGATGCAATAAGCATCTCTTTTCTAGAAATAGCCATCTCCATCCTCACCACTAGGATATTTCACTTGAGGATTCTCCCTGCATCATGCTCTTGTCTTTCTCCATTCTCACTTCCCTTCCCTTCTCTGCCTCTTCCAGTCTCCTGTCACACATATCTGTTGATCCATCCCCCTTAGCTCCAAAACACTTGGAGTTTCTTTCCCCTTACACTCTATGCAGCTAATGGAGGTAGTTTCCTAAGCAAAAATCATGTCTTTAGTGAAAGGAATACTTATGCTACTTGTTGAGATTATATAAATATATATGAAACCTACTTTTCCTTTTTAAAATCGTGTTGTTCAGCATTGTAGATACCTCGTTCTTAAAAGGTGTTATCTATGTAAATAATCTAGCATTTTCATCGTAAGAGGTTGTTTTATACATTTAGTGATTTAGAGTCCGAAAATCTAGATTTAAATCCTAGCTCTACCCCTTACTAGTTATATAATGTTGGGCAAGTCACTCATCTTTACTAAACCTCATTTTATGAATCTATAAAATGGAACTAAGAGCACTCTATTCATCACACTGTTGAATTGAAAGTATCTATGAAGTAATATATATAGAAGAACTACATAAATTATGAAGCTTTGTTTTAATAGAGCCACAAAGTTCTCATAACTCCTCATTAATATACTGGAAACTCCTTCCACCTTCTAACCCCATTATATTGAAAAGATTTGGGCTTTATCATCTGCTTAATTCATGGGATTGTAGAGGTCTGTGGATGCTGCATTTGTTGTTTGAATTAACAAAACCAGCTTGACTGTTTTACTGTGGTTGCTATGGTTACCGTGACTTTTTGGCCTTCTTTCTTGAGGGTTGCTTGCCCTCTGTGTAGGAGCTTACCCTTGTAGGTGTGCAGCT
The DNA here is from genome assembly GCF_000001405.40 of Homo sapiens. NCBI lineage: Eukaryota > Metazoa > Chordata > Mammalia > Primates > Hominidae > Homo > Homo sapiens. The sequence continues at coordinate 26,488,533 of NC_000012.12, read as the reverse complement.
GACATCTAAGGCTTCATAAGACACTCTGTGTATATACATTGCCCACAGAGAAAATTGCAGAGTAGGCAACCATTTCAAGACCTGATGTCATTAGAGTCTCAGTTACAGATCCCAAGACCTGTGGGTCATGTTTCCAGGAATTCCTAAAGGAAAGCATATCCTGGGGCAAACTCCCCCAAACTGGCTGTTTAAATGTTCTTATATTGGAGTAGGGCCAGTTCTGCTTGATCTGGAAATTATTTTTTCTTATGTTTTCTTCATACTATCTCTCCTCAAGCTTATATAACTCTTTTATTCACTACAGTTAGGGAGTTATTATCTTTATTAATTTACAAATGATATTTATCTTGTTTGTCTTGTATCTATCTCATAATCTTGGTAGTAATAAGTTATAATTCCCCCACCCACTTCAAATTCTGTCTTCTCTGGAATGTGTTATCTTTCCTACCTCCTACTGCTTCTCCTGGACACTTCCATAAGGCATTGAGCAGGCAAGAATTAGGGTAAATCTTCCCAAGGTTGAATATTTCCACATCTTACAAAGATACATTTTATCATACTTTTGTTTCTGAACCATTTCTACATCATTATTGACTATATTTATTTTAAGGTGGATTTGTCTGAGACCCCATGCAAAGCAATGTAGCTAATGAGGAACCAAAAGAAGTTGGTACCTGTTTATCAGTGAGATCCCATGAGTGAGGCTACCATGGTAACACTTTCCAAATTAAATGTGCTGTAATTTAGATAAAGAGAAAAATAGTCCTTTGTAACTTTCCATAAACTCATGTTTATACAGGATGATCTTTGGATTGATGGCTATTTTCCACTTTAGATTACAAACTCATGAGAACAAGGATTGTTGTTGGTTTCCATTTTTGTTCTATCCCTATTAACAGAGGGCTTGACGCATAGTAGGCACTCAATACATACATGTTGAATCAATGCATGACTTTATAATAATATAAAAATCAAAGAATTCTTTCCATACAACTTCTTACAATGTCCCTGTAAGTTTTTAAAAATATATAACCAGTAAGGATAAATTAAACAGCATCTGAAAATATGTTGGAGTTTAGTGGAAAATGCTAAGTAAATACCAACTATTATTAGTACACATTAAATAGTACAAGAAACTGGCAAAGGCTGTCAATTTATGAAATAGTAATGGGTGGTGCATTAAGTGTGTGCTTTTGCCTATAATGCTTATGTTTAGTTCAAGCATAAAAACACCATTTGTCTCCCCTTGGGTATTGATGTCTTAAAATATGTTTTCTTGCAGTATTCTTTCTACCAGCAGTTGCATGAACAAAAAAAGTCAGAAAAATTCTTTAAAGTTCTCTATGATCGAATGAAGGCTGCTCAGAAAGAAATAAGATCAACAGTGACAGTTAATACCATAGATTTAGGTAACAAAAAAAGGGACGATGACAATGAATTGATGACATCTGGTCCACGAATGAGAGGTAAAGAAGTATTTGAGTATTTGGGAGAACAGAGTGAGAGAAAAGAGGGGAATAGCGTTTAAATCTCATTAACATTTTTCGTCTCTCTTCTCTTGGTTTAATTATCCCCACTGTGGCTCTGATCATCCATAAAGAATTTTGGTCATGGGGTGACCCTAAAACGGCTCTGCAGGACTAAACTTAAATGAGACATAATCAGTGCAAAGCAACCAACGGCATGAAAGATGTTTGATTTCATTGTGGCATGCATGGTAAATAGTAACTGCCCCAAATCTTTTAAGTGACCATGAAAATGAAACTTTAAAAACAGAAATTACCACACCAAACTCCAATGAAAGATTCTTGGTATTCAGAATGACAAAATCATCCATGTATTAAATACAAATCATAAAGACATTAACATTTTGAAGTTTGTCACATTTTCTTACCTCCTTGAATATGAAACTCATATACATGAATATATATATGTATATATCAGAAAGACATGAGTGCTTTTAAAATTTGCTAAGCATTGAGATCTTTTTTATGACCCACTGCAAATTTAATTTTTAAGTGCTCTCTCAAATCCTTTTTGGAAATTGTTGCACCTTTTGTCAGATTATTTTTAATTCAATTGTTAGAGAATTTGGGTACCTGGTTTGTTTTTTTTTTTTTAATTAGTAAAAGCAAATTGGTTCAGAAATATAAAAGTACTGCTTTGTTTTCAGTAAGAGATTCAACACTACATTTAAAAGAGGGAATGAAAGGGCAATTAACAGAAGCTTCTTCAGCAACATCCAAAGCATATTGTGTATACAGAAGAGAAATGGATCCAGAAATAGACATTATGTGCACAGGACCAGAAGCGGGAAACACTGAGGAAAAATCCGCAGAGGAAGTAACAATGAGTCCCGCAATTGCCATCATGCAGCCAATACTGAGATTTCTTCAGTTACTGTGTGAGAATCACAACCGGGAATTGCAGGTATTTGTTCTGTTTTGTGTGAAAGCTGAGAATACAACCTATGTTTATCAGTAATTAAATTCAAATAAAACCAACAAGTAGTTTCGGAGAGCATTTTAGAAAGATAATCAATAAAAGCAATAGTGCTCCTCTGAAATGGGAAGAAACTTTGGTATCAGTGAAGAAAAGGAAGAAGAAAATCCTTTTATGCAAGAAAAAAAAATCAGGCTCATACAGTGTCATCCTCCTCAATATTTTTAGCCTCAAATATTTTTAGCCTCAGTGGGCATCCTGTCTTCCTAGTATTCTCTGGTAAGGTTATATTGTTGAGAGAGATCACATTTGTCTCATCTATATCTTTCATGATTTTATATTCTTAAGGGGCTTTCATTATTTTCAAGCCAATTCATATTTCTTGAGTGAGAGTACTGAGTATATTTGTATGTCTTCATTTGAAACAGAATTAACATAGAAGAGGATGTTTTTAACCAGAGTGAAGGTGGATACATTCAAAAATGAATGTAGTCAGTGTCATATCTTCTTTCCTGCATTTTCCTTTGTTAGATAAATGAACTTAGGATTGCCTATGAATTTCTGAATTTTGGCCTCTTTTTTGCATTGTTTGTACACAGGCAGGCCAAGGCCAGAAACATTGCTTCCAGAGGGACAATACTGGATCAGTGCCCATGGGCCTATCCTAACCCATTTCGTCTGGCAGTGTAGGAAATAGATGTATAGGGTGTATAATACATTAGATAGTATCTGATTGAACAGTTTACTGGTAGGAGTGTGGGATCAGTATAGAAAATACTACTTTTAAAGTTGTCTTAAGAAGAATAAATGGTAGATATAAATTCAAATAAACACGTTAAATAATAAATTAATAGAAATAAATACTAAATTAAAATATAAAACATGTTTCCTTCCCTGCTTACCCTTTTACTAGGTTTACTCCCCAGAGAAAACCACTGTTAACAGGTGATTAATCTAGAGAACTTGACTGAATATTGTCAGGGCCCAGGTTTTTTCTTCTAGAAATTTTTATGCATGCATAAGCATATCGAACTGTGCAGGTAAACATTTTTTAAAAATCATATTCTATGGTATTCCGGCCGGGCACAGTGGCTCACGCCTGTAATCCCAGCACTTTGGGAGGCCAAGATGGGCGGATCACAAGGCCAGGAGATCGAGACCATCCTGGCCAACCCAGTGAAACCCCGTCTCTACTAAAAAAAAATACAAAAAATTAGCTGGGCGTGGTGGCTGGCACCTGTAGTCCCAGCTACTCCGGAGGCTGAGGCAGGAGAATGGCGTGAACCCGGGAGGCGGAGCTTGCAGTGAGCGGAGATGATGCCACTGCACTCCAGCCTGGGTGATAGAGTGAGACTCTGTCTCGAGAAAAAAAAAATCGTATTTTATGGTATTCCTCAACTTACATTTTTCATTTAGTAATTTCGGTTATTAGTCAATTACTTATTGCCAGGTTATGTTTATTGGTACATGTTGAAGTACCTAATTTTTATAGTTTTACAGTATTCTAATGTTTGGATGTACTATTATTCATTAAGCCAGTCACATTACCATACATATGATATGGTTTCTGGTGTTCGTATAACAAGCAGTATGCAGAGAACCTGTTGGTGTACTTATGTACATATATCTAGAAAAACTTTTTTAGAAGTGGAGCTGTATGTTAACTTAAAATATTGATAGATACTTCCAGTTGCCCTTCATAATGATTATATCATTTATAATTAATGAACAATGAAGTTGCACTGTTCATATGAGATTATTTATAATTGAAAATTTGCTTCTCTCCCTAATGAACTTCTTTCTACCTAGTTTTTTTTTCTCTTTTTCCGACTTCCCATTACTCTTTCCCTCTCTGTGTAGTTTGATGATAATGACACTGAGAAATGTTTATTATGAACTATCTTGATATATATATACACATATATGTATATATACATATATACATATATACACACATATACACACATATATATGTACATGTATACATATATATGTGTGTGTGTATATATATATATAGATGCTTGGGGAAAAACCTAAGGGCGTTTCTCCCTCCTTAAGTGGAGGACAGTTTTAATAAATGCGAATACTTTTCTTACAAAGAAAAGTTAGAAAAGCACACATATGGGAAGAACAGCAAACAATCAGCACAGTGAATTTTTGTAACCCTTCAATTTTATTTTCTTTTGCCTTCAGAACTTCTTGAGGAATCAAAACAACAAAACAAATTACAACCTAGTCTGTGAGACCCTTCAGTTTCTGGACTGCATTTGTGGAAGTACAACCGGTGGCCTGGGCCTGTTGGGTCTCTACATCAATGAGAAGAATGTAGCGCTGGTCAACCAGAACCTGGAGAGCTTGACTGAGTATTGCCAGGGCCCTTGCCATGAAAATCAGGTAACCAGAAGTATCCATGACTAATTAGTAAAGGGATTAATTTGGGGAAGGAGCCAATCTTTGTGTGCACTTGAAAGATCTTTCTTCTTGCTTTGCCAGACATTTTTACTTTCCTAATAAAACATACAAAGACTGAATTATAGACAAGGAAATACTATGCTGTATTTGTAGATAATTTCATTGTAAAAACAAGTCCCATGAAAATGTTCAAGATAAAAATCAACTTACTGAAAAAAGTGAAATATGTGTCATGACCACCACCCAGTTTTCATCTTTAGTGAACTTTTCCAGGATTTGTGGAATAAACTTTCTTTGGCTCCTTTGGCATCCCTACAAGGAGTAGTATATGTTATTTCTTTTATATGCACAATAAACTTATGAATAGGTATCATTATTTCTAGTTTGCTGATGAATAGGTTCTAACCCAAAGATTAAGTGACTTTCCAGAGTTTCAGAGTGACAGAATCAATAAGTTGTAGAGCCATTCTTACAACTAAGGACTTTTGATTCTGAGTCTAAATCGAGTGCTCTTTTGACTATATTACATTTTGGAGGGCACAGTTTCAAGTCTCTTTTCCAGAATGTTTGTCTCTGATTTTGTTTTCTGGGATATCAAGGATATATTGTGGGAGTAGAAGGCAGGACACTTGGGTCAATCAAGGTAAGGGATGCCACCTGAAAGTTTGCCAGTTGACTGTTTCACCTCCTCTCAGGCATCATGGAGCTACCATCGTAAGCATGGATCAGTCCAGAAGACAGAGTTTTCAAGTCATAAACATTTCTGGATATAAATATTAAAAAAGTCATTGAGAGCAAACATCAACGATTGACATAGAAAATTGTGAAAAAGAAATTTGCTTTTTTAAACATTGCAGTTTACATGAGATACGCACACATACACACGGTGTCTATGCACACACACATACATTTATGAATCTATACACACATGTGTACATGCATAGGTGTGTACAATGAAAACAGGACAGTTTTGGCATAAACAATTTGTTATGGGGGTATTTTCCCTTTCTGTACTGTACATATGAAATACCGAAAGAGTTTGTGGATTTTTCCCTGCATTTTTCTGGGTTATATTTCAGTCTCCCAGAGCAATGATACAAGAAAACCTAAATGTTGATTTAAAGTTAAGGAAAAACATACAAATTCAGAGATTTGGTTTTGTTGTTGATAAAAACTTGTACATCTATAATAGAAAATAATTATACCATTTGTCTCTTCTGCTGTTTCCAGGAAAGCTTGTAAGAATGTTCCCCAGTTTTGGTCTCATAAGAGAATGGAATAGAGCTTTGAAAGTAATTTACTAAAACCAAATAAGTTCTAAAAGTAAAAGCTAATTTTCAAATAACATGAACCCCACATATAATTCCCCATTGCTCTGAAAATGTGTGGGAGGAAAGATTGCTGGCAAATTCTGGAGATGATCTGCAAAAAGATTCTCTTTAAGTTTGGGAAATATTTTAATGAGCAGAAGAACCTCAGGACAGGTAGGAGATGGGTAGAAAACACCTTTCCTCTGTGTCAGAGGAATAAAAACTCCGTTGTATGAAGGGAGAAATAAGGCCCATGCTGAAAAAGCAGTCATTTTGAAGTTGTCTTGATTTTGGTCTTTCTCATTTAACTCACCAGGATTTCAGTTTTTCATACCTCTTGACAAGGTGCTACATTGTTAACACATAGTCCTACAAATCTGGCTCGCAAGTTCCTGATTTAAGACCTGTAAAATTAAATTCAGAACCCCAGCATGGTCGATCTTAACCTTCAAAATGTGGATATTTATCTCACAGGATGTTTCATAAATTTTCCCCAATCAAGATTCCCTCATGTAAGTTTAAGAAATCCAGTAAATTTTTCCTTCAGCCATCATTATTGACAGCATGTCCCCAAACATCAGGAGAGTCTCATATTACTTGTCTTCACTTCCACCTGGCTTGGACAGCAGCATCTCTTGTCATCAGTTTAGCATTAAGTAGCAACGAAATTAAAATGCTTCATTGGTACCATAAAATTTGCCTACAAATCTCAGGTATGAGGGACACATGTCTTTCATAAATGGGAAAATTCTTTTATTGAGGATAATTCAGATCTTAAAATTCTGACCTTAAAGATCTCCTCTGTTGATTGGTATATTAAAGTTTATTGAATGGAAGGATATTTAACTTAACCAGTATTCTCTGAAATTCTATAAACACAGTTCATTTTAAAAGATACGTGCTTCATGCAGTGTCTCGCTCAGTGTTCTGCATACAAAACCATTTGATCAATACTAATCAATTAATTGCCAGACCCTATACAAAAGAATAAGTCAAATGCTCAAAGGTAAATCTTACCTATTTTTTAAAGGTCAAAAATTAAGGTGATTATGTTGTTTTATATCCTGTTAGTTCTAGTGCTATTCTGTTGTGAATAAAATGATATTTTACAAATATTTTGTTTTCTAGACCTGTATCGCTACACATGAGTCTAATGGGATTGATATCATCATTGCTTTGATTCTGAATGACATAAACCCTCTTGGTAAATACCGAATGGACCTGGTGCTCCAGCTAAAGGTAGAGCGATTCCACTGTTCAGGCCAGAAAAGCTACAGTCTCTATAGTACAATCTTCAAGCAGCTCTTGTCAAAAGCATATTATCATGTTTTCAACTAATCAATTGACAGAAAGGGATAGTGAAAGTACAATGCTTACTAAACTCCAGATGCAATGTGAAGTTAGCTTTGAGGTAATATTCCATGGCAAGGTCCTTTCCTGGAAGTTTTCCAAGCAGCCACTGTGTTTCATGACTTCCCTTTTGTTTTTATTTTTATTTTATTTTTTATTTTATTTTTAACTTTACTTTTTGAGATGAAGTCTAGCTCTGCCGCCCAAGCTGGAGTGCAGTGGCACGATCTCGGCTCACTGCAACCTCCTCCTCCCAGGTTCAAGTGATTCTCCTGCCTCAGCCTCCTGAGTAGCTGGGATTACAGGCGCCCGCCACCATGCCTGGCTAATTTTTGTATTTTTAGTAGAGACGGGGTTTCACTGTGTTGGCCAGGCTGGTCTGGAACTCCTGACCTCGTGATCTGCCCACCTCGGCCTCCCAAAGTGCTGGGATTACAAGTGTGAGCCATCGTGCCCGGCTTTGTTTTTAATTTTATATTTTTCATTATAGGGAGAAGCAAAAGGTGCTGATGTATTTTTAAAACACATTGACTACAGAATTCCACCCAGAAAGACACAAGGAATTAGACAAAGTCAAAGGAGTGCTGCATTTTATTTTTATGGTTCTCTTCTTTCTAAAAGTTGTTCTCTTTTACATTAAAATTTAGTTTTTCCCCAAAATACTTTCAGTGATATCCACACTGTCTTTAAGAGGTTTCTTTAGTTTAAGCCTTGTGCACAGCTCCCAGCAGTTTCATTTATAAGAGCTCAGGAGCAGAAATTAATATACACACTAAATTATATAAAGCCCAAATACTAAGGCATGATATTCAATTGAGATGAGCTAGTAAAGACCACATTATTGTGTTTAGGGTTAAACAGGAAAAAATAATTCTTGCTTAAATTACAATTTATCTGTGAAGCCCTGTCTATCCAAGACTATTAAGAATGTATAATTAAATTTAACTTTGTATGGGTAAATTTATAGCCAAGAAGAATAGGAATGATATTTTTCTAATCCTGTTTCTAAATTTAGGTTTGGGTAGTACAATGGAAAGTACATATGTTTACGTGAAGATTGTGCTAAAGGCTCTTAGTAAGCATGTGCTTCTTTATCTTTATTTTATTTTTTTGAGTCAGGGTCTCACTATGTTGCCCAGGCTGATATTGAACTCCTGGGCCCATGTGATCCTCCAGCATCTGCCTCCTGATAAGCTGGGATTACAGGTGCATGCCACCACACCCAGCTTAAATGCTTTTTTAATAGAAGAGATTAGTTTGTATTTTTTCATGTTTTCAGTTGTAATGTGTATAAGCTTCTGCTCTTTCTATTCATAGATTAGCAAAGACGATTCTTACATAGATGTACTTGTGCCCCTCGATTCATTACCATCATGTTTCAGTTAATGAAACCAGCCTAGGCCTGTAAGATAGTCAGCTTAAATTCAAGTTATTAGAAAAATTTTTGTTGTTTTATCTTAAATTCATATTTAACCATAATTCATTAAGAAACAACATAGAGAGGTCTTGATCTTTGGCTTTTAAAATCCTTCATTAGTCTAAAGACTATACCTTTAAATTTCATTTGTAATTAATTAAACTTAATGGACAGAAATACTGAATGGCTCATCCATTTAAAATAAAGTATAAGCATATAGATTATTTACAAATCAAAGCCTATGTAAAAAAATTAAGTGAGAGGGCATCACTTAACAGCACAAAGATATTATTAACTATTCAAATGAAAATGCTTTTTAAAAAATATATATTATTTAAATTTTTATTGATTTTAGTATGTACAATTGCTACCTTTTAAAAATATGACAGTTGAATAAGTCAAAATACCAAATATAGATTTGGCTTGAAATATTTAAAGTATAGTTTTTTTTTTTTTTTCTTAGTGAATGAGGTGTGTGTAGTTTTCTAAACAATCTTTGAGGGTTTGTACACATTGGCCAATATAAGAACAATGTTTGTAAGACAGAATAATATATATTAGTAAATTTAAGGGACTTCCTTGCATAGGGTACTTTAAATAATAAATTATCTTTAACATTAAAAAGATACCATATTAAAAATTATTAAGGTTTTATTTTATGTCATTCATTCCTGAATTTAATTGCTTAATCATCCCTAATTTTAAGTATACTTAGCTTTATGTACTCATTTAGTATGAGATTCTATTACTTTTTCATATTTGTTGTCCTTTACTTTTTATTTTCATTTGCAAAACTGAGCTGTAAATATGAAGTGCTTCATTTGTAAATAGGTAAAGATTTGTTTTGTTTTGTTTTTTCAAAGAATCTGGCTTCTTTAAGAAGAAACTCCTGCACTAACACTGATATTTCATTTGATTTTGTGGTATATATAGACTCTTATACTATCAATTCAATTCATATTTCATTAGGCCGTTTATAAGATTTCTATTCTTCTGACATAATATAGAAAAGAAGATTGGCTAGAAAAAATACCATATTGCCAATAGCGTTCTGAAATTGGATGTATTTTTAAGCTATCATGTATTGGGCCTGCTGAGGGTAGGTTCATTAGATAGCACTGTCAGTGTTGCCAAGGTTTTAGCTTTGAATTCCATGGAGGTCTGTTCAGATTACTCCTAGGATTTAAGCTCTCCACTAATCCTAGAACCTTACTCTTTTAGGTATGTTATTTATGTGGGATACTAGATTGTCGAAGTGGATTTTAGGATTGGTTCAAGTCCGCAAAAAAATGAAAATGGAGCAGAAAAAGATAATACTCCCTTTCCTCCAAAATACTGACGTCTTTTCATAATGAGTCAGTGACATTAGTGTCAATCATCATCTTCATCATCGTCACTATTATTGGTCACTTAAGATGATCTTTAGGCTGTACTTCTGGGGGGAAAATAGTTGGATAGAATTTGATGTTAAAACTACCCAGGAGAATTAATTTGCACAACCTTAACAAAATTTGCATGGTCATTATTTGTTTAGACCAAACACAATTCAGTTTAATTTTCATTCTATGATATGTTAACTTTGAGTCACTTAGAAGCATCTTAAAGCCATGTTAACTCCAATTCTTTTGTACTTCTATCAAAGATTGTGTGTGGAGGTTAAGATTTTTATCTAAATGAATATTATGAGCACACTGTAGAAATAAATCCTGGATATTTAATTTCATATTGCAATTTGCCAAAATTCTATGCCAGCACTGTTAAAAACACAGCATGAAGTAACATCTTTCAAAATGTTTAGGATATTGTGCTTTCTTGGCTAAGATTTTCTGTAACTCTGAGTATCTATTTTGGATTATAAATTGTATCAGAAATATTTTTGATATCTGTATGTAGAAATGGTTGAGATAATATACTTATAAAACAAATTAGAACACTTCAAAGACAACATAAGCTATTTTCATTCTTTGTTAAGCAAAAATAGAAGATATTCTTTCACAACCCAAAGGTAAACAAAGTTGCATATCGCCTGCCATATAGTGAGACTAGGAAGCCGTTATCAATAAGTTTATATTATATTTCTAACACATGGAATTTGTAATTTTATAGATTAATTCTAATTATTGCTTAAATTTATTTTAGGTTTCGATTTGCTAATATATATTAATATTTCATTTTAACAATTGTGCTAAATTCTTTAAATTGTATACCATTTCTGTAAAATATGTTACTGATACCTGTTCACCTTTTTTTTTATTAAAACATCATTATGAAATGCCTATTTAGGAAACAGTGAGGGAAAATATGATTATATTTTAGTGTGGTATATAGTAAGTCACTTTTGCATTTGAAGTACCTTTTCACCAATATTTAAAATATCTCTTGTAACATAGCTCTCATGATTCATTAGTTATATTTTGTGTTGACAATGGAGTAAGATGTTCTATTTTAGAATGTTAACAAGACAAATGAAATTAGCAGTTTTAAATTCCGTTTGATTAAAAAAGGTCCTAGTAATCTCAATTAAAACAAATGCAGAGAAATCGTTAATCCATGAAATAGACTTTGCATGCACATTAACTCAATCTGTGTCTCTAGAACAATGCATCTAAACTTTTGCTGGCCATTATGGAAAGCAGACATGACAGTGAGAATGCAGAAAGAATTCTTTTTAACATGAGACCCAGAGAACTGGTAAGAAAACTTTTAAAAGCTTGGTCAATATTGGGTAGCCTAAAAGGAAAAAATTTAGAGAATGCATGTCAGAAAAAAAAGTTGATTGATTTTCATTGCTCTACCAAGACAAATGGAACATCATGACCTACCATTACCAATACCTCAGAAGGCCCTGTGGTGACAAAGGCCTGTGTGATTTGGGCCTTATGACTTCAGTAGTTTTATCCACTCTAAGCACTTTTCTTAGCCAACTTATCACACTATACTAAACTATATGCAAATGTGTATTGCCAGAAAAAAGTTGGCTTTGGTTTAATGGTGTATTGGAGCATATGAGGAAGGGATGTAAAAAAAATGTTTGTACTCTTCAAAAATTTTATTTATACTTCTTTCTGAAAAATAAAAATAAAATTAATATTTTTTGTAGCTGTTCTTCTCAGTGATATGTTGTACAATGCTTGGCCTCAAGGAAACTGTGCATACTCTAGTAGAGATTCCACAGAGATCATTAGTGTGTCTTCCTATTGTAGAAGTTATCTTTTCTTTCTCACTCGTGGCATGCACATTATGAAATAATGCAGGTGTATTTTAAAAGCATTGGGTTCCAAAAGCATTGAGAATGTACTCACATAATATAGCTCAGTGCCCTGATGATTAAGCCCCACTCACATCAGGGCCATTGTTGGTGCTATGGGCAACTCCTACGAAAGTCTGGCACAACATTCTTTTGCTCTCACTTTATTAGTAAAGAATGGAGTTGAGGAGGGCAGACAAAAAGAGAGACAAAGTGAAGTTTGATTTAATATATATTTAATGAGAGCATAATGTCTATCTGCAAACAGTGAGTTACAAGGACCAACACATTTCCTATCCTATGGTTAAATGTGGCAGTGAATCATATATTTATTCAACAATGGCACTGTGCAATAGCCCTTTGAAAATACTAGTTCCTCTGTGAACAACACCTTTATTCTGTCATCCCCTTCCTCCTTGTGGCCCACCCTCCACCTCTTGCTTGAGTATATGCCCCTGCTCTGCGCTTCCTCAGAAACATACATAGCCCTGGATTAGGACCGATGGCACCGCACTGTGTTTGCCTCCTTGCTTGCTGACTCTCCCACTGGAGAGTAAGTTCCATGAGGGTACTCTCTCCCATCCACTGTTGGGGTCCTCACTTCCCAGGGCAATTTCTAGCACCATGTCTGCCTGTTACTTAGTGGGCACTTAGTAAATAATGGATGTTTATTGGGGTTCTCGATTCTCCTAATTCATGGGAACTTCGGCACTATCAACATTCAAATATCAAACAAAAATTTCCAAGGAAAAGGGGAATATTGTAGGAAGATACTTCCATGTTCATTGAAATAAGGATGGTTTCCAAGGCCATTTTCATTTAGAGTCCTTTTATACTTTTGAGGCTTATGAAGCTGCCCAATTTTTAATTAAATCTCATAAAAATATAAAGCAGATGTTGTTTCTGGCATTTCAATATTCTTTTTTTTTTTGGATAGGTGGATGTGATGAAGAATGCCTATAACCAAGGATTGGAATGTGACCATGGGGATGATGAGGGTGGAGATGATGGTGTTTCTCCAAAAGATGTTGGACACAATATCTATATTCTGGCCCATCAGGTGTCACATTTTATATCTTTACATTATTTTGCTCATCCTATCAATCGTGTTTTGTATCCATGGCTTGTCATATTTTCAAGTTCTGGTCCCTTCATTTATTCAGCACTTACCATCCTAGGTTTGGGCTAAAGAGAGGAACAGCCTCCCAGAATGCCTGACTATGCACCCCAAGGTATGCTAAGGGACAGTCTTCAGGAAAAGAGTGCTTGGTACCCAAAACTACTGGACCAGAAGGGAGGAGACATTCCCATGTCAGCCTGAGCCATGGATAAACCATGGCAAAAAATGAGGGTCCTGAAGGAGAGGGGAAGAGAGGCTACTGGGGAGACAGAGTGTGAAGTGAGGGGGTGCATTCAGTCCTAATCAGGACAAATTCGGCAGGTAGTTTCTGGCCTCCTTGAATTGTAGGTTGACATGCTTTCTGTAGAAGCCATAAACTGGCAGCCTCTGATTGGAAGTGTGAGGCTAAACTTTAAATTCTTTTTTTTTTTTTTTTTTTTTTGAGACGGAGTCTCGCTCTGTCGCCCAGGCTGGAGTGCAGTGGCGGGATCTCGGCTCACTGCAAGCTCCGCCTCCCGGGTTCACGCCATTCTCCTGCCTCAGCCTCCCAAGTAGCTGGGACTACAGGCGCCCGCCACTACGCCCGGCTAATTTTTTTGTATTTTTAGTAGAGACGGGGTTTCACCGCTTTAGCCGGGATGGTCTCGATCTCCTGACCTCGTGATCCGCCCGCCTCGGCCTCCCAAAGTGCTGGGATTACAGGCGTGAGCCACCGCGCCCGGCCTTTAAATTCTTTTGAAGGAACTGTTTCCATTTTATAACTTAAACAGGTGCCTGATGAGTACTATTCATAAATTTAATACAATTAACATGAAGATCAACTTTAAATTGGCATCTTTGAATGCAAATTTGTTTAGAAGTTAAACATTTTAAATGTGCATTTGCCAATTTGATTTTGTCTATGATAGCTCCTTTGTTTTTACAAAATGAAGTTCAAACTTTAGAGACTTGCTCTATCTTTCTTTCTCATCATTTTCTCCCATTGGCAATCATTCCCTTCTGTTTCCCTGTACGTTTTATCAGTTGATTGAATAAACATTGATAGATATAAAGTCAGATTCTCGGAAGATTTATTTTTAAGGTTGCTCTTTAGACATTTCTTATGCCCTTTTCTACCCTTTGTATAACTGTCTAATATATGTGAACTTGACTATAATTTTTCCAAAACCTTCCAGGAAGGAGTCAGATTCTAAAAGATACTAACAAAAGACACCACTATTGTTTTATAATATATCTGGCTCATTGAAAATATTTTAAGGTCTCTCATAATGTATCAAAATACCTATGTAGAACAGAAAGAGGTAAGGGCAGATGACTTATAGCTAGACAGATGAGCATTTTAGCTGCTGAGCAACTGAAAGCCAGGATGATGGACAAGTGGAAGGAAGCAGAAAGTGGAGATTTAGGATGTGGAAAAGGTGTCGTTTTAGAGAGAAAGAGAAGCCATGTGACACAAAGTGAGTCAAGCTAGCAAAGGAATGGCTAGAGATTGAATGTGAGTAGAAAGGAAAAAATCCCAGGCTGAGAATTAAAATCATATTGGCTACTAGAATGAACACAGAAACATGCTGACCCATATGTGTACAGGGTCAAGGAGTTACTTTAGAGGCTGTAGCACTGTGGAGGGAAGAAGGCAAGGAAGACAAGCAAGGTCAAAAAGGCAAGGTCAAAATGAGCAGTAATAAGTTTCAGAAGAAGAAAGTAGGGAAGTAGAACCACTTCTGTTTTCTTGACTGCAAGATAGTCTTGCTTTGTATGGGGGAGGTTGTCTTCTTGCACGAGTGAGCAGCTGCATGAGTAAAACCTGACTGTGTAGCTGTTGAGTGGGGAATGAACAACCAGATGAGCTAAGCTTGCCCTGGAGCCAGCAGAGTGACAGATTGGCCAGCAGACAATGAATGAACCACCTGACATCCATTAAGAAATTTAATAAAGCAGTCTCAGATGACCAGTGTCTTAGGGGTAACAGTGAAAATATCAAGGTAAAGAAAAGACTTATGTTAGGTAACTTCAGTTTGAAGCAGACTAAGCATAAAAGTAGAGGATACAGGCCAGGTGCAATGGCTCACGCCTGTAATCCCAAGACTTTGGGAGGCTGAGGTGGGTGGATCACTTGAAGTCAGGAGTTCAAGAGCAGCCTGGCTAACATGGTGAAACCTCATCTGTACTAAAAATACAAAAATTAGTTGGGTGTGGTGGTGCATGACTGTAATCCAAGCTGCTTAGGAGGCTGAGGCACGAGAATCACTTGAACCTGGAAGGTGGAGGTTGCAGTGAGCCTAGATCACTCCACTGCACTCCATCCTGGGCGATAGAGCAAGACTCTGTCTCAAAACGAACAAACAAACAAACAAAAAACAAAAAAAAACAGAGTACAGAATACAAATTTTTAAAAAGACGATGATACATGTTGAGAAGAATGGACAAAGAGGGTAAAGAATGCAAGCAGTGCTCAGAGATGGAAAGATGATAGAAAACATAAAGCAACCTATATATGAAATAAATTCAAAATGAAGATGGCATAAAGGCCAATTATTTTAATGAATTTGAGTTTATTACAGCGCTTGAAGAGGAGAATAGACATATGCAAAGATGATGGTGGAATTGCCCAAAAAGTGGAAATTTAGAAGTAGTAAAAAAAATGTTACAAGGCGTTAAAACAACTTGTTGAAAGGAAGATAAATCAATGATATCAATGATGTGAAAATGATTGGGGTGGATATATCGAAGTTGTTTTTTTTTTTAAACTTCCCAGAAGCAAAATGTTGGAAAAGCAATGATTTGTAGAGCAACGAAGGTCCAATATAGAAGTAGAGAAACAAAGGCAGACTCGAGAAGAGAGAGAACAAACATCAAAACAAAAGAAAGTAAAGAGAAAAGGAGATTCTGAATTGCTGAATACTTTAAGCCTCATGATTACACTGTAAGAGATTAAATATTAAATAAGAGTCCTCATGAGTCCCTCTTAGAACCCAAAGAGGGCATAGGTATGGAAGAAAAGTAGGCCAGTTGTATGTAACTGACAGTGTAGAGTTAAGCAATTGTCCGCTTATTCTATTATAGTGACACAAGGAGTCATTTCCTTGCCACCATATAAATGTATTCTTTATGGGGTAACCCCGTCACCAGTTTTTCATGAAAAATTATGAGCTTTCACTCACAGAAGAGAGACCATTGTGCTCTGCTGATCTTTCTGCAGGTGACTCCTTGGCTTTCTCTAGGCTAGGATGTCATATTTGGTTTCTTAGCAGGCCAATCCCTAAGATTGTTTCCAAGTTCCTCATGAATCTATTGTCCTCCACAAACTCACAAGGAGTGGTTGCTTGTAAGCACTGCTTCAGAAGTGGCCATGTGGCTGTGCTATAGGAATTTGGTAGAGTCCAGTTTCCACTGTTTTCATTGTGGATATGCAGTCACTGGGCTCCTGCAGGCAAATGACTGTGCAAATTGGTTTCTGGCTTTGTACAGTTTAGTAATTCCAAAACCAAGATGCAACTTCCTCTTTGTTTTACTATAATCATCTTTTGTGCAGACAGTTTATTCTGGTGCTCTCAGACTTTCAATTTTTGTTGTTGTTCTTTTCATGGTAGTAAGGTAGTTCTGCTTTTTCTGCCATGACATCTCTTTTGGCCTTTCCTGTGGTTGGTGTTACAAGAAACAAATAATGCTTCTTGTAAGTGTCTTGTCTGATCTACATAAAACTATAAGTACCTCAAAAAGGGAATTTCTTAACTTCTAATACTATAGTGTTGTGCAGAGAATTTCCTTAAAATCCAACTATGTGCACTTTTTGACTTTCTATCTTCTGCGTGTTTACCTTATGTCTCTCTGCCCCATCTCTCTGCTTTGCTCTTGGTCTTTTATATTCTTTTCTTGCTTTCTGTAGAGACAGTCACTATACACAGTCCAGAGCACTGTTCAGTACTTTGTGTATGTCCAATATATATTAAACCATGTCCAATATATATTAAACCATGTTGTTTCATTCTCTCCTGAAGCAATTTCTGTTCCTCTGTCTGAGACCCTGCATTTAATGCCTACCTGAAGTAAGAAGCATATGGAGAAATGTTATATGCTTTTCAGGTTGGGGAGAAGTATTAGATAGCAAGCTGTAGGAAGCAAAAATAACTCCTGGATCATAAGGCAAGAGAGAATGGGTCACTCTGATTGGTTATATTTAATTCTTTTCAAAATGCAGGCTTGAAAATTTTTCATGAGCTTTTCCCATATCACTAAATGGTCTTTGAAAACATAATTTTAATGTCTACATAATTGTTCTTCATTTGAATGTACCATGATTCATGTAATCACTCCTTATTGTTAGACATTTAGGTTTCTAATGTACTTGATATTATAAATTACGCTATGATTAACATCCTCATACATTAATCTTTGTCTGCCACACTGATTATTTCTCTAGGATAAATTCCAAGAAGTTTAATTACTGGGTCACAGGGTAGTAACTATTTTATGGTTCCTGATGCATATTGTAAAATTGTTTTCCACAGTTTATGATGGTGCTTGTCTTACTGAATCCTAAAATTATGACCATTTAAAAAAATATTGGCCAAACTGATAGTATTTGGAACAACAATGTTTGCTGAGTGAATTAACATATGATAGATGAAAGGAGAATCACATTTTGATTTATATCTTTTGGATTACTGGTAAAATGGACTATCTTTTAATATGTTCTTTGGTCATTTGTATTTCTTCTGTGAATTACTAGAAAGTATTTATCTCTTATTTTATAAGGTTCATTTTAATGAAGTTTAATTAGGGATAATAACTCTTTGTCAGTCATATTAGTTATATTTATTTCTTACTGATTTACTGGCTTTTATGTTTTCAGAATAATTTTCTTTCAGCACCTCGAGATCATTTAAACACTCACCTAGATTTTCTTCTGGTGTGTAATGAATTCAGTTTTTGTATCTAATTATATAATCTTTCCATGTCATAATGCAAAAATAATAAGAAGAAAAGTTCTGATGCTTCATCTGTAAAGACATATTCCAAAATTTAGTGTAACAGCAATCCATGAGGGCAGGATTTGCAGGAATTATAGGAGGGTGCTGTAGAGCATGGGTCACAGAGAAAGTTTTAGTAGAAGAGATTAGGGCCAAAATCTAGCCATCTTCAAGGCCAGATGGGGTATGTGAATGAGTGATCTAGGGGCTGGTGAGGTTGGGACAGTCTGACGTTCCTCTTCCAAAGCAGGGAGCCATTACTCACTTCCGCTGACTTGCCAGTTGGGCTTGCAGGCCCTGGATTTCCACTTCTTCCAATATTTCAAAAGAAGCCTATATTTTGAAATTTTGTGAAAATGTGGAATCTCCTAACTTTTAAAAGTTGGCAGATCATTCAAGATTTTTACAAACACTGAACAGGCCAAAGAAAACTCAGCAGCAAGCTGAATGCAGCCCTCGATCCATCAGTTTACCACTGTGGAGGAAAGGATTTACATTTCTTGTTCTTTCTTTCATTGAGTTTCACAGATGCATTGAGTGCTTACTAGATGCCAAGCGCTGTGCCAGATACTAGGAATGCAGTGGTAAAGAAGATCCGCAACAGATCAGCTCTCAGGGAATTTGCATTCTGGCTGGGAGCAATGAAGAGTAGACAATGAACCAGAAAGATACCAGATGGTGATATAAGCTACGCAGTGAATAAGAATAGATCCTGGTGAAAGACAGTTACTAGAGGCTATTAGAGATTGGTTGATCTGGAGGGTTTTCTGGGGAGCAATTTAGACTAGATCTAAGTCAAAAATCAAAAGCCAGCAGGATACCATGGGGGTGGGGGGTTTGCAGGGGAACATCCCAGTGGCTTGAAAGTGGCAATGAACTTGGCATATTTAAAGGAACAAAAGAAGGCCTGGGTAGCTTGAACCTACCCCCAGCCAGCTATTAGTACTTGACTATTACACTAATCACCTACAGTTCACCTCAGGCTTATTTATTATAAGATAGTCTTTCAACAACATTTATTGAACACCTCTTATGTCAGGCATTGTGCTAGTTTCTAAGATGGAAAGATGACTAAAAATGCAATCAAGAAGCTCACAATGAAGTGTATATAAAAGGAAGAGCGAGAGAGATAAATCATTATAATTGAATGTGTTTGTCTTAACATGGAGGTTATGTACAAGATCTACTTCCCCTAGGAGTCAAGAGAGCTTCTTGGAAGAGGTGACATTTGAACTAAATCTTGAAAGAGAGGGATAGAGGAAGACAGTCCAGGCAAGCAGAACAACTTCTGCAAAGAGCCAAAAATATTTTAGGGAGAGGAGCCAAAAATATTTTAAGGAGAGAAACTTCTTTTGGTCATATTGGTAGGGATCTTGTATGGTATCTACATATGTTTTTATATGAAATAAACTACAATAATTTGAATTGTGTAAACATCTTTGATAACTGTAATGACTCTGTAGGCACTTAACAAATGTTGCACAAATGAGTGAATAATTGAGGGATGAATGAATGACTGACTAGGACATGATATATTCTAAAGCTTTGATAATTTATAGTTTAAGTATTATAATTTAAAAAACTGAATAAAGATATTTTTCTGTTACTATCATTACCATGATAAAAGTTAATGATAATTTCTGCCACTGGAGCTTACGTTTCTTGTGTACAGATGCAATTATCTTTTTTTTTTTTTTCTGTTTCTATATTTGTTCAGTGCCTAGAATATAGCAGGCACTCTAGAAGAGTTTGAAGGAATAACTTCTGGCAAAAATGCATGCATGCTGATAATATTTCTAGATAATACATCCACTATGTAAGATTAATAGACTCCTACAATGCTTATAATAGCATTCTGGCAGTCCATAATCTTATTCAACTGCTCTTAACTTTCTTTTTAATTTTATACATTACTCTTTGCCAATATTGTTAGTAAACTCTGTATCAACAGGCCCTATAATATCTTCTTTCTTGCTAGGCACTTTTCTTATTTTTGTTCATGATACCATCTCTCTCTTTTACTAATAGAATATCTCCTTCTGTTGTTACAATTCATCTTAGTGTTACCTTCATACCCTTAAGATCCAAACTGAGAGCTACCTAACACATTTCCTAGATAAAATACAGCCAGCAACTATTCTTTGTTTTGAATTCTTACATTTGTTATGTCCAACTAGAACCACATACTTACTTTTACACTAGGTTGTGCTATATATCATCCTGGAATTGTTCTTTGTGTCATGTATGTCGGACCTGGCTACTAAATTAGTAGTGGATCTACAAAATCTGGGCACCCAGGAGGCCTTATTTTTACAAAAGAAACTTTCCACAAAGAAAAAGTATAATGGGAAAAAAATGCCTGGGTATTATAGAATAGATTTAAATCCTCTAATAGGCACTTACGTGTCTTTCACTGAGCAACTAAGAATCTTTGGGTTATGGCCATTTAAATGACCTCTCAAATTGATGGTTAATGGGTACAATAAAAAATGCAATCTAGGAAATGGATTGAAATGGGACTCACTAATTATTAGTTTGATATAAAGATCATGAAGTGGAAGCAATTATTTGTTTGCTTAACATCCCATGTTTGTTAGTTACGTATTTATTTCTGAGTGACATAATTATTAGAGCATCAGTCTGAATTCTAGCAATGTAAAATGCCATTGCTGTGTCTTTGACTCCTCCTTCTGCCTGCTTTTACTATCCACTGAATTCAAAGTCTAATAGGATAGCTGGAGATATCAGGCAAGGCTTTTATGATTAGTTTTTCCAGGAAAAGGAAAATGCATAGCACTTCCTAGTATATTTCAGACCCTTGAATTTTTAGCTTATCCCTAATCAAAGTCAATAACTCTTTCTTAACTTTCAGGAGAGAGAGAGAAAGAGAAAGAGAGAGAGAGAGAGATAGAGAAAGAGAATGGCAGGAACAGCCATGGCATTTTAAGGACAGGGATTTTTTATGTCATGCTAAAGAAATTTTTTGGATTTCCTGATAGTCTTCATTAATCCACTTTTTTCTTTAAAAATTCTGTTTCTAATAACTAACTACAATTGCTTGAGCTATATTCATTTTAAGGGATATGCATGTAAATTACTCCAAATAGCTAAAGTTTAATTTATACTGAAACCATATGAAATGTATCTATCACTCAGACTACTTACAGTGTTTTCCTTAGAGATTTATGCTCTTCACCTCTTTGCAGCTTCCATTTTCTTATGCTAATATGTAGTAATCAGCATTGCTTCATTTACTTTATTTGTAGATGCAGAAGGATGGTTTGTAATTGGATACATAACTTCCATCTCTAATATCTTTGAAGGGTTTTAAGTAACGTACAATTACCTCATCTTTATTATTGCTTGTAGTGCAGAACGTAGAAAACACAGCTGGGTTTTTCAACTCACAGAGGCACTTGTAGCTCAGTAATATGTTGGCTAGAATGTTGTACCAAGAATATTATGCAAACAGTTTAGCTATTATTCCACCCCTGCACCCTGTGTTTTCTCTGTGAGCTATTTACATCACTTAACTTCTCTGGCTTCAACCTTCTCATCTATAAAAATGTGATGGCTGTCAGTGAGCTGCATTTGCAAAGTAAACTTTCAGAGACTTATGAACTCCAGAAAGTAGTTGGACTGTGATAGCTCTTTTACTGGATTCAATTATGTTTTAAATAATGTAACAATAACTAATCAGCTACTAGATATTTATGTATTTATTTATATATCATCATTATAAACAGAATTTGAGGTTGAATGAGAAATGCATGTGTATAATTAGCTTGTTAGAATACAAGATCAAAAGCCATGAGAAGGAAAGAGGATCTAAGTATACCCGAGGCCTTGGCTAACATTCTTACAGTTTATCAGTGGTAGCTCTGAGCTTCTTGGTAACCAAGAGTATAATTGATACCTATAGTATTCATTAATGACCAACTTTTTACTGGCATTTAATTCAGGAAGGAGTTTATGCAAGGATATAGTACAACACAGTGGACAGAACCATTCTGCAGAACGCAACAGATGAAATAATGCACATAGCTGTTTTTTGGTCCTCAGGGACAATGATCAACACTTCTGATTTGTTAGCAGGAGTGAATGTAATTAATGTTGAAGTGTGTTTAATTCAACAGCCATTATGAAAATAGATATTATATTCACCTTATAGACAGACTTTGATAATGTAGGACCTTTCTAATATGTGAACTTAGTTGAAAAAAAACTTTTGTAAACATGAAGAGATTATCATATTAAATCACAGAAAATAGACTTATCCTACTTGCCCAGGTATGTGAAAATCCTGCTGCTCTCAGTGCTGGGGATAAAGTAGTGAGCAGACACACCCAAATCCCTTTCCTCTGTGAGCTTACATGCTAGCAGGAATGTCTCCCTCCTTGAGACCACATGATTCCTTTTGGGGCATGTGCTTTATAGATGCAGTTGTGGGGTGGGTAGGGAATGCACGGGATACGGAAAGGAGGCATCATCTCTACCCCCATGGAGTATACCTTTATTACAGGAGGGAGACACAAAAACAACCACATTGCATCAAGTCCTAGGAAAAATGCGTATCTGAGGTGCTCTGGGATCTTAGGTTAGGAGTGTGCTTAGGAAAGTGAGTATGGCAGAGCAAGAGAGAGAGAGAGGGCGCCAGAGGGAGCAAGAGGAACAGAGAGATACCACTTTCCCTCTGTTCTCCCTCGTTTGATCATTTGCTCAGCATTCGTGCATGCAAATCTGCTTCTTTAAAAAAACCTCTAGCCCACTGGCTCATAACTTGCTGTCTTTTATAGCAAAAGTGCTCAAAAGATTGTATATAATTGCTATCTCCAATTCCTCTCTTTCTATTCTCTCTCTAACCCATTTCTGCCAGGCTTTCATTTTCACCGTTCCACCTAAACCACTCTTGGTGAGGCCACCAGTCACTGCCTCTTTGACCAATCTAAAGGTTGCCCCCATTCCGCATCTTTTGTCCTGTCACTAACATTTGACACAATTGGCCACTCTCCTTTCTGTGAAATATTTCTTCACTTAGTTTTTGCCCAGCGCAATCTCCTGATCTTTCGTTCTGCTTCACTGGCTCCTATTTCTTTCTCTGGCTTCTGTTAGAGGTCTTCTAGTCAGAACCATTCCATGGATCTCTGGTCTTCTTAATCGACGCTCACTCCCTGAATGTCACTTAGTCACATGACTTTAAACACCAGCTGTACCATGATAAATTCCAAATGCACATCTTCAGCGTGGGCCTGTCTTCTGCACACCAGGCTTGTTCCTCCAACTGCTTGCTCAGGATCTGCATTTGAATGTCTTTTTAGGCATCTCACACTTAACATTATCCATAATAGAACTCTTGGTCCTCCCACCCTGTGTACAACTCAGATACCCCAGACACTCAGACTCCATAGCCTCAGCTCCTTAGCATTCCTGTAGCCCAAGCCTGGGTGGATGTCCCTCCTGTGTGTGCCCATGGCACACCACGCCTGCTGTGATCATAGAACATATATCACCAAATTCACATGGCCTGTGTTGACTTGTCTCCTCCACCAGACTCCAAACTTCATAAAGGCAGGAGTTAGGTTTTACTCATGAATGTCACCCAGTGCATAGTGCTGTGTTTGATATAGTAAATTGTTTTGATTCATTGAGTGAGAGAGTAAGTAAATGAGTGGCTGTGATAGTCAACAAGTGCTGTAGATCAGGGGTCCCCAACCCCCGGGCTCCAGACAGGTACCAGTCTGTGGCCTGTTAGGAACGGGGCCACACAGCAGGAGGTGAGTGGCAGGCAAGCAAGCATGACCACCTGAGCTCTGCCTCCTCTTAGATCAGTGGCGCTATTAGATTCTCATAAGAGTGTGAACCTTGTCGTGAACTGTATTTGTGAGGGATCTAGGTAACGTCCTCCTTATGAGAATCTAATGCATGATGATCTGTTACTGTCTCCTGTTCACCCCCAGATGGGACCGCCTAGTTGCAGTAAAACAAGCTCAGGGCTCCCACTGATTCTATATTATGGTGAGTACGTAATAATAGTAGAAATAATGTGCGCAATAAATATAATGTGGTTGATTCATCCCAAAACCATTCCCCCCCACGCCCCAGTCCATGGAAAAATTGCTTTCCACAAAACTGATCCCTGGTGCCAAAAAGGTTGGGGACTGCTGCTACAGATGGCTAGAAAGGAAATAGGTGAAATAGGTTAATATTAGCTGGAGTTACTGTATAAGGCTTTGTGGTGGGGCTTGCATTTTAGATGAATCTTATGGATTGATAAGATTTAGATAAACCGAGAAAAGCATTTTCATCATAGGGAAAATATGCACAGAGATGGGGGCAATATTTAGCGTGCTGTGCGTGTGTGAGAGCAGCTTCTCTGGGACCTTACATCAAGAAGAGAGAAAGCCCTGTGTTGCAACTGTGGGAGGTAGTTAGGGAGGGACACAACCTATTGAATTCTGAAGGACTTTAAGTACCAAAGACTAATTACGTATAAATATTTATTGAAATGTGATATAGTATACATTTCTGCTAAACTGTTCCTTAGAGTACTTAATTTGTTTTTTTTTTGTTTGTTTGTTTGTTTTTTGTGTTTTGTTTTTTGAGATGGAGTTTCGCCCTTGTTGCCCAGGCTGGAGTGCAGTGGTGCGATCTCAGCTCAGTGCAATCTCTGCCTCCCTGGTTCAAGCAATTCTCCTGCCTCAGCCTCCCGAGTAGCTGGGATTGCAGGTGCATGCCACCACGACCGGCTAATTTTGTGTTTTTAGTAGAGACGGGTTTCTCCATGTTTGTCAGGCTGGTCTCAAACTCTTGACCTCAGATAATCCGCCCACCTCAGCCTCCCAAAGTGCTGGGATTACAGGCGTGAGCCACCGAGCCCGGCCAGAGTACTCAGTTCTTACCTCTGTTGCCATAAAATGAATGAGACTGTAATGATTCTGTAAAATGCTGAACAGAATAATGCAGAGACAAATAGCACAGAAGTCTGCTTTAGAAAATATCCACTAACCCCAAAGCAATGTTATAAGTCTTAAAATGATTATTTAATGATTGTACTGTTACTCATTTATAACCTGACATTATTAGGCAAGTATTTACAGATAAATCAATTATAAGTGAACCCATGAGAAAATGTAATTAGTAAACACATAAGCCAATATAAAAATACTTAGGTCAGATCACTAAGTAATATTCTGTATATATGGGTTTATGTGTGTACTTGCATGTATCTGCATATAATATTTATTGATTAACTTATTTTTCCTGCTCAGACATAAACGAAGAAAGCTTAACTATAGCTCAGGCACCGTGGCTTACACCTGTAATCCCAGCACTTTGAGAGGCTGAGGCAGGTAGATCATTTGAGGTCAGGAGTTTGAGACCAGCCTGGCCAACATGGTGAAACCCCATCTCTACTAAATATACAAAAATTAGCCAGGCATGGTGGCAGGCACCTGTAATCCCAGCTACTCAGGAGGCTAAGGCAGGAGAATTGCTTGAACCCGGGAGGCGGAGGTTGCCGTGAGCTGGGATGGCGCCATTGCACTCCAGCCTGGGCGACAGAGCAAAACTCTGTCTCAAAAAAAAAAAAAAAAGAAAGAAAGCTTAACTATATAGCTGACATTTTATCCTGAAGGCATGTTGAGGAAGTATGAGCTAGGACAGAATGTCAGGACAGAGAGAGCCAACTAATTCTCATTTAGTCAATAGATCCAGTACTATAATATCAAAGTGATGTATGAAAATAGTTTTTCCCGCCAGGCACAGTGGCTCACGCCTATAATCCCAACACTTTGGGAGGCTGAGGTGGGCAGATCACTTGAGGTCAGGAGTTCCAGACCAGCCTGGCCAACATGATGAAACAACATCTCTACTATTTTTACCAGTGGCAAAAACCGCAATCACTTTTGCACCAACCTAATAAAAATACAAAAATTAGTTTGGTGTGGTGGCACTTGCCTGTAGTCCCAGCTACTCAGGAAGCTGAGGCACGAGAATCACTTGAACCTGAGAGGCGGAGGTTGCAGTGAGCCGAGATGGCACCACTGCACTCCAGTCTGGGCAGCAGAGGAATACTTTGTCTCAAAAACAAAACAAAACAAAACAAAACAAAAGTTTTCCTTGTGTAGTAGCCCATGGAATCATGTAGGTATGTGAGTCTCATTATTATGTGATGAGATTGCTCAGCTTTTCTGTTTTATGGCTGTTGGTGCATTTTGAGTTTCAGAATTACTTACAGAGGCACAGAAAAGTGGCAGACCATTGTGACAAACTAATGCTGAAAGACAAAATAGTTGATCTAAAAAAAAAAAAAAAAGTCAGGCTTCGGAAAGGGAAATAGTTACCCTTAGCCAGACCAAAAAAAAAGTCCCCTTCTGTCACAACCAAGTGATTATTTGAAATTATATGGTAGGGGAAAATTCTGAAAAGTCCCTTGTCAGGATTTATATTATTGACTAAATGTGATCAATTTTAGAGATGTGAAATCAGCTGGTCTCAGAAAACTTCTAGAAATGTATCCCTATACACATATATGTAACTTTATATGTATGTGTGTGTGTGTGTGTGTGTGTGTGTATATATATATGTATGTGTGCATATATATATATATATATATATATATATATATATATATATATATTTATATGCTTTTCTTTTTCTTATTGTCAGCTTTGTGAGACCTGAAAATGATTTGCAGGTTTCTGTTACTATACCAGAGATTTGCAAAGTACTACATAGTAAATATTTTAGGCTTTTCAGGTTATACTGTCTCTGTTGCAGATACTCAACTCTGCCATTCTAGAGAAAAAACAGCCATAGACAATATGTAAACAAATAAGTCTGGCTGTGTTCAAATAAATCTTTATTTTAAAAAACAGGTGGCATGCTGAATTTGACCTAGGAGCTGTATGTAGTTGGCCAAACCCTTCTGTAGATTATTTTTATAATCTTCACAGTTGAGAAGTTGCCTGTGTCCCATATCTGAAATATCCTTGTGAAAACTGAGTCATTTATTTTTAAATATTTTTCATGCTTATATTTATAGTGTTTAATTCACTTTGTATGTGAGTGTAACTAACACACACATACACACATACCCATAGACAGAGTGACATACATGTAGAGGTTCTGACTGCATAAAAAAGAACACTCCAGAGGTTCTTTCTCCGATTGCTGTGGTTCTGTGATTTAAGCATTCTATGGACAGTGGAAGCCTGCTCATAAATTAGAATTGACTAACCAATTGACAGAGCAGGCACATGTTCATTCAGTGGATTCAGGATAGGAATGAATCAAGTATGAACCAGGTGTGTGGATGAATCGAGTAGAATAGAGGGAGAAGTGGGGGAAATGGAGGCAGAAGTCATTGAAATGAGACAGATCTAGGCATCCAGGTCGGAGGGCAAACAAAGAACCCTAGCTGGGGGCAAAGGTAGTCTTCTGCTTCCTTCTGATACACAACTTGGGAAACACTGTGTATTAGAGTTGAGCTCTAAAGCAGTGGTTCTCAAGTTGTAGTGCATCAAATTCCGGGACCCCGACCCCAGAGACTCTGAGAATATCTGGAGTAGGGCCTGCAATTGCTTTTTACCGTATATCCTGGATATTTTTATTCAAGTTGTCTGCAGACCACAGTTTCAAAAAAAGCTGCTCCAGACTTTTCACCTTCTCAGCTTCCTTCCCTATTTGTCTGATAGGCTGATCATCTGATCCAGAGACAGCCTCTTCTCATTTCCTTCCCTTCCTTTTTTTGTGCTTTCCACTTTCCTGGTACCAACCTAAGCTGATTGTTACTAATTTCGTTTCTGTTAACTCCGCTTCTCAGAAATTAAAGACATTAACCTCTGCCACTTATACACATGAAAATATATGTTGAAAAATAGCTTGCACCAAAACAAACGAATAAAAACCACAACACTCTCCTCCATGGGCGTGCACTTCTTGTCCCCGTAAGGCCATGTGAGAATCTGGAGTCTCTTACTGCTTTATATGCAAAGTCCCTAATGACCAAACAATAAGAAATGGCCAGAATAGCTAGGGTGCCATAAGACAGAGGACCAGAGGTGAGACACAGGATGGAGGCAGGGTCGGATCAGGAGGACATGCAGATCTTGCTAAGGGTTTTGGCCTGTATCCCAGGGGCAGGGAGAATCCATCACCACTGCCCTTTCCTAAGTCCAAGAACCACTTCATCTGTAGCTGATTGAATGTCTGGGAATGCCATAAGTTGAGAGAAAATGAAGTGAGAGTCTTGGATGGTTCTAGGTATAGAGTTGGCTAGTTGGCAGATGATGGTGCATTTCAAAAGACTGGAGATAGAGGAGGCTTGTGGTGAAATGGAAAGAGGAGCAGCTTAGTTCTAGACTGTTGGTAGTTAAGGAACTGATGGGACACTGGGTTGGAGGTGTACAACAGGCAGTTGATACTATGTCCTTGATTCTCAGAAGGGAGAGCTAGGCTTGGAGCATAGATGTACGGAGACATTGGTATATAGATGCTGTTTGAAATTGCAGATGTAGATGAGATTTCCTGGGAAAATCAATTGGAATGAGAGGAGTAAAAGTTCAAGAGTTGAATCCTGAGAAATGGCAAACTTTAACAGAAAGAAGGAGGAATT